>NC_000015.10:47026874-47651874 GCF_000001405.40 Homo sapiens | reverse complement strand
CTGGGCTGAAGGAAGGATCACACAGGTGTCCTGGAGACCAGATACCAAAGCAAAGAGTCTTAAATGGAAACAATTGGAAATGTTACTCTCAACAGTGTATCAGAAAATGTGCAGGGCACAAAAGGTGCAAAATTGCTGAGATGAACATCACAAAGGTTGTCAAATCTAGAGTGGGACATGAATCGAGTATCAGATGTAGCTGAATCAGGTCTGACCCAGAACATCCCCTGATAATAAACCAGGATTGAAAACAGGGGCAGGGTATGTGAAGAACCTGGTGGTTGCCTCATTCTAGAACACTCTTTATGCATTAAGATTCACAAGCAAGGATGGGTTAACTCTGGTTTTAAGGTCCCAATAAGATCAGCTATGAATGGATTAGGAATCAGGCTATTTTCCACTGATAGGAGCTCTTTGAGGACAGGATTTATGTTGCCTGTACTAACAGAAGTTTACTAGTTTTTTTTTTAGAGGCAGGGTGTTGCTCTGTTGCCCAGGCTGGGGGTGCAGCAGTATGATCATAGCTCACTGCAGCCTCCAATTCCTGGGCTCAAGTGATCCTCCCACTTCAGCCTCCTAAGTAGCAGGGATGACAGACACATGTCACTATGCCTGGCTAATTTATTTTTTAAACATGGGATCTTGCTCTGTTGCTCAGGCTGGTCTCATATTCCTGGCCTCAAGCGACTCCCATGCCTCAGCCTCCCAAAGTGCTGGGATTACAGGTATGAGCCATCATGCCCAGGACAAATTTAGGAATTTTTTGGTAGCTCATAGGATTCAGTAAGAGAAAAGGAAAATAGAACTTTGCCACTCATGTCATTAAGGTAAAGCTCTGTCTGAAAATTATGAATGTGCCCAGAAACAAAGAAATAGCACATAGACAATCACGAGCACCCTCACTGGCAATCAGTAAAGGGAGAACAGGTGCAAACACTGACTGGTCTAATGAATCAATGATGCAGTGTGATCAGCACTGACTTCCAGATAATTTTTAAGTTTCTTCTTATACCATGTCAGGAAATTTGAGCGTAATTTCCTGTTTCTCAGTGGGGTAGTATGAATTGAGCAGACTTGAGATGCAGCAGAGAAAGCAATATCACCCTGGACTTTTGCCCCAGGTCAGTGTGGCACTTAGCATTGTTGTTTTCGTGAATTGCTTCATCTCTTTAATCTGCATTTTCCTATTCTCTATAGGGGAACTAGAATAACTGTTTCTCCTATGTCACAATGTTCTTGTGAAGAAAAAAGTGAGTTAATAAACGTGAGATTTGAAATGAAAGCTTCCTGTGCTGCCAATCACTATATAAATTCATTGTACCTCAATCTATTGACAGGGAAATCAGCAACTCATTACCGAGCTTGGTGTCAGCTATGCCTAGAATTTTTTTGCTATATACATATGTAATGTTAGTATTTATATAGAGCATCTTTAATGTGCCAGGTGGCATATCTTTAAATATGAATTCAGCAAAAGTCATTTGGCTGTGAGTTCCCACATAGTTATAGCGGTTTCTTGGACAGAGAGGTTGCCATGCTTTTTGCATAACAGGCCCCTCCCCAGGTGATGTTGACATCTTCATCTACAGCCTGGTGTATGGACTGTTAGATGAGATAGTGTCCAGTCCAGCTTTTATGGACTAGGTTTTTAGAGAACTACAAACATGGGTCTACTGAATCCTGCACTGAACTAGCAATGTAACTTTGCACAAGTCAGTTAACCCAATACTAGAACCTTCTTCTCAGGATTGCTGGGAGGATAAGATCTGATGATGCCTGTGAGCACTCAGCACATCACTGGCACATCCAGGCGCTCAGTATATGTTGTCTATGCAGAGGTGGTGGTAGCTGAGAAGAGGGCATGTGGGGCCAATAATCCAGCTTCCAAATTCTGTTTTATTCCCTCGAGATAGTAAGCAGCTATGTTCACAAGAAATACTTTCAGTGTAACCCATACTTCTTCATACAACATTTCTTCAGTGAAGACTCTAAGCTAGTTGAGAAGTTTTAAGAGTACACTATTAGCCCTCACTTTTCATTTTGGAAACTGCCTCCACGAGCTATTGTATAGCAATATCTTTGAAAAGTTGTAGGCATTTGGCTTCTATTATGAAATTGAACCGCCATCTGTTGGTCCTGCAACCATTTGCACAAAACTTGTATTCTTTTCTTTCTTTCTCTTTCTCTCTCCCTCTCCGTCTCTCTCTCCTCCCCTCTCTTTCTAGACAGGGTCTTGCTCTGTAGTCCAGGCTGGAGTACAGTGACTAGTCACAGGTGTGATCATAGTGCACTTCAGCCTTGAACTCCTGGGCTCAAGCGATCCTCTGGCTTCAGCCTGCTAAGTAGCTGTGACTACAGGCACATGCCACAACACCTGGCTATGTAGCACTGTCTTTTGATGACTTCTGGCTTGTACTTTTTTTTTCTTCTTTTATTTTTGTGAAGGTCTCTGAGGGAAGCCCCTTCCTGTGCAGGCCACTTTGACTGGTGTTAGATGTCTGTTATGTTAGCTGATAATGTCCCAGTGGCTTGTGTAGTTCAGTTTTGAATGACTCGGTGACATTTGTGTCAGACATTTATTTTTAGTACATTTTTCCCACAGATATGTATCTGAGATGCGTCTCTTCCATCTGTCTATCTGGCTCAATGCTTCTATTTAAGTGACACGTAAAGCCCTGTACACAATGCTTTATACCTAAACTCTCCCATAGCTGTTCTCTTCCTTATGCCATTATAAACAGACATAGAGCTGCAGGAAGGACCTTAAATGGGTTCTTTATGGTCATGACTTCAATATTACATATTAAAATAGGCCCATTGAAAGTGGCCTAATATGTAAATCCAGTCCTATGCACATAGACATACATATGTATTCACATATAAATACAAATATAGATGTACTACATATTCAGTTGGTCCTCACTTGCTGTTGTCAATATTTTCTTGGAAACTGCAACTTTAAGTAAAACCACATATTAAAAAAGTAGTTTTACCATAAGCTAATTGATATAAACAAGAGTTAAGTTCCTGTGGGATATTTCTGGTCACAAAAACATCACCGAACTTCTAATTAAAGACTCAAAACCTTCTAATATTAAATACTGAAATAAATGTGAGCTATACACACATTTAAGAATGATTAATAAAACAAGTCATAAAAACATCGGGTTAAAAATTATTTACTCAATTTTTGGTAAATCAGTGAGTGCCGGCTGCTGTAGAGGTGCTGGGTTGCATCAAGGAATAACTGTTTGTGAAGTGAAAGTTGTCAGGAGCACCTCCTACGATCATACCTTCAAAAACAAGCAATTACAAATAGGGCGGGCTCCCTAAGTGCATTTGTATGATTACCGTCTACTTTACAAATTTTCATTCATTCATTCATTCATTCATTCTCCAACCCAGTTATTCCAGTTCAGGGTTGCAGGTGGCCAGAGTCTACCCTGGCAGGTCAGGGTGCAAGATGGGAACCAGCCCTGGAGAGGATGCCATCCCATCTCAGGGCACACTCGCACACACCCATGCTCACTCAGACTGGGACACTTCAAACATGCCATTTCACCTAACATGCACATCTTTAGGATGTGAGAGGAAATCGGAGCACCAGGAGGAAGCCCATGCAGACATGGAGAGAATGTGCCAACTCCACACAGACAGTGGCCCTGGCTGGCATAGATGTTTTTTTCTCAACATCATAGCAAAATGATGTTATCTGAGGACCTGCTGTATATATTTTGTATCATCAATATTATACTGACATATGAAAACAGGCCCATAAAAAGACATACAGTATCTACTTACACATAAATACACAGGTGGGTGTATATTACATATAAATATTGTGTTTTGTATCCTCAAGTAAGTTTACATTTTTCTTTTTCATTTCTGTTGGGTTTCATATGCTCCAAATCATCCAGAATACGTGAGTGTGCGGAAAGGATGATTCAGCACCCCACTATCACTCTGTCCCTGCTTAGGGATGGAAAGTTAAGTCTCTCCTTCACAGTTAGGGAGTGTTCCACAGCTTTGTTTCTGAGCAAATATGTATAGGAAGCTAGCCCTATCTTACAATCTGTAGAATATTTCAGGCTATTTGGATTCATTGAATAATTTGCTTCCAATAAGGCTGTTAGTGCTGATTTTTTTTTTTTTTTTGCCCACAATTGAATTGGGCATGCCTGTTGTAAATTCTGATTTAGCAAAACTCCATTCAATAGAACGTTAAAGAGTCAAAATATGCGAATTTAGTTTCATCTGCAATTAACCAGGCTGATTTAAGAGAGAACATGTTTCTATTTTCTCCTCTTTTTAAAATGTATGTGCTTTGCCACTAAAATATCAATACGTCTGTTAAGTATGGAAATGTATGTGAACCTACACATTTTGCACATGCACAAAAATACTCAATACTTCTTTAGTGTAACCCCTATAACTTATCATGCGTTTCATCTGTCAGCACTAAGAATAAAGACCTTCCATGAATACAATTCCGATCATGTAATCCTGTTAGTTCAAAGTGAGCTTCAATAGCACTTGACAGACCCCGGCTAAACTAGCTCACTGCATGAAAACAAACTGCACAATTCTGTTTGTACTTGTTGACACGCTATTAAATTGTTTTAATAGGACTTACTTAGAAAGGTGTATATCTTGGTAGTTAAAGCCTATTACATTGTAAAGTACACTTTATATCCAAAATGTTGCTCTCATAGGAAAATTGTGATTACAACGTTTAGACAACATAGCCAAACTATGTTGCTTTGTCTTGTCTTTGGAAAACTCGTACTAAGCTAAAATTGTACCTGTCTTTGAATCAGCAGTGATGAGAAAGAAAGAAAAAAAGAAAACCTCAAAACGATCACCTAGGGATTTAGCAGAGTATGGAGGGTGTAGGTTGCTGCACAATTAACCACAGTTATGCTTGATTATTTTTGGTCACAGCTGCAGTTTGGATGAAACTTAAATGCCAACCTTTTTTAGTCTCTGAAAATCTTGTTCTTTCATGAAATTTGTTTACCACAGTTTTCTCTCAGAGAAGATGGTGGCTAGTGATACATTTTTCAGCTCATGGCATATTTTGCCAAAGGGGACACATTTACCTAGTGAATACATAAATCCAGTCCTATGCACACAAGCAGTCATTTCCTTCCACTTTTTTCCTAAAGTTGAACTCCCTGGCTGCTTTTGACATCATATTCCGAGAAAGTGAAGGCCTGGTCTCAAGTATGAATATGGCTCCGTTTATAATCAGCCCTTGGGGCTTAGAGAGAAGTACAGTGATTCAGAATCACACTGTCCCCAGAACATTTCCAGCTTAGCTGCAGCAATTTGATTTTCTTCTTTCCACTCTAAAAATCCTGAAAATGCCATCAGGAGATTTTCTCAGTCACCCAAATGATTCCACTAATGTTTCCTTCTTCTTAAGTGTCTTTTTCTTATTTAAAAATGGAGATATTTCTAAATGCGTTCAGTCCGTTCTCATGTCTAGGTAGGCACTATGATCTCAAACATCCTTCAGGCTGCCTGGCACACACTTGTGATATAGTGAAATCTATATATTTATTTGGTAAGTTTCCTGGCATACGGCTTCTAAAACCGTTGAAATCAGCAGAGTAATAAGAATATCTTTTGTATGCTAATGAAAGACTGGTGGCTGGGAGTCCCTAGATAGCTTCAGGATGGGGGCTGGTCACCAGAAAGACTGAGGCAAGGTTAGAGGGTTGGGACTATTGGCCCCACCCTCCAACCTCTGGGGAGGATAGAAGACTGAAGTTTGCCTTGATCCTCAATGGCCAATGATGTAATCAATCCTGCTTACATAATGAAGCCACCATAAAAACCCAGAAAGATGGGGTAGGAGAGCTTCTGGATAGCTGAGCATGCAGAAGTTCCTGGAGTGGGGCTCCCTGAGAGGACACGGAAGCTCGGTGCCTCACCCCACATACCTCAGCCTATGCATCTTTTCATCTGGCTGTTCACCTGTGTCCTCTCTAGTCTCCTTTATAATACATGGGTAAACAGTAGAATGTTTCCCCGGGTTTCTGTGAACTGCTGTAGCAAATTAATGGAACCTGAGGAGGGAGTTGTGGGAATCCCAATGTATAGCTGGTTGGTCAGAAGCACAGGCCAACCACCCGGGGCTTATGATTGGCATGTGAAGTGGGACAGTCTTGTGGGACTGAGCCCTCAACCTGTGTGACCTGATGCTATCTCCAGGTAGACAGTGCCAGGGCTGGAATGAATTATAGTACATCCAGCTGGTGTCCGCTGAGGTACTGCTTGGTGTGTGGGGAAAAACCCCCACACATTTGGTGTCAGAAGTGTTGTGTTGAGTTGTGTAAGTGAGAAGAAGAAGAAGAAGAAAAAAAAAACTCCAACTTTGTTTTTGGGCTTATTTTTTCCTATCTAAAAGAACATCCCACACCCATTCTGCCAGCACCTTGGTGCCAATCTCCAAGTAAGTTAGTCTATATAAAGAGAAGGCTAGGAGAGAAGGCCAGGGAGTGGGCTGGACAAGGAGAAATTGTGGAAGGTTTTATTGTTTCCTAAACGTTTTATAAAATACCCATGGTGGCCTGTGCTCACCCTGGTGCCTTCAGAGAGGGAGAAGAAGTGACGCTCATTTTCCACAACTTGACTGTTTCCTTAAAGATGTTTCCAATAAGGGACTAAAGCATCACATAATTAGGCCAAACTTCCTTTATCCCTCTGTGGATCATCAAGGTTGCCAGCAACGAAACAGATTTGGAGCCCAACCAACTCTCAGATGACGCCCCGGCACCCACATGCTCTCTTTCCTGGACAGGCTGATGTCAATATCTTCACCAGAGTGGATGTTCTTTTGTTGTCTTGGAAACAGATGTGTGTGCCCTTTTAGAGACACACAGATCAGCATGCTGTGTCCCTGAAAAATCTCCAATATGCTAATTTTAGGCCTTGTCCTAATGTTATGAAGCTTCACTTAGTCCTCAGAGACTAAATCAGGCCCCCAAAAGAAACACTGATAGTTGGTGGGAACAGGAACAAACCACTTCAGTTATCTCTAAGACCCGCCAGTATAAACTATTTGATGTGGGAAAGCCCCTGTCTTAGTTTGTTTGGTGCTGCTGTAATGGAATATCTGAGACTGGGTAATTTATAAAGAATAGACATGTATGTTTCATAGTTCTGGAGGGGAAGTCTGAGATCAAGGTGCTGGCATTTGGTGTCTGGCGAGGGCCTTCTTGCTACACTCTCAAAGGGCAGAAGGCAGAAGGGCAAGAGAGCAAGCTACTCCCTCCATCAAGCCCCTTTGTAAGGGCACCTGCCCCCAATCACCAGGGAGGAGCCCTCATGGCCTAATCACCTCTTTGAAGGCCCTGCATCTTAATACTATCACATTGGCAGCACCTACATTTTGAGGGGACACATTCAAACCACAGTAACCACCTTATTGTAAGTGAGCAGAAAGCTAGAATTAATTGCTTCAAAATGCATAGTTGAGGCAATTCGATTTTATCATAAGTAAACAATTTTACTTAAATGAATATGGCATTATACATGACACAATGACTTTGAATGCCAACTGTGCAATTGTGTATGCACTTAACATCTGTATACCATTTTCACTCATTTTTCAACTGTGCATTGCAAGTCCACAATATGCAGGACACTGATTTTTTTAAATTACATGATATTTGAAGGAGTAAATATTAAGTGGGAGAATAAAGAATGGTGCACACACTTTGATCTTTGATTTTTTTTTAACCATTTCACAGCAAATAAGACAGAAAAGACTAAGATGAGACCTGGCATAGATGTTTTTTTAAAAGCTCCCCAGGTATATAGCCAGGGATGCAGCTTACTAGTCTAGACAACGGGGAATTAATTGGCTGTTCTCACTCATATGTGGGAGCTAAAAACATTGAACCCATAGAAGTAGAGAAGTAGAATTGTGGTTGCTAGGACCTGAGAAGGGTGGGAGAGGAGAATAAGAAGAGGTTGGTTAATGGATACAAAATTACAGCTAGATAGAAGGAATACATTCTAGTGTTCTATAGCACTGTATAGTGACTATAACTAACAAAATTTATTGTATATCTGTAAATAGCTAGAGAAGAGGATTTTGAATGTTCCCAACACACAGAAATGATAAATGTTTGAGGTGACAGATATACTAATTATGCTGATTTGATCATTACAAATTGTATACTTGTATCAAAATATTACTTTGTACTCCATGATATGTACGACTACTGCCTGTCAATAAAAAGACATGCTTTAGGATCTTGCTTTTATGTCTAGGGTTAACATTCCTTGGAAGTTTGTAATGAATGCAGAACCTCAGGCCCCATGCTAGACCAAATGAATCAGAATCTGCATTTTACTAAAATCCCCAAGTGATTAGCAAGTACATAAAAGTTTGAGAAGACCTGCTCTCATGTTGCATGCTACAGCTAGGTTACTTATTTGAAGCTTGTAGCTAAGCCTCACCCCTTCCTCTTTCAAACCTGCCATGAGAAGCTATGCTGCAGACACTGAGAGTCTACACTGTGCAACAAGATATATTTTCTTCTGTTCATCAGATCTTCCAAAGCAGTGGAAATGCAGGCCCTGGACACTTTACGTAGTGGGGAAAGGCAAGTTCATTCACAGTAATTAGTCTTAAAGAGTCCTCTGCACTTACTGCATGTGGTATATTCTACAGGAGGTCTTCTTGTCAGTACACATGCAGCTACTGCTGAAAAAGACATCTCACATATAAGACATAGTAGAAACTTACACCTCCTTTCCTCATGTGCTTGAAGAATCCTTGCTGTAGCTGAATTGTGAAATAATCCCCAACCTTGTTCCTATTTCTCTCTCTCTTATTCCTATTTCTGTCTCTCTCTCTCTCCCTATTTCCATCTCTGTCTGTATATCTATCTCCATCTCCATCTTCATCTCTATCTTACTCTCCATTGCAATCCCTATCCCTTCCCGCATTTCCTTCTCCATTTTCATCTTTACCTCTCTCTCTCTCAATATATCTAGCTGCTCCACCACTTTCCAAAACACTATTTGAAGTGGTTCACAGTAAAATCACAGGATAAAACCATACATCATCCCAACTCCTGCTGCCTTCCTGCCCTTTCGGAGATGGCCTTCTTTTCTCAGCCATCATATACTCAGTCCTGTCCCCCCAGAAGTGATGGTTCCCTCTCTTGCTGCTCCACAACATCATTCCCTTTGTGCTCTCTCTCACAGACTCCCGGCTGGGCCACTCCAGGTCTTCTGACCCCTGTGTCTCCTCTCAGATTCCTACATTGCTCCTATCTAGATGTGTGCAAGCCTGGCCTCTCCAACTAGACAGTGAAGCCTTTGAGGGCAAGGAATGTGACTCTGGGTGTCCGAAAAGGCATACCCTCTGCTGTACTCACAGTGTATGCTCAGCAGCTAGTGTGTGTGTGTGTGTGCATCTGTTTCTGTCACATGGTACAGAAGAGTGGAAAAAGCACTGGGTTTTGAGTAAAAAAAAATCACGTAGAGTCTGAATGATCTTCACCAAGATGTTTAATCTCTGCACCCCAGTTTACTCATCTGTAAAAGCAAAGGGCTGAACTAATGATCTTTATGTTTCTTTCCAGCCCAGACTTGCTCTATTTCTGTTATTGTCCATAGTTAATGCCTCTACCAGCACTGGCTGATTCAGAATCCACTTTAACAGGCATATGACATATCTGTACCAAAAAGTAATGGCCATCAATTTGTCTCTAAACTACAGAAAGATTTGATGCTGTCATTATCATTAAGTTAGGTGGGCTTCCTCCATTAAGAAGGCTGGGGAAACAGATCATAATTCATTTAGCAAACATTTACCGAGTGGCTACCTTGTGGCAGATACTGTGCTGAGCCCTGGAGATACAACCCTCAAGGCTAGCAGGGGAGGCCGACAAGGCAACCAAGTGAAGCACAGTACACACACTGTGCTACAACAGGGCACATCCAGAGAGCTCTCCACATAGGAGTGCCCAATGCCAGACTGGGGATTATCAAAAAGTGACATTTTGGGTGAGTGTTTTAGAGTGAGGAATACCAGTGGGCAGTGTGGGGAGCATGACGTTTTATGGCAGAGGGAGTGGTGGATTCAAGACCTATGATTGGGAGGAACTAAAAACAGTTCAGTGAGGCGGAAGGGCAAGAGGTGTAAAGGCAAATATGGCTGTAGAGGAGGAAGAAGCAATGTGGAAGAGCCTGTGATGTCCTGCAACACACAATAGGAATTAAGCTGGTAAAGCCAGGGCAATTTCCTCTTCATAAAAGGAGCCACATTTCCCCAAACTTCTGGATCCTTTGGAAGAGCCCAGTTAGCCTGGATCCAAGCCTCACCAAAATGCAGATTCCTCTAACCTTCACTCCAGGTACTTCCCTAAGCACAAAGCAGGAATTAGAAATTAGGGATTTTAGAAACTGTAGGAAGAGAGAGAGAGAGTGAGAGTGTGAGAGAGAGAGGGAGACTGAAATTCCTAAGGCCATGCAGACAAGAACAGCAAATAACAGGCCCCGAGTCACAGTCAGATCCTTTGCCAACACACTCAGTTCTCGCACTTTCTCAGCCCTGCATCTTGAACAGTAGCTGGTTTTTTAAAATCTGCTTAAAGCCATGATATTTCTAGACGTGGTTCTTGTTTCCTGCTGTCCTGCTGCTGGCCATGGCCATTCATTAGTTCACCCTGATCCCCAAGCTGCACATGCAGGTGGGAAGGGGATGCGAGAGGAATGGATACTGCGGCAGCCCTCGGGCGGAAGCAGCAGTGGGGAAATGGAACAACTCCTCCCCCTCCCACTCCGCTCCATTTAACTTGGCTTTGAAAAGGACGACCACTGGGGACCAGGTTTTTATCACTAGTGACTTCCTTTCCCAAGAAATGTGAGCCCTGTGGATATAAAGAATAATTGGTGAAGGACTTTGAGGTTTCTTGAATATAATAGGCTGTGTAGGTGTGTAATATTATTATTACCACTTTCTGTTCAAGAAGCGATTTAAAAAAAAAAAGGTATGTAATTTTCAGCTTTCCTTCCAGACTGGCCTGTGGTCATATTTAACGTTAATATCATATTCCTTTGGGTGCACACGATTAGGATGTTTTTTGTGACTAGTTAACGCTGACTTAAGAAACGCGTTATATAACAACACTTTTGCTTCAACACTAGGGAGGAGTCAGCCACCCTGACGACCCTCAGTTCGTAAGAGAGAAAGCAATACCTCCAATACATCACCTAAGGCTCATAGACGTACAAAATTCATTCTTATCAATTAATAAGCACCTTTCTTTTTAATGATCCCTTAAGTGCACTGGAAGCTGTTTCGAGAGTACTGACATCCTACCTGCAAGAGAATCACCAATTTCCCTAGCACATGGGGCATTTCTTTGAGCTCCGTTCAAGCTCAGATAATTTCACAAGTTCACTCTAAGGTGAAGATAAGCAGGATCTCAAGAGCTGCTCTAGAAAACACAGCAAGCAAGATTTTGAAGATTACAGACCGATATATTTGTGTCTTAAGACAAGCCAATTCTTTACATATTCTCTTCCTGAGACACCTTGGTTAGTCCCATCTGCAGGGCTTTCCCTGCAGATGGTGCGAGGACTCGTGCATGGGAATCTTTCCTCGCTCAAGCCTGTTGGTTCCCCACACTGTGAATTATCCCTGGTGTCCAATATTTCTTCAAAAAATTATATGTGCTTTTTAAAAATATAGACTTTATTTTATAGAGCAGTTTTAGATATGCAAAAAAGCTTAGAAGATCATTACAGAGACTTCCCAAATACCCCTGCATTCAGTGTCTCCTATTATTAACATCCTACATTACTATGATACATTTGTTACTATTAATGAACTGATATTGATACCTTATTGTTAACTAACATCATAGTTTATTTCGATATCCAGAGTTTTTACCCAATGTCTTTTTGCAGTTCCAGGATCCGATCCAGAAAATCATATTAAATGTATAAATCATGCCTCTTTTGGCTCCTGTTGGCTGTGACAGTTTCTCAGACTTTCTTTGTTTTTGGTGACCTTGACAGTTTTTGAGGAGTGCTCATTAGGTATTTTTAAGAGTGTTCCACCAGTGGAATTTGCATGATGTTTTTCTCATGATAAGACTAGGGTTATGGGTTATTGAGAGGAAGACTGGAGAAGTACAGTGCCATTTTCATCACATCATATCAAAGTTACATGCCATCAACATGACTTCTGACTGTTGATATTGGCCTAGATCACGTGCTTGAGGTAATGTTTGTCAGGTTTTTCCACTGTAACATTTCTCTTTTTTCTCCTTTCCATACTGCAGTCCTTGGAAGGAAGTCACTATGTATGTGCAGCCCACACTTGAGGACTGAGGAGTTATTCTTTCCCTCCTTGAGGGTGGAGAACCTCCATTAATTATTTGGAATTCATCTGCATGGGAGACTTGAGTCTTATTTCCAGTTTATTAATGTATTCAATCATTTTATGTATAAGTGCATGGATTCATGGATATTTATTTTATATTTTGGGTTTTAACTCAATACTACTTTATTTTGTTCCTTAAATTGTTCCAGCTTGGTCCACTGAGAGCTTTTTCAGTTACATGCTGTGCTCCTTTGGCATATCCCACCATTGTATTTCTTTAGAGCATTTCCTTACTTTCTGACACTACAAGATGCACCAGGCTCATGCTGTACATGTGCTTTTCATTTGTAGAAAACATCCAGTCACTGGTGGTCATCCCTTTAAAGAGATCTGCCCTCAACCTTTGAGCCTTAGAGGGCATGTAGTTTAAAACCCCAGGCAGAAGGGCACCTCACGTGAGCAGAGTCTGTGTCCTCCCTGCTAGTGGCCTAGGCTCCAGGAGACAGACATAGTGCACGGATGTGAGAGGAAGCCACATACAAGCAGGCAACTGGACAGAAGAATATCAGAAGTGGTTGCAGCTGGGGACCAGCCTTTTTCCTGAGACCAAGTGCTACATTTTAAGAATCAATGAACTGATCATTCACAGCTGAAAGCAAACAGCCAGCCAACCTGATCCATCTGCTGGCAGAACATTTGAGTTGAGGCAGCCGGTTTTTAAAAGACATTTGGGGTAATCTTCGGTTTAGACAAAAGCGAGAAATGCGGAGGGAGAGCAGAGAGGAAGCGCCTCCTTGGTGTCATGTGCCAATCCAAATTAACAACTAATGAAAGCAGATTGTATTTAGCAGATTTTAATATAAATTAGGTTAATGCTGACACATTTGAAATAGTACATTGAAAAATCAGTCTGTAATAACAAGCTAACAGATGTTGGCATTTTTGTTATTAATTATACATTTCATTATCATCTGATTATTGTCAAACATTGTTCAAGAGAAAAAAATCATATAAATGATTCATACACATTTGTTACGTTGTTAAGGGGTGCTAGTATCTGTTTTATTAATGCAGTGACTTCAGTAGTCTGATATCATTCTAAAAATCTCAAGTTTAATGAAGATTATTGAGTCATACACAAAATGCTACAATATTCCTGAGTTTTACCGTGCTTGTCATTGGAAGGTCTCAATGAGTTTCACATCCTGCCTCATCTTACTCACCCCTCCCATCTTCTTTACCAAGGCCCACAGAGAGGTTGATCAGTTTCTCAGGGAATATTGTAGAACAAATTGGACAGCATCATCACACATCATACGGCCATTTTTCAAGAAGGTCCCAGAGAGAAACTGTTATGAAATTGCTATTGTAGAATCCAGGGAATTAAGAAATTGGGTTTTTTTTTGTCTAAGATACACAAAATAAAATTAGAAAACAAGCAGCAAAGATAGCTAGTTACTGCACCAAATTTTAAATAAGTTTTTTCCCTTCATGTTTTTGGTCAAATCTGCTTATACAATATATATGCTCCAGGTAATCTGTGCCAGCAACATAACCTTTCTACTCAGGTATTATTTTAGTTATGGTCTGCTATTTCAGACAGTAAAAAAGTCCTGTGATTTATGTGTTGTCTGGGGATTTCATTAGTCAAGTGGCTCCTTAACTTTGTTGGAACATGTGGCACCAATGAGGACTGCCAAGGGTGGCATGGAAGCACTGGATATTCCCCATGAAGACTTGGTAATGGAGTGGGAGACCCTTAGCAGAGAGGCCACTTTTATTAGGCCACTACTTGTACTTGTATTGGGCCACTACTTTATTTACATGATTTGAAAGAGTGTAAAAGCCTTCCTGAAAATAACTACTTCCAAAAGCTTATTATAGCATCACACCTATTTACTACCTGGTCTGTGATTCCCAGCATGAAAATCATTCTCATTGAAAAACTGACACGATGCTGAGCACAGAAGGTTAGTGTGAAATGTTCCCCAATCTCCTGAGCATTGAGGAAAGCCCATGGGCTCTCTGCTATTGATTGATACGCTAGAAAAAAAGTGTATCCTCTATCAGCCAAGTGACTTACCTTGGAGCCCTAATCTTGCTCTAAGGACATAGTCAGATTAGTGGATGGACCAGCCAAGCAGTTGCCCTGACTTCTAACCCAGAAGGGGTGATGAACGAAACATGGGTAGAAAAGTAATACAATTCAAAACCCACATTTACCAGAAGCTGTCTTAGGGAAAGCACTGTTTGGGGTGGAAAGAAATATTTTATTAGCTTCTTGGAGTATAAGTTGAGGTCTCCTGGAGCGTGTTCCAGTAACAATAAGCGATAGCTACACTGGCTTTGAAGAGAATGTGTTCAGATCAAAGCAGACATTTTATTTTGCTGAGAAGATGTACAAAAATTCTGTCCAGAGCTGAGTTGCTCAGAGCCAAATATGTGGTCTAAGTCTGGCACTCCTGGGCCCCTTCTCTGCCTTTTTTTCATCAGCATCACACTTATGTCCACATAAGTGCTTCAGCACTATTTCAAAAACACAAATTTCATCAGGTATCAAATTACTAACCTACTAAGTGTGTTCACATAGCCCAGCCTAGGGCAGCCATGAGCACACTTTGGCCTGGTGAAAAAATCTTTAGCGATCCTCTAACAAGGAGAGAACAGAAAGAAACACTGATATGAGATTAATATTTACATGCATCGGGTAGGGTTCTAGGGCCCTTCTGTATTGCAGGCCCTGGTTCTACAGTAGTGTTGCCACAGGACAAAAGCCAATATACTGCCTTCTTCCCTTGGACGCTAGGACAGTGCTGACTGAGAGGACAGTATAGCTGCCCTGGGGTAAAGGAGAATATCTTGCCTTCGCTGTGATGTTAGGAGATGTGGAATCTTAAGAGGAAATGATAGAAGAGGATTGGCTAGAAGATAATGTCTAGGGTGTGGGTAATCTCAGGGGTGGGGCATCTTGAGAGTGGATTGTAGCCAAAGAGAACAGGTCCACCCTGATGAGAAGCTTGGGGTAGGAAATTCAGGAGATAGCCATCATCCATGTTGGAAAGTGGAGCCCTGCAAACAGCCTGAACCTCTACCATAATTCAGCTCATGTCTGGTTTTAACAAGAGTTTCACTAGGGACAAAGGGTTGCATTATTGTCCTCTTTGCATTGTACACTGGTTCAGCCATGATCAATATTGTTTTTCAAGACCATAATTCAAGTTTGAAAACCTGCTCTCAATTCAGAAATGAGCAGATTCTATTTGCGTACTTTTAAATTTCATTTTATTACTCTTATTTTGTATTTTCGTAGTTCAATTATTTTTAGTAAATGTATAAAGTCGTGTAACCATCACCACAATTCAGTGTGAGAACATTTCTATCATCCCTAAAATATTTTTTGTTACTGGTTTAGTCAATCCTGCTCCCCATCTCTGTCAATTTTGAGAGCAAAAGCAATCTATGTATGTTGAACATTCAAGATGGCTTCTGTGAAAAAAGTTGTGTGCTTGAGGCCCTTAAATGGAAAGATTCTCTTCGGTAAAATTTTTTTTTTTTTTTTTTTAGCATTTAAGTTTCGTGAATTTTTATTTTTTGGTCAGGTGCAGTCTTCATTGCTACTAAACACCAGAAGAGAATTTCTGACTCTCACCTTGTATTTAGTTAAAACATGCATGACATTTGTCATGTGCACCTGGTGACATGACTGCCTGCCTGCCAAAGCTCAGGTACCCAACTGTGATCACACATTTGGGTGCCTTGGTATGGGCTGGGGAAGGGTTCCTAATACTGGCAGTCAACTGATTCTCCAGATACCAACTGTGTGTTCAACAATTCTATTCAATTCTGATACTTACTAAACACCTGGACTTATTGCAGACAACACAGGTTAAAGTCTCAATCCCATAAGACTGCTCTCATTTTTCGATGCCAGTCGCAAGTCCAGGGCCTCCCATACTTCTGACTGACCATGTATTGTAAATATTTTTAAATTTCCTATGTATTACAATGTTTTGGCATCTTAAGACATCTGTCTGGCTGGGGAAAAACATCTCTTCTTGGCCTAGCCCATTCTTAGAGATAACAAAGGACCCTATTGGGAGCTGTTTTAATATGAAACTAACCAATCTAGGGTCATGCCTCCCTTATCTGCCAGTACACCCTAAGAGACAACATTCTTCTGTGTTGATCACCCCAAGGCCAGGTACTAGGCAACAGGAGACCACCCCTACAGCCAATCCCAAACTGTCTATCTTGTCCTGTCTTGCCTTTTTCTCAGAAACCCCAATAAAGTCAGTGGCGTAAACATTCCCCTAGTTCCTGTCTTCTGCCTTCTGATCATCATAGTGTCTTTCCCATGTATCCCTGACATGTGGAAGGAGAAGGCAGACTTTACAGGGAGGTCAGGACTTGAGGAGTGACAAGGTGGGGAGTTCTCTGGTTTCCTGATTATTTCCTGCATATTCTTCACAGGGAGCTGAAGAAGGCTCCATCTTGGATGTACTATCTGTTATTGACTGAAAAGCTCCAAAAAAGGTCTGTTCTCCTAGCCAAAACACCAGGAAAGTGCTGGCGTAAAAGCAGAAAACCTTTTTTGGCAGTACCTTCCACATTCCAGTCAGACATGCAGGAAAAACCTGCACCATCATCCCCTAGGAGGTTTCAGTGGGGCAAGCGGGAAGTTGAACTTCCACCCCGCCCCCACCCCCGAAGAAGCAGGCAGTGCTCTTCCTCACTATGGTGCTGTCCATGGACACGGAAACTGATCTTCTATTCCCTGCCTGACAGACAGAGGCAGTGCTACAATTGCCCCCACCAGGGTAGTGTCAGCAAGGTCTAGTGGTGGGTTGAGCCTCCTTAATGACCCTGAAACAATGACACTGAATAAGCCCAGTTGATATTTCTGTTCCCCTGTCTACGTACCTCTGCTGCATCAACAGGGTGCAGTGGGAAGCTAAGCCTCCACTCCCACTTAATATCAATGAGGTGGAATGAGGTGCTCTGAAGACATACTGGTGACACTCAGCTTCTTCTTTTCCACTGTCATGGTGTCACTGGGGCCCAGAAGGGAGCTGAACTTCTATCACCATCGTGCAGTAACAAAGTTGTGTGACTCAGCCCTCCTCCTCCTTCTCCCAGGTGGCAGTGAAGACCATCGGGAAAGTGACCTTCTACCTCAACTCAAGACAATCAAGACAATGAAAGCAAGTTGGTGCCCTGCTTTTGCTAGGAAGGGTCAGCAGCACCAAGTGGGGAGCTGAATGTTCACCCCACTGATTTGCAATGAGGCACTATGAGTAAGTGACCCATTTTTATTGGTGTTTTATTGGTGGTGCCCAACAGAAAGTTAAACATACACACCGATCTAGCCTTCATAAAAACTGACACTCAAAAGATACCACACTCAAGAGAAATCATATGTCGGCATTATTTGACATTGATGTTAAAGCAGTCATGAAAATGCTTCAACAAGTAATTACAAATTCTCTTGATATAGATAAAAAAAGGAAAAAATCTCAGCAAAGGAATAGAAATTATTTTAAAAAGACCGAATGGAAATGACATAACTGAAAAATGTAATAAGCAAAAGAAAAACTTCCTGGATTGGCTCAGTAGTAGAGTGGAGATGACAGAGGACAGAACAAATGAACTTGAGGACAACTCAATAGAGTTTACCTAATTTGAACAATAGAGAGAAAATGCACTGAAAAAATTAATGGGGACCTTTGGAACCTGAGGTACAATACCAAAAGAGTTATCGTTTGTATCTTCAGATGTCAGAAGAAAAAGAAATAGAGCATTGTACTGAAAACTGCTCACTTAAATGAAGTAGAACATTTCCCAAAGTTTACAGATAACATGAACTTACAGATTTAAGAAGGTGAGTATAACCCAGATAGAATAAACCTAATGAAATTCATGACAAGATACATTACAATTCAACTTCTGAAAACTGAAGACAAAGAAACAAAAACTGTGAAAGCAACCACAGATAAATGATACATAACTCATGGGGAATACTAATTTGTATGACAGAGGATTTCTTATCTGAAACCATGGAAGCCAGGAGAAATTGCACATTATTTAAAAATACTAAAAGAATTGTCAACTCTGATTTCTATATCCAGTGAAACAATCCTTTATCAATGAAGAGAAAATAAAGACATTCTCAGACAAAGGAAAACTAAGATAATTTGCTGTTAGAAAATCTACCCTTAAAAATGGCAATGACTAAATAGGAAATAATGACTGAAGAAAGGAAATAATAACAGAAGAAAGTTTGGAAACTCAAAAATGATAGAATACTGGAATGGGAGTAAATATAACATAAGAATAACTATAATCAAGTATCTACTTCTCATGAACTTCTTAAAACTTACAGGCTGGCTGAAGCAAAACTTATAACATCATCTGATGTGGTGCTCCATATGTGTAGAGAATATA
This sequence comes from Homo sapiens, assembly GCF_000001405.40. Classification (NCBI taxonomy): domain Eukaryota; kingdom Metazoa; phylum Chordata; class Mammalia; order Primates; family Hominidae; genus Homo; species Homo sapiens. The sequence continues at coordinate 47,633,078 of NC_000015.10, read as the reverse complement.
CTTAAGGTAATTATGTTTTAAAAGTGGAGAGGGTAAAGGAACCTAAGTGAAAATAAGATTTCTACCTATCACTTGAAGTGGTAAAACACTGATACCAGTAGACTATGATAAGTTATATATGTGTAGTATAATACTTAAGGCAACCTTTAAGAAAACTATACACAGTGATATACTCACACACCATAAATAAATCAAGGTGGAATTCTAAAAAGATTCAAGTAACAAACATAGAGGACTAAGAAACAAAGGAAGCAGAAAACAAATAATAAAATGAAACACTTAAGCATTAACATATGAATAATTACCTTAAACGTAAATGGCCTAACTATGCCAATCAGAAGATAAAGACTGGCAGTGGATAAAGGAAAAAAATGACTTAACTATATTCTGCTTATAAGAAACTCACTTCAAACTCAATAATATAGGAAGGTTGAAAATAAAAATATAAACAAGATATTCTATGAAAATTAGTAACCAAAAAATAAAAAATCAGGTGTAGCTATATTAATATTAGGTAAAGTAGAATTCACAACAAATGTTACTAGAGACAAAGAGAGATTAATTCTTCAGGAAGACATAATGATTATAAATGTGTACATATAAAACACCACATGAGCCAACCACTGAAAGCTGAAAGGAGAAATAAACAAATGCACAATTATAGCTGGAGACTTCAACACTCCCTTCTCAGCAACTGACAGGACTAATAGAAAATCAACAAGGCTATAGAAGATCTGAACAATACAATTAACCAAGTAGGACCTAATCAACACAGAGAGAACACTCTATCCCAAAACAGCAGAATAGACTTTATAAAAAAAAGTAACCATGAAACATTCTTCAACATAGACCATAACTTGCGCCATAAAATAAACCTCAACAATTTTAAAATAAATTAAATCATACAGAGTGTGTTCTCTGACCAAAATGGAATCAAACTAGGAAGAAAACAAAAATCTAAAAAACAAAAAACAGAAAGACAACAGAGAAATCTCCAAATACTTGAAAATTAAACAACACACTTCTAAATAACCCATGGTCAAAGTGAAAGTCTCAAAGGAAATTTTAAAAAAAATAGAGAGCTCAATAAAAATGAAAATACAACATATCAAATTATGTGGGATGCAGCTAAAGCCAGTGGTGAGAGGAAATTATATAGCACTAAATGCTTACATTAGAAATGCTTACCATTAAAAGAAATCCATGCCAAGACACATTATAATAAAGAAGAATATATTGGTTTCCCACGGGTGCTGTAAAAAATTACCACAAACTTGGTGGTTTCAAACAACACACATTCATTCTCTTATAGTTCTGGAGATCTGAAGTCTGAAATGAGTTTCACTGGGCCTCTCTCTGGTTCTACAGAATAGGTTCTAGGGAAAGACCTATTTCCTTGATATTCCAGCTTCTAGAACATCAGCAGTTTAGTGTCTTGCTTCAGTTTCACATTGCCTTTTTTTCCTTATTTGGCCAAATCTTCCCCCTCCTTCCTATTATGAAGACACTTGTGTTTGCATTTATGGTCCACCTCTATAGTCCAGGATAATCTCCCTATTTCAAGATATTTAACTTACTTGCACAGGCAGAGCCTTTTTTTCCTTTTTCTTTCATTTTTTTTTCGTGTGTATAAGGTAACATTTATAGATTTCCAGGGATATCTTTGGGGGCCATTATTCAGCTTACCACAGAGTACAGCAGATAACTTTATACTCATAAATTCTACAATTTAGAATAAATGGATTTCAAAAACCAAAAACTGCTAAAACTCAAACCAAAATAACACAGACAACCTAAATAGTCTTATAACCATTACAGAAATGGAAAAATTTAAAAGCTCCCTAAAGAAATTTTCAGGCCCCAGAGTTATCACTGTAGAATTATACCAAAGATTTACAGAAGAATTAACACTAATTTTATACAACCTCTTTTATACACAGATGAAGAAGGAACACATCACCACTTGTTTATGAGACTAATAATGTCCTGCTACCAAAACCAGATAAAGACACCACAAACAAGGCAAACTACAGACAAGTATCTCTCATGGACTCTGATGTAAAATCTATAAAATATTTTAACAAATCAAATCCAGCAATGTATAAAAAGAATTATGCACCATGAGCAAGTGGTATTTATTCCAGGTATGCAAGACTGGTTAAACATTCAGAAATAAATCAATGTAATACTCTAAACCAACAGACTAAAAAAGAAAAAATCACACGATCATATCAATTGATAGAGAAGAAACATTTAATAAGTCTAATACCAATGTATGATTTTTAAAATCTTAGCAAAATAGGAATAGAGGAAAATTTCTTTAGCTCAATAATACGCATCCACAAAAACCCAACAGCTAATATCATACGTAATAATGAAAGACTGAATGCTATTCTTCCAGGGGTCAGAACAAAGCAAGAATATCTGCCCTTACTACTCTTATTCAACACAGTATTGGGAGTCTTAGTCACTTCAATAAGGCAAGAAGAAGAAATAAAAGGCATACCAACTGGAAAGGAAGAAATAACACTGTCCCTATTTACAGATGATGTAATTGTCTTCATAGAAAATCTCAAAAAAAATCTATAAAAAGTCCTAGAACTAATAAGTGTGTTCAGCAAGGTCACAGGACACAAAAATCATCTCATTTCTACATAACAACGAACAATGTGGATACTAAAAATAAAAACACAGTATTATAATCACTCCTAAGAAAATAAAATACTTAGGTGCATTCAACAAAATATGTATAGAATATGTATGCCAAAAATTAGAAAGAAAAAATTAAAGGAAACAAATCACAACAATGAGATATCATTTCACCACAGTTAGAACAACTATTGCTAAAAAGGCAAAAAGATAACAGATGCTGGCAAGGATACAGAGAAAAAGGAAATCTTATATGCCACTGTTGGTGGGAATGTAAGTTAGTACAACCACTAGGGAAAACAGTATGGAGTTTTCTCAGAAACCTAAAAATAGAATTGCCATATGGTCCCACAATCCCACTGCTGAATATCTATCTAAAGGAAAAGAAATCAGTATATCAAAATGATAGGTGTACTCACATGCTTATCACAGCACTATTTCCAATAACAAAGATACGGAATTAACCTAAATGTCCATCAATTAATGAATGGATAAAGAAAATGTGGTATACATACACAAAGGAATACTATTCATCCATAAAAAAGAATAAAATCATGTCATTTGCAGAAACATGAATAGCATTGGTGGTCACTATATTAAGTAAAATAAGCCAGGCACAGAAAGACAAATATTATACATTCTCACTCATAAATGGGAGCCAAAAACTTGATCTCATGGACATAAAGAACAGAATAATAGATACCAGAGATTGGAAAGGGTGGGTTATGGGTACAAACACACAGTTAGATAAAAGAAGCGAGTTGTAATGTTTGACAGCAGACTACAGTGACTATACTTAGCAACAATATTATATATATTTCAAAGTAACCTGAGGAGAGGACTTGAAATTATATTGACATGTAAAAATGATAAACACTCAGGATGCTGGATACTCCAAATGCCTTGAGTTGATCATTACTCATTCTATGCATGTAACAAACACTCACATGTACTGATAAATATGTAAATTATTATATATCAATAAAAGGAGAAAAAAACCTTAAATCTAGAGACATACCATGTTCATGAATTGGAAGACTCAGCATAGTAAGAATATCAATTCTTTCTAAATTGACCTATTGGTTTCATGCAATTCCCATTTAGCTTCTAGCAATAGTTTTCTAGAGTCATAGATAAGCTTACTCTAAAATTTGCATGAAAATGCACAAGCCTTAGCCTAGCTAAAATAATACTGAAAAAGCATAATAAGGTGGAAAGAGTCACCATCTCCAACATTAGGATCTACCATATATTGGGAGGAATCGATTTATTCAATTTTATGACTTATTATGTAGCTGCAGTAATCAAGAGTGTGTGGTATTAGAGGAGGGACAGACATATAGATCAATGACACTGAATAGAGAACTTAAAAATAGACCCACATGAATATGCTCAATGGATTCTTGGCAAAGGTGCTCCCTCAATGGAGGAAGGACAGGCTTTTCATCAAATGTGCTGGAGCAAGTAGGCATCCATAGGCTAAGTAAGTAAATAGAATCTTGATCTAAAACTCACGGCTTCTATAAAAATTATCTCAAAATGAATTTCAGACTTACATGTGAAACTACAACCCTTATAAAAAATAAGACAAAGTTTTCCAAACCTTGAATTAATTCTGCAAAGAATTCATGGCCTTGACACTAAATGTTCAAGCCATGAAAGAAGAAAAGACCTCTTCAAAATTAAAAGGCTTTGCTCTGCAAAAGACCTTGTACAGAGGATGAAAAGACAAGTTATAGACTGGGAGAAAATATTTGCAATACATACAACTGACAAAGGACTAGCATCTAGAACATATTAAAAATGTCAAAACAATTAAAAACTGTCAAAAGCAAACAATCCCACTAGAGAATGGGAAAATTTACTGAAGAGGATATATAGTTAGAAAAAAAGCCCATGAAAAGATGTTTAACATCATTAACCATTAGGGAAATACAAATAAAAATTACGCTGAGCTATCATTTCACACCCATCAGAATGACAAAAATAAAAAATAGTGACAGCACCAAATGCTAGTGAGGATGCAGAGAAACTGGATCACATACCTTGCTGGTCAGAATAGAAAATGGTATAGCTATTCTTTTGTAAAACAACTTGGCAGTTTCTATAAAGAAAACTAAACATACAACTCACATATAACCCTGCAAGTGCCTTAATCTCAAAGAAATGAAAAAAATGTTCACATAAAATCCATGTATGAATGCCCATAATAGTTTTATCTTATAATAATAGTATTATAATAGTTTTATTTATAATAGCCCCAAATTGGAAACAACCCAGATGTCTTTCAGTGGGTGAATGGTTAAACAATCCATGGTATATCATATCCATAGTATGTAATCTAGTGTGTGGGATTAGCAGAGGGGTAGGCTAATAGCATGTAATAGTACCTAGCAGTGAAACAGAAACAAATTATTGATACATGCAATGATAAAGAGGACTCTTCAGGCAATATTCATGGGTGAAAAATGCTAGTTTCAAAAAGTTACTTACTATATGATTTTATTTATACAACATTCTTGAAATGACAAAAATAGCAGGTGAGTGTGTTTGCTCAGAGTCAGGGGTCAGTGGTCAGGGAGGGAGGGTTGGATATGTCTATAGAAGGGTAATAGGAGGAGTCCCTGCAGTGATGGAGCTATACTCTTATCTTGACAGCACCAGTGTTGACACTGATTTAGATATTGCATTATACTTTTGTAAGATATTATTAAAGGAAACTGGGTAAAGTGTACAGGAGATATCTCTACACTATTTCTTACAAGAGTGTGTCAATCTACAATTGTCTTGAAATGAAAAGTTTAATTAAAAATAATCAAATGCAAGTGAGAGCATTTATTGAGTACTTATTATACATTTAGCACTTAGCTAAATGCTTTTCACGTACTATAGCATAAATTCTCACCATATCTCTGTGATTATTATCCCATTTTACAGATAAGAAACAGTGATGGCTCAGAGATGGGAACTAAATTGATTTAGGAAACTTGATTGATAGAGGCAGGGTTAGAATTTTAACCTTGGCCAAACTAAAAAAATTAATCAACTGATTTGTTTACTTACTTCCACATCACCATAATTCTTGCTTATTGGGCACATTTAAATACTCCCTCTGGTGTTCCTTTAAGATCTAGACTGATTTCAAAGCAGCATTTGAGATGGAGGTCTGGGAATGGATCTGGGAATAATCATGTTAAAGGCAAAGATGAACTGGCTTTTGTTTCCTTATCCTTCCTCCCACTCCTCCTACTTCAATCATATTACCAGGTTGGGAGAAGATGGGTAGTAAATGCTTAGCAAGTCAGGGCCGCCATCTGAGAAGGCTGTCCCACTAATTACCATTCTTGTACCAAACAAGGAAGGCTTGGCTCTGGTGATGGGTCACATTCTCTCTTGCTCACCAACTTGCATTTGTAAATTAAACTTCTTTGGTACGATACTCTCTTTCTTGTTTCATATGACATCCCTATTGTTAGTGTTCCTTTGTGCCTCCTGTTCTCGGTCAAATGATTGTAACTATTAGGAAATTAAATTAAATTCAGAACATTCCATACACACAAAACTGCATGCATTTTGGAACATCCCCATTAGCCAAAGCATTGAATTTTTTTTTCTTTTTTGGTAGATAATTCAAGGCTGACTTCATTTTACTTGCTTAACACTCTATCAAACAAGGGGACTTGTTATTCAATTTCAAAATTAAAAGAGTACAGAATGGACAAGGAAAAGCTCAGAAACAAAGGTGTTGTGTAGAAGGGCAACAGAAAAACATAAAAATAAGAACAGCAGCAGCAACAATAACAATCCCACTGTTTTTCAGAGCCCTTCTTTAATATACTTTTCTTGTTTTCTTGGTCAAATAAAGACATTGAAAACTCTTTTTGTTTTTATAGGATGACAAACGTAGGGCTTCATGGAATGTCCTCAGTTTCTCCAAGTCTTTGGGAAGCCAATGACAACAGGAATTCAGAAAGTCCACACTCAGATAAGCATGTAGGTTACTGGCCACTTTGATTAAGAAGAGCACTTCTGAGTGGAAGTAGCAGTGACATGCCCATGGAAGGGCAGCCACACACTCAGGGAACTCACATTCTCATAAAAGAATAAACCACAAACCATAGTGTCTTAGTAAGCACATCCAGGGAACTCTGTGTCTGCTCTTCTGTCCTTGGACATTTGGGGAAGTTTCCTTAGACAGACCCCTGATTTCATGTAGAGCCCACACGGTTGTGATGCACATCTCACAACTCTTAGGTGAGCAATGCTTATGCCCTCCTAGGACCTTAAGTCTTATCAGTCATTCCTGACCAAAGAAGTCTTCCAACTCTACCTGCCTAGAAAGCCTATAAATTGGGCACAAGTTATATATTTTAAAAGTCTACTAAGGCTCAATCTCATTCACCTGCCCCAGGCCCCCTTCCTGGCTTTTCATAATCCCTGGTCTCTTCAAGCCCTGAGAAATCTTCAGCTAGAAAATGTTTTAAGTAATGGCCTTCAAAATAAGATATGGTTACTTTAGGATTATGAAAGTGATCGTATTGGAATACAGGAAGAAAATAGTGAAGTCATATTTATCTATATTTTATCACACCCTTTTAAATTAAGTTTTTGTAAATGTTGCATAAAGTTTAACAGTACGTAATCATGCATATAATTCATAAATAAATAAACATTCCTATTTGTTGTGCATATTTTCTTTTTTCAAAATTTATTATTATTATTATTATTATTAATATTTTTGAGACACGGTCAGGCTCTGTCACCCAGGCTGGGGTATAGCGATCCTCTCACCTCAGCCTCCCAAGTAGCTGGGACTACAGGTACACGCCACCATGCCTGGCTAATTTTTTTTTGTAATTTTTATTTTTGTAGAGACGGGGTTTCACCATGTTGCCCAGCTCCTGAGCTCAAGCAATTTGCCTGCCACAGCCTTATAAAGTGCTGGGATTACAGGCATGTGCCATCGCACCCAGTCCTGTTGTGCATATTTTCAATAGGCATTTTACTGATAAAGATGGAACATAAAAAATGTGAAGCCCACCCATCTAAACCACACATGGCAGATGATTGCCTATTTTCTTCTTATTTTTCAACATTCAGTAATAACTCGTCTAAATATTTTATCACTCCTGTATTTATGCATTCATTCACTTCAACCCCTTAACAATTATCATAGCATATAACAATTAGGCCATAAGCTGGGTACTGGGTTTTGGCTCAGAATTTTTATTCCTCTCCATGAGCAAGGTTTTCTCCCCCCAAAAAATCTTTGGGAGAAAAGTGATTTGTCAACCAGAATCTTAACTTCATTTGGTCTTTTCTGAACATAAAAAAAAATCAGCTTTCTTATTAAAAAATCTCTAAAATGGTGATAATCATGGTTAACCTGTAACGTATTGTAAAAATTGAAGGAGAGGATGTTCATTAATGCAGCATGTTGTTAATTGGAAAACAGTTTAAAAGTGTGATGTAGCCGCATTGTTTGAGTCTCAGAAACAATAATTCCCTTCTCCAGTCTATGTGAAATTATCTCATTTTCTTCACTAATTTGACAAAATATATTTCATTAGTTTATCACTTGGTGACTGAAAGTAGATGCCTTACTCTGCTAAAGCCATGGTGGAGGTAAAATTCCCTTCCCAGCCAAATATATCAAGCCTCATTTAATGCATCTGGGAAATATGAATTTGTCCTGCATTTTCTTCCTGTAATGGCACTTCATTGCTGACTCACATTTATCTCATGGTTAGTTATCTGTCCTAAGTGTTTTTCCACTATATTTCTGCTTAGCCATCCTATATTTGTGTTACAAGATTTGTGTTCTTTGGAGGATGACCTGGCATTTGCCATATTACATTTCAGCTTTGTTGATGAAATCATTTTCTAATCTTTCAAGAACACTTTCTATTTTTCCCCATATCTAGAATTCCGGTAACCCCATCTATTTTCACATTATGTACAAATTGGATGACTATATTTGTAAGTTTTTCACAGAGGTAATAAAAAATGACACAGTCCTACCAGAAAGTGTTTGATAGAGCTTCTCAGGTCAACACCATTAATAACTCTTTTTATCTTATTCCCCTAGGCTAATAGAAATGTGCAAGGCAGTAGAATAAGTGTGAGCATATGGGCAAATACCTGAAGCTAGGGAAGCATGCAAGTACGGCTCCTAACACAGCCTTGGGGGATAAGGAAGTCTTCCAAGAACACGCAGTGTCTATGCTGAGTGAGATATGAAGGACAAGTACAAGTAAACCAGGTCAAAAAGGGCATGAAGAACGTTCTAGACAATAGGTGCAAAGGTCTGAAGGTGAGGACAGATCATATTTCTCCTGGGTACGGACGGCAGTTCTGAATGACAGAGGGGGATCAGGAGAACTGGTGGGACAGGAGATTGGAGAGACTGGCAGGGCCAGCTCACGGGGAGTTTTGTCAGCCAGGGTCAGGAGCCTAGACTTTGATTCCAGTGGGGACACATCGAAGGATTTTTAAAGCAGGATTCTGACATTCTCAGTTCGTTTCATGGGAAAATTAAAAACTATTTTCCCTTCAGTGTGAAGAATGGATTATAGAGAGGGCAAGATTTGAAGCACAGGTATATCACAATGATCTATATGGATGTCTTATTTTTCCTTCTGGGCTACAAAATACTCTGAAACAGGACATAGGTCTGTTTCTTGTTTCCTTCCATTACCTCACAGAAGCCCTTGAAAATATTTTATTGAGTACATGAAAGAAGATACATAACATCCGTACCTTTTCCCATGTCTGTCATGGCTACCATTCTATTATGGGAGAAAATGAAACTGATCTGACTTACCTGCTCTTCACAAACTACTGCTGGTAGTATCAACACCACTCTCATTTTCCAAGCAGTTGCTAATTATTTGCTTGATGATGCATCCTAGTATTTTTCTAAAACTAATTATTCCATTGGCTTACAAATCAAGATAAATTTTACTACTGACAACAAACATTATTTTGTATCAGTTGCCTTACCTGTAAAATAAGGATGATAATTTTACCTATATAAAAGAGGTTATTGGGAGGAATAAATGAGTTAATTTAGGTAAAGTCCATAAACTAGCACAGAAATAAGCACTCAATGAATGTTCACTGTTGTGTGGTGATCAGTATCATTACTTTAGCTACAAATAACAGAAGACCCAGCTAACACATGAGGCTGAGACTGGGCAGGGCAATAGTTGGGCCTTGGAAGGCAGGACCAGCATGGTGAGGGGCTCATGGACCATGATAAGAAGCATGGACAAAACTCTACAAATAAAGCTACTTATGCCTTTCACACAGATAGAAACTTGACATCACTATTTTGACTTGAAGACAGGGCTTCAGGAGAGGGAGGGGGGAAGAGAAGGGCAGTTTTAAAGAAAGAGGGTTGTCACTACAGTGGGTAGTGGACTGGTTGAGCTCTCTCTAGATTCCCTGGGATCCTTCCTACTGATTCCATGCACTCTTTCCCCAGCTTGTGTTTTTTTAACTTCTGAGGGCCATGCCCGCAACTCTCTTGAGGGGACTTTCCAAGGACTTCTGGAACTGCTCTTGCAGAATGCCAGAAGTTTCTGAGAGTTTACAAACCCCTCAGGTGGCCTTATCAATACCAACCCCTGCACGCCTTTGAAAGCTGAGCTCCCAAGCCTTCAGTGGAACAAATGCTAAAATGTAATTTATGCTCCAGAGCTCCCCTTGGGGATCATGCTTGAGCTAGGACTTTGGCCAAAATCACACACTTGATTGACTTCTCCTTTCCTGTCCTGCAACCCCCTCTCCCTTACTGGTGTGCCCTAGGAGTATTTTCTTAGTAACTTGCTCATACCCAAATGGTGGTTTTGGGGTCGGCTTCTGCAGAATTCCTAAGAGGATATCAGGAGCAAGGAGAAGCAAAGTTGAAGAGATGCATTAAAAGGTCAAGGACGCTAAAGACAAACTGAACTCCTGCAGATTTGGCTGATTCTACAGTGGCTTCTGTGATGCTTCCTTTGGATAGGCTGAATTTCCTGGCTTTAGCATACTCCGGTTCCATGCTGAGGAGAGAGGTAACATTAGAGGAAACCTCATGGAAATCAGACAGAATTTCAGCTTTATTTGCAATTGAGGAAGCTGAACTTTGGTTACTGTTATTCCCACGTTTTGAGACTCTCTGTGAATGAAGGTAGCTGAGTCAGCAATCCCTCCCATATTTTCATTTCTTTTTTTTTTTTTTTTTTGGCTGGGTTTCACCTGCATATGCATAGATTCAAAAGACTCACTGATTTAAAGCTACCTCAAAAAGTTTTGGTCAGTAAGTTATTTATAACCTCAACCACCAGCAATCTACCCTGATGAGTCCTAGGTGAGTTTTTGGTCCTGTTCAATCACCCCTCTCAGTAGTGCCACCAGGGACTTCCTCCTCATGAACGGAACCCTCCAGGTTACTATCCCACACTTTTAGGAGACAGCAACCACTAGCTTTCATAGCCTCTGAAAATTAGGGATGGGGTTAAAGTGTTGTGCTTGAAGGCCAATAATAGCTTTCATAAGACACTTCATGCTTACAAAGTGCTTCTATATGTCTTCTATATGTACTACCTTGGTAGCTCTTTATAACAACATTGTGAAGAAGGTGGAATTGATTGAATTATGTCTGTTTGACAGGTGAGAAAGCTGAGGCAAAAAGATTAAGTGAAGTCCTTAGAGCCACATAAAAGGGAAGATGTAGAGCTGACAGCCAAATCAGGATCTCCTGTGCAGAGAGGGTGGGGCTGTGGGTGTGGAGGAAGACCTTTACCACTTTTCATGCTCTAGGGCACAGAGGGATTCAGGAGCTTGCAAGAGCTGCAGGTGAAAGTGACGTAAAGTGTGGCTATGAACTCAGGCACTCTGGGGACCCCGGAAATTGCCCATAGCCCCAAACTGGCTCTACCAGACACAGCTGCTCTCTTTGCACAGGTTTAGACTTCCTTGCCAAGGAAGATCTAAAGTGAGTCATCACTGTTGATTCACCGGGCTTATGTATTTAGCTAATTCAACTAAAATTAAAAAAAAAAATCTGTCCTGGGGGAAGAGTTTGGACATACAGTGCTTATAACTCCTACGTTTCTATTTCTGATCGTGACTGCAGTTTATGACATTTGGCGATCCTTTTGTTCTACTTAGCAAAAAGTCAGAGACAAGCATCTATGATGCAAGTGAGCACTGCATGTTTTAGTTGGTGGGGTTCTCACCTGCTGTTGTAGTGGGTGCTTGAGCATGCATGCACATGTGTTCACCTAGGGGAAGTTTGAGAAAATGCTACCATCTAGAACTTTAACAGGGTAGGTTAGTTCTAGGCTATTTTCTCACCACTGACTGTGAACTAACAAGGATGTAAGAGCCCATCTCTATGAGTCTATATGCCCGTTGTGTATGCAACACAGGGTTTTTTTTTCATATCACCCTGTGTGTTCTTCTTCTTCATTAGGGATCTCCTATTTTACAAAGGCAGGATTCCGTGCTGTCAAGAGCTGGGTCACAGGTGGAATGCACCAGGGCATTTAACCTGGGTCACTAGACCCCAGCCTGGGGACAGATTGGAGTCTTACCTGCCTCAGCTTCCCTCTGCCACATTGGAGAGATGAGTAGCTAAGACATATTCCTCTGAACCCCACTAATCCAAAGGTTAAAAAAAACCCACACTCACAATAAAATATTTGCACAAAGAATATATATATATATGTGTGTATATATATATATATATTTTAAAGGCAAGTGAAACCCCTCAGCCACAACGACCACTTCCTAATTTACTGCCTTTAGTACCCACTAGATCATGACACACTGACAGGATGATGAAGTAAGGAAGATGAATATACGGAGTGTCAGCACAGCTGGCTGATTTGCTTTTTAAAAAATATCCCAGGACCAGATCAATAAGTCACCAGAGGCTGCATGTTCATCTTAATTTTTAAACTTTAAATATTAGTTATTATTTCCCCTGTGCCCTGAAATTACAAGTCCCCATTGTCTTGATATTGAGAATAAAGTGAACCAAGTGCTGACATGCTGAAGCAGATACTCTCATTCCCCTGCCTCCAGAGGGTGTGAGGAGCCTGGGCACATGCCCTCCACTCAGGGACTCTCCCTGCTTGGCACTCCCAGGTGTGAGATCGCTTGCAAATGGACATATCCATTTAAAAAATTCAAAAACATTCACTGCATGTGCACAGGGTGGGCATGCAGAAGGTGCTGATCTTGTGAGACTGCCCTTTAGGAAGGGAGTGCAGTCTTAGATGACATTAACAGAAGCTTGCTGTCTGGGCAAAAGATGGGAGGATCACTGTGCTATGACCTGCTAGAACCATGTCTCAAGTGGTGAGTTCAGGCTGGGGTGTCATATTGTAACCCCTGGTTCCACTGTCACCGCAACCCCTTTTCTAAGACACATCCTTTCAGTCACATCCTGTATTGAACAGCAGATGTAATGTGAATAGGGAGACAAAAATCAATTAAAATAATAAAATCTAAGCTTTGGAAGGTCTCTGAAGGAAATTTTTCTTTTGACCTTTGGATTTCTGAGGGCAATAAACATGACATAGGGTTGCTAGTCTTATAGTTTTCCAAGTAAGGATGTTATAACATGGACAAAAATTCCATTCATTTTCATCATCATTTCATTTTTAAAAGTAATTTCATTTCATTTTGGTGCCTCAAATTCACACTAAAGAGCACTCCATTAAGTCAGTGATTCTCAGACTTTAGCGAGCAAACCAAATCACCATGATGGCTTGTTAAAAACAGACTTCTGGGCCTCTCCCCAAGATGCTGATTCATATGGTCTAGTGGGCCTGAATTTCATCTTTCTAACAAGTTCCTTAGTGATACTGATGCTGCTGGTCTGTAGGCCACACTTTAAGGAACACTGCTAAAAAGAAAAGAAATTTAGCTTGGCTAAAGCTCACTACTTTGTACTTATTCCACTTATTTTATCTAGGACCAAGGAACACGTCCTCATACCTGGGCTCTGGCCTGCAGGCCCACTGGCCAAGTGCGACTTGTCATCTAATGCCACCATCCATTCCACTGCTTGTCAAAGCAGATGTCAGCTATGGGTGTGGAGAACCCCACCCTCTTGCGTTGCTTTAACTAAAGGTTTGAAGATGAATATAATGCTCTCCTCCACCACTCAACCAACACACACACAAGTGAGGAGCCTAATTCCCTCCAAAGGAGAGGAAAGGAAACAAGAAGGCAAGCAAGTCGTTTTTGTCTAGCCTAAATGATGACTAGCACAGGTCTTCCCTTAGTGGTTTGGCTCTTTCTGCCAGGGTGCTACTGCCTTGGAAACTACCTGGCCTGCACAACTGCCTGTGCTTGAATCCTGCAACGTCGGCTGAGTTCCTCCTCAATTATCCTTTACCCAAAAGTGCACCAGTTCACAGCCCTTCTGGCCCATAGGTTCAACTCCAGAAATGCCAGCTTTACCTCCCTCTGGAAAGTGACCCAGATGGATAAAGAGCAGCTCCTTTTATAATATCTGACTACTACATATTTCACAAAGCCTAATCACACATATCATCTCTCTGAATCTTCAAAACCTCCCTAAGAAGTTACTATTATAGCCCTACTGTATAGATGAAGAATCTGATATTTACACTCAGTTAACATGTTCAATGTTACCTATGAAGTTATTCTGTATTGTAGCAGTCATTCAACTCTGGCTGCACCATACACTTATTTCTGAGATTATTCTTATTCCATTATGTTCCTCTTTTTGCCCTTTCCAACACAGAGAGGTGGCAAAGGTCAAACGTGAAGCTAAATACAGACTGGAGATTAACTCTACTATTTCTATAATGGGAAAAACACACAAAAATCCCTAAAGCTACATCACACAAAAGTGACCCAATTAATTCAGTGACGAGATCAGCCACATTGATCGGCTGAAGTGTCCAGTGGACAATGCAACTCATTGATTGAATGCTTTACTTTTCAGAGGCTTGTGTAGGCAGAGCCACAGGCAAGTCTCTTCTGAAAGTGTTGCCATGGCACCAGCCTATTGCTTTGCTGGTCCAGCCTCCTTTGCTTTCCAGGGCAGTCCTTTTAGAGCCTCGGTCAGAGGGTGGCTTGCCTAGGTCAGGCAAAAACCTCCTCGGATTGTATGGTTTTTCAAATAAATGAGCTGCTCTTTTAGGACAGTCTGATTTCAGTTATGAAGTACCTATTAACTCTTTATATTTACAAATTACTCAGCTTTTTATTGTTGTTGTTAGCCATCTAAGCACTGAAAGAGTGCCAATTAAGTATTATCCCCATCTTACAGACAGAGGATTAAAGCCCAGCAAGGGTTAGGTCACCCAGCAGGCTACACTGGGGCCAAAATTGTTTCTCCTAGTTTGAATATTCTCTGAACTGTCTTCTGTGTTCCCAAGAATAAATCAATAAAAATGCATTAACCTTGAGAATCAACTCAATTAAGGGAGAAGAGACAAGGAATTAGACGAGACATCTTATCAGGACCATACCAAATGGATGCCCAGTGAAATATCAGTTGGAGGAAATGAACTCAAATGAGAGGGAGATGTTAAGAGTAACTAATAGTTACACAGCATCTAGCTCTTGCTTTGTGCCAGGCAATGTTCTAAGTGTTTATATAGATTAACTCAATTAATCTCTAGCTCAGCCCTAAGAGGTAGGTACCATCCCATTTTACAGGTGAAAAAACTGAATCTGTCGAAGTCTTGCCTTAGGTCAACAGATCTCAGTCTAAACCAAACACAGGAATTTAACTCTGCAGGGTATATTTAGAAACCGTGCTAAATGTTTCTCAAAGAAAGAGAGAATGTTCTACAACATTCCTGTATGTTCTAAAGTGGGAAAAAAATACAAAGAAACAGAACCAAACCAAAAATACAAAACTGGCCATTTTCCTCTTTCCTGAAAGCCTACTTCTGTTATGGTGTCACATTCAAAGCAAATCAAACTTTGTTTGTGGCAACTTTTAAAAATAGTAGAAGTTTTTACTGACCCCTTCCTAAAGAGGCCATGAAGAGGTTGAATTTCATCATGGAAGACATAGTAAAACTTTGTCCCATTAGCAACTACTTTTCGTAGTCCCCTTAGTCTCGCTAATTTTCATTGGCCTGTTATCAACTACTAACTATGATTTTCTCAGCCAGTTTCCTCCAAGCCTCCAAGCAACAGACTGCAGTCTGAAAGATGATGAATTCCTTATCCTCTGCCAGAGAAGGTAGGTAACCTTGGAAGAGACTGGAGAAACAGTAACGAGCTCCAGCTTCTGAGGGAAATCTTGACTGAACTTGACTAACCAGGAGATCAAGGTGGAGTGATGACTTTGGCAAGCAACTCACTGTTGGGCTCATAGAAGGCAACAGCTCACTCCTGCTAACGATCATGCCTGGGAGCTAAGTTTGCTGCTGCAAGTCTTGGCCCTGGGCTAACACGTGACTAGAAATTCAGGTGTAAAAAAGCATGTATGCCCAAACCAGCTGTTTCTTAGCAGTTCAGTTGAAGCTGCTAAGGAGATCGAAAATACTTCTCAACATATGTGCAATGCTGTCTAGAAGTCATAGAGCTGTTGGGAGAAGGTAAGAGGGCTGGGGTTTGAATTCCATAAAGGAGAAAGAGAGTAAGGTGTTAATAAAGAAATGTGTACAGCCTATACAACACTGGGTGTACAGTCTTTTATTTCCAACATCTACTTTTCCATCATAGACAACTCAGAGTCCCAGTAGGCAGAAAGTACACACAAATTCTGTCGTAGCCAAACCTTTCACAGATGCATCATTTACCCACATAAATACCTACACACTTAAACAATACCTTGTCTAGGATCATCTTTTTTTTTTTTTTTCCTCTTTGGAGAGCAATCACATACAGTCAATAATTCTTATACTCGCTCTCTCTTTTTAAACACCTACCATTGTGTCATAGCCAAGTAGAGCACTGAAAATAGAGATTTTTAGGCTGGGTATGATGGCTCACACATGTAATTCCAGCACTTTGGGAGGCTGAGGCAAGTGGACCACAAGGTCAGGAGATCGAGACCATCCTGGCTAACATGGTGAAACCCTGTCTCTACTAAAAATACAAAAAAATTAGCCAGGCGTGGTGGCACGCACCTGTAGTCCCAGCTACTTGGGAGGCTGAGGCAGGAGAATCACTTGAACCTGTGAGGTGGAGGCTGCAGTTAGCTGAGATTGCACCACTGCACTCCAGCCTGGCAACAGAGCAAGAGAGACTCTATCTCAAAAAAAGAAAAAAAAAAAAGATTTTAAGTCAAGGTCTAGACACTTGAGTATATAACAAATGAAAGAGGGTGAGAGATCGGTAAATATTAATTCAAATAAGACGTAATCATACTTGAATATGCACAAAGGATTAAAGGTGACCCAAAGTGGATGCAGCTAATTTACAGGAAGACTTTAGGGAGGAGGTATTATTTAAGTATTTGAATTGGGCCTCAACATGTGTTAGGAGTTTCCCAGACATTTAGAGGAAAAATGTGCTCTTCAGTAACTGGATAATTCATGGCACTGTATACTTTTGATTTAAAATGCAAAGCTCATGTCCCTTTCAGATTTTTAACAATCCATCTGAAATGGTTTTCATATTTTTGCTTTATTAATGCAAATGCTTTCGCAAAGAGACAATTTCTGTACAGGGCTTGCATGAGTGTCAAATAAAATAGAATTTCCTTCTTATGTGTGGCACACTTTTCTCTCCTTTTATTATACTCATTTGGACTGATGTGGTAATAAAAGGTCCCGAAGCCAACTATTCAAATACATTAGAATTCGTGACCCTTGGGTATTCCTTATTTGTTTTCTTTGATAAGGATTTTTTTTGCAATAGGTGAAAAACAAAACCCTAAAACTTCCTCATCTTTGCAAAATAAACACAAGAAGACAGTTTCGTAAAAAAATACTTGTTTTTGTGTGTATAAATGAAGCCTTAATTTTTACAGTTAAAAAAGAGAAAATAACTGTGAGAAAACTAGAGTCATGGAAGTTGTCATGTATAGTCATCCTTGGTATCTGTGCCATTGGTTAAAGGACCCCTGTGGATACCAAAATCCACAGATGCGCAAGTTGCTTATATAATATGGCAGAGTATTTGCATACAACTTATATACATCCTGCCATATACTTTAAATCACTGTCGATTACTTCTAATGCCTAATACAATGTAAATGCTATGTAAATAGTGATACTGCATTGTTTTTATTTGCATTTTTTATTATTGTATTATTTTTTATTGCTATTTTCCAAATATTTTTGACCTGTGGTTGGTCGAATCATACATAATTTGTGTATATGGAAGGTCAACTTTATTAGGTTGAAGAAAACATTTTTAGAATGCCCCTGGGATTCACCCTGAGTTCCAATCATTTCAGGCTTATTCCCTAACAGGTTGTGGTTGGCACATACTAGGGCCTTGAGAAATGTATCTGTTGAATGTATGGAGGAAACAATAATAAAAATAATTGACGAAAATTGGCCAGACATTAAGAGAAATGTTATCTCATTTAATCACCAGATTAAACCTGTAGGATGGATATTGTTATTAACCCCATTTTCCAGATGAGGGCACTGAGGCTCCAAGGAATAAGTAAATTGTCACTGTCACACATGCTAAGTGGCAGAGTCTAAATTCAAGCCCAGAAGGGTCTGACTCCTAAGCCTTGTATTTCAATGATTGTAGATCCTAAACCATGCTAGGTCCTGGATCTACAGAGACTGGAGGGTGGGAACTCTTAGGGAACACAAATTATACTGGGGAGTTGATACGTGCACCAAAGTACTTAGTGAGATCAGAAGGACTATGAAGATAGATGTGTAAAAGACACTGGAGCTGGGAGGAGGGACTGACTGGCTGACTGCATAAGGTCTCATGTCTCCAGCTGGGATCCAAATGACTTTAGACAGGAAGCTCAGCTCTTTCAGAGGGGAACAAGAAGCTGGAGAGAAAGAGGGATTTGAACTGCAAAGAATTAAATGAGGGTTGTCAACTTAAAGAAGGAGTTTGGCACTTGATACAACAAACAGCAGCAATGTTGACCCATTTGAACCATCTGAATGGTTATGTATTGCCTGCCATGACTGGAGGGAGCTGACAAAACTCCTAAGTGTGCTGCATGAGGTGTTTGCAATGGACACTGCGAATCTTGATCATCCAGAGAGATGCCAGGGAAGTGGTTTGGGCACGCACTTTGTAACTATGTTTTGAGGCAGGTTGTTTGTGTGTGTGTTTCTTTTTTTCACCTGATTCATTCATCATTTGTTTTTTGCTTTGTTTTATTTTATTTAGATTTCTGTAATGGGATCTTTGGGGCCTCTCTACTTACAGGGTAGCTGACATTTTGTAATGAATTAGAACTGGATATAAAAAGGCTTAACTGTCACTTAGTATTAATGGCATTAAGTTGTACAAATGGTACTAAATTTAAATATTCCTTGAAAGAATAAGATTCATTTAAAAATAAAGTGGCTGGGCGCGGTGGCTCACGCTTGTAATCCCAGCATTTTGGGAGGCCGAGGCGGGCGGATCACGAGGTCAGGAGATTGAGACCACGGTGAAACCCCATCTCTACTAAAAATATGTATAAAAAAATTAGCTGGGCGTGGTGGCGGGCGCCTGTAATCCCAGCTACTTGGAGAGGCTGAGGCAGGAGAATGGCGTGAACCTGGGAGGCGGAACTTGCAGTGAGCTGAGATCGCGCCACCACACTCCAGCACTCCAGCCTGGGTGACAGAGTGAGACTCCGTCTCAAAAAAAAAAATTAAAAAATAAAGTTTTGGGGGTCTCTGAATGGTCCAGATATACTGTACTTCTAAATATTTTCTTTACTTACAATTTGTCCTGTAAGCACCATGACGACAAAGGAAAAATGTTAAATGTTACTCATCTTAGTATCTCACCCTAAAACTGAGCACTACCTGGTAATTTTTGTATTATGAGTGCATTTGTTTGCTATCTTCCTCCGAGAGAATTTTAAGCTTTCTGACTGAGGAGGCTTTGTCTGTCACATTCACTACTGTATCCTCAAAACCTGGAAGGAAATTGATGCATACAGGGGCTCAATAAATATTTGATGAGGAATGCACGAAATATTCATTAAAACAGTGCTGAAAATGCAGTGGAAACTTAAAATGTAACCTAATGAATGAATAAATGAGGCTCAAACCTACCCTTCCACCAATTGAAGGTGTAGGATAGAGTGAGTTGAGGTGAAATATGATTATTGTGTGACGGTGTATGTGTGGGGGTAGAGGCTTTCTCAATGCTGTGATTGCAAACAGTTATTTAGCTCCAAATTATGTAGAGGTACATATTTGAAGTTCCTTAGATTTTAGAATAATCAGATGTATTCTTTATCTCAAAAATAATGGAAAAATAAAGTCTAATGGTAGGCTCCACAGAGTTTAAAATTCACCAACATTATGTTTTTCATAAAAACATTTACAACATTCTGAAATGTGTTCTATGCTTTAAATTCTACATTAGCATTGTTAAGGCATTTGTTAACTACAAGATCTAGAAAAGAAGTTGTAAAAGTTGCAGATTTATAGCAAGTTGCCAAGAGAACAATTGTTTGATATCATTTCATTTATAATAACTCACCTATTTGTCAATCTCAACATTCCAGACACCAAAAAAAAAATAAAAAATAAAAAATAAACAAGGCCTTTGAGTTGCCAAAACCATCTTCATAAAAGTCTGAGTGCTAAAGCCCATACCCTTCATTCACAAGAAAGTTCATTGAGCCCTTTCTCTCTGACACATTTTCTAAGCCCAGATACAATGCAAGGAACAAATGAGAAGGGTTTGGGGACCACTAGAGACAGTGAGAAACCACAGTAGAAATCCAGGAAATTAGAGAAAAGAAGTAATAACTATGAAAAGGAGCATGAGGTATCTACAACCTTAGCCCTCATGGCATCATTTTGGATAAGAGCTTCTTACACCTCACCGATTTTTAACGGCATTACTCTCTAATGTAATAATGTACTGTGTTAACTTTGCCCCAAAGGAAGAAATACATTGAATTTCTTCTGTTTAGGTAGGCAAGGGACTGATGATTGCATTGTATTTGTATTTTGTTCTCAAAATTGCTTATTTTCTCAGTAGAAAGTTCTGTCTTAGTCACCATGAGCCCTTAGGTTGGTCACCAAACTGCAGGCTCAATTCTTTTAAGGGGCCAATTACAAATCCAAACATGCAAAGGGACAATGGTATGGCCTCAGGGGCAGCATAAAGAGCATTGCTTTTGCTATGAAATTTATACTCTGGAGAGTATATCATTCTCTCCAGAACAACCATTCCAATGCCTACCAATCAGCTTCAACTCCTAACCAACTAATTCCACTTTATAGACATGATTTTCTAAACTCAGGATAAAGCCAAGGAGCAGAAACTCACATCTCTCCTTTCTGTTCTCATTCATTTCCCCTTCATTCCCTCACACTCTATTTTCACCTGGCATCTTTATTTCTGCACCTTTTTCTCAATGCCACTGTTAAGCAGTTCTTACATGTATTTTCCATCGGGCACTGGCTCCACTTCAATGTGGCCACTTTGTTTCAGCTTAATCAAAACCACAGTCTCTCCAAAAACATAACTTTTGACATTGATTTATCAACTTTCACTTTAGTGGCTCTTATGGGATAAGCTTTCCTTCCTTGCAAACTATTTAATGCTTTTTCTAGTGCTCCAGGACTGTGACATTTGCACTAATCCTTTACGTCTTAACTATCTGTAAACATTGTTCTAAGATTTACGTTTCTATACAAGGCCACATTTTTTCTTTATCAAATTAATGTATGTTCATTACAGAAAATATGGACCCTATAGAAAAATCTATCAAAAACATTCCCTGTAATTACGTCAGCCTAATGATAAGTATATTTTGTGTACTTTGTACATATAAACACACACACACGTTCGTTATATTGTATACAAAGTGCTATAATCTGGTTTTTCACTTAATGTTTTGGCTTGAGTATTTTCCCAAATCTTAAAAATTGTGACTATTTTCCCATTTTTAAAAAATGTATTGCAAAATCTTTTAATACATATGATAGCATGTTGTCATAACTAAATCATTTATTGTTAGACATGTAGGGTATAAAAAAGGCAAGGTATCTTGCAGCTGAAATGTAGACAAATGTAAAGACTGGTATCTGTAGCACAGATTCTGTAACTAAGTCCTAGACTCCTACATGTTTGTGTGTGCTTGTGTGCATGCGTGTGTGTGTGTGTGTGTGTGTGTGTGTGTGTGTGTGTATGTAGGACGGTGGCAGTGGGTAGGCTAATCAATTATGTGCAACCTTGACTCAGGTGCCTTTGCTGTTGCCTCCTTAGGCTGGGATTTCATATGTTCTCACCACTAGGTGCTGCCTACATTAGGAATGACGATAAAGCCTCAGTCATTTGTGTGCCATTTGCCATGTAAAGACATATGCTCTGAGCATATCTAGCTGTTTTAAAATCTTTTTAACTGCCATATAACATATAGTCATTCCTTAAATAACTTAATCCACTTCAAAATGAGCTACAGTAGTATCTGTTTCCTTTCCTGTCCTGCTTTCTTTCATTCTGCTCTCTACTTTGGAAACAATCATGTTGGGCATTTCTGCAGCTTATTAACTATATTTTCAGCTGTGGAAAAACACGTAAGTGCTGGGAAAATTTCTTTTTTCAATATTTTAGCATAGAGTATTGCTACTTATATTAAGAATTTGGAAAAGAAAAATGGTACCAAGACTAAATTATTATACTCCGAATGAGTGAGATATATCTAGGAAGGAAGCAGATGATGAAAGTGATTTCTTCAAAAGAGTGAAAAATGATAAATGTACACATGGTGGCGGGGGCGTTTGCCTGAGCTTCAGCCTGTTACTCTTCATCATTAAGGTTTAGACATGTCTGCAACTTTTCATCACACAGGTATTAAGGGCATAAAAAAACATGTATTCAAATAGAGCCCAGAGTTTTTCTTGAGGATGAGGAGATGTGGTTAAAGGTGAATCCACTGTTGGAATTCAAATAAAGCTGGGCATGTGTGTCGAACTTATGTGGTGGTCCAGTAGAAGTCTAGAAGGGTTAGGCTGTGGCACTAATTATCTTTCTGGGAAGAACTCACCCTAATGGAAGAGAGAGCCAGTGGGGATAATCTTGCTTATATACGTTTCCTAGGCATTGGTGAAGAGTAGGAAGTCAGCCTACGGCCTGTATCCTGAAACGTGGCTAGGTCCTGGAGGAAGAAAGGGCTAGAAGCAAAAATAGAACCTTTGTGTTAAACTGTCTAACTCACTGAGAGTCAAGAAATACTTCCTTAGTAAGACCCCTCTTTAACCACAGAAGAAATCAATTCTCCTCACTCTATTGCAGGCTGCTGGACAGTCTGGATATCCTCAAAGCAGCCACCAGGAGATAATGACCAGGCTGGATCGAGCAGGAAGAAAGACAGGGTCATTAGGCAGAACAGAGCACACATGCAGCACCTAATGGATGCTGCAAAAGGCAGCAGGGCTGCTGAAGCCACAGGGGCAGTGGCAGGCAGTGGGAGAGGGTGTCCTTCCTGGTGGAGCCTCAAGTAAAGTAAATGCAGGTGCTGAGAAAATTGCTTCTGAGTACACATGCGGTATCACCTGGGAGTGCCTGGGAGGACTTGGAGAGGGGCACATTTACAGTTATGGACTTCCTGCATGAGCAAGTAGGGCATAAATCCAGGTTAATTGGGTTACGGGGATAAAGATTTAGTAAGCCTTTTGACTTACACATCACATATATATGCTATTTTAGTGCAGAAAGACTTAAATTTTAAATATGTTTTAGAAGCAGTGAAGTTCAAAGGCCTCCTTTGGGGTCAATTAAGACCTGCGTATATGTACCTTCAAATGTTTAAGGGAGTTGCTCCTCAATTTAGGGGCAGCTTAAGCGAATACGTACCTAAATAGGCAGAAAAAACTGGCCACTGAAAAGTCTTCTGTTTTCTGTTTTTAAACTTGTAGACTCATATTTGTACATTACATCAAGCTCCAAACATGTAGGAACATGCTGGTCACAATAAACTAGTGAATTCTGCCCCAAATATATATCTCAACATGGTTTTTCCACTGCAGCATGGTATACATTCATATCCTTCCCTCTATATCTTCTTATTTCATTTACAAGTGTTTTATTTATTAAGATCTATGTAATGGGCTGTAAAGGTAACATAGACGCAAAAGTTACAGACAGAAACCCTATGGTTACTCCATTCTTCTATTTGTTACACAATCCGTGTTATGGCACAACTAATATGGTCACTTAAATGTCCCAAGTCTGACAGTCAGTGAAAATTCATGATACAACTTTAAGCTATTGTATTGAGTGTTTATGTAAGTTCAATGAATATAGGAAGAACACATTGAATTCTCACCTATAATGTTTTCTATAAATGTGTGAACCAGAATCAAATATATGAACATAGGCTAGAAAAAAGCAGAGTGTTCCGTAATAATTCAAGGAGTAAAATGTATTAATGCTTATTTTTGTATAATTTATAGCTTGGTCCTGTAGGAAATTACTGGAGATTACAATGACATTCAAAGGTAAAAGGATTCAACATTACAAATGTTCCATTTAATTGTACCAGAAACAAGGTGCTGAAAGTATGATTTAAATACATATACTTCAGATTTTGGGCAGAAGGAGATTGAATTATTGTTGAATTTGGATCCAGAGAAAATATTATATAAGGATTATATATACATATATGATTTACACATAATATACATTAATAGGTAATGGCATATATATGTTCATACCCAAATATAGGAGGTGATTTGATGCTTATGAGTTCTTGAAACACTGCTCTTTAACTGGGAAGAGAAATTATGAAGGGAATAATGAGGAAAAGCAAAAAAAGTAGCTTTCCTCCACCAGATAACAGTTGGTAACTTTGCAATTTTAATGAAAATCTAGCAAATCAGGTATTGTACAACTGTTTTCTCCTCACCAAAACAGGTAAGGAGGAAGCTCATTTTCTACTGTTGAAGTCTACAGATGAAAATTCCTCTAAAAGTAAAACCATCCCCAGTAGATGTAATTAGTCCAGTTTTTGGTCATTAATAGTTCATTTAGGTTAATCTAGAAAATATAATTGCCAGTGACAGAGGAGGAGGTAAAGAAGTTTATGAATCAGTAATCTATGGATTAAATATTTTTATGTCTTTTAAATCATCTAAGTAAGTAAATTACCATCATGTTCCTTTAAGGAAACGGCAGAAAATTCAAGTCTACTCCCACTCGGCACACAAATGAACCATTCCATAATAATATTATCTTGACTGCAAAAAGAACAGTCTTTGTTTACATGTAAGCTGGAAAACTTTTAAATAATAATCTTGAGGGTGGAGAATATACAGCACTCTCTTAGGTCAAATTATGACCACAGTTATAACAGACAGTGCAAAAAGCTTTGAAAGGGATAAGATAAGACAAAGAGAAATGACAGGAAAACAAAGTGGCCAAAGAAATGTTTGGCAGAAGCCCAGCATACTCCTGGCATCCTCTCCCTAGGCCTTTTGCCTGTCTGCAGAATTATCACTTATCTTCCACCAGCTTCTCTCTCTTTAAAGAAAGGCCAGTGTACCCCTTCCAATGCTTCATCAATACCTCACATGTCACAGAGTACAATGTAAATGGGCTACAAGCCCATATTTCATGGTTCTCCAAAACAGCTTCTCATAAGAACAAGGTTACGCATTTGCAAGATTTATAAAACAGAGGGCTGAATCTTAATTAGGCCTGCACTGTTAAATGAAAATATTTTCTTAGACACATTGGCACTTTTCCCTTCAAGCCAATAATGCTCTCCTTCTCAAACTGTCTGCTTGCTTGTTTTAAATAAAAGGTAAGTAGATATTTACTTAGAGTGATAGAGGAAATACACACCAACTACTTGGTATAGTAGGTAGGTGGAAAGGGACAAGGATCCAGATGTTCTGAGTTACATGCTGCTGCTGCCACTAGCTTGCTTTGTCACCTGGAGACAGTCATTAATCTTGATGAACCTCCATTTGTCTGTCTATAAATTGAGAAAGTAGGAAATTTCTAAGGCTGCTTGTTAGTTATATGATCTGTGATCTAACCATATTGGTCAATTATAAAGTGTCATGCCAGAGATAACATTTTATGGGTCAATTAGAGTATGTGGTGACTGACTGGGGAAGTCATATATGATTTTAATAAACTTCTTTTTAAAAAGAAATGTAAGTTCTACAAATCTACTAAACATATTCCTAGATCCTTGATCTCACCTTCACCAAAAGGTATCTATCTGATCAAGTCCTTATCATAATTTTCAAACAATTTTATTTAAGCCTTCTTAGGCTAGTTTCTAATTTGGCACAAGAAGGTTCAATGTAGATCATCTCCCTTGATTCTTGGATCTTAAGGATGGGAAATTGGAGGTCATGGCACAATTCAGCAGCAAGAGTATTAGTGCAGCCCAGGTCCTGTGGTTTGGGCCAGGCATCTCTCCATTGCCAGAGGTTGCCTTCAGAAGTCTGAATGGGACACATAGCCCATTTTCAGGCCTTGAGAATTCCTGTGAGAATTTCAAGCAAGCTTTTGTTTCAACAGCTCACATGTGCAAGGGCCACCAAGAGTTTAGTAATGTAAATAGATAACATGTCATCATTTAGCCAAGGAATCACATTATGAGCATATTCAAACCACATTCAAAAGGACACCAGATTTCCTTGAAACATCTGTGGATAAAGGAAGAAAAATCATGGTGGATGTGTAGCCAGCCTCCAACATGGGCTCCAATGATTCCTGCCTCTTGGTATTCAAGTCCTTGTGCAGTTTCCTCCTACAATGTATCATAATTGGTCTTTGTGACCAAGAGAATACAGCAGAAGTGATGGCATGTCACTTCTGAAGCTAGGTCATAAAAGGTACTGTGGCTTTGTGGTATAATAAGAAAGACATTCTATCTTTGTCCATAGTGCCTGGCACAGAACTCCTGTTGAGGAACCCCTGTTCCCTCAAACCCCTGGAACACCACACAGAGAACTATCTCCAGGCCTGGACTTCCCCTGACTTGGAGACAGCCTTATTCTCAGATCTCTCTCTCTTTTAAAATGGACTATCCTCTTTACAACCCAGAGAGCCCCATCCAAATGTAAGGACTGGTCTCCAAGGGGGAAGGGGAGGAGGGATGCCATTTAGGGTTATAGATTCCCCAACTCTGCCAGCTCTAACTGGCCCCTGAGTTGCTACTATGTAAATTAAATCTACCCTGCACCACCCCTCTGTCTCTATATATATAAAAAAAGTAGTAGGGTGATAGGAGCATATGTGTTCTAATGAGGCAACTCTTAGCAAGCCTCTAGATAGCTTCAGGATGGAGGCAGGTCATCAGAAAGACCAAGCCTTCATTAGAAGCTTGGAGCTTTCAGCCCCAACCCTCAACCTCCAGGTCCAGGGAAAAGGGGTTAGAGATTGAGTTAATCTTGAATGGTCAGTGATGTAATTAATTGTGCTTACTTAATAAAACCTCCAAAAAAGCCCCTAAACAATGGAGGTTTAGAAGAGCTTCTGGGTTGGTGAACACATGGAGGAGCTGGGTGAGTGGTGCACATGGAGAGTGCATGGAAGCCTCCAACCCCCATACCTTCTATGAATCTCTTCCATTTGGCTGTTCCTGAATTGTATCCTTTATAATAAACCTGTAATAGCAAGTAAAGTGCTTTCCTGAGTTCTGTGAGTAATTCTAGCAAATTATTGATCCTGGGCTGCCTGGTGGGGATCGGGGATGTGGTTGGGGAAATGTCCGAGTTGGGGAGGTGCTGTTCTCTGAAAGGTAGCCTAAGACACCCCATCTGCAGTTGGCATCTGAAGTAGGGGCAGTCTTGTGGGATTAAGCCCTTGACCCAGGGGTGTCTGCACTAACTCTGGGAATTGGTATCAGAATTGAATAGAATTGTTGGACACCCAGTTGGTGTCCGAGTTGGTTGGTGTGAGTAAAAGCCTCTTAGATTTATTGCTTGTTCTCTTTTCCTATCTGATCCTTTCTCTCTGTCTCAGATCACTCATTGTGGAAGAAATCTGATGCCATGTCTTGAGGACACTCAAGTGGCCTATGGAGAGGCGAACATGTAAGGAATTGAGCCTCCTAGTAATAGATAATGAGAAGCAGAGGGCTCTGCTAACAGCCATGTTAATGAGCCCTTGGGGAAGTGGACCCTCCACTCCCAGCCCAGCATTCAGATGGCTGAGGTACCAACATCTTAGATTTGCCTCCTGAGAGACCTTGCACAAAACCACTCTCAGATTCCTGACTCTCAGAAACTATGTGAGACAGCATGTGTTTGTTTTAAGCTGTGAAATTTCAGGGATATTGGTTACACAGCAGTAGATAACTATTACAGTGAGGCCGGGTGCAGTGGCTCACGCCTGTAATCCCAGCACTTTGGGAGGCTGAGGCAGGCA
Organism: Homo sapiens; assembly: GCF_000001405.40. NCBI lineage: Eukaryota > Metazoa > Chordata > Mammalia > Primates > Hominidae > Homo > Homo sapiens. The sequence continues at coordinate 47,604,947 of NC_000015.10, read as the reverse complement.
GATTGCGAGGTCAGGAGATGGAGACCATCCTGGCTAACATGGTGAAACCTTATTTCTACTAAAAATACAAAAAAAAAAAAATTAGCCAGGCATGGTGGTGGTGGGCGCCTACAGTCCCAGCTACTCGGGAGACTGAGGCAGGAGAATGGCATGAACCCAGGAAGCAGAGCTTGCAGTGAGCCAAGATCATGCCACTGCACTCCAGCAAACTATTACAGTGAATAATTCCTTATAGCTACTCCATTTTACAGGCATTGTCATAAAATCCACCAAGGATGGATCCTAGAGTTTTAAAAGAGAAAGAATCTAACAAATTACTCTCTGAATTTCAAACACAACAAATATTGTAAGTGTAACATATATTGTATGTTAATGAAAATTCTGAGTATTTAAAATAGTTAATTCAATTTGACAAAGTTTCAAGTTTCAAGACGTCTCCTGGACTACTTCTTCCATAATTTTAATTGAAGCTATTAGCATATCCCTGTTTAGTTGTCTTTAAATAAGTAGTGGAAGGATACCCACTTCTACCCCTAAGAAATGAAATAGCTTAAGACTTTCTAGGCTTTATTTTTCTCTTAAGTTTATCGGACCGGATGGATTGTAGAGTCTTTTTAGGTATTACATACTGTAATAACAATTACGTGTTAAGCACTTTCTTTATGTAAAGCTTTAGTCCACAAACTTGGATGTGAAAGAAATGTTTCTCTTCTTTATTTTTTAAAGTCAAATTAATTTGGTTTTTGATCTTTATCCTTTCAGAAAGACAAGAAACCCAATCTCAAGCACTATGAGACTCCCTCCTCTCCATCTCCAAGGGTCAGGCCATGGTCTTAGTCATTGCCAAGAGCATCACAGAAGGCCTCTGCCTCCGGTTCCTACCTGGGCCCTTTCTATGCTCGTTAACTGATGCTGCAGCCTGACTTCTTCAAGACTAAGTTGGGCTGTATGCTTGCAGTCATGGGAGGAAAACAAAAGAGGGTATAAACACAATGCAATGCCTCGACACATCACTCCATCTCAGGGGGTCAGAAAATAAATTAAATGTTAGGAAAAACAGAAAAGAAATAAGCAACATAGTGCCAGCCTTTGGGTTCTTAGACACTCAAAAGGAAACAGAAAGTACAGAAACAATACACCAGGAAATAAAAGAGGGCGTTTTTAGAAGTACCATTTAAATTGCAAGGGCTGCAGGAATCAACAGAAGGAAATAATCGGGGCGAGGGGGAGGGGACTTAATAAGAATAATAATTATATATATTCCCTCAAATTTGTATGGAATTTATAAATTACGAGGGACTTTTCGCACATTTGTAACTTCATTTTAGACACGCACAATGAAATTAAGTAAAATGGGGTTGGCGGGACAGATGGTAACATCTTTATTTTACAGATGAGGAACTTGGACTCAGCTAGCTTTGGCGACTTGTTGAGAAAGTCAGAACCAGTTAGTTGTGGAATATAAAATTGAGCTCGGCTCTCTTCCTACCTAGTCTTTTCTCTGCTCCGCTCCCACACTTCAGTGAGAGTTGCTTTCCTGAAGGAGTAAGTTCTAAAGCAGGATTGGAAGTTCCTATAGGGACAAAGAGAAGAGGCATCCATGAGTGGCAAGGAGTGTGAAAGGGATGAAAAACACATAGGAAGAAATGGAGACAGGCAGAAGGTCCCAGCTACAGGACAGAAAAGCCAGGGTGTGGGCTTCTGAGAGATGATGCTGAGTGGTGAGTCACGGGTGACTAAGGGAGCCATTGACATCAGATTGCAAATTCTCCCCTCCTACCCCATGATGAAGAAGTTTATCTCCTATATCTCTTTATATATGAAAAACCATAAAGAAAACACCAGTATCTTCACATAATGTACCATCCAATGAAAGCATACGCCATCTCACTTGGGCCCTTTATCAATCTTAGTCACAGTGCCCAATATCATTTCCATTTCTCATTCTCTGAGTTCTGTTATCCAAAGCTTATCCTCTTGCCTGGACTATAGAGACAGAGGTGAAATCTTTGAGAAGTGGATCCTATCCACTTGTCATTACACCTCTGTAATTCTTAGTGATGTTCTACGTTGCCTCCCACAGTGACCCTGTACAAACCATTGCAAGAGTTTCGGGGGTGGGGGACTGTTACTTGAGCCAACTTCTTCCATCCTGCAAAGGCAGGGATGGAGCTCAGGAGATGGTGTTTTGCATCTTTACAACTGGAACAAGATGAAAGGTCTCTGAAGCAATAATGAGATCCAGGCTTGATTCAGGACAAGAGGCCAGATGGGAACAGTAGAGCATTAGGATGTTGTGATGCTGGGGTAACCTTTCCATAATGATGTTGTGTGGCCTGAAGTTTGATGCCAAGAATCTACAGTGATTTCTGGCTTAGAAATAAGAAATTGATCAGTAAATGAAAAAAAAAAAAGTCTACCTGTATCCAATCTCTCCCCACAAGCCCCCCTCCCAGCATTGTTATCTATTTGTATACACAACAGTATTTTAGCAAATGAAAATTCTCAGAATTCTAATCACATCCTTATCCCAAAGCCTGGATTTAGTCAGAAAGCTTTATGGTGCTTCTGACTCAGTAGAGTTAGTTATCCTGTTTAATTGGATTGACGGTGACAATTGTAATTACCTTAGATGAGATTGCCTGTAATGTAATTATACTTCCTTCATCAGCATGAGCTGGACTTGTGGAATACATACAGAAGATGCCTCCAATTACTGAGAGGTTAAGAAGAACATTATATTGCCTCACAAATCCTGTTTGTTACTGTATAGAATTGTAAGAATTATGGAAGAAACTGAAGGAATTACTCCTCTAAAGCAGGTTTGTGATCCAAATATGTTTCTGTTTCATAGAGTAAGATGACTACATTCCAGAGCTATATTTTTGTTTAAGTAAAAAATATATTTTAAGAACTCAATATGGGGGTAGCAATAGTAAATCTGGTATTTTATTATTATTTTGTTTCTGCTTATTATGTACAAACAGCGACTGCATCTAAAAGACATTTTTAAAAAGCATACAATACATAATGAAGTTTAACTTGACTTTTTCTATGATCTGAAACTTACAGTCTCTAGAATTAACATAGTAAGTAACAGGAGATAACTTTAAAATACTAGTCTTTATGAGTAGATGGACCCATAGTTAATACCTAGAAAGCCAGATGCTCTACTACAATGATAGCTTTCTCTATTTTCCAATTAACACATGGAGAACTTTAAAATTTTCAATTGGAAGCCCAGCCTCTCAACAGGACATTTCTGCCAAACGTATTGCAAACACATGTAGTTTAGGAGAAATGGCACATACTAGAAATCCACCCCAATCTTATTAGCTTTACCATTGCTCTCATTAAAAATAGAGCTGCTTACAGGTTTTTCCTTCTGAAGCATATGAAACATAGAACTTGGAAATGTGCCCTTTTGAAAACTTATTCCTGTATTCACAAACCAGATGGTGCACATCAAATGCATTCTGATTTTCTAATGAAATAAAAAAGGATCCCTATTATGTTATTTAATGTGATTAACACATCCTCAATTGCTAATTTTTACAGATACTCCTGGAAAGTTACACAACTTGGCTAATACTCTCCTGCTAGAGTTGGACAGGAAGACCTTACCAAAGCTGAAAGGTTAGGGCTGTGCTGGGGGCACTTTGCTTTCTAATTCTTCCAAAATAGGCTTTGGAGAGGTGCAAGGCCCTGTCACAGCTGCTCACAAAGAAATCTTCTTCTGTTTTTGAACATCAGAGACAAAGAGTCTGCTGTATCACAAAAGGGCTGACTGGGCAAGAAAAAGATACACACACACTGTCTCTCTCTCTCTTTCTCTCTCTCTCTCTCTCTCATTCTCTCTCTCTATTTCTCTTAAGACCAGTACTTAGTCAAGCAATATTCATAGCATGCTCGAATCACTAACATCACCAGTAAACTCTAATTCTGAGCACCATTTGAACGTCTCACTCATGACATACAGCAAAAACTTATCTAAAACCAGTAACAATTCGCTGGATTTTGCCAACAAATTGGAGAACAGTATGTTGTTTACCTTGAAAAAGGTTGGCTTGTCTGGTCAAAAACCTGAAAAAAGAAAAGAAAAGAGAAATGGATTGATTTTCCATTACTTCTGACCTTTAAAACCACAATACTGAGTTAAACATAGTTGTGGTGTGCTTATTAATTTAGTAAATCAGATTGTCATTCTCTAATTTTATGTATCTCTTGCTTAAAGTAATAATGGCTTAAGCTAAGTTGGATTCTAACCTGAATGCAATTTCTCTATTGAATTCCATTATTAGTTAGGAATATGTTCAGCTGAGGAAAAGCATCCACCAGTAGACCAGAGTAAAACACCATGATAGGCTAGACACTGTGCATGTGAAACATCTGTTTTGTTGTTGTTGTTGTTGTTGTTAAACTTTTAAAACTTGAAGATCTCTGGTCAGCTATGTCTTATTTTATCTTCTTCTACAGATAAGAGAAACATTTGTTTGGGCTGAGGCAGCTGTTTCATGAAATGCAACATCATATCTCATTTTTCTTCATGAACTTCTCTCATTTAACAATTAGGCTGGAAGAACACACATTACCAATAGGTTCAGTCGTATAACACTCAGAACCTGGAAATAATGAGTTGGAAGTTTCAGATCCTACAAAATAAATCAGTTACTCCATCAATTCTATAATATAAGGCAAAGAATCTGAAAATTGAAGGAAGATATTTTGAACAACACTGTGCAAAAGCTATTGCTGAGTTAGGTATTCAGTTAAGCCAAACACCACGCCTGGTTCTCAGTTTGTTTTGCAAAAGCATTTATTCTACATTTTAAATATGCACATGTTTCAACTTGGGCTAGAAAGACTTAACTAAAAATAACACCACTATCACCAAGTGATGCTATGGTTGACCGATACTCCAGGATTTGAAAAAAAAATTCCCCAAATGGTACAAATTCCCCAAATGCTACAAATTCCCTAGGAACTGGAAGCTTTTCCTCTCCTTAAGGTGAAAGACTGCTTCTCCTCTTGGTGTTTTGCCATTAAAAAAAGAAAGTATTTAGCAAACAACTAGCAGATCCATCAAAAGGTTAGGATTCTTTTTATTTTAGTGCTCTTTCTTAATGGGCAAAATTGATTGATTAGTTCACCTGGAATGTTCTTAGCCTTAGGGCAGAAACAGAGCTTTGTATGCATTAGTGGACTGGGTTTATAAAAGAAAAAAGTCCACATTCAAGAATACAGAGAATTTCAAAAATACAAGAAAATAGAAAAAAGAAAAACAAGGTCTGGAAGCATATTAAAATTCTTGTATTCATTAAAAATCAAATGGCTGTGTTTTCAGTTGTATTGAGTTATCATATGTGCACTGGTTCTTTGCCTTAGTTCCAAATGTACTCATATTATCATCTCTAAATCCATCTGGATAGTTTATACAGTGAACCCTGGAATCACCTTAGTTTCTCCAAACTCCATCTACTTTTTGAGAAAAAAAAAAAGCGTAAGGCAGACCTTTCCCCATTAGATCTCCAACCTCTGTTGCTCCCTTCCCTCACTTGTTGGTAAAACTACTTTCTGGAAAGTTTGTTTACCTTTCAGACAAGACAAGGGGTGAAACAGAGGAGCAACAACCTCCTTGCCGTTGGCTAGAATGAAGTGAGGGGAGTTACCAGGATGCAGTGGTATTAATCCCCTGTTACTCTGATGTTACCTCAGACCCTCTTCTATTTATTTGGCCATACTCCCAGCACAGTGATTTACATCTTGGAGGAAGTAGTATTTAAATGTATGTGCATAAGATTCTGTTGGGGAGTTTATTAACAATGCAGATTCCTGAGCTCTAGCCTGCTCTATGAAATCTGCATCCCTAGCAGATTAGCACCCAGGAATGCTCATCGATAAGCTTTTCCAGCGAGTATGATTAGGTAGGTGGTCTCATGACCACATTTTGGGAAACACAGACTTAGGATGATATGAAAAGTGACGTCAGGCTGTGCTAAGTGCCAAGCCTTGAGTGGAAAGGTGTTTTAAGTCGCTATCTCATCTCAGAGTACATAATAAATATTTAAATTTGAGAAAACTAGTATATAATATATAAGTAAAACCTGTTATTATTTGCTATTGTTTTTCTTTATGGTTTCCACACAGATATCTGATCTGCCTTAAGCATTATTTGCCTTGGTGATCTGTAAATTCCTGAAAAAGGGCGAAAGCTTAGGTGACATACACTCTAATTAATGTGGCCCTCATATACTGTTTAAGTAACAGAACCCTTACCACTTACAGCTGGAAAGACTTTTAAAAAATGTAGCCCAAGCTTTTTAATTTTTTCAGGTGAAGACGCTTTTATGCAGAGAGATGAACTAATGTAGGAATCATTTTGTACAGGGGAGTGGTCTGAAATATTAATGGGCTATTTTAACCATCAGCTTGAATAATTCAAAGGTGTCTGCTTAATTCTTGTGCTTTCCCAGTTCAGATGAAAATATCCACAAAGAGAACTATGTAAGTAAATACAATTAATCATAATCAATCATGTACTGTCTTGGATTTCCCTAAAACCAAAACACTGAAATGGACACATGACATCCTTCTGGTCCTAATTTTCCACCAATTCATGAAACATTTCATGCTTTGCTTGGGACAGCACAAATCTTTCAACCTCCAATTATATTAATATTATGAGGGCACTGAAGTGCCCAAATGTGACATGAAGTCCTTGAGTGTGGAATGGCCTTTTCCAATAGACATACAGTTTGCATAAATGGAAATGAACACAATATTATCACCCCTTGAGATTTCCTGGTTTTGGAACAAAGAGGTGGTGGTCCTGGATGCTTTACAGTATAATCTCCTTTTAGAGATTCTTAGTGCACAATATTATAAATTCAGAGTTCTTCTGAAATAAAGAAAAACATTACCTTTATTTCATCCATCATTTAAAAAAGTTATTTACCCTAGGAAACACTGAACACAGTGATCTTTTTTAAATTTAGTTTTTTAAATTTAATTTTATTTTTGACACATTATAATTACATACAATTATGGGGGTACACAGTGATGTTATTTTATATGTTATATATATATAATATATATATATGTATGAATGATGTGGAATGACTGAAACAAGCTAATTTCATATCCATCAACTTAAATAGTTATCATTTGTTCCTGCTGTCTAACTGCAACTTTCTGCCCTTTGACCAACATCTCCCTCATTCCCCATACTCCCCACCCCCAGCCTCTGGTAATCACTAATCTACTCTCTGCTTCTATGAGTTTTATTATTTTAGACTCCATATATAAGTGAGAACATGTAATTGTTCTTCTTATGTGCCTGGTCTATTTCACTTAACATAATGTCCTCTAGGTTCACTCATGTTGCCTCACAAAACAGATTTTCTTCATTATTAAGGCTGTATAGTATTCCATTGTGTATATATATCACATTTTCTTTATCCATTCATCCCTGGGTTGATACTTAAGTTATTTCCACATCTTGGACACTGTAAATAATGCTGTAATGAAGATAAGAGTTTAGCTATCTCTTCATAATACTAATTTTAAGTCCTAGACTACCTACCCAGTAGTGGAATTGCCGGACCATACTGTCGTTCTGTTTTTAGTTTTTTGAGGAATGTCCACAGTTTTCAATAATGGCTGTACTCATTTACATTCCCACCAGCAATGTACAAAGATTTTCTTTTCCCCCATCCTCGCCAATATTTGTTATCTTCAATCATTTTTTTAGTAATAGGCATTCTGACAGGTGGGAAGTAATATCTCATCATTTCCCTAATGATTACAGATGTTGAGCATTTTTTCATATATCTGTTGCCCTTTTTAAAATTGAGTTATTTATTTTTCTGCTATTGAGTTTTTGAGTTATTACATATTTTGGATATTAACCCCTTATCAGAGGTATTGCTTGCAAATATTTTCTCTCAATCTGTAGGTTTTCTCTTCACTCTGTTGTTTGCTTGCTATGGAGAAGATTTTTAGTCTGATGTAATGCCTTTTGTTTATTTTTGGTTTTGTTTCTTGAGTTTTTTGGGTCAAATTAAAAAAATAATTGCTCAAACCAATGTTGCGTAGTTTTTTTCTCCTATGTTTTCTTCTAGTTAGTTTTACAGTTCCAGAACTTACATTTGAGCCCTTAACCCATTTTGATTTTATTTTTGTATGTGGAGAGAGATATGGGTCTAGTTTCATTCTTCTGCATATGGATATCCAGTTTTCCCAACACTCTTTGTTAAAGCCACTGTCCTTTACTGATTGTGTTCTTGGCACTTTTGTTAAAAATTAATAGACCATTGATGTGTGAGTTCATTTCTGGGTTCCCAATTCTGTTCTATTGGTTGATGTATCTATTTTTATGCCAATATGATGTTGTTCTATGTACTATAGCTTTGTAATATAGTTTAAAGTCAAATAGTGTGATGCCTCCAGCTTTGTTTTTCCTGCTCAAGATTGCTTTGGCTATTTGGTGTCTTTTGCAATACTATATAAATTTTAAGATTTTATTCTATTTCTGTGAATAAATGGCATTGAAATTTTTATAGGAATTTCTTCAAATCTATATATTGCTTTGAGTAGTATGCACATTTTGGCAATATTAATTTTTCCAAGGCATGAAGACAGAATATATTTCCATGTATTTGTGTCTTCAGTTTCTTTTATCGATGTTCTACGTTTTCATTGTAGAGATCTTTCACCTCTTTGGTTAAATGTATTCCTAGGTATTTTAGTTTTTGTAGCTATTGTGAATAAAATTTTTAAATTTCTTTTTTGGATAATTTGTTGTTAGTGTATAGAAATACTACTGCTTTTTGTTTGTTGATTTTGTATCCTGCAACTTTACTGTATTTGTTTTTCAGTTCTAATGGTTTTTTTGATAGGGTGTTTAGGGTTTTCTATACATAGGATCATGTTGTCAGCAAACAGCAACAATTTCACTACTTTCTTACTTAGATGCCTTTTATTTCTTTCTCTTGCTTAATTACTCTGGCAAGGACCTCTAATATTATATTACATTGAATAGAAGTGGTTAAAGTGGGCATCTTCATGTTGTTCCTGATCCTAAGAATAACATGCCAATAAATTGGATAACTAGAAGAAATGGGCAAACCATAGACACATATAACTTAGCAACACTGAATCAAGAAAAAAAATTAAAATCTAAAAAGATGAATAATAAGTAAGGAGACTGAATCAACAATAAAATTTTCTCCCATCAAAGAAAAGCCCAGGACTTGATGACTTCATGGGTCATTTAAAGAAGAACTAATACCAATTTTTCTCAAGTGCTCCCTAAAAAATAAAGAAGAAGGAGTACTTTGGAACTCTTTTCATGAGGCCAGCATTACTCTGATACCAAAGCCAGACAAAGACATTACAATAAAAGAAAATTATTACAGACCAATATCCCTGATGAACATCAATGCAAAAATCCTCAACAACAACAAGAGTACTAGTAAACTGAATTCAACAGCATATTAAAAGTGTGATTCACCATGATCAAGTAGAATTTATCCCAGGGATGCAACGATGGTTCAACATATGTGAATCTATAGATGTGAAATATCATATTAGCAAAATGAAGGACAAAAACCATATGCTAATCTCATTAGATGCAGAAAAAGCATTTGATGAAAAATTCAACTTGTTTTCATAATAAAAATTCTCAACAAACTAGGTATGGAAGGAATGTACCTCAATACAATAAAGGCCATATATAACAACCCTACAGCTGACATTAACCTCAATGGTGAAAAGTTGATTTTTAAAATAAATGTGATTTTTGTCTCTTTTTTACTAGACCAACATTTGATTCCTATTGGCAAACCCCAAAACTCTGCAATGAAGGTCACAGAGACTTTCAACCTCTGGCACCTATCTTTCTTCTCAATTAGCCCCTCACCTGGATATCTCCCAGATTCCAGCAAAAGTGAACACTGTTTCCAGGATTCACTACACCACTTCAGCCTCCATGCCTTAACATGTGCCATTACCCTTGCTTGGAATGCCTGTGTTCACACTCCTCTACACACAGATACACACATGCCCTCAGACACCATTCTTCCAACCTTTTCACCTGACAAACATCTGCTCCTCCTTCAAAATCTACCCCAAACACTATTTCTATGGAGCCTTTCTCAATCTTCCTAAACTGGGTTACTTCCTTCCCTGTGCTCCCATTTTGGCTATTTCTAATTATTCTAGAATACTCATCAAACTATAAATTATACTTTTCTGTGTAAAGGTCCACCTCCCTCATTAGACTGGGAGCTTATTGGAAGCAGGTACTGCCACTTACTTAATAAACATTCAATGCCTACTCTGTTCTGAGAAGTTCATATCCCAAAGTATAGGTCCTGGAACGGTGAGTGTCAGTATGTGATGGGTACCCAATAATGGCTGTTTTAAAGCATAAATAATTGAACGTCTCCTGCAAATTCTCTCAATGATATAATGATTGTCATGAACTACCTACTTACAATTTATCTGCAGGTGTCCCTGAGAAACACACATGGAGGTGTCTTAGTTGTTAGTAAGGTGATGGGTATGCTAACTTCAGAAATAGGAAATCATTTTCAGAATAAGTACTGGCCTTTAAAGAGCAAAAAGAAAGGGAAACAGAGGAACAGGAGGTGGAAAAGAAAACCAACCAAACCTGGGACCAGGGCAAAAGAAATGAACTTTCTCTTCTTAAAGGAGGAAGTTTGTTTGTACCTAGGGAAAATGGGAATAATGAGTTCTATAATAGTGATTTCAGTTCTGTAGAGAAACAAATATTATCTTTCATAGTGTTTAAGCCTTGATAGCATCTGTCCCTCTTGCTGCACAGGAGATGTGAATTATGTTGTCTATGCACTGATGAATTAAAATTGCCTCAGGCATTGTCAACTGTGATGACATTTGATACGGTTTGGATCTGTGTCCCCACCCAAATTTCATGTGGAATTGTAATCCCCAATGTTGGAGATGGGGGTCTGGCGGGAGCTGACTAGCTCATGAGGGTGGATCCTTCATGAATGGTTTAGCACCATCCCCTTGGTGGTGTTCTTGTGATAGAGTTCTCATGCGATCTGGTTGTTTAAGTGTGTAGCACTGCACCGCCCTCTTTCTTGCTTCCACTCCAGCCACGTGATGCACCTACTCCCCCTTCCGCCATGATTATAAGTTTCCTGAGACCTCCTCTGAAGTGGAACAGATGTCAGCATGATGCTTCCTGTACACCCTGTGGAATAATGAGCCAATTAAATCTCTTTTCTTTATAAATTACCTAGTCTCAGGTATTTCTTTATAGCAATGAAAAAACAGACTAACATACCACTTCACCCTGGAATCTTTTCCCTCAAATTTTTAAAGAAGGGAGAATGTCTTGGTGTTTGAAGCTTTTTTTTTTCTGATTATTTAAGTCTTTTCAGGCAATCGTCCAAACCCAGGGACTTTAAAGTCTTCATTTTTAGAAATTTTCATGTAATTCTCTGTTTGGATTGACGGTATAGAATTTTTTTTTTTTTTTTTTTTTTTTTTTTTTGAGACGGAGTTTCGCTCTGTCGCCCAGGCCGGAGTGCAGTGGTGCGATCTCAGCTCCACTGCAAGCTCTGCCTCCCGGCTCCATGCCATTCTCCTGCCTCAGCCTCCTGAACAGCTGGGACTACAGGCGCCAGCCACCACAGCTGGCTGATTTTTCTGTATTTTTAGTAGAGACAGGGTTTTACCGTGTTAGCCAGGATGGTCTCGATCTCCTGACCTTGTGATCCGCCCGCCTCGGCTTCCCAAAGTGCTGGGATTATAGGTGTGAGCCACTGCGCCCAGCCAGATCTTTTTTTGACTAATCATGAGACAAAAAGTAATGAATGCTTCTGAAATTCTAGACCAAGTTAGAGTCAAGGACACTTCACAGAGAGGTACTGCTGTGGCTCTCAGGAAGAGATGAAAAGGCAAATCTATCTTTGTATGATCTGTACTGTGCCAAGACCTAGCTTTGTTTATTACATTAGTGAATACGTTCTCGAAGGTTATGTTCATTATGGCACTTTATCACTAATCTGATAAGAAAAACAATTAAGGTGATTGCCAACATTGTTACTTTTCATAATGAGCAAAGCAATATATATGCAGTTACGATGAATAATCATTGGATGCAATGTATTATGGACTACAGTTAGAATTCATTTGTCAATTACAGAGCTACTATACAATGCAAATAAAAATTCTACAATCTTTTCATGATTTTCATGAAGGGCCCTTCTAGATGCAAATTTTTATTTATGCAATTTTCATAGGATGCAATTTGACATGGTCTCTGTCTCTAAACCAAGGGGTTTGTTGTAAACACTCTATTTAGCTTGCAATTACCATACAGTTAAATGACTAATCACAGAAACTCACGCCATGATCATTGACAAAAATGGCCACACTCAACACAACTGAAATTAACATTGAGGAAAATGGGTCTGCCTCTCACCCACACCCAGCCAATCAATCACAGCAAAATGAACTAAATATGGCTGCTTTCTAGGATGAGATACAATTAATCTGTGCAGTCTGAGTCTGAAAAATTCATATGTTAGGTACTGTTTCCCCACTTTAAATACAGTAGTATGCCACGAAGGGAAACATGGAAGGACTGGTTCACAAAGTCAGAGTAAGGCATTCTCTAAGTATGTTTAGATGAGATGTTTGAATTATTTTTCACATTTTTCTTCCCTTCTCTTGTGGCCTACGAAGTATGAAGATATTGATTTTTAATGAAATGTACTTATGAAACAGTGATTATATTTTCCCAGCTTCCATTACCTTGATTTTAGAAATAACATCTAGTTCGCTGACTGCTGGAGACCTAGATTAGGGCTGGAAAACTCAGGAAATGTCAATAAGAATGCCACTGACAGCAGGAAACAACTGCTCCCCCAGGATTTCACTCTCATTCCCCTTTCCAAAATTTATCATTTAACAATGACAGATGCTGGGGTCTTGTGGTGTATGTGACCGTAGTTAGCTCACTTTCCCATTCTTCACTGTGGCTCTTTCCAAATGTCATTCTCCCCAAGCTCTCTCTCCTACCACACTTCTTTCTTACCAGTGTCAGCACATAACTTTGCTTCTTCAGACACAGAGACACTAGATGCCAGTATATGAAAATTCTCTCAACATCCTGAAGCTGCTGTACTCACTCCCATATGTCATTCTCCATCCACACATTTGCTGTGTCTCTATCCATCCTAATCTGCTTCTCTCCTGATACAATGAAACAGGTGTTTTTCCTACAGTCTCAGGCTTAACCTGCTAATTAAATTCTGGAGCCTATCCTCTCATAGCCCCTCTCTCACTGTGTAACTTTTGAGCTTAGGTCAATAGAAGTCTTGTTCCTTCCACCTGGGTCTCCTGGAACACTTGCTCTGGGGGAAGCTAGGTGCCATGTAAACAAGTCCAACACACCTGGCTATGTGGAAAGGCTGCAAGGAGCAAGAGAACAATGTACAGCCAGGCCCCAGCAGTTCTTATCATCCTAGATGAAGCACCTGTCATGTGGAGAAGCCTCTGGACATACAGCCCCATAGAGCCTTCAGTTGTGCTACTGGGTTGCATGTTTGTGTTCCTCCAAATTTAATGTTGGAACTGAATCCCCAATCCAACAATATTAAGAGGTGGGGACTTCAGGAGGTGTGTAGGTTATGAGAGCTCCATGTCATGAATGGGGTTAGTGCCCTGATATAATAAAAGAACAAGAGGGAGTCTGTTAGTTGCTTTTGCCCTTGCTTTCCTCCCACCTCATGAGGATGCAGCAACAAAGTGCCATTTATGAAGCAGGGAGAAAGTCCTCACCTGCACCTGTTGGTACCTTGACCTTGAACTTCCCTACATCTACAACTGTGAGAAATAAATTTCTATTGCTTATGGATTACCTGGCCTAAGGGATTTTGTTATAGCACCAGGAATGGACTAAGACAAGTTAATTCCAGCCCATGTCAAGATCTCATTGCAATTGTATGAGAGATTCTGTACTAGTCCCCTAGGGCTTCCATATCAAGTACCACAAACTGGGTGGCTCACAAAGAAAAAATTTATTTCCTCACAGTTTTTGAGGTGAGGAGTCTGAAATCAAGGTGTTGGCAGGGCCATGTTCCCTCTGAACTCTGGGTAGAATCCTTCCTTTGCCTTTTCCTAGTTTCTGGTGATGGCCATCGATCCTTGGTATTCGTTGGATTGCAGCTGCATTGGTCCAAGCTCTGCCTCTGTCATCACATGGCATTCTCTCTGTGTGTCTCCTTCCTCTTACAAGGATGCCAGTCATATGGTATTTACAGCCCATCATACTCCATTATGACTTCATATTAGATAATTATATCTACAGAGACCCTGTTTCTTTTTTTGTGTATTAATTTGCTTATTTTTATTTATTTATTTATTATACTTTAAGTTCTAGGGTATATGTGCACAAAGTGCAGGTTTGACACATAGGTATACATGTGCCATGTTGGTTTGCTGCACTCATCAACTCATCATTTACGTTAGATATTTCTCCTAATGCTATCCTTCCCCCAGCCCCCCACCCCCTGACAGGCCCTGGTGTGTGATGTTCCCCGCCCTGTGTCTAAGTGTTCTCATTGCTCAATTCCCACCTATGAGTGAAAACATGCGGTGTTTGGTTTTCTGTCCTTGTGATAGTTTTCTGAGAATGACGGTTTCCAGCTTCATCCATGTCCCTGCAAAGGACATGAACTCATTCTTTTTTATGGCTGCATAGTATTCCATGGTGTATCTGTGCCACATTTTCTTAATCCAGTCTATCATTGATGGACATTTGGGTTGGTTCCAAGTCTTTGCTATTGTGAATAGTGCCGCAATAAACATACGTGTGCATATGTACAGAGACCCTATTTCTAAATAAGGCCAAATTCTGAGGCAATGGGGGTTAGGACTTCAACATATCTTTTGGAGGAAAACAATTCAGCCCAATACAGACCCCAATCTAGAACCATCTAACTGAACCCAATCAACCCAAAAACTCTGAAAGATAATAATAAATGGAGGTTTTAAGCCACTAAGTTTTATGTTGGATTGTCCCATAGCTATAGATAACCAAAATGCCTTTCTTTACTCAAATCTACTCAACCTACTACAATTTGGCTTCTGCCAACACACTCTACTGATGCTGCTCTTGTAAGGCCACCAGTGACTGTCCTGGTGTTCAATCCAGTGGATGAGTTGCTGTTCTCGAGGGATCCCTTAGCCAATACCTCTACTTCTGTGCCTCCCTAAAGTCCATTGAAATGACCAAGGAAATATGTATGCAAGAATAAATTCACTAAATCCCTATAAAGCAAAGAAGGTGGACATGAGCAGACTAGAAACTTGGAGTGTTTTTTAAAGATGGAAAGTGGGTAGGATTGGATTGAAAGAGGAAGAGAAACATGGCCAAGGAGCCCATGGCTCAGCAGGCCAAGGAGAGGACCACTGGGAGGGCAAACACTTGCTTTGTCAGCAGGATCCAGGGGAGAACTCACACTCAGAGTCAGCAGGGGCTGGAGCAGGAACAGGAAGGCCTGCCAGAGTTGGAGCCAGACTGTTTCTGCCCCATCTCCCTTACCATGCAAAGCATGGTGGAGACATGCCCCCTTACCTACATTTGTTAGAAAAAATAGCACCTCATAGGGGAAGAAACATGAAAGTATTTCCCATCCATGTACCCTTTCTTGCCACCAGAATGGAGGTGGTGTGGTGGGAGTGGTGCCCTCTGCTGTCTAGCCATGCACACACCCTGAAGGAAGCCTGCCGGGAGGGGACCCTCATGTGACTCAGCCGGCATATCCACTCATGGTTTAACTACTCACAGCGGAGGGCTGCTCAGAACATGAAACACCTTTCATTCAGTGTTTCTCAACCTCAGTACTATTGACATTTGGTGCCGGATAATCCTTTGTTGGGGGTCTGTTCTGTGCACCGTACGATGTTTAGCAACATCCTTAGCTTCTACCCATTAGATGCCATTAGTATGCAGCCTCCCCATTGTGACAGTTGTGGCAACCAAAAACATCTCCAGATTGCCAAGTGTCCCCTTGGCAGACAAACTGCCCTGATCGAGAACCACTGCTTTTCATTTGTGACTGACAAACCCTCTCTTCGGCTCTTTGCTTATTACTAAGGGACTATAAAACTCAGTCCTCTAGGAAATACTAGTCATGTCTAAGTGTAACTGCCTTCTAAACCCCTACTCCCACTCTCTAAATTCTTCCAGGGACTTTACTTTTTCCTTCACAGACGGAGCCACAATGGAGACTCACACTTTAAGACAACATCCAGATGGCTGGTCTTCAAACTGCAATTGCAAATGCCTGCAAGGGAGGCTCTCTGTAGTCTCAAATTCGTGATTTGTGGTTTCAGATGTGTGCAGTTCTTATGCTAACTCAAAACTTTTCTCCAAGTAATGACTCTTTTTTTACGGAGTCTGAGGAGCATGGCTTACAAAAGAGGAAAGGCAGGAGCGGGCAGCTCCTGTGGCTCTGTCTGTGAAGGAGGGGGCAGCTGAAAGGCTAATACCAGGGATTTGACTCTGCTGAAGTCAGTTTAATCTACTCTCTAAAAGATAGGGGCAGAACAGGCTACAATTCTGTCCCCTAGACAAATGGCCTTGCTGGAGTTTCACTGAAGTTAATTACCCCTCTGAAAAGGCAATGTCTCTGCAGAGGAAGGATAGTGGGGCAGGAAATCTTGGAGAGTGAGAGGACAGACATGACTGGGGTCATGGCTGGAGTCCTTTGTGGGATCCTCTGGGCTGGCCAACTCTCATTAGAGGGACTAGGAGTGTGTATGGGATAGGGCGTGGGAGGGAGCCAGTGAGAAAAGGCCCTTTCTGCTCAGTCTTTCTATGAGTGTCAGGGGAATTTCTTCATTAGTTAGGCATCCAGTTATCTTTCCTCTGTGTTTTCCTGTAGAAGTAGCTGCACTCACGCAACTTCCCAGCCACTCTTTTCAGAGAGATGGCAACTGTCTGAGTAAATCAATGTTGCCATCTCAACTCTCATTTAGCTACAACAGTGAGCTCACCTGACAATGCAAATGGAGAAAGGGGAGGAGATTCAGGCTTTCTAGTATTTACTGAAATCCGAAATGTCAAAGTGACATCTCAATTAAAAAAAAAAAAGAAAGAAAAAGTAAAAAATGTTTTTATTGCTCCAGCAATCAGCAATCTCTGGCCCCACCACCTGTTTTTATAAATAAAGTTTTACTGGAACACCGCTATATTCATATGGTCTATGGCTGCTTACAAACACAGGGTAGATTAGCTGTGATAAAGAATGTATGGCCCTCAAAGCCTAAGATATTGACTAGCTTGTCCTTTAGAGAAAACATGTGCCAGCCCTGGCTTCGGATCACTGAAGGCAGAATTTATTTTGCACCATATATAGTGGACTTGTTTTTCTTATTTGTGCTATAACTAACCCTAAACAACTGTAAGGGTTTCAACATAAGACTCACAGTTGTAGAAGATATGTATAGATTTAGGGCTTCTTTATTTTCCAATGAATCATGCTCTTCAGAGAGGTCTGAAATGCTGTGGGACCAGAGACTAGTTTGGACCCTCCAGTCAGCAGAAATGTAAGATGGAGCCAGGGCACACAAGACAAGGGACTGTCTGAATGGAAGAAGTGTAGAGGAGGTGATGGGACCACTTTGAAACCCAGGACAGAGCCGTGACGGGTGGGGTGAGGTAGGGCAGAGGGGGCCTTGCAGGGCCCTCCTGCACTCCCAGCCAGCCTGCCTCCTTCAGCTTTGCTCCTCCCATGTGCTGGGAAAGCTCCTCCAGCCCCAGAAAGAGGCTTCCTCCAGCAGGTTGGGCCCATCAACGAATGCTGAAGCTCCTTCTTCCCGTCTGCTGCTCCTATACTACAATAACTCTTCTCTCTCTTTCCTCAAACCCAGACTCCCTGGAGACTTCAGCCTCTAGCCTACCCTTTGGCAGCCTTCCCAGCCCACTGGAAACACCCTGGGGAGAAGAGAGCTGAAGACAAACACAGACAGGTCTTGTAAAAAAAAAAAAAAAAAAACCTGTCAAATTTCATTTTGAAAATCTTATCCTACATTTAAATACAGTTCTAGCAAAAAATAAGTAGGGAAACAGAATTTTCTTTACAGACTGATGGCTGCCGGGTGGGGTGGGGGGTGGAACTTGTGAATACGTTCTACAGGATTTTTCTTCGAAGACAATTCATTTAATTCCACAAATCACTGTTACTATGAGCCAGCTGTTGGGGTATGGGGGGCGCTTTACTCATAGAACTCCATTGTAAAATGCTGTTGGTTTCCGAAAGTAAAATCTTCTGTATATAATGATAGGATATGAGACCATTTGGATAATATAACCACCTTTTATTTGTATTTGTGTAACAAAGCACTATGAAAGAGAGGACCATATTTGGTCTTCCTAGCCAATCTGAGAAGTAGATAAAAAGTTATAGCTTTGTAAAAATAAGTTAATTAAGGCTCACTGAAGTTAGCTGCCTTGCCCAACCAAGACTGCCCTACAGTACAAAAACGACATGAAGCAAGACCATGATTTCTGAGTTCTTGGCATTTTCCCTGGCATCCTTGATGTATCTTCTAAATTAAAGTGCTGGCTCTCATCTTCTAATAGGCCCCTATCACTTCTTGTAAGAAGTCCCTGAATTCCGTTGCCTGCTAAGCACTGTTTGTACACTAAATAAGGGATACATCATGAAAATACATCTAAGAGGCCATAATAAACAGCATATAATGGAACTCATTTAAAAGGCACCTTTTTGTCATTTTTATGTGTAATAAATATTAAAAGTAAGTGTCTCTTATTATTTAATTGTAGAAAGACTTGCTCATTTTAAAAGGCTGAGAAACAGCAAATTAACAGGTTTATTGAAGTGAGTATTACAGAATTTGAAGGAACCACAGTGGTCTCAGGTAGGAATGTAATCTTGAACAAATGGTCCCCCATAGTCTCATCCCTCCTTTAAAAAGCCAGTTAATCATAACAACTCTTTGGAGACAGGCTGTGTGTCTGTGCCTGGTGGTTAGGGCTGCAGGCTGGTGCCAGACAAATCTGAGCAAGTTTCTAAACTTTTCTCAACTCGAGCTTTGGCATATATAAAATAGTACTTGCTTATGGGGGTTGCTGTAGGAATTGAATAGGATAATACATTTTAAAAAATTACTTAGCCCAGTGCATAGCACATAGTAAATGATGGATCAATTTTTGTTATTGTTATCAATAGTATTATTGACATAAATAATATGTGTTTGGCCTCGCACCTAGATCAGTTAGTACTCTCCTAATTTCTGTGAAAAGACGCTGCTTGGTTGAGCTATTGGAGGCTTGCAGAAACTTGTTGTAGAAAAGGTGGCCTGTCTTTCTCTTATTTCTTGCTACACAGTGTCCTTGCCTCTATTAAGGTAGCAACAAGCCCCAGGCAATATTACCTTTTCAAGAAGAGGATAGGCTCCCATATTGGGGCTGTCAGAGAGAATTTGGGACATGAGAGCCGTTTAAATAAATCAGACCTGACAAATCCGATTTACAGATTAAAATAATGTTGTGGTATTTACCAACAGTATATATAGCAAGTTAAGACACCACCAACAGGCAGACATTGATTGCCTATTTTAATCAACTGGTATAATTTAGGTACCACTAGAAGCAAAATGCTTAGGAAAGGTAAATCTGATCATATATAATTTCCATTTTGATGCACTTAAACGTCAAGTAAGACCTTTGTGCAGGGTTTGTTACAAGGTGACACATCTGCTGTATTATGTGAGGTCACATCAGGTTTCATTTGGATGTTGGGAGAAGATCTGACTTGACATAAACAGATGCCAAACAAAGCATTAAAGCAATTTCACCAGTGCTTTTGTATTAAGATAGGCAGAAAGACGATGGACACCTGCTGCCTTCATACATTCCCTAAATCTCCGATGCCTGTGGGGCCTTATCAATATCACTTCCTCAATATCCCCACCTTTTCTGAGTAGAATCAAGAATCACAGCCTTGAAAGAAACTTCAAGAAGTCACTTGGTCTAGAAACCCTGGAGCAAGGTGATTGCTTAAGAGAAGCATGGTCTGGTTTTCAAAACTTATTTGTTGAATGAATACATGCATGAATGAAAAAATTCTCTTCACCTTCCATCCCCAGAAGGCTGCTTTGCCCTGGGGGTATGAGAGGAAATGGAAAGTCTAGAGAGGCCCCAGAGGTTTAAAGCCTCATCCAATCATTCATTTATTATTTGTACCCTGCCTACTTCTAAAACAGATTTAAGGCAGTTTCCAACAAAAGATACCAAAAATAAAGAGCCTTATCCTCAATCATCCCTTGCAGGGTTTTATTATCACTTTCATGATCATCAAACACAAGTATTAAATGGCTATTTGCATGAGATGCTATGCCAGGGGCTGAATAAATCAGGCAGAGCCAGGCTCTGACCTCCGCAAATTTCCATCCATTCAATTTGCATTCATTCACTCTCCTTTTTTTTTTTTCCCCTGAGACAGAGTTTTGCTCTTGTTGCTCAGGCTGGAGTACAATGGCACAATCTCGGCTCACTGCAACCTCTGCCTCCTGGGTTCAGGCGATTATCCTGCCTCAGCCTCCCAAGTAGCTGGGATTATAGGCGTGTGCCACCATGCCTGGCTAATTTTTGCATTTTTAGTAGAGAAGGGGTTTCACCATGTTGGTCAGGCTGGTCTCGAACTCCTTAACTCAGGTGATCCATCTGCCCTGGACTCCCAAAGTGCTGGGGTTACTTTGGCAAATATTTATTCAGCACATTACACATGAAAGTTCTGTTAGGGAGTGTGGGGGGCAAACATGCATCACATGTGGATCTTGCCCTGCCCTCAAGAAGTTTACAGACTAGTGCAGAGGGCTGGGGCAAGGGCAGGTGATAATGAAGTGTTTGTGGATAAGCCATAGATGGGATCCGTGCTGTGAGCTGGTTGCAGTGGGAGAAGGACAGGGAGACTGCACTTGCTCATTGTGTCCTAAAGACATCCAGTCTAAAGTAGATCAGGATGCAGACAAAGCTGTGAAGAAGAACCCGACTCTCCCAGTAACCTCTTTGACCTCTGGCTACTCTCTGCCTTCTTTCTCCCCTGCTCTCCTCCCAAGCCCTAATGTTGTCACAGCTGTCACGCTTCCCCTTTCCCAGAAGACTTGTAAGCCATCTTGGCCACATGTCCTGGAATACACATTCCCATTCCTATCCATGTCTGCTCTCTGCGGGCCATCACTGACAGCTGGGGTATGGAGCCCTGGTTTACACTCAGGTAGAAATAACTGGTCATTGTTTATTGCCAAGCCATGCCTAGGAGTGACTACTTTTAAAAGAGGGCCATGTCTAGGCACAAAGGACGCAATCCTGATAAAATACGTGGCTCCTGGAGACCGCCTGTTGGGGTGAGGGCTTTGTGGTTGCCTTCAAATCCAAGACCGAAACAACTTCCAGCCCTGACTACCTATAAGGCACAGAATCCCCAGAGAACATCCTTGAATGGTCTCACGAGCAGAAGATGCCCCTTGCTCTGAGGCCAGACTCTAAGGAGCAGAAAGAACCTCTCCAGCTACAGTCCTTCATTCATTCCTTGGAGCAGCAGTTCTTGAACTTTAACTTTTATAAAAATCACTGGGGAAGCTTTGAAAAAGTGCAGATTCCAAGGCACCATCCTAGAAACTCAGTTTCTACAAAAGGTCTAGAGTGGGCCATGGAACTCACGTGTTTAGCAGGTGTCACAGCTGCCTCTGCTGAAGTGGACTTAGGGCCATCCTTGAGATATATGGCCAAAGGGATGTACATCCTAGGAGGAGGTCCAGAGGGCAGACCTTGGGTCTTTCTTATTCATAGATTAATTCCTAGCACTGAGAATAGTGCATAGCTCTCATTAGCTATTCAGTAAATATGTGCTGATTTGATGAATGAGTGAATGTGGGCTTGCCCTGCTTCCTGGAATCCTGTGGGAGTGGAGGGCTTGGCAATATTTTGTGGCAAATGATATAGCTTTGTAAAAGGCATAAAGGTATAGCAGTGTCTACGTGAAAGATTCTGGATTATGCAGATGTGGAATGAGGCAGTGGAGAACAAGTATGTAGCTGAGGGTAGGAATCACTTATGGATCTTGCGCTGCCCTTGAGAGGCTGGCAGGCTGAGGGTGGGGTGGGATTGGGAAGACATGCTTTGAAGCTCAGCCTGAGAATCACAGACTGTTTAGTACCTCATCACCCACCGTCTCCTCCCCAGTCTTCTAGAGACAAGAGACATGGAGGGCTGCAGGCAGGACTGCAGGACTGAGGAGCAAGGGATGTGTGAGCTCAGGGCTGTGGGCAGTGCACACAGGGCCACCTGCTCCAGACCCTCACAAGACACCCAGCAGCCTCTTCACACCACACCCTATAGGCAGCTGCCTCTTTTGCTTAGTGTAGAGCAGAACCCCAAATAGCCTGCTTTTTGCTGAGGCATTTACCCTGTGGCATTTAGCCTATTGTCAAGTTAAATTTATTCTTTTGTCTTCCGACTGGCTTTGATAAAGAACAAGTGTCAATCCATCTAAGAAAAGAAATTCTACAACTTCTTTCAGTTGTGGGACTCATGGTGTGGCCTCGTAATCCACTGTCAAGAGATTCTCATGCCTCGTGTCTCATGTCAGTTAGTGAGAAAGCAAGGAGCACTCTGGACATCCGCTGACTGCATCATTGCACTCCTCAAAAGCACCCCTCGGGGTGGTCTGGGCACTGGCAGTTGCTTAAGCAAGACTGGCTGTCTTACAAATCTTGCTAGCACCTATGATGGCTTAGTGGCATTTATCTGGCCTATTTTTCTCTCACCAGTGGAATGAAACAGGACATTGGACATAGCCTGATTAAACTGGACTTCTGTCCAATATCATCATGCTTTTAATGGATCCAGAATCTGTTTTGGGACAATCTGGGAAAATTTCCCAATCGATATCCTCTTTCCCAGAGTTCAAATGAAGGATTCATCTAGGAATGGCTGCATGTGTATATCTATTCCCATGAGAAAAGATATGAGACCTAGATTCTGGCTGGAGACTTGACCTTGGGCATGAAGTATAAACTCTCTAGACCTCAGATACTCATCTGTAAATAGAGCAGGTGCTTCAATCAGTAGTGGAAAAAGTCCTCCAGTGGCTTCTCATCACACTTAATCTAAAATTCCTATGACCTACAATGTTCTTCTATGTCTACATGAGTTGAAACCAGCTACTGTTCCCAACCCCCTGTCCTTTGCTCTGGTCCTCTTTGTTCCTCTAACATGTGAAGCTTATTCCTGGTTTAAGACCTTTGCGTCCCTTACCCCCACAAATCCCACCACTACTCCTCCTAGAATGCTCTTAGCTAGATTTTTGCATGGCTATCTCCTTCTTGTTATTCAGGTGTCAGTTCAAATGTGACCTCAGAGAGGCCTCCTTGGCTACGCCATCTAAAGGAGTGCCTTCCCACTCCATCCAGGTACTTTCAGCTATGTTCCCTGATTTACTTTTCTCAAACTACTTCCCATTACATGGAATTATCTTGTTTATTTGGCAGTTTGCTTGTTTATATGTAGTTCTGCCATAAGGTGACATATGTGTTCCTAAAAATCACTATGTCACATGAAATTGCACAATGTAAACCACAGGACTTATGGAGAAAATAGGGTTGGGGGCCCAACATGCAAAAACTTCATCAGGGACACGTTACGGGAAAAGATGGCAACAATAAAAATAATAGCACAGTTTTATATATGTTAAGTGGTCAGTATATACATAAATACTACTGTACCCTGAAAAAGATCTGAAGTTTGCTTGTGGAGGCAGGGGTGGGTTGCAGCCTGTGAGTGATTGTAATGCGATAGAACAAGGATTATGTGAAAATGGATCAACAGTTGTAATACCAGATGCAGATGGATGTGTTTCATAACAACATGGAGAACTGAGGAAGCTGGTAGATCCCTAAGTATGTCCACTCTGTATATTCCTATGTGACTCAGTTCAGCTGGGTGCAGTTTTCTACCTTGCAGTGTTTCTCATGGACAACTCATGCATAAGCAAACACAAAATTCACATTACACCCAAATTGTTCCCTAATAAGTTGCACTGGAACAAATTCATGTTTTCAAAGTGAGCATTATAGGGGATCTGATAGCATTTGTTTGCTCCACTCACTTGAATTTAATCTCCATAAGATCAGGGAAATTCTGTTTTACTCATTGCCATATTCCCAGCACCTAGGCAGCCTGGTGCATAGTGGGCTTTTAATCAATAATTGTTGAATAAATGAATGAATGGGTTTTTTTTTCGACATACTTCTCTTTGCACATGGTAGTGATACACTTTCAATGGCTATAGTAATCTTTATCGATGTGGTAGTTGCTGTTGGTGAGTGAGAGGTAATAGAATAAGAAGGGTTTCAACAATACTCTGCTTGTGAAGACAACCACAAACATGAAAAAACAAAACAAATCTATTGCAGGTGATTCAGATATCTACCTAGGTCCTTGCACCTTGCTAGTCATGGGAGAAGGTCTCTAACTGTATTCATTACAAAAACATGATTTTAACTATCGATTGCTTTGCAGAGTTCGTGAAAAACCATGGATGCCAGTAGAACCTGGAAACCCTACATGGAGCATAGTGTTATGTGGAAAGGCTTTTGGAGCTCATCCCATTAGGAAGAAAGGAACCTCAAGTCTAAATGTAAGCAGGCAAGATTGTCTGGGGAATGCTAGCTCCTGTCCCTCCGCTCCATATAAGTGTGTCTCAGACCTAAAATTTAATCATTCTCTACTAACTCAGAGAACAGAATTAGAAGTAGCTTTGAAAGGTCATCTCAGACAGGTGGGTTATGTCATATTTTTAAAGAGTTTGAAAATTGTTTAAATTTCAGAGAAATTTTCTAGCACTACTACGTAAAAGGTCAAATCAGAAAGTCCCCAAAGAGCTCAGGAATGCTCTTTCCTTTAAATTTTCTGATTTAAATTCTGAACCTACGAAAATGTGTCTGAAAATGCAAATGTTGTGGTTGAGTCGCTTTAGTTTATCAGGCAAAATAGGGAATATTTTGTGATGATTCTTTACTTCCTCAGTAATAGCTCAATCTTATGGAGAGTTGAGTGGAGTGGCAAAGTAATTACATGGTGAGTACCATATATTTACGATTATTTATGTTTTCTAGATTGGAGTACAGGATAATTATTTTTGGTCTTATTAAGTGCAAATTACCAAGTAGTCTTCAGGAACATGTAATTACTATGTACTGTAGTCACATGCCACTTACCAAGCAAAATGAATGCAGTGAAAATTTTATTTAATACAAGCAAAATGATGCATATGGTTTTATGAAGCAAAGCACAGAGGCCTACTTTCCTGCCTTGGGAGAGGAAACAGAAGCAGTCCTTCTTAACATAGGGCATTTCCTCAATTAACTACATCAACTCTTTGCAAAGCTTGGTTCTCATTAAGAATACAGATTTCTGGCTGGGCGTGGTGGCTCACACCTGTAATCCCAGCACTTTGGGAGGCCTAGGTGGGTGGGTCACCTGAGGTCAGGAGTTCGAGACCAGCCTGGCTAACATGGAGAAACCCCGTCTCTACTAAAAATACAAAAATTAGCTGGGCGTGGTGGTAGGTGCCTGTAATCCCAGCTCCTTGGGAGGCTGAGGCAGGAGAATCGTTTGAACCCAGGAGGTGGAGGTTGCAGTGAGCTGAAATGGCACCACTGCACTCCAGCCTGGGTAACAGGGTGAGATTCTGTCTCAAAAAAAAAAAAAAAAAAATACAGATTTCTGGACACTCAACTCACGCCTACAGAGTGTAACTTTCAGAGGTGAGGCCCAAGTACCCAGGGGCTTCATATGTACACCACAGTGAGAACACCTGCCCTACATTCAGAAAATGCTCTGACCAGTAGTTTCCTCAAAACACAACAGGGAGAATATTTTGGAATTTTAAAAATGGGGTCCACATATGCAAGATAGGTGGTGTGTATTTTTCTGTTTTTGATTATTTCACAAGTTTGTGTTACTCCTTTTAGATTGTACTTTGACAAGTATCCTTAATCCCAACTGTTGTAAAGACATAAAAGTGTTATTATATGTTGTTTTCTATTACACATAGATCATTTAGTTATATCAAATGGCTGAAAATGTATGCCACATAGGTACACATCCATAAAATGCTCTAACAGGTAGAATTT
This sequence comes from Homo sapiens, assembly GCF_000001405.40. Lineage (NCBI taxonomy): Eukaryota > Metazoa > Chordata > Mammalia > Primates > Hominidae > Homo > Homo sapiens. Next base: position 47,578,721 of record NC_000015.10, on the reverse strand, counting down.
CCTCAAAACACAACAGGTAGAATATATTGGAATTTTAAAAATGGAGTCCACATGTGCCATATAGGTGGCATATATTTTTCTGTTTTTGATTATTTCACAAATTTGTGTTACTCCTTTTAGATTGTACTTTGAGAAGCATCCTTAACCCCAACTTTTATAAAGACATGGAAGTGTTATTATACGTTTTCTATTATACATAGATCATTTGGTTAGATCAATTAGTTCAATTTAGCTGAGATCTTTCAGAGTTCCATTTAGTTGAGATTTTAGAGTTTAGTCAATGTGTGCTCTTGTACGTCCATGTGAACGCACATAAACAAACACAAAATCTGAAGGAACAGTAGTCCTCAAAAGACCAGACACTAAATAGGGATTTGACTCATGATCAGAACAAGGGTAAACTTTCTTCCACAGATATTTACTAAGTACCTACTTTATGCAGTGTAATTTTATTTTCCTATATTCACTCATTCAATAAGTCTCATTGATGTAAGACTCATTAGCTGAATTGAGATAGTTCAATGAGATGGTTAAGATCACAAGATTTGGAATCAGAGAATCCCTGTTCCACTATATACTAATGAGGAAACCATGGGCAAGTGACCTCTGTAGCTCACTTTCTCCATCTGTAAATTTGGGATAACAACAATGCATATCTCAGAAGGTTACCTGGAGGAAAAAATAATGTCATGCATCCAAAGTGCTTAAAACACTGTTACTATCTATAAAGGTCTCCACAAATTAAGCTATTATTGGTGTAATAAACATGAGAATACTATATTTTAATGTCTGGCACCTACATTTTCTTCCACATGCATATTTTGAAAAGAAAAATCAGTAAGACATTTTTTTACACATATCTTCCCTTTCACTTTTGAAAACTCCAACCACACTGACAGGCAAGAATAGAACACGCTTTGTCCTTGCTGAGGCAGAGAACAGGTTAACTTTCTGACTTCAAGAGAAGCCAGCTGGAGCGGCAGACTGTCTGCTAATGGTAAGGGAGGGAAAGCAAAAACTAATTTTAGCCATCATTCCTCAATCACTGTCCAGTTCCCTCTCATACTTCTCCCTGCCTACTCCCACCATCCTCCCTGGACTGTGAGGCATAAGGCCCTTTCCCAGGGCACCTTCAGTCCCTCGAGGGAGGGAATAATTTTGCAGCAAGCCACTGGCCTCTTCTCTTGAATTAGAGATGCTCATGTCCCAGCTTAAAACACATCTTGAACACCATAAATTCCAGCCTCCCATCACTTGCAAATTATCTCTTTTTATCAGAGGCCCTCATGCAGCCATGTGCCTTTTCTGCCATCTTTTGCTGAAAGTGACTTTTTCAGAAATGTGAAACACTGCTGTGGAAAAATTTGAGAAAGTCCAGGTACAATTTAGCTTGGTCTTCTAGTAAACAAGGATGAGGGAAGCAAAGATTAATGATGATTGCTAGGGTGACCCCATATGCTTGCATAACTTTCTTCACCCTTGCTGTTAAAGTCAAAATATCAGGGGAAAAGGAGAGAAAATTATGCAAGTAAATATCATATTTCATGAGCCTGACTTTCTGCTATGAAGATTGTGAAACAGAAAATATATTTGTGAAATGCAAACATTTTTCACTTACTAATGTTTATAATTAAGGCACAAATTCCTACTCAAACAAAAATCCTAGCTTGGGGAATAGAAACAGAAACAGAAACACAACTAATGCTTTTGCTGACAGCAGGTTTCTTCTGTAGGTAATAGCAAGCATTCCATGTGTGCATAAGTACCAAGATGTATTTCTGTAGGTACACAAACATATATGCATATATAATATGGGCAGAAGCAACAAAAGCTCAAAGAACAAAAGGAAACATCTAACTGCTCAGATCCGAGAGCCGCGTAAGGCTCATTTTGTTCTGGATAGATAAGCAATGAAGAAAAGGCTTGGAAGACATAGTCTGGACAGAGAATTAAAGAGGATTAGTTTACCAAGCCAGAGAAAACCTGGCCTGGAAGGATTCTGCTAGTGCCTAGCCCGGGTCCAAGGAGTAAATATTGAATAAAAGAAATCTTAGAATTACAGGACTGTAAGAGGCCTTAATAGTTCTCTAATTCAATCCTAGATTTGCCAGCAGAATGAATGCCTCAGTGACCGCTGGTCTGGGAATAGAGTGATTTAGTGCAGTTGAGCTGCCTCTAATGGGTTAGGCTCAGACAAGGGCATTCCTTACCTGGGGCCATGCAGGATGACAGCAAAGCCAAGTTCTGAGATAAATTCATCACAGGTAGGGTGCTGATCAGACCACCCCACCTGTCTTTCCACCACACTCAATCATCAACAACTTCACTTGGGGTATGGGCTTGCCTTAGCACCAGATCCTGCTCTAGCCCCCACTCCCAAGTACTGGGGGTTTCCTTGGCCTCCTTTACCTGTGATGGGAAGATGTGCTGGGGTCAGCTGCATTTGGACTGTGGTCTTTCTTAACAAATCATTTTGGTTTCTCTTTATTTCAGTTCTGTAGCTCCATCACTCTGCATTTTAAAGATAAATTCCAATATAGTTTCTGAACATTATACAAGGTAGCTTTCAGTTAAAATTAAGTGCAGGCAATACATTGATTCCTGAAACTTAAAAGAAAAATCATGGTCAATTAGTAATGCTGTCAGGAACTTTCAATTTAAAGGAATATCATTGTGAGTCGTTTTGTCATATAAAAATATTTTGTAATGCAAATGTCTCATTTGGGTAAATCTAGAATTTTCTCTATCGTGGCTCCTTTTCCAGCCAAACCAGTAAGACTGGGGAGCAGAAAGGATGGTCTGTATTTTTAAATAATATGTACAGAGCACCTACTACATGTGCATTTGTGTTAATTTTTAAAGTTGCATGCCCTCATCCAACTTCCATACCTAAAAAGGAGAGATACCACAATGTTTTATTGATTTTTTAAAGAGATCACCTGAATGCCACTCAAAGCCCTTACTGTGAAAGCACCAACTTCTTCTCTCTTTTTTTTTTGTTTTGAGATGGAGTCTTGCTCTGTTACCCAGGCTGGAGTGCAGTGGCGCAATCTCAGCTCACTGCAACCTCCGCCTTTCGGGTTGAAGCGATTCTCCTGCCTCAGCCTCCCGGGTAGATGGGACTGCAGGCGTATGCCACCATGCCCAGCTAATTTTCTGTAGTTTCAATAGAGACGGGGTTTCATTGTGTTAGCCAGGATGGTCTCGATCTCCTGACCTCGTGATCTGCCCACCTCACCCTCCCAAAGTGCTGGGATTACAGGCATGACAGACTTCTTATACTAGCCAGCCCCCATTCAAGCTGCTCCTTCCTGCACCTTCCCACCATTGTGCCCTCACCCTACCCCATATCTGGGCTTTACTGTGGCTTCAGCTATGACTCACCCTTGAGTCTCTTATTGACTTTGTTTCTACCCCCTCCCTGCCTAACCACTTTAGAATATTTTCCTCTGTTTCAGAAAGGTTATGTGTTGGGAGAAAGCCATGTATCCTCTGATCCTGTTTCAGCAACCTCAAAAGAATTAAGAGACAGAGTGGAATAGATTGCTACATAATTGATGCGATTAATTTGTTTCAATGAGTGAAATGACAATTGTGTCCCTGATGCCCTTGTTTCCATCAGCTCAGTGATCTGATCCCAGATCTGGTTTCACTTTATAGGTCTAACTTAACAAACACCATTTGAAAGTCCTCTCATTTTGTAAACACTGTGGCATTGCATTTTTGTGTCAAAAAGCTGACAATCCTTTGATTTTTACAATTTGAGCCAGGATTTGGCCCAAACTAAAATTGATCAGTCATTTCCTAGGTAGATTAGTGTATTTAGACCCAAATAAGACCAAACAAAAACTACTTTAGGAGTATTGATTATTCTTAATAATGTGGGGAAATGAGGAGATAGCAGAGACCTGAGAATGAAATCAGGCTCTATCCAAAAGAACTGAGATCTTAGTCAATAATTGTTTTATTTAAATGTGCCACATGTAAGAACATCATATAGCAATACTGGAAAGTATTATATATTATGGCACAAATAAGTAGAGGTTAAATTGGTAATATTATTTTATGTCTCTGCATAGGAATGTTTTGGTCTCAAAAGATAACTGTTCTTTAGAAATGCCTTGTTTTGTCATGAATGGGATTTCTCAGCATTTTACTTGTGCATACAAGATTCCGCTAAATTCTTGCTGAGGGTTCTCTAGCCTTGAAAGGGAAAATTTGCTTCCCTTTTGGGGTGAAAAAGTAATAGAGTTGTTTCAATTGATGTGTATATAGAATTTTATATCAATGCTCCACATTGGTTTCAACCAAATGGGAGAAACAATTCAGGACCTGGGATACTGATGGGGTAGATGTATCAGACCAGCCAGCTGAGGTCTCCCTTTCAATTCCAGAAGAGCCAAGTCATAACTGGATGAGGACAATCAATCTGAAGTCTCAGACCAGCCTGCAAAATCCAACAAGTTCTTGTTAATAACAAAGATAATTAACAACTACAGAGCTTACTGATGCACAGCAGACCAACTTTACAGGTCCTAATATTCTTTTCATCTTTACAGATGACAAAAGTCAAGTGAATTTTCTAGAGGTACACAATAAGCATTGGCAAAACCAGAGTTGAAACCCAGTTGGCTTCACATCAGAGAAGAAGTTCTTGCCTGGATCCTATGAAATAACAACAATCTTATGAAAATGGCATACTCTGTGGGAAATCAAAGTCTTGTGGAAGGAACAGCCCAGGGTAGACTGGCTTTGTCACAGAAGATTTGATGGGCTTGCACTGAAGAGACATATTGACTTACAGATGGCATCAGAAATGAGGGATATGTTGAAATCAGATGTATGGAGTAGGATAAAGTGACTTCCATGTCATTTAGATGTCAACATCATAAGATTGAGTGTTGATAGCTGGGACAGATGAAAAATAAAGTTGAAGAGGCAGGGGTGATTCCTGTGGAAATTTCAAGCCAGGCTAAGTTTAGACTTGGCTTATTAGGTATAAGGAGTCCAGCTGATTGATATTCAGCATGGGACATGTTTTAATAGTGGCAATTTAGGAAGATTAATGCCATGTTAACTATGAGAGATGAAAGAAAGAAAGACCAGCAATGATGCACCACCGTTGTCTCCATGAGACTCAAGATGAACATCTGGACTAGCAGGGTGGCAGAGGGAATGAACAAAATGGGATGATTTCTTAAGATATTCCCAAGGGAGAAATGATAGAGCTTAACTGATTGACGTAAAGGCCACTTTAGAGTGAATATAAGATCAGTATTTAATTCAACGGAAGTTTGTCATGTAAAAATAATTCTATGTTCTGGAACTTTTGAATAACTTCTTTAGCATGCATTTTGTGACTAAATCTTGCCTGTTTTATAAGGTTTAATTTTGTTTTAGCTTATTTTCTGATTTTTTTTTGGAGAATAAACACTTTGTGAGTTGTTTAAAACAAATCTTGAGTATTATTTTGTTTTTAATTAAGTACTTTGTTCAGTTCAGCTGTTGATTTTTTTGTTAAATCAAAACTTTGAATTTTTTTTTTCTAATTTAACTTACAAATTCACTTTTGCCTTCACTATTTTGTGCTGGTTGTTTCTTCCTGAGTTTAAGATACCTAGTCTTACACTTTTATTTCTTTGTAACACACACAATGCTTACCAAACTGCCGGGCACAGAGAACATTTATTGTTATAGTGATTAATTTGCTTTTAAAAATAAAACTTTTTTTTCAAGTGTCAAGCATTGAAAAATATTAATATTTAATATTTTTTTCAAATGCTCTGGTTTGATTTACCTTTAGGATGTAATTCCATGAGGACAGAGCCTGCATATGCGATGTTGTTTCACCTTTAAAACCTAACATAGTATCTGGCAAAAGTTCAAAATACATTAATTGAACAGATTAATGATTTATTTGCTTGAATAAATATTTTATTTTTAAAAATAATAATTCCAGAGCTCTGAATAGGTTAAGATTTCCTGGAAAAGCAGTAGTACACATTCTGTGTTTGTATTTTTCTTGTATTGGAAGAAAGTGTTGTATATATGTGTTTGTGTGTTTGCGTGTATATGTGTGAGAATGCATGTGATTTGATTCTTAATATGTCAGTAGAGAAATGCCTGTTTCTGAAGGCTGACCCCAGCTATCAAGGAAAGCAGAAGAGAGGGTGGCAGGTAATTTCTGAACAGATGGTGGCAGAGGCAGACCCATAAAGGAAGGGCCAGGGTCTATCACAGTTTCTGTGCCGAATACAGAAGCTGCCATCTAAAATAAAACACTTTGTTTCAAAACACCAACAATAGGAGGAAAATGATTATAAAAGAATTTAAGGCACTGTTCTGTATTTGTGTTATATTACAATAGCCAATTCAAAAAAATCACAAAGACTAATACACAAATAATTTATTATATAAAAATAGCTGATATAAAGTCTTTCAAAAATTGAAAATAACCTATAAACCTCATTTGATATACATTTGATCAGAGGAAACTAGCCACTATTACAGACACATTTTAAGAAAGATTTTAGAAGTAGTTATTCCCTAGGGATGACATCTAATGCAGAGATGATTGTACTGACCCAATGGCTTTTACTTTCAGAAACCTGTACTGCCTCGTGATCAAGGAGGTGTTTCCTAGGCTGAAATTTTCAACCTCATCTAGAGTCAGAAGTGATGTTGATCTGAACCTATGACAATGTGTGATTTGGCTTCTGTTTCTATAATACTTTAAACTAAGTACTGGATAGGAAACTCAATTCCAACCAGAAAATAATAGGTTTTGTTTTTCAAGGACTTTTTGCCAGAAGAAAAAATCATCTCTTTGTTTGTTTCAGGTAATGATGAACTAAAGGATGTACATGTACACACACACATCACACATACACAGACACACACATGTATAGCCAAATTTTGAGACCCACATTTTCATAATTTAACCAAAATTTGGGCAATTTCCTATTTTGTACCAAAAATGATCTTGCAAAACCTTAATATTTGTGGTTCCCATAATCATTATCCAATGAGGCCTACATAACTCTAAATATGCCTAAACCACAGCTGTTAAATAAAAGTTTTAGCAGAATGTTTTCTACAGTGCTTTTTCAGGAAACCATCCCAGCCACAAAATAGTTCTCGGCATCAGATATTTTGCTTTCTTAAACCTGGATTGAAGATTGATGATGATTCTGGGATGTTTTAAAATCACTCTATAATTGTAAATGTTTAATCAAATTCATTGCAGAATTCAAAGACTTACCCTTTGACTTAATGTACTGCTCTGGACTCAAGAATGCTCTAATCAGACAGCAGAGCATCTGTAATTGGCATTCTTGAGGCCAATGGCCATGGCAGCCACTTGAATAAATTCCAGGAGCATTAGCCTCTGAAAATATTCCTTGTTTTATTTTCAAATGCTTTCTTCCAAATTGGGCTCCAGAATTTTTTTTTTCTTTTCCAGTTACAGAGTGAGTACAGCTATGCTCTTAATATTGGCCTCAAATATATTTTAAGCAAGTGGGCCGAAGAGTAATTCTCCATCAGAAGTGAACTTATGACCCTGTCAATTAAAAAAAAAGTCACAGTGAACGTGTAAGATAAAGACTGAGACACAGCTTGCAGGCAGGCAGGAGAAGAGTGGGGAGGGGAGGGAATTCAGATCAAGTTTGCTGTTTCCTAGCATTTTGTATTACACGGTCTGAAATGTATGTCAGCTTTTGGATCTATTCATAGAGTCTAAAACTCCTCAGCCCTAGATGCATATTTTGGAGAGCCCAAAAATGTCTGCACCTCTTTTCAGATTATCTGAAACATATGGAGCATTTCTCACAGCATCAGGCCACTCCATCACTGAGACACCCCTGGCCTCTTCCAACCCACTAATGCATTAGGTTGGACCTTGCTGTGTCTTTGGCCACAAGTTAATCATTTGGGATGGCACAGTCTGGGAAGAGCTGTAAAGTACCCTGATTTGTCTTGCATTGAGGAACAGCCTCCTGGACTCAGGACTGAACTGTGTGTGCCTCGGGTAGTGGAGGGAAGATCTCACTGACCAGACGAGGCTGCGCCGGGCCTGCTGGGGTGCAGCACTGGGGCTGACCAGCCCAGGCTGAGAACAAAAGCAATAATCCAATTAGAGTTCCAATCCCTTTTGATGAAGACATACTTAGGGAAATCTCAGGTGTCAAGTGGTAAACACTTTACTTCTTTTTCAGTCAAAGATATATTAAAAAATAAAATGTCAAAAAGAAGTTTCACCAATTGTGACATATTTAAATATCAACCTTTAAACTAAACTAAAACATTGAACACACACAAAAACCCCATATAATTGTACCCTCACAAGATGATTATAAGATTTACAACAAAAAGCTTCTTCCAGGTGAGTAATGGCCGCGGGCCACCTACATGCAGTGCAGGGCATCCAGCCTGGAACCAGCCTTTATGAGTCCACAGGTCTCCGCATTTCCTCAATCACAGGGCACAAAAGATTGCTGGGGCAGTCAGAGCAGGGATTGAGGATGTCAGAATGGGGTGGGGCAGAGTCAGATTTCGAAATTTTTTGATTTTAATAAAAAGACTTCACAGTGAAAAGAAAACCAAATGATACTCAGGGAGATACAGCTCTAGGTCAGAAATTTCAAATCTTTTTTTTTTTTGAGATGGAGTCTCCCTCTGTTGCCCGGGCTGGGAGTGCAGTGGTGCGATCTCGGGTCACTGCAATCTCTGCCTCCCAGGTTCAAGCAATTCTCCCGCCTCAGCCTCCTGAGTAGCTGGGATTACCGGCACCCACCACCACGCCCGTCTAATTTTTGTATTTTTAGTAGAGATGGGTTGTCACCATGTTGGCCAGGCTGGTCTTGAACTCCTGACCTCAGGTGATCCACCCGCCTTGTTCTCCCAAAGTACTGGGATTACAGGTGTAAGCCACTGCGCCTGGCCTCAAATCCTTATAAAATGATCCATAGCAAGATAATTTACTAAATTATTAATTTATGTATATTTCCCTCACTGCATTTCCCTCCTCCATTCCAATAAAGTGTCCAGCTTTTGTATTCCTTTAAAGGTGGAAGTAGTCAGTCCTGGGTAAGTGAAGTTCCAACACTAGAATGGGAATGTGTTGGGGACCTACAGGGTGCCCTAGAATGCTTTTAGGTCCTCTGAGGGGAATTGCTGTGTGGTCTCCTTGGTTGGCTGGACCCAAGTAGCTGTTCTCTCACTGCTGAAAGTGTCCTGTGCCCCACATAGTTCAGGATCCACGGAATGACCTAAGGGCTCACATCACCTTGTATGAATAGCATATCAATAATGACCATGGGCACTGTAGGCCACAGTCTTCTCTTGAAAGGTTTTGCTTTATAAGACCCCTAGAAACTTGCATGATTCTAGAGGACAGAGGGCAGGGCAGAAAGGGAGAGCCAGTAGTAACAGATACTGAATTACCCAGCAGCCAGGTGGAATGCAGATGTAGAATCAGAATCACATTTAATTTAATTTTGAAAAAAAATGAAGTCATGTGACATTTCTTACAGCTTAATGTAACAGGTGAAAAGGTATAGTTACCACCAAGCTATATATATTTTCTTTACTGGAAACCTTATTTCCAGGTCCAACATGAAAACAGATCAAAATTAAAGCTTTTCAAACTGAAATGGGTTCTAAAGCCTGAAGCCCTGTCTCCTCGTTTTCCCAAACAGCACCCACGAAGCTTCACAGAGGCCTTGGAGGTCCATAAAGGTCTGTGGATTTCCATAGAGCACAGTTTGAAAACTGCTGTTCTACTTAGCATCCATTAGTGGAGAATTAATGATGGCCATAATAATAATATTAATAATATTATTCGTAATAATAACATACTGCTCTATAGTTTAAAAAGCACTGTTATGTGTGTTAGCTCACTTAGTATCTGCAGTAACCTAAAATAGAGGAAATAGATACACTAATTCTTAAGATGAAGCAACTTGCCCTAGGCACAGTACGAGTAAGTTTGGTGCCTATTTTTGTTGATTTTTAATATGGGAAAATAAAACAAAATACGAAACTCACTGAGGACACATAATAAATACTTATATGCTCATCACCAGAAATGAATGATTATTAACATTTTATCATATTACCTGAGATGTAATTATTAAAGAAGTAAAAAATTACAGATAAATAATGTTATGCTTTCCTCTCTCCTTTCCTTTTCTGCAGAGGAACCTATAAAATTAATGTAATGTAATGTAATGGGCCCAGGTACTTGTTTTATTTAAAAATGATATATAGAATTGCTTGTAAATTCACCTTGTCACTCAACATTAAATCATTTTTACTAATATTTAACAGTACTGCATCACTTGATCACATTATAATTAATTTATCCTTTCTCTTGCCAATGGACACTCGGGTGGTTTATGACTGTATACTATTATAGACATTGCTACAAAGATGATCATAGCCATAACTGAAATAGTTTCTATAGAGGAAACAATGTTATTAGATTGGTGCAAAAGTAATTGCGGTTTTTGTCTTTTTTTTTTTTTTTAAATGGCAAAATCAGTTTTTTTTTTTGATGAGCATAATCAGTTTTATTAGATATTGCCACTTTGGTCTCCAAGTTACATCTCCACCAGCAGTGTATACAAGCTTTGATACAACTACATTACCTCTGAAATTTGAATTGGCTAGTTTTAAATTGTTTTAAAAATTTCACTGGGGTTAAATAATAGCACATTGTGGTAAATAGGAACTCTCTATTACTAATGACATAGAACCTTATTTCATGTTTATTGGCCATGTGGGTTTCTCGCTCTCGGCATCACCTATTTAAATTTTTTGTAGATTTCTCAGTTGGTTGTCTTTTCCCTAGTGATTTCATTCATTCATTCTTTCACTAATTCATTTGTTCATTTATCTGTTCAATAATCTCTTGTTAAGGGCCTACCATATCCCAGGCCTACTTTTAGGAGCCTGTTGAGTCCCATACCTGGTAAACTTCAGTGCGGGAAGACAAACACAAGGAAGTAAGCAATAAGCATATACTGTAATATTAGACAGTTATAAGAACTAGAAGGAAATACAAATTGAAGGAAAACAGAGAATAGTGAGAATGTGTGTGTTCACATACGAAAGAAGTGTCCAGGAATGGGTTTTCAAAGAGGTCACATTCTGATGGAAACCTAAATGAAGAGAGGGAAAGAACTTTGGGAAGATTTAGAGGAAAAGTATTTCATGGTTAGGAAATGAGAGCAAAGATAATGAGGAAGAAAGAACAATTTTGAGATGTGAGGAACATTAACTAGTAAAATCATTTTTTCATCCATGTACTATGTCCTTTAACATTATTTGCTAATTTGTTTGAAGTTTATTTATTTGAATATGCATACATATTTTTCCTCACTATTAAATTTTTGTTAAATTTTCTAATTCGTTACTCCCAACATAAAAGCCAGGGTTTGAAGTGAGGGTTTCCAATGTAAAATTTCACATCCTTTTTGTTTTATCATGTTACCTCTCTCAAATAACAATGGAGAATGCAGACCAAATATGCAGAAAATTATAATTAAAAGCAGAAGTTTACACAAAAACTCTTCAATGGGAAATTCTCTGATGAATTTTTGAGCCTACTTTAAGACCTGCCTATATTCTTTCATGCCATTCCACAGCCACTATAAATACTGGTGGCAGAATAATTCCAAACAACAAATTTCAGCTTCCAAAAATGACCTCTTTTTGAAGAGTAAAGAGAGGCTGATATTTTCATGCCTTGTCCAAAGGAGCAAAAGGCTAGGCTCATTCATTTTCTTTTCTCTGTAACACCCTCTTGTTTTATTCTTAAATAAACAAAGCAAAAACATCTTCCGTCTTCCTTCAGAACTCCCCATATTTTTGTCAGGACTACACAGCTAGCCTGTGTTAAACACTATCACGTGACAGACACTGGAAGCAACACTTTCCATCCGTTAGCTCATTGAATTCTCATAACAATTTCAGGAGCGAGGTATTCATTGCCCTTTCCATATGTGGAACTCCGGTTGGGGACGGTTAAATGACTTGCTCACAGTCATGCAATCTGTAAGTGGTACAGTCCAGATTTTCTAATCTCTAAGGTGTTTCTAATTTCAAAGGAGTTCCCACTTAGCATAAAGCAAAATAATCTAAGAAGCTCTTGAAAATGACTCTATGTTCTTTGTCACTATGGGAAGCCCCAGGGACACACTTCTTGTCCCTACAGATGTGGGAACTCTCCTTGGGCTCTGAATACCTGATGCATGCACATTTTGCAGTTTGATAACATACAGTTGGTCCAAAGCTCACTCAGTTCAAGTGAACACACTCCAGCCTTACTTTGTCATTGTCTCTTCCTCTTCCCCATTGTCTGCCTCCTACTCTCTCCACTCATTACTACTGGAAGAAGGAATCTCCCTCTTACTCAACAAGGCCAAAGTGGGCCTAGCATGAATCTGTCAAAGCAGGTGGTGACCCAAACACTGGGATCCAAAGGCTTTGGGAATATCCTCTGACTCTTGTGAATCCCAAAATCACACATTTCAGAGCTGACAGTGACCTCAAGGAATGACCTCATCCAGACATCTGCCGCTGTCAGTTGTCAGACATTATCTCAATTTTGCTGATGAGGTAACTGGTACTCTGTGAGATTATGTGACCAACTCAAGGTTACGTGCTAGGAAAGTAACTGTGAAGGCCTATATCCCTGTATAATAAGTGCTTCTTTTATTACATGATTAGATTCTTTCCTTGGGGTTTTGCGATGTTTAAAAAATATTTAAACTTCTATATCTCAGTTGTAAACTAAGGAAAAAAATTAAGTAGTGACAGGATGAAGACAGAAACACCAGAAGTGAAGGGAGAGAGGGTCTCAAACTCACATGCAGTGATGAAGAAGAAAAATTTTGCTGACTTCCCGCTTTGCACTGAATAAAACATATTTTGCATTTCCAATTCTACTTTTCTGGAATTTTACAATGATAGAGTTGGAGAAAAGGGAAGGGGAGAGGACAATATGTTATGTACTACACATTTGTATCTCATTTAATTCCTCCCCACCCCAGAAACCTAAGAAGTAAAAATTGGCTCCCAATCCCTTATCTACAACCCTTGTGGTTCGATGCCTCCCAGATTCAGAATTGTACAGATTTTAGAAAGTCAACAGAGTGCATGTATCATACATTTCAAAACATTCTCAATAGTATTGAAGAAGGATATTTCCCTGACTCCTTTGCAGGACTCGTGACATGGGTGCCCCATTTACTCAGCCTGTTGCTCTCAACTCCTCACGGGAGGGAGTGTGTGAGCAAATGAAGTGGGAACTGGAGTACATGAGTGCTGGAACCAGCTGGCCCCTTCAGCACTGGCAGGGATGATCTCCACTCACTCAGACCCGCTGTGCTCCACCCCTCATGGGAGGGAGTGTGCAGGTGAGTGGGTGCAGGAGCTGGGGTGAGCGCTTTGGGGCACCAGCAGGAGCAAACTCTGTGCCGGCCCTGCAGCAGTCTCTAATGGGGTGCCTGTGACTCCTGCAGCCCCAGTGGGCATGTTACGGTGCTCTTTTAGCTCTGCCATCTTCAGAAAGGTTAACTGTTAGCAGCTCAGTGGGCCCTTCTGTATCTGTACTTGATCCTAAACTTTTGTCCGGCATCCAGGAAAAATGAGGTCACATGAAAGAATTAAAGGATGGTAAATGTGGGGAATTTTATTGCCAGTGAAAGTTGCTCTCAGTGGGAAAGGGAACTGAAAAGGGAATGGGGGATATAGGTAATCTTCTCCTGAAGTCTGGCATTCTTTTCTGAAGTTACACTGTCAAGCTGTCCCTCTGAAGTCAAGCTGCTTCTCTCCAACATCCAGCCATAGTTGTCCCGATGTCTAGATTCTTCTTCCTCTCTGCTGGCTGAGTCTGGGGTCTTTATAGGCACAGGATGGGGTAGGGCGGGGTCATGGGTGGTTTAGGAAAAGGCAACATTCTAGTGAGAAAACAGGGATATAAGTTCTCACTTTGGGCCATGGTCTCAGGCTTTTCAGCTTAAGGGTTTCACCAGGGATCCCGCCCTTTTCTCCCTAGAATTCCTCTGCCTCCTGTCCCTATCAGTATCTAGGCTAGCATCCTGTAATCAAACATATTTGTGTTTCTTCAGCCAAAAGTATGGATATTCTCATTAAGTGGGATTAGATGAAGACTATAAATAGTCTTATATCAGTTCAAGTAAGTTCAGATCAGGTCAGGTTTTAACATCAAACAAGTTATAAAAAAAATTCTGTTTTGAGAGATTTCTGGAATTTGCAATTGCAGATAAGGGACTGGGGATCTACATTAATATCCTGTATTCTTATCACATCACAAATGAAGAAATAGAGGCTTAGAGTTTAAGTAATTGCCTAAGTTCCCACAGTATCATGCCAGAAATGGGGCTGGAAACTACAACCTTCAATACCACCACTTTCCTCATTACTGCCTCCAGGGAGGGGATTTCTTCTCTCAAGAAGATGGCGGGTAAGCTTGTATAGGCAGGCTGACTCTTGTCTTTTGTATTTTTAATATCTTTCAGAGGAGCTTGCATGGGCATTATGTACATTGTACACAGTCTCAAGACCTATGAGTAAACACACTCCATGATTTATAAATGAGCATGATGATTGTTTGGAAATGTCATTGACGTAGGGTCAGGTTTCTTTGAACTCATAATTAAATGGTGGTCAGAAATCTTTCCAAGGAAGTATGACAAAGGAGATGCTGATCACAGATTTACACTTGCAGAAAGTAAAGCCTTCCATCTGCCAGCACTTGCCTTTGTCTGGGAGTAGGAAGGAAGATGTGAGGGCAGTTACTTATTTTTTGCCACAGGACATTGGCCGAAGAGTTATCTTTGGGAAAGGCACCAGCTGTGTGGCTGTTTATGATGATACATAACCTATGTAAATGTGATGCTTTTATTAATTTTGTAAGTATTGGTTAAACATTTTCTACATGTCAGTTATGGTCCTAGAACACACTGGGTATTTAAAAATAAGTAAGACTTATTTCCTGTCCTCATAATGCTCTCAAAAAGAAAGAGACAATAGAAGGGATAAGGCACACAAAGACTTAATTATAATACAGAGAAGAGAATGAGTAATGTAAGAAGAAAACTACAAATAAAGTGCTATTGGGAACTAATGGTATGATCATCTAATCAGAGAGTTCAGGAAGGGCTGTGGAGATGATTACTGAAGAAAGCATAGGATTGGAGATGGGGGGAGGTAGGAAGAAAGGTGTTCCTTGTAGAGGAGCCATAGCATTTCAAGAACAGTTGGCATTCAGCCTTTTAACAAATTATTATTCCTGATGAGAAGAGTGGCCTATATAGTGGCATATATTTATACCCCTAACTCTTCAAATTGTTTTCTTGAATTTTAATGAAATTTTAGACTTTTAAAAGTTTACACTTCAGTGATTTTTAAATCATTAAAAAGTTGTACAACAGTCATTACAATCCAGATTTTGGACATGCCCATCACACAATAAAATTTCCTTGAGCCCATTTGTAATCAATTGCAGCTTCGATTTCTTAGCCCCAGGCAATCACTAATCTATTGACTATATATTTGCCTTTTCAGAAAAGATGAAATAAATGAAATACATGAAATTACACATTATGTAGTCTTTTACACCTAGCATCTTTCACTTAGAATATATTTTTCAGGTTCACTAGGTTTGTAGCATGTATCAGCAGTTCATTGTTTTTGCTGTTGAATGTAATCCATTGACTGGATATACCATCTTGTGTTTATGCATTTGTCAATTGATGGACATTTGGGTAGTTTCCAATCTTTGGCTATTGTGAATATAACTATGGATATTCTCAAACAAGTTGTTGTTTGGATATATGTTTTAATATTTCTCTTAGGTAGATTACTGAATTTACAAAAATTTCTGGGTTTTATGGAAACTTTATATTTAAGTTTTTAAGAAACTAAAAAATTGTTTCTAAAGTAGCTATACCATTTTACATTTCCACCAGCAAGGTATGAAGTTTCTAGTTTCCAACTCTTGGTATCATCTGTCTTTTTTACTATAGTCATTCTAGCGTGTATCTCTTTGTGATTTTAATTCGCATCTCCCTAATGACTAATGATATTGAGCATATTGTCATGTGCTTATGGCCATATAGATGTCTTTTTAGGTATGATGTCTATTCAAGTCTTACCAGATATATGATTTGCAAATACATTTTTCTCAGTTTCTGTCCTGTCTTTCTTAAAGCTATTGTTTGAAATGCAAAAGTTATTAATTTTAATAAATCCTATTTGTCAAGCTTTTTATGGCTTTTAATGTTGAATATAAAACTCATTGATTAACCAAGCTTATGCAGATTTTCTCATAAGTTTTCTCCTAGAATTTTTATAGTCTAAGTTCCTACATTTTAGGTCTATAATGCATTTGAAATAAGTTTTTAGCATAGTGAATGTAAGGATCTACAATTTATTTAATTTTTTTTTGCAAGTGGATATCTAATTGATCAAGCACTACTTGTTGAAAAGACTATGCCTTCTCTGTTAAATTACTTTTGTGCTGCTGTTGAAAATCAGTTGCCCATGTATGTGTGGGTATATTCCTTGACTATCTACTTTGGTTCATTGATTGAATTATCTGTTTTTATGACTATATCAACTCTCTTGATTACTGTAGCTTTACATTAATAATATACCTTCAAATCAGGTATTTTGTTCTTTTGTTTAATGTTGTATTGGCTATTGTAGGTCCTTTGAATTATATAATAAGTTATTCAATTTCTATTTATAAAGTCTGTTGGGATAATGATAGAAATATGCACCTTAACTTAGCACCATATAGTTTAGAAAAATACTAACTTAGAGTTGGTAAAACATGGCAACTTTGCTCCAATATATCTTCCTCTCTCATGCAATTTTGTCATTATATATTGAATCTTAAAACCCAACACAGTGTTTTAATTATTGTTTAATAAAATCTTACATAATATTTTAAAATTAATAAGAAATTGAAAAACACATTTATAGAATTGTTTATATTTACCTATATTTAAAATATCCTATATTTAAAATACCCTTAAAAAATTGAAAAACACATTTATAGAATTGTTTCTATTTACCTATATTTAAAATATCCTATATATTTTAAATATATTTACCTATATTTAAAATATCCTGTATTCTTCAGTTTTTTTCTTAGGATTTGGTGTTACTCTTTGGTGTCATTTCCTTTCAGCTTGAATGACTTCCTTTAATATTTGTTAGAAGGCATATCTGATAGCAACAAATTCTTTCAGTCTTTGTTTATCTAGAAATGTCTTTATTTCACCTTCATTTTTGAAGGATGGTTTTGCTGGATATAGAAGATTTGGTTGACAAGATTTTTTTTCCTCTCAATTGAAGTTGTCATTCCACTGATTTCTAAACTTCATTGTTTATGACAATAAATCAGCTGTTAATCATTCCCCTGTATGTGATGGATCATTTTTCTTTTGCTGCTTTCAAGATTTTCTCCTTTTCTTTGGCCATAAACCGCCTGTAATGTGTCCAGATATGAATCTCCTTGAGTATTTCTGTGTGAGATTCATTGATCTTGGATCTGTAGGTTAATAACTTTTAAATTAAATTTGGGAAGTTTTAAACCATTATTTCCTCAAAACTTGTTTTTTTTTTTTCTGTTTTGTATTAGTTTCCTGAGCACCCTTAATAACATACTAGGAACTGGGTGATTTAAGCAGAAATTTATTGTCTTACAGTTCTGGAAGATAGAAATCTGAAAGCAGATGTTGGCAAGCTTGGTTCATTATGAGGGATGTGGGAAGAATCTGCTCCATGCCCCTTCCCTGGCTTCTGTTAGACCGAGGCAATCTTTGCCTTCTCTGCATCATCACATAATCTTTCTTCTACACAGGTTCTTCTGTGTCCAAAGTTCCCCCTTTTATAAGGACACAATAATACTGGACTAGGGCACACAGAGATAATGACTTCATCTTGATCATTTGCAAAGACTCAATGTTCATATTAGGTCACATTTACAGGTTCTGGGAATTAAGACTTTAATGTCTTTTTGGAGAACAGAATTCACCTCATAATATTCCCCCTTTACTTTTTTTTCCCCTCTAAAAATTCCAGTTGCATGTGATGATATGCTTAATGTTGTTCCACAGGTTTTTGAAGTTCTGTTCATTTTTCTTTAAACATTTCTTTCTCTGTTCTTCAGACTGGATAATCTCTATTCTCAACTTCATACTTTATTTTTCTTTTCCATCTCAAATCTGCTCTTGAGCCCTTTATTATTTTCTTTTTTACTTCAGATATTGTACTTTTCAACTCTAGAATTCTCTTTTGTTTTTTAAAAATAATTTCTCTCCCTTCATTGAAATTCTCTATTTGTTGAGTCATTGTTATTATGCTTTCTTTTTGTTCTTTAAACAGATTTCTTTAGTTTATGGAACTTATTAATAAAAGCTGCTTTGAAGTCTTTTCTGCCAAATCCAGTTTTTATTTACTGCATTTTTTTTTGTCTCTGAATACTGGTCTTTCTTGCTTCTTTGCATGCTTTGGAACTTTTGGTTGAATACACTTTAGATAATATATTTTAGCAACTCTGGGTTCTGATTTCTCCTCCTCTGAAGATAATTATTTTTGTTTTTATTTTGTTTGTTTAGTAATTTACATAGACTATATCTGTGAAGTCTGCCTCCATGGTAAACTATAGCTGCTGATGTTCCTACTCAGTATTATCATTTATTTTGTTTTATTTTTAGTCTAACTTCCTAGGGATCATCTCTGTGTCTGCATAACTTTGACTTCAGCCCAAGATTGGTCAAAAGTTGTGTTCAAACACCTTCAGCCAGTAAGGCTTCCATTTTCTGGGTGTTAGCTGGGAATGACATTCAAATTTTAGGCCATTCTCATTTGTCCTATCTTTTGCTTCCTTCCAGGCTGTCTTCTATTGCCTCTGAGAATGTGTGCATTCTCCATTGACCTGGTATTTTTGGGTGGCTTGAGCCTTCCCAGTCTTTCCTGCACATCCACACAGCCTCCAGTCAATTCAGAATATGTGGACTGCTTATCAGTCCCCTTAATCCTATCTCATCTCCCAGAACTCTCTGTTAAATCTCTGGCTCCACTCCATTGACTGCCTCAAACAGAACTGCAACATCAGTGGAGACCCTAGACCTCCCTATTAGCTTCTACTAAGCTTTAACTGTCAATGCTCCAATATGTATAATTCTCCAGCATGGGTAGCAGGGCTGTTTGTTTTCATGAGCTAAGAAAGCTGAGAGGGAGATGGGAGCAGCCACTGGCATGAAAACCACAAACTTATATTCTTCTGACCTGAAGCTCAGTATTTTTCATGAATAAATGCTTCTTAATTTGTTGTCTGTCTTTGGTTAATTTTGAGAGTATTAAATGATTGTTTCTCATGATTTTGTCCAGTTTTATAGTTGCTTTTTTGGGAGAGAATTTGTTTGCCTCCCCATTCCGTCATGCTTGAAGAGAAACACTTTAAGACTTTTTTTCAATATTCGTGTCCTTGATTTCCTCAGCATTGGGCATTGACTCTTTGCTGTGTCTTTACAATGGTATCTTTCCAGATGCCTTTGGTTCTAGCAGCTTGGGAGATACACTAGACAAACAAAATGGATCGAATCTTCATTTCTAATCTCTTAATCTATCCATTCAAAATCATAAGCTTACTCACGCTTCCATGAGTTTTCTCATCTATTAGCACTTTCTAGAATGTTGTATCTTTTCCCTTTCAAACCCATCGCTGCTCCAAGACTCTGCTCAAAATCAGCCTCCTTTATAAAGTTGTTCCTAATTACTTCAACTCACTCCACTTCCCTTCTCTGTGACATTTTGGCTTTAATTTTTGCCATTATTTTTGGAAATTACACTGATTCTATCTTATACTCTTCTCCTAACTATTCTGTTTATGCACTATTATTTTTAATATCCCCAGGGAAACCCATTTATTGAAGGCAGAAGCAAAGCTGTTATTATTTTCCATGTCTCATAGATTTTACTGAAATCCTAGATATATCTAGTGCACAATTTAGAGTTAATAGATTGAATTGAATATGATAGAGTAAATGATTCCCTGACTGATAATCATGCCCTATACTTTTAGGACAGTTAGCATCATAAAAAGATGTTTTACATTCCTCTTCACCCTGTGCAAGTCTCTGCTTGTCTAATTCACACTATTTTTCAAATTCTGGATAAAATACCTCCTTCATGAAGCCCTTCATGATTCTCTCCTTCCTGAACTTGCAGTGTATCCTACACTTTGCCTGTGGTTATTTGGCACTTTCTGTCCTGAATCATTGCTCTTTATGTACATGACTTTTGCTATTAAATATGAGCATCAGCTTCAGACAAGGATTTATCTCTGTAATTTATCTCATTGGCAGAATATCTTGGTATACAATTGACATAGCTATTATATAGTAAATAAATGAATTAATGAATAAAGCTCAACCTTGGTTCTACCAATTTCACTCAGTTTGTAGAATATAATGATAGAATATAGACAGTATATCCTATGAAGTCAGAGGAGGTTAGTGCTGTAAAAGAAATTACAGATGATCTACCACGATTGTACCTTTTCATATGGGATCATTGAGGTCCAGTGAAGTGAAATGATGTGTCCAGTAATGAGTATCAGAGGTCTACGGACGGCTGGTGAGATTGCTTTACACGGTTTTGATCATTCTTCCAAACTCAAGGATGCAGAGTAAAGCTGGCATTGCACATTCCAAGAGACTATAGGCTTCATCAGAATTGTAGGTTTCATTTAGTGCTTCTCTTCATGGCAAGGAATTTATATTCAAATCCTTTTGCCACCAACAGTACAGCTTACCTTGCATTCACTGTAGGGTAACAAATTAACAGGCCCGTTCTAACAGCAGAGTTACCAGACCCAACAACCAACGCTTTCCCTTTGATGAAGAGATGTTAATATACTTCAATGTATTCACTGGCCTTTAACAAGGAAGTAGATTCAAAACTAACAAGAAAATGTAAACCTGATGTGATTTCCCTAACCAAAACCCAGCAAATACACTCTCTGTGAAGTGTACAGCTACTAAACTTTAATGACAATATCAGTTCTGCTTCATGAGGGGAGTAGTAAGTCCTTGGTTCATCTATTATAAAGATTGGAATTCAGGCTGATTTCCCTGCACTTGGCAGGTGGCCAAGCACTATGGAGCTAATGCAGGCCATTCTAGCTGTATTTAATGAAGGTGGCACCCAAGACATCAACTTCAAGAAAAAAAGCTTATCTATGCATTTGGTTCATACTGAGCATTATGTTTGTGAAAGTGTTGATGTTTAAGAGCATGTTAACCTCAAATTAAATACATAGTAAAATCACAACCGTAGGTTCTCCAAGTGTAGGTAGCTAACTGTGAAGTCTATGTTTTCATTTTAACCAGGTGAGAGAACTTTGCAAAAGTGCAGTGATAGAGTGCCTGCTATGTGACAGGCACCCCCACAGACATGTACTTTACTCCTGTCATTTTACATGAAGTGACTGTTGAGTTTCCCCTAGGCCTTCTTTCCTTTTCCCCATTCTGCTCCTCTGCACCACACCGGCCCCTCCTGTAGTCTCCGAGGGTACTATAAGTAATGATAACTGCTTTTACTTCTTGACACTGTATGACAAGTCAGATTCTCTATCAGATGCTCTACATTGTCTCTTTTAATCATGAGAAGTCGTTTAAGGTAGGCATTGTTATGTACATTTTAGTGATGAGGTACTCAAGACTGAGAAAGATGAACTGGCATGCTCAGAGTCACACAGCAATAAGAGAGAAATTGGACACATGATACCTTTGCACTGACATCTTGCTTTAATACTTTCAAACTTGATTTTGACTTAGGCACACAAAAACACCATCCCCAGTTACTGTTCTCCATCATCTTTGTCCAATTCTGTGAGAAAAGGAGCACACAGCCCCAGCCATGTTATGGTTCCCTAGGGCTCACTCTGTTGGGAAGGGAGGCTCCACAGCAGGTAAAAGCAGTGAGGGAAAAGGGACTTTGCATAATTTTTCTCATTTAGTTCTGTGTTTCCAAAATATCTTTAGGGATGGCACACACTTCTGTAGCATGACCCATAGACAATAACAAAAATAACAGGACAATAAAAAAATAGAAAAAAATACTAGGAAGGCCAAGAAACATTTTTTCTTACAGTCTTACATGCACAATGCCCAGCATAGTACCTCATACATAACAGGTAATCAACTTAAACAAATTCGACATTTTGATAAGCAAGCGTTCTCAGAAAAATTTATTTCTTGGTCTATTTCATATGATAATCCTTATGTATTCATCAAACACAGTTATAATGTTAAGTGGAAAAAGCAGAGAACAAAATTTTATCCATGCTATGATTACAACTAGAAAAATTATGGGTGCATACGGGGAATCGGAAAGGAGTACAAAAATGGAAGCAATAATTTGTTGGTGGGGTGGGATTGCGGGATAATTTTCTTCTTCCATTTTGATTCCTGTTAAAGCTATTATGGTGTTGTTTGTGCGATAAATAATCTTTTTAAGTATAACAGTATATATCAATTAAAAAGAAAACATGTAAAGGTATGTGCCAAAACCACCAGGAAACATAAATGTAGCATTTCTATTTCTGCTGGAATTCTGGCTTCTAATGAGGCCTTTATTCTCACTGTCACAAAGTGCCATCAGTCTCCAAGCAACTGTGTTAAAGGAGAGAAACACTGATGAGGGTCATCTTAACACAGGGATGATGAGTACCCCCAGCTATTCCATGGGATGATTTTCTGTTTTATGCGTGCCTGATAGGTATGGTTCTGTGGGTCATTTCTAAATAATTTATTCTGACTATCAGGAAAGTATCTATATTTTGGCTTTCCTAAGAGAATTTGACCCAATTTATGCTCATCACCTATTACATCATGCCACTTGAAAGCCATTAGTTTAGAGTAGACCTTGCAGTGCTATTAATCATTATCAAAATATGGTCTACTAAGTAGAAACTTTGGGGGGCTTATTAGAAATGCAAATACTCTGGCTCCTTAGACTTTCTGAATCAGAAACTATGTGGCTGGCCTCAGCAATCTATGTTGTAGGAGACTCCCCACCACCACATGATTTTGATGTTCAGTAAATTTAGTAACTTGGACTACACATACCCACATAATGTTCCCACCCTACTTTTTCAGGAATGATCACTTAGTTCATATTACTTGCTTACTATTTCAGGTTAAAACAAGAAGTTATTAAAATGAAACGTATTGTATGCAAGGGGTAGTGTTTTAAGATATTATGTGCCATTAATATATTAGACTGAATTAATTTGTCAGTTTTCATGGCATGAATGA
Source organism: Homo sapiens (assembly GCF_000001405.40). Taxonomy (NCBI): domain Eukaryota; kingdom Metazoa; phylum Chordata; class Mammalia; order Primates; family Hominidae; genus Homo; species Homo sapiens. The sequence goes on along the minus strand of NC_000015.10, from coordinate 47,555,358 downwards.
GTTCTCTTTAGGGCCTGGGAACTGAGAATTTAACAACAGATAACCGTTATGAGAAAAAGAACCATGACTGTGGGGAGGCAGAGGCCATCACAGAGGTTTCTGGGGTTGGGAGAGAGCAGCATTAGGACATTCTTGAAAGGGGTACATCTGGGCTCTGCAAAATATCTTACCTCCCTTAGACTACCTGAGCCAGCATTCTGTTCATTAGAACTGGTTCAACATCCTCCTGGGGAAGTGGCTCAAGTCTACCTTTACTTGTTGTACGCATATGATTGGTATATCCATTCTCTGAACATATTAGGGATTTATATTTGAAGCGGGCCTGCTTGGAAGGCTCAATTGTTGTCCAGAAAAAGCACTGCCTACTTACGGCATGCAAAGATATTTTCAATCAGAGCGAAAATCATGTGAAGCTCAAGTCTTATCTTTCTGTATAATTATAAATCATTTATCCTGGATTGAGCCCTGCTGAGCATAGTTTCATCCTGAGATCACCATAATCCCCCTGAGAACACAGACCGCCTTGCTTTAGCACCTCCTCACAGTGGGCTTATTAGAGAAAATACACAGAAGCTACACGACCAAAACAGAACCTTACCTGAGATCTATCACAGATGTTACCTACAGCAGTGACACATGACAGAGAACTAAAGGGTCTGTGTGCCCTCCATGTAACATCATTGTTCATTATCTGTGTGTCACTGTAGACTTGGCTTCACAGCTCCATGTCTTGCTTAAAAATGAGCAGCAGGATGACAAAATGGAGACAAATATAAAGGTGCTCTCTTGGGAAAGGAAAACTGAATGCTGAAGTGACTTACTAACACATTTTCCCATCTATGGAAGGCCAGGATCATCTGTGCTGTGACAAAGTTTGTTTTCTTCCATGGCTACATCATTGATCCCTGCAAAGAGAGTCTCCTCTTTCAAATTGCCCACCGTTGGGTCTGTAGCACTGTACTTGTGAACTGCACTCATTCACTTAGAACTTGAGTTCATGTCTTGTTCCCTGTCTTCTCCAGGCTAAGCAGCTACAGTGTTCTGACTCTTGTCTTGTGACTGTGAAGGGCAGCTGGAGAACATAATGGCTATGTACTGGACTCCAGAATGTACAGAGGCTACGAATAGAGGACTCTACACTAGAGTGTCTGAGTTCAGATCCTGCCCATACTACACAAAAGCTGTGTGACCTTGAGCAAGTAATCCAATCTTCCTGTTGCTCAACTTTCTTATCAGAGAGTGTGGTGACATTTATAGCTTTTTCACCATGGAGTGCTCAGAGAGGGTGAAATGAGATAATGCCTAGATCCCCTGGTGCAAAGTATGTGCTTCAACAAAGTTGGTTTCCTTTCCCATGCCTTTCTATACCTTGTCTCATCCTCACCTTTTTTCTGTAGTCACACTCTGGCTGTCATCCTTCTAAAATGAGTTGCTAAGAGCAGAGTGCACCTGCAATGCATTGCTCTTGGGATAGTTTTTCCCCTTATTCTTGAAATCCTATATTTCTCTAAAAACATACAAATCTTTAAATGGGACCCACTTTTTATAGCAGAGCTTGGGAAAGTCCCTCATATGTAATGCACTAATTCACAGACATTTAATTTTTTTTTTTGCCTTCTTATCAAACAACACTGAAATGCCCTGCTTAAGACAGGACAAGTGCAGGAGAAAAAAAGCTTTGTACTGACACACAGCTGAATACAGCCTGGTTTGCACCTTCAAACAAAACCTCAACTTCATTTCCAATCATGATTTTAAAGTCTTTTTAGCCCCTTGGTGTGCTCTCTTTCAAGTCTAATATTCACTGGTACAATACATCAGTAGCCTTTAAACATGCTCTTTCAGGCAGGAAATGTGAACTATTAGCAGGAATAAAATATGCCAGCCAAAAGGAAAAGGGTGATAGGCTGATAGGCGCGGGTGTGGGCAAAAGGTGTTTTATGCAATCCTGCTGGGACACCGTCACTTTAGAAAACAATTTTACAGCCATATAGTTAAATTAACTGGTAGTTAGAGGCAATTATGTGATAAAGTAAAAACATTTATGTTCTTTAGAGCTCCAAAACTGTCATTTAAAGTGTGACAATTTTTTAAGGAATTTCACCTGTAACTTTTGAAAGACTTTATGACTAAGGGCATAAAATTGAAACAGGTTGGCTGGGCGCGGTGGCTCATGCCTGTAATCCCAGCACTTTTGGAGGTCAAGATGGGCGGATTGCCTGAAGTTGGGAGTTTGAGACCAGCCTGGCCAACATAGTGAAACCCTGTCTCTAATAAAAATACAAAAATTAGCCGGGTGTGGAGGTGGGCTGGGTAATCCCATCTTCTCGGGAGGCTGAGGCAGGAGAATCGCTTGAACCCATGAGGCGGAGGTTGCAGTTAGCCAAGATCGAGGTTACTACACTCCAGCCTGGGTGACAGAGTGAGACTCCATCTCAAATATATATATATTTATATATATATATATTTATATATATTTATATATATATAAAAATATATATATATTTATATATATTTATATATATATAAAAATATATATATTTATATATATTTTTATATATATATAAAAATATATATAAACAGGTTGTCACTGTGAAACAATATCAAACCTATCTTCTACTTGTAATTTTGTGCTGATGAAATGTCTCAGTCATAATTCTCATGCTCAAAATCTTTACTTTCTAAACAACTGCATTTTGAAATTTAAGATTTAAAAATGTCACTGCTCCCCGAGAAACCTAAAATATGTACATGTGCACAGGCAGACACACATACATACACTTCTTGGTGCCTTGCCATATGTGTGTGTGTGTGTGTGTGTGTGTGTGTGTGTATACATATATATACACACACACATATATATACACACACAGACACACACACACACACATACATTGCCATTTTCTTGATAAGAATAAGCTCATACTTTCTTTCCTTTTTATTGCTAAAAAGTACATTGAGAGCCATAAACCATAGAAAAGGAAATATATCACCTACTACCATATCTTCTACATAGCTATTTTATTGTTACTCATTGTCATTTTTTGTCTCTGCCCATGTACATATACATTTCACACAATTGCAACCATGGTGCATATATAATTTTGTGGTTTTCCTCAGTATTTTATATTGCACATTTTTAGTATTGCTACATAGACTTCAGAACCACCAGTTTAACAACTGCAAAATATTCTTCAGAATGTCTGTGCCATAGTTCATCGCACTATTCTTCTACTATTGGGCACTTAGATGGTTTCTAGTATTTCACTATTGTACATAGCGCTGTGATGAACATATGTGTATGACTGTCTTTTTTTTTGTCTGTTTCCTTGGGCTGGAGTCCCACAAGCCCACAAGTGGGATTACCAGGTCAAAATGCATGCACTTTTAATTTGGTAGCTCTTGATACCTAAGGTCAAATTCCTTTTCAAAGTGTTTTATCAATTTGTATGACCTCTAGCAATATATAAGTTCATCCATACCTCTGTGTATTTCAATTTCATAGCAACATGTTTATTTGTATGGTTTCAGTGAAATTATACATAATTCTAAAGCATTTACTATGGCTCTGAATCTCTGGCCCTGGTTGAAGTCCTTTTGGTCACGTGACTTTAATGGATGTTAATACCACAGCATTCAAATGCAGGTGCATAAGGGGACACACACACACACACACACACACACAGAGTCCCAGATGTTAGACTTCGATGGAGGTGAGGGCTAGGCATATCAGTCAAGTATTTGCCCTGTGTATTGGAAGCACAGAGATATGAAGGAAAATGAAATGTAGTATGTGAGGCTCAGCCTCCTCTTCCTCACTTCATTCTCCCCTCTTCTTTTAACTAGCTCACTGCCTCCATCCTAGACCACAGGTCCTGCAGAGGTTGTATTCTCTTTTATTCATGGCATAACACCAGTCTGTGTGTATTACTTTGTCCGCCTGGCCTTTTGTCATAGTCTAATTGTCTCTAAGGTCACAGTGAAAAGGTGTACATTCAGTCCATCCCTTCCCCCAACTCTGCAACCTGCCCCCAACCAAATGGAGTAGGCCTCTGAACTGAGGAATAACTCAGGAGATAAGTGTGCCCCCAGCTGGCCAAGCAATGCACAAACTCTCTGAGTACCCACCAATACAGATCATGAGTTGTGGTCATCTAATCATGAGAGAATGGATCAGAGCCAGCAACTCATCTCATATAGGTCACTCAGGAGCCCAAGACAGAAATAAGTTTGAATCAATGCAATCAAAAGATGAAAACCTTCATATAACTGGAGGTGTCAGGTGCAAAGCTTATCGATATCCTGAGTTGTCCTAGCTCTCATTAAAAATCATAGCTTTAACCTTTCATATATGATAGTTCTAGTCTAATTTTTATTATGCTGTTATGGGGAATTTATGCCTATTTTATGGCAAATGTGCACTTCTGAAAATGATAATGCCATATTTACTTTTACATTTTCTCCCACATCGAATTTTGCCCCAAGTTGGGGATGTTTCTGCTTGGGACAGTAATCACAAGTTGTGAGCTCCTTGAGGTTTACAGGACATTGGTTTCTCAGCCACGGGAGAATGAATGAGACAATAATACAGGCAGCATGTACCTCTTGAAAAATTATTGCAAATGAGCTCTGAGGATTACTTGAGCTTGGAAAAAGGAACTGCTATGACAGTTGGTGAGTGTGATGCTCACTTGTCCATCACTGCATAGAACTGAGTCCACATGGATGGATGGGTAGGTGGGGAAAAGAAGCTTAGACAACATGGCGGGATCAGCCATGGAGATGAATAAAATCATGGAGGTTTCCTTGACAACACACTCAGATTCCTTGGCTGTAGTCTAGTTCTCACAGTAGGGAATACATATTGTATCCTACAAAAAGGTGTTGTTCTATCCATATCTATACATAAAATTAACTGAGAGCAGAAGCAAATAACATAGTGCCATTTGTCATTTAATAGAAAGAAGTAAATGAGGGCAAGATAAAGCACCTCTTTCTCCCCTCTTCCTTGTTATTTCTGTCTCTACACCTCTCTTGTGGTATTACAGAAATATTTGAGTTTTGTTTTATTTTATACCATTAACATTAAAAAATGGACCCAGAGAAGATGCTTGGTTATTCTTGCCCTGCATCAAACCAAATAAACTTCAAAACTTGGAAGTAAAGGAAACCCTAATTCTAAAATTCATTTTTTCAATCACTTTTGCTCACTCTTTCAATTTTAGCTTTCCATGATATAATAAAAGTAAAACCTCTTGAAAGGTTATAAAGCACCATACCATAGCAACATGTTCTCCAGTGTCTCAAAAGGCCAATACTTGGGCAAAGATACCTTTCTACTCTCTCTTTAATGAGAATTTAGATCTTCCATGGAGCACTTTTAGGGTGAAGAAAGGGAAAACTGGGTGGGGTATCCAACTTCCAATGACCTTTGTCACTATTGCCTGTGCAACTTTAGGCAAGTATTGGGACTTTAATCCAAGGAATGAAGGATACTTGCTTAGGGCTGTAGTGAAAAAAGATCCATTTTGCACACTTCCAAAATCCCTTTAATTTTCTTAAAGGCACTCAGAAACAGGAAGGTTTGTACAAATCAATACCTTAAGTGTTTATAATCATCTTCATTTCAACAACTTTAAAGCCAGTTTTCTAGTTATTAGTGGTTAGTAGACCTAGATGTTTATGATATTTGGTAGCACACAAATGAATTTATTTCCTAGTCCAAAAAAAAACCCATGGTGAAAATGTGTTTGTATTCTAGATCTTTGAAAATCCTATTTAAAACCTTTCTTCCATTTAATATAAGATGGTATTAAGTGATTTCTCCCAATAATACCGCCAAGATATGGAATAGCACTGTAGTCACCACAGGCTCACTATACAGTGGCTTCGTGCCCTGAGAGCAGTTTCACAGGAAATAAGCAGACTGTGCTGGGGAAAGAAAAGGTCCCTCAAGGCTACCGTGAGGAACTTCAGCCCTCCCACAGCCACTCTGTAAAGCAGATGGGCTTCTGGGACCCTCAGGGTCACATCTTCACTTCTGACTTTGTTGCAAGAAGGTGAAGAAGCTTCCCTTCATGCACCCAGCTGGTACAGAGTTTCCTGTTTCCTCTAAGCAGGGAAGGCTGGGGTCGGGGCCTCCATCCCCATTCCCAGAGTTGACTGCAGGCTTTCTCGCTATCTGTTTTCTTTGTCAGGTGCTATAGGAGAAAAGCACTTGGTTGGCTCCATCGGGACTGGAGAATCCCCTGTAATACACATAGCAAAGTGATAAAGGTCATTTTCAGCTCCTAGGTCTGCATGAACTGATTCAGGTAAAAGTGTAATGGTCTTCAGCAATGTGTCCTTGTAACTCATGAGGTGGCTTAAGAAGCCTGGATGCCTTGCTTCATGATCTACACTTGTTGCTATTAATAATATTGATGATAATACTGATATTATATTTAGTAATAATACTAATAGGAAGATCTTCCAGGAAAGTCCATTAGAATTATATGGTATCATAACTTCCTGCATTTTTCTAAATGTTTACAACAAACACATTATTATAGATTCAGAACATTATACACATATGTGCACAAAAACATACTTTGTGCATTTGTATATATACGTACATGTGTATGTGTGTATATATGTGTATGTGCACATCTGTGTGTATTTTTCTAAAGTTGACATGCTATAAACCAAATCCCTAGTTTCTCAGGGCATACTGGAGGGGATTCTCTCATTCTGCAACCTTTTTTTATGGAGCACAATGTTCTGTCCTAAGAGTGTTCATGCTTGCTTTGAAGAAGGTCCAAATGGCAACCAGGACGACTCAGTCTCCTGAGTTCTGTGAAAGCTACATTAGAAGAGCAATGGCTTGTTCCATATTTTTGAACATGTGCAAATTCCCTTGCCTACACTTTGTATACTTCCCCATTTCTGTGTTTGCTTCCAGAAGGGAGAGGGCCAAGAAAGAGCTGAACTTGTTCCAGGGGGAGGTGTTTCTGGCAGGTGCAAGGATTTTAAGATAATAAAAACATGTAACAACCAGCAGTCCCCTCAGCTGAGCCACAGCTGCCTCTCCATGCTGCCTACTAAAGCCTACTTTGGAAGTGTTCTTGGCATCAAAAACTAAGCAGACCCACTTCTGTGTTTCCAACCATTTGATCTTCTTACCACTTAGCCCATCGCTGGGGATTCCCAACCACCAAATTAGGAAAGTTTGAAAAGCCCTTCATTTCCACATCAGTTGCCATCAACTGTGGTAGGCAGAGCACACCATCTTATCTTAAGCACCTCATTTTTCTCAAAGAGCTTGTGGCAAATGAAAAGACACAGGGATACCATTGGATCAAGGGGGATAATGTGTCAGCAGTTTTGCATTTGAGAGAAAAAAACATGTTTTCATTTTAGAGGTGGGAAATTCTAGAATATTCTCTTCCTGGACTAAACTTAGGATGAATGTTGGTGAGAAAATGGAGTTGTCTTTTCTTCTGTATCTGCTTAGCGTAGGTGAAAGCCACAGTGAGCTGCAACTTGACTTCATTTTGATTACTTTCATGTAGGTAGGAGACGAATGTTAATAATGCTTTAGACATACATTTTTATAAGGTTTTAAGAGGCTTTAGGCCAACGTGGCTGGTTTTCTAAGATTTCCTTTATGCTGTATGCACATTTTTGAGCTTCAAACTAAGATTCTATGAGCCTGCTATTTTCAAGTGCAGATAACAACATGATTGAAACAAATCTCTATTAAAGAAGAACAAAGATGGATGAACACATTTTCTTTCATTTTATTGGGACTTACCAAATGCTGAAAGGTAAAAAAAAGTTAAAAACCAATATAGCATAGAAACAGGAGCTCTGTGAGAATATTTGATGTTTAAAACAAAAACGAAAGCAAAACCAAAGTTGAGATATTTCACAAAAATTACTAGTAAAGTTGAAAAGCAAGACATTTTATTCTGCAGTAGGGTCTTTCCCAAGCTTTAGGCTATATAAAGCTAATCAGTGAGTATTAATTAAGCCTCACAACAATTTTCCTGTGATTAGTGGTGATGGTGGTGTTGCTACCGTTTCCGGGAAAATATCAGGTGCTTATGTGGTATGAAGATTTATAAACTGGTGGGTTTTAATTTGGGGAAATTTTAATTTAATTTTCAACATTTTTTCCCTACATGTTAAGACTGGCTTGATTCTCCAGCCACATAGCTCAAGATGTATAAGAAATAATAATCTTCCCAAGAAGTATTTATGTATGTATACGTTGATTTAATGTAAAAAAAATTGGGTCATTTCACAGGTTCACATAAACATCAGAAGTATCTGTGTGTTTGTGTGTATTTTTGTAAGCTGTGATCCTCCACTGACTCTTCCTGATGCAGGCCAAGCTGGAAACAGACTATTTCTGTCTGCTAGGATGTCTAGCTCTTGATGCACAAGCACTAAACAGAATTGGGTTGGAATATGGTGTGACAGGGCCAAGGTTGCAAGCTGGATTCCAATTAGCTTTGCAATGGGGATACAACTGTGTCTTAGGGGCACAGATGCCCCTGGTCATCTTACTGGAAGGTAGCTATGGTTGATCTCCAGGGAAACCTGAATATGAATGGTCCAGTAGGATCAGTTGTGTCCACCGAGATACACATCAAATGTACACGCCCCACCATGGTGGGTTTCTCCTTCATGGCCACAAGGTGCTGGTCATGGGTCCTAAATGCAAAAGGTTAGGGGGCTGGGGGAGGAAAGTTCTCTGTTCCATGGCATTATTTTCTAGGTCATCTACATTGAGACTTTTAAGTTAAGATTTGATTTTTAGTCTGCAATCATTTTTTTTGCACTGAGAGAGAATTCTATTCCAAAATACTTGGAGATACAGTGCACTTACAGATACATATATACCTACATATGTCCAGTGCGGGTTAATTGGCTAGATTTTATTAATTAGACAGACAAGATAAAGCAGTGAAAAGAAACTCAATTTATGAATCAGGCAAATTTAAATTAGAGTCCCAGTGCTATATTACTTTCTACTTGTATAATCTTGGGAAACATTGATAATTTATTGAGTCTTGGATTCCCAAAGGATAAAATGGGGTATGTCTGATATACGTGTTTTTCTCATTTGGTTTTGGTGACACTCTGAACTCTTCCTTGTCTTGCCTCACACTACTTTGCACCTCTTTTTACTTCCATGGTTTTGGAGTTTTAAGTTTCCTTAAAAGAAAACTTTCTATGCCAGCAAATAACAACGCTGAAAGTTTCCCTACCCCTTCCAGTAGGGCTAGCTCCATCCTTCCCTATTGCTCGCTTATGCATAAATGCACTCTAGCGAGTGTGTGTCCCTGTGAGTAGCTATTGGTGTGAGAGCTTCAGGCAGTACTTAATCTCATGTCCCTATGCTTTTCCACCTTGAGTTTTGTGCATCTTTCTGCTTCCTGTCTAGAGAGGGCCTTTCATGTAGCCTAGACTGTTGCCACACTGGGGGAGGAAAAATGATAAGGAGGGCAGATGGATTAGGAAGAGATGATGTCACAAGCTAAAGACAGAAGACAAAATCTAAACTGGAACAAAATAGAATGTCCTCAGATGTTCATTCCAGGGCTTCTTTCCTTCATTCTGTCCTCTGAGTAACAGAAGACATTATTTTCCACCTAGCTCTTTCACGAAATACATGAGGGAAACGCATATATTTGAGTTTAATTTGAGTCTATATTAAAAACCGATTATATTTACTTAAATCTTAGAAGTTAGATTTAGATTAATCCAATAATGGACATGCAAAGTAAAAGAAGACTACAGAATTCAATTCAGAAACTGACAGTCTGGGAATACATGTTGCTATTCTGAGCTATTAGTTATTAATGTCAAGAAAATGTGATGTCTCACTCTGGCCCTGTGGTAAGGTTGTTGTATCATGACACAAATTATAATGTGGTTTGGTATTACAGCCTAAAGGATGTATCTTTCAGGACAGACAACCAACAACCTTAGTAATTGGTCATCTGATCCAGAATAGGTTTTGGTAGTTACAGTGGAAATTGATGAGTGCCCATTGTATTCACCCAGTGATGGATAATTTAGCAGCCTACTTTAATTTACCTTAATTTGCAACTCAATTGGTTATACTTTTTTCCCCCAAAGTGTTAATTTTCAATCAAAGCAGATTGATGTTCACCCTGGGTCCCTTCAGAATCCTAAAGTATTATTTATCTTGAAAATAAAAACTCATCTCTTTGGTATATGTCTACATTTTCTAGGCAAGTTCTAAGGTGTAGATTTGTTGGTTGACTACCTCTTCTTCCCTCATCCCATGCCATCTTGCAAAGAAACCATTTCTTACATAGCAATTCCCATTATAGTAGTTTTAGATAAGTCTGTAATTTTAATGACAACTTGCCCTTCTCCAGGTTTAGAAATTTTCATATAGTTATCTCTAAAAGTTATTTCCACTTATTGATCAACATAGCCATTCATATCGTTTAACAGATTGCTGATCTAAGCTCTCAAGATTAAAAAATACTTGCTTTAGGCTATAATTGTATTGAAGGCTACCCCCAAAAAATACGAGTCCCCCCACCCCTACTTTTCCCTCTCTGTTTAATCTTTCTGATTCCCCTAAAGTTGTTTTCTATGTTCCCAGAGCCACACATGGGAGCAACCCATTCTTCTTTTTCTCTCTATTTCCAAAGTCCTTCATATTCCAGAAGGTTTCCTGATTCCTTTCTCCATCATAGTTTATCTATCCTGAGTTCCATTTTCCCAGGACTTCTTGGATGACATGTACTAATCTGAATTGTTTGACCTTAGAGGTTAATGGGTTACAGTGGCCTGATGCACTAATACTTCCATATTTTAAAATACAATTCCATATTTTAAAATATAATTGACCACAGTATTTTTAACTTACTTTTGAGTCCTAAATTTCCAGCACAGTGCTTGACAAATAGTAGATATTCAATTTCGAGCCAATAAACATGTATTCAATAGCTATTCGTTGAATAGATGATAACGACAGTTATTCACATTCTAACAAGAGTATTAGTGTTAACCCAAAGGTTCCCATGCTGATGTTGTCATCAAAATTCAGAGCACACTTTATTTTGGATATTTTGGGATTGGGAAACTCCAGAAAGTATGCTGAATGTTGCAAGTTATTGACTGTTTGATCCACCATAGGAAAGTCTAATAAAATTAATTTTACAAAAACAGAGTTTTATATAATACCTGGTTGCATCCACTTAGTAAGAATCAAAACATTCTAATAAAATTTAAAATATTTAGCCTTAAGCCTACTTTTTTAGTTTATTTTCGTGGTCAAAATTAACCAAACTTCTTTAATTATTTTATTGGAGATGAATAGGAAAGCTTCTGATGAATGGCAGAGACTTTCAAATACTCCAAGGCAAGTCTACCAACATAGTTTCACTCTGGAAGTTCACTCTGGTCTAGCAAATTATTCATTTTCTGATCTCTTCTATCCATCTTTATAAACTTTACTCTTACTTGTTTAGAATAAAGGGTTTTTTTTCTCCACTTGGGCATAGTGAAAGTACCCAGAATCAATTTAGCAGGTTACCATCTTCTTGTCATAAAATCATGGGAATGAAATAACACTCCAACAGTTATAGTATTCCAGAGCTTGAAGGAAACACTGCAGATCACCTAGTTCAAACCCTTCAGTGAAAAAAAATAATTTAAAAAGGTGGAAAAACACTTGTCTTAAAATAACTAGCCCATAGGTGACATAGTAGGTGTAGACTAAAATTTAGGCCCTTTAACTCCTTGTATTAGTTTGTTGTCATGCTGCTAATAAAGACATACCTGAGACTGGGAATTTATAAAGGAAAGAGGTTTCATAGACTCACAGTTCCACATGGCTGGGGAGGCCTCACAATCATGGCTGAAGGCGAATGAGGAGCAAAGTCACATCTTACATGGTGGCAGGCAAGAGAGTGTGTACAGGGGAACTGCCCTTTATAAAACCATCAGATCTTTTGATACTTATTCCCTATCATGAGAACAGTATGGGGGGAAACCACCCCCATGATTCAATTATCTTCACCTGGCCCCACCCTTGACACATGGGGATTATTACAATTCGAGGTGAGCTTTGGGTGAGCACACAGCCAAACCATATCACTCCTATTCCAGGATTCCTCTGTAGCACTATGCTTCATCATGAGCCATAAAGTCTTTACTTTATTCGAAAACCATTTTTGTTGAACATCTATACTGTGTCAACATTGTTAAAGCATTGCTGATATAGTGATATAAAACTGATGACATCCCAGTGTCCTACCCCTGCCCTCAGGATACTTACAGTCTAATGAGCATGATAAAGGTCTAAACAGATACCTATCAACAGTAAATGTGCAGGACATTGTGGGAACATTCAGCAGGGCACCTAACTTGACCTGAGGTCAAGGAGGACACTTGAGCTGGCTTCTGTCCTGAGCCTCATATCTAATTTGAACAGATGCACAGTCATTGCTAGGAAGAGCATCTGGACACCTGAGCTGGCTTCTGTCCTAAGCCTCATAGCTAACTTGAACAGACACACAGTCATTGCTAGGAAGAGCATCTGACTTACTTGGCATGTTTCCCCCAAAGCCACACGAGTGCTTTTATGACATTCCACTGGCATATTCTATATAGTATTGGCTGTAACTAGCGGAAACAAGTTATTGACTAAAAAGAAAATGCACATCTCAGAAAAAAAAGAGTACTGCTTGAAGCAAAATAGTACTGTAAACATTAGGAATGGATAGGGAAGCAAAGTAGGAATACTGAAACCTCTAGCTTGGTAAGTTGTTAAGCCAAAACAGGTCTCTTGCTCAATAGTGTATTACTTGTGAGTTGTACATAAGCTTGGCCAACCATTGTAAATCACCAGGCCAAACAAGTAGCTTCATAGGGCCAGAGTCCAGAACTGCATGTGTAGAATTGAGAATAAAACACATTTCTATGGTCTGCTCAAAGGAGTAGCACCTATAGCATAATGGAGATCCTAAGGATGGTGACTTGTTGCCAATTTAGAAAGGCATATAAGTTCTCCAAGGTTTATATATTCCAGAATACCTCAGGCTTAGCTTTTAATCTAATTAGTTTCCCATCAAAAAATATTCTTGTCAGACTGTTGGGTTATTTTGCTTTGGAGAAAAATATTTCTTGAACATTATAGTGGAAGTCAGAGGAAAATAGGATCTAATATTACAGAAATTTGTTATTGGCTGATTATTATAACATATCCAGAATCTTAGGTGCACCTGCAGTTCAGTTCTGTGATTGGTCTTCAGGATTTCACTGACTGTCAATGTCTTCATGTTTCTTGTTATAACAGCAATCTTGCTCTGTATATATGCATATATAACAGTTTTTTTAAGGAAATGTGAAAATGTTTCAAAGGGTCTTTTTAAAAATCAAATAAGCAGCTGCAAATGGGGAAATAACCATTCCGACTCTGTTTGGGAAACAGCTCTGATCACTCAGAGCATTCAGCAACAGCACAGAGAACTGATTTAGAACAGCTCTGAATCTACCAAGAACACAGCCCTAAGTTAATTCAACTGATTGTAATCTTGGCAGCTCTTTTTGGATTGCTAACACTTTGCAGCTGTAAAAATAAAACAGCAACACCCTTGAAATAAGTTAGGTGCATATATGAAAAGCACAGCTGGGCTATTCCCCCGATCATCTGTAGATACAGGATTCTGTTTTTGAATGGTATTTTGCAAAGGGGAAAGACCATGGACATCTCTGAAGAAATGCCAGAATTTCAGAGAGGATTCATTCACAGTTCTTTTTTTCCCCTCTACCATTTCTCTCCTGTGTCTCTGGCACCATCTTACTACATAGAAAATGCTGTTAGAAACATCAGTTTTGGCTGAGTCCACACAAAACCAAGTAGAGATCAAGCAATTTTTCGGAGGCTCACAATAACAGAGAATCTGGATGATTCTGGGCATGAAAGTTTTTTATTTACTATAGGGATTCTTTCATCTTGAATTTTTTTGGGGGATTATTGTTTATGCTGATATCGTCTTTGTAGAAACACTTAGATACTTTAAGAGTCAAATTACAGTGTTGATTTTTTAGTGTAGTGGAGCTAAAATATCTTTCTGGAAAACTTTCATCCCAACTCTAGCCTTCCTAACAGCATTTTCAACCAAACACTTGAGTATTTCTTATTTGCAATGTTCTTTACTATGTTGCACATGAATGTTTTGTCACATCCAAGAATGTCAGAAAGCTCCCTGAAGGCAGGGTCTACATCTTTTCTCAAACACAGCCTCTCTGTATTGTGCCCATCATAAATTTGATCATGTCATTAAAATTCTTCCATGGTTCCCCTTTATCTTGTAATTTATACCTAATTCTTAAGTCTGGTTCAGTCTTCTGTCCTATACTCTATTCCATCAGCTTTCTTTTCCATTACTAATGAGTTTCTTGCTCTTGGGACACTCCAAATTTGCTTACAGTTCTCAGCTTTTAGAAAAATTGTACTCTCTGTCTGAAATGTGCTCCCCACTCTGACTCTTGGCCACCTGGGACACTCTATTTTTCCTTTCAGTTCACTCTGACCTTCCTTTTGAAGAATTCCTCAACTTCCCTAGGGCAGCTCTACTTGTCCCTTCCACAGTTTTCCCCAAGGATGGTATGAATTACTTCATTTTAAGATTCATCATATTGCTTTTCAATGAGATGGTGCACTCCCTGAGGCCAGTCTTCTCTCTTCATTCTTCTATTCGGTATGTAGCTGCTGACCAATTAGGACACCATCCACGCACACATCCAGTTCCTCCGTCTGGTGCATACTGGCTAAGAACAGCCTGCCTGCGTTACCAGGAACTACAATATATTCATTCACTGTTTACTGAACAAATGGAGAGACTCAATTTATGACTGAATAAATGAGTAAATGCATGCTTTTTTTTTTCAGTACAAGTTAACGAAGTAACTTTATTTGTTTCTTAGTGGCAAAGGATGCCTTGCTAATTTTGAAATGCTATCTCACATTCAGAGGTCGCCCACCATAGAAACCTGGAAATAAAGTTTCTTGACATTTTATTCAGATCCTGTTTAAAGTAGGTCTTTCTAAGCTACAGGCAAATCTCGTTTATATGTGGGTGGATTCCCTGAATTATGGCTTACTCACAATAAACCATGTTTTAAAGTTCTTATTAAGAATCAGCACCTACTCTAAATTAATTAAGTGTTCACAGTGTGGCTTCATTACATAGTTTGAAGTGTTTTGAAATCCCAGAGCAGTAGACACATCCATATTCAAATGTAAGTGCAACACACACACAAACACACACACACACACAGCTAAATATAAAAGTCTTTCAAATCATGCTCCTGATCATCTCTTGCATGAGTAGTTTTCCAGACTCTTCAAAGTGCATTCTAATGCATTTTGTGAGACCAGAGAGGCTTGTATCATTCCCTTACACAGATGAGAAAACAGATACCAACAGGATCAATGATTTCCCCAGTGAAATGCAACTCCATCATGATAGAGAAGGGCCCAGATCCACCAACTCCTGGATCGAACTTGTATTTTTGGCTATATTTCTTTGCAGTTGTATCTGTGCTTCCCACAGTGCTAAGCACAAATAATCAAGAGCTGTAGTTCCTTTCTTTGCTCCTGTTTGTATATTTATTTCCTTGGTATAAGACTCAGCCAGTTGGGAGGCGAAGGTGGGTGGATCACGAGGTCAAGAGATCGAGACCATCCTGGCCAACATGGTGAAACCTCGTCTCTCCTAAAAATACAAAAATTAGCCGGGTGTGGTGGTGCTTGCCTGTAGTCCCAGCTACTCAGGAGAATGAGGCAGGAGAATCGCTTTAACCCAGGAGGCAGAGGTTGCAGTGAGCTGAGATCACGCCACTGCACTCCAGCCTGGAGACAGAGCAAGACTGTCTCAAAACAAAACAAAACAAACAAACAAACAAAAAAAAAAACTGAGCCAGGGACTATACGGCAAATGACCTTCGTCTCAGAGGCATTTAAAATTGCATTAATATAACATTATAAATCTTTTGATTATGTGAGCCTATTTCTTTTGGGAATAAATTTACAGTGTTTTAATTGTCACCAGGATATGTTAGCTAGCAACACAGTTGTAAACACGTTAGTAGAAATTTCAGTGGCAGTACCAGGTGATGACAAGCACATCACAATATAGGAAAGACTTTGAAATAAAATTGTTATGTTTTACATTAATTGGCTAGATAATAAAATTCAGCAAAGCAGAATGTTTCTTGCAATATGCTTTCTAACACCTTGTCCGGGAAAGGCGTGGTTATCAATTTCCCTGAAGCTTAAGTCACAGTGTGAACATTCTCAATAAGAAGAGGGTTTTTCAGGATTCTTAGCTTAATGTGCCTTTTCCTAATCTTATCCCATGAGCTCTAAGTAGATCTTCTTCATACCAGGCAAATTATTTCCTTTTTTCCTTTGGGTTTACATCCTCTGCATGGTTGTTAAAGGTGTGTCTGTTCTTTGTATCCTCTTTAAATAACCAAATTTTCTAAAGTTAATTTTTCCCCTATACATACATCAAAGTTCTGACATGAAATTATAATTTTATGTAGATTTTTTGACAGTTGGAAAATTCTGGAAAGGTTATTTGTTACTAAACTCAATAAAAAAGACTTATTTTTTTAGAACATTAAAGTTTGCCTGAAATAAACCTATTTATTGCTGTTTCAAACAACCACACTCTGTCATGTACTATAATATGTATCAATAGCCACTGTGGTTATCTCACACACCAATCAACAGACCAGTGGATTCTGGTACAGATAATTCGTTTGATTCTATAAGATATCTTTGCTAAGATGCTGGCTTCTCTGAAGTTGATATATTCTAATATTAGTACTGGGACTTCGTTTGAATTTTTAACTCAAAGAGATACAAGACATATGGGGCTCTTCCAGACCTCAACTTGTCTGACATGCTGCTGGGTCCTGTGGGAACTGAAGTGGAGGGCAGGACATACTGCAAAAGCCTTTAACCCCATTGTATCAACACCCAACTTCTTCAAACTTTCTTGAGTAAATATCTATTGATACCTATCCTGGACCAGACACTACTAGATGTGAAGAATATAATATGAGGAAGTGGAAATTTGAACAACTGACTGTAATTAGGAATGTCCTGGATCCTGAGCAATCAGAAAATGTGTAGCTTCTATCAAATTACTATAGTTTTTGAGAAAATATCTCATCGCACTGTCCTTTTCTTCTCTGATCACATCTTAGTCTCTCTACCCCATCCCTAATTCTGTGTAATGCTCTCAAGCTTTGATCTTCTGCCTTGCTTCTTTCTGAATCATCTCCTTGAAGAGCACATCCAGTCTCATGTTCTGTGCCCACAGCCATGTTACTTACTTCCACGTCTACTCCTCCAATGCTAACTGTTCTCCTGCATCGCTGCCTATGATTGATATTTGGATAATCTCTTGTCAACTCTCCACACATTCGAAACCAAACTACACATTCTCCCTTCTCTCCAGAATCTCTAGCCCAGCATTCCCATTCCCACTGACAGCCATGTATTATCCCAGACACAAAGGTAGCAACTCTTGAGACACACGTCATTTATCCTTGATTACTTCCTTCCTTGCGCCTCCGTAGCCAGTCTATCATCAAGCTTCATGATTGGTCCTCTGAGGCAACTCTTAAATTTGTTCCATCTCCTAATTCCAACTGCCAACATCCTTGCCCAGACCCATGTAGCTCAAGCCTAACTCACGGCAGAGCATTTGAGCCAGTATTATTTCTTCTAATTCATTCTGTATACATAAACAAAATTTTAAAGTCTTTCTCCTTTTTAAGACTTACAGTGCCTTCCCAATGCCTTATATTACCTAATCTAAACTCTGCCTAACTTTCCAATGTCTCATAATGCTTCAACCTAAGTGCCACCTCAGCTAAGCAGAGGGAGGCACTGCTTCCCACTTAGCCTGGGCTAACCTGTACCTTCTACCTTGAACACTTATTTACCACGTTTCCTGACTAAACAGCATCTTGCCTTATCCTCTTAATCCATACAAGTTGTATTTGTTCTTTAAGGAGGGTCTGCTTTGTTGTTTTATAATCTGTTCAAACCCATCCCTCCTAGCCATGATACATTTATCAAGCTTTACTCTCTATTATTTGTAGTGTGAAAAGAGGAATGTTTGTTTTTCTCACTTTCTGACTATAAAATTAATTCTTATTTATTGTGATTTTTCCAAATTATGCTGGAAGAGATTGTCATAACCAGTATTTCCTGGTTTTACTCTTCTAAGAGAATCACTGGCTCTACTCTTCTAAGATGCTTCTTATACCACCTTGGTGTTATCTGACTTCTATATCTAACTGCTTATAGATGCATCACACTGATGTTTTCTTAATTAAATGTTTTCATGCATTGTTATCTAAGTGTATAATAAAGACTGATTAAGGCAAAGAGCATGAAGTATTTTTACATGGAGAAATTACTCCCTAAATATTCAGTGATGGCTTGGGTGAGTTGGGTAACTTTTAAAGTTATTTTTTTCCATCTTCTTAGGTTTCTCTATGACTTCTGCCTTGTACAATAATACCATCTTTGGGAATTATGGATTTTAGTGACCTAAATACATTATGATTGGCTTAGTTGTAATGGATATGGAATAGCTGATTGTATGTTTTGTTCTTAACTACATTTTATTTTCTCAATATTCATAATCAATATTTACCCTGGAAAAGACAACATGAGACCAATAATAAGATATATTTTTCAGGTGAAGACATGGATATCATTACTGATTTGTACACACCTAGACCCTCAGTGATGAACACCTAGACCCTTCTAAGACTCAATCGGTCTGAGTCTAGAAGCCAATGGTACAATCTGACGACTGAGACTGAACTTGCATTAGCTAAGAGAGCCAAGGGGCTCCTCCCAAGCCTTCATTGTGTCCCCAATAAGAATGGATACCCTTTCCTCTTGGCCTTCAAAGAACTTTTCACCTCTTAATAGCATTTGGAATCCCTATGTGAAGCTCTTTGAAGTTGAAGACAATACCTTATTTATTTCTATACTCCTCAAATCCACGACAAAATCAAAGTAACCACCATTTATGGTGGAACTCCTCCTTTGTAGAGGTAATGTAATGGTACATTGCTGTAGAGAGTTTATGGTTATGTAGAAGAGTTCTACATAAATGATTGTTACATTAAATTGAACAAAAATGAAAGCTTTATCTACCGGGAACATTAGCATTTCAAGGAATCACACCATTCTAAATCACAGATCAATCTTTCCAAAGCAGTTAAAAAACTGTTCATAGTTCCCAACCAAATAAAATCCAAATCCTACAGCATAGCATTTGAGGCTCTTGATGGCCTGAATTTAACTCACGTTTCCTGCCTTCTTGCCCACTCCTCCCCATGAAGCCAAGACAAACTAACAAGCTACTTTCTGTATCTGCCCCAATTATCTTAACATCTTCCAGTGTGCTGCTTTCACTTACCTGAAGATTCATTCAATCTTCACATTTACAAATTCAGCATACCTTTGAATTATGCATGACATGAGGCTTTCCCTCATATCCTCTCTCTTTCCCTGCCCGCATCTCTCATCCTGTGCTACCTGGAAATGAAATACTAACTTTTGAAAACTCCCATACCATTCATCTATGTCTTAATTTATTTTTTTTTTGTATTTTTGTCACTTTCTATCTAGTATTATAGTGGTTTTGTATCTGTCTTAACTCCCTCTAGGGTATCAACTTACCTGATTTGTTGTTTACTCCCCTAAGGTAACTAGCTCTTATGTACAGTAGGTGCTTAAAAAGTACTTGTTGAATTGCTAATAGAACGGTTTTTCAGAATCAAGAAATATCTAGATCCACTGCCCCATTTTAGGGTCAAGGCCTAGGGGCTGTTTTGTGTGGTGGTTAACATCAGGTACTTTGAAGCAAACTGAGTGCATACCCCATATCCCATATCTCTTTGCCTCTTCCTACTCAGTGACCTTGGGCAAGTTACTTGACTTCTGTCTACCTTTATGTTCTTATCTGTGGGATAGGTGAACACCTGTATCTACCTCATAGGGTTTGGAATTTAACAAGTAACACATGTAAACACTTAGAGCAGCACCGGGTACACATAAGTAAGCATCACATAAGCATAAGCTCAATCCCTCAGAGCAGCTTTCTCAGACTCTGTTGCTAATTTTCTGAAAGGTCTTTTCCTGTCATCTCATTGTTGTTTTTTGTGTTTTTTTGTGTTTTTTTGTGTGTGTGTTTTTGTGTTTTTTTTTTTTTTGTCACATTCTTGATCCTCTCATCCCTCCTGCTTGACTGATCCTGAAATTCTCTGGTATTGAATAATTTTGCCCCCAAAGCTGTTCTACATTATGTCTATTTCTAGTTTTCCTGAGCTTAATATTACAAATACCTACATTTACATTTGGTATGCATAGACTAGTGTTTATATATAGAACAAAGTGGCAGATATGTAATATGTAAATGATGAATGGGTTTTTCATCAGTGTAGCAGGGAGAGGCAGTGCTGTGTTAGAAACAGTATTATACAAGGAATTTGGGTGTGTGCATGCAGGTAAGGGAGCATGAGATAGAGCAAAAATTTATGTGGGGTGAAAAAGTAATTCTTCCATGTAGGAAACTTCTTCAAGAATCTCAAATCCCCGAAAGCATTACGTAGTCTCTCCAACAGTGGGATACTGCCAGACCAAGCTACTTATTTACATGAGCATTTGTTTATAAAAGTCAAGAATGGCATATACTTAATATAAATGTATTAATGTTAGTAACTATTCTATTTATTTTAAATGAAAATTATTTTATTAGGCTGCATTAGCGTTTACCTTTAGGGAATAAATAGTAATTGTTGGCCAGGTGTGGTGGCTCATGCCTGTCATCCCAGCACTCTGGGAGGCTGCGGTGGGTGGATCACTTGAGGCCAGGAGTTGGAGACCAGCCTGGCCAATATGGTGAAACCTCATCTCTACTAAACATATAAAAAAATTAGCTGGGCACGCCTGTAATCCCAGCTACTAGGGAGGCTGCGGCACGAGAATCACTTGAACCCGGGAGGCAGAGGTTGCAGTGAGCCGAGATCGAGCCACTGTACTCCAGCCTGGGTGACAAGGTGATAATTTGTCTCCATTTAAAAAAAAAAGAAGGCATTTTTGGCTTAGATACCTTCTTGCTAGTAGTGTTCCACAGACAGACACACATAGTACACTTGGACATTCTCAGTGTCCTTCTTTCCTTCCAGGTGATAGGCACCCTGGCAATCTGTGCCACAAAGCATTATATAACTCTGGGTTGATTTCATATGTGATGGCTTCATATTAGATACATGTCTCTGTCTTTGCACCTCGGTTAAAGTTAATGTATCAGTAACATTTTACAATGAAACTTTTAAAAAGCACTTACATTACTCATAAATCTGACACAATTCTGCCATTTTGAATTTTGACTCTTTCATCCAATCAGAGGAACCATAGCACATTCAGCGTGAGTTGCACAAGCCTATGTGGTATCCCAGTTTTGGCTTCTATGTTAAACTCAGCAAACAAGTTCCATCCATCCTCCATCCATCTAAGAAGCCAAAAACCTTGTCTCTGCACATTCTTCTTCCAATGGCCCCCTGTCCTCTCACAAGTAGAATATAATGGTCTGGTGGGGGCACAGTCAAGGGGTGCAGCTTTGGCAACACTAATAGCCATCATTCACCCCCTCAGTCACACATCCACCCTGACAGCTCATCTCGGCTCAGTGAACTGTCACTCCACTGTCTTCACTTCCCGCGCTTCCCACACACCCTAGAGAAAGTGAATCTACAGACTTCATTTTGAACTTTAAAGAAAATGACCGAATGAAAACACTTTCTGCTGACTATTGTACTCTCTACAATATTCCAAAAGATAATAGCCATAAACAGCTATTGAATAATCTCCATGATATGTTTTACAGATAAATGCTGTGCTAAATTCATTATCACCATGTCTATGCTCAAAGTTTTTGTCTCTTTATTAATGATTTCCAGAAGAGAGTAGAGGCTGCAATGTTATTTTTTGTTGGGTTTATTGGTTTACACCTATACTGCCTGAACTAGATTCATGCTTTCTTTTTGAAAATTTTCACCCAAGTAATCATTATAATTTCTTACCATCTACAGATGCATTAGGCAGGTAGGAAAAATAAACACATTATCTCAGGGATAAAAACTTTAGGCACCAAAGACTTCTCTATTTTATTACAGCCAGCCTACGGATTATCAGTGGTGGCACTTAAAGTATTAATAACATCTGAGGACTTTTTTTTTCTGTTTTACTTGTGAATGTGCCATGGAAGATGGGCTGTTTCTTCCTCAGACTTGGTAGCCTCATCATGATCATCATCATCAATATCATCAAACAATTTTTATTTAAAGCTTAAATTGAAACTTCACTGTGCTGGGTGGTATACACTTCTCTTTATACACATGCCAACAAAAGTGGGCAATGAGGTCACCCTGAAATTTATATATAGTGAATTTCCTGGTATCCAGCTGTACTCAGATATGGAATATTCAGCTAAATGAAAGATTTCAATGAAACTGAGATACTTAGTCAATATCTGCCATCAATAGCAGCCTTGAAGGATGTATCTCCACAGGATCTTTACCAGCCACTGTGGATTGGCCAAGGAGTGCACAAGAGGCCCCATGAGAATCAATCCTCTCACCAACCAGCAACCAACTGAATACTCCATCCTAAGAACTTGTACTGAGAGACCCAGAATGAAAAGGTTGGGATTGACTTTGACATCTAATAAAGGTTTGGAGCCAGAATCAGTGCCATAGCAACTCAAAGCTTAATGTAAGCCAAAGCGATAGGGAGCTGGAACCAAGAACCCTGAGGAAAAGTCAATGCGCAGTGAGAGGGATATGTCAAATGCACAGCAGAGATGAATAACGGTGCAAACCCAGAGGAGGAGGGAGAGAGACTGTTAGAGGTTCCAGGAAAGTCAGATGCACTTCATGCAATTAGATTTTAGGAGATTTTACTGTATTCTTTCAATAAATGTCTTTATTCATTGACAGTTTTTTGGTTTTGTTTTTGTTTTGATGGTGATGGAAGGAAGTTCTTTACAAATAAATTATCCCTGAAAAAGACATCAGTCAACCAAGACAGGCTAATTTTCAGAGAATTCAAATATATTTATGACCATTACAGGAAAACTTCCTGGACTGTAATCTGATTTTACATTGAGGCTTGAGAATGTTCTCCAGGATCTCGCCATGGTCAAGGTCTTTGGATACCAAAAAGAGAGGCAGAGGAATTAACTGCCGGGAGTGGGGCTGGAGTGTATAGTGTGAAGAGAAGAGTAGAGGTGCCATTGTATTAGACTGGTGCAAAAGTAATTGTGGTTTTGCCATTACTTTTGCACCAACCTAATACCACAAGGAACATTCTGTTAGTCCACTGGGTGCTTTAGAACAAGAATCCCCTCCCCTCCAACACATGCAAAGAACAGTCCATAACAACATGACCTCTAATTGGTAGTTCATTAGGAAAGTGAATAAATAATTATAGGCATGGGGGAGACTGCAGGAAGAGAAGGCAGGCTGGAATCAGCCAGAGCTTTCTCTCCCACTGATTCCCAATAAAGCATTGTGTCCTGACATTGACCCCTTGGAGGGGATGAGTCTGGGGGGAGACTGGTAATGTCCCCACAACTCTCAACCAATCCCTGTTCTAATGAACAACCACAGAGTAAGTGCCAACTAAATCATTGAATTCATTTGTCAAAAAGGAGATCATCACAAATACATATCCACATATATACAGTGCCTTTACCTGAAAATATGTTCAATGATATAAAGTGCTTTTTTAAAATAGCATCTGCCAAATGGGTAGCTACTTTCTAATATCTGATAATTTTGGTACAAACTATGTTACAGAATCCAGTATGTTTGGCCATGTAATGAAAGACCAAATATAATTTGTTTATGCATATGGAGGCAAAAGGGCAGAGTGAGGTTATGATGAGGATTTCCTGTTTGAATCCTAGTTTCTTTGCACTTTAAACCACAATCTTAATGCCAAGCTGATATTCTGCACATATAATTTTAAAGTGTCTATTTGCTATATGTGTATTTATAGCAAATTGACAATACATGGTTTCTTCCCTGGAGTCTAACTTGGTAGGAAACTTTTCATATACATATAAAGATATATGTCTTTGACCTATTTTCATTTTCACTTAGATTTTGTTTTGGTTACATTAAAGGCAAATTGGATAGACTGTCATGATTCATTGATCCTTATTTTTAATTTCTTGTATAAATATGTCATTATTCATAAATACATATATAGTGAAGTAATTATGCCAATAATAATGAACAATTATTGAATACTTATTCTGGCCAGATAGTGTGCTGAGTTACTAGTTTGAATTATTTCATTTAATTATATCCATGACCCTATGGGACAGGCACCATTCTTAGCCCCATTTTATAGACAAGGAAACTGAGGCTATGAGAGGTTTTAATAACTCCTCCAAGATCATCTAGTTAATGAGTAGCAGCAGCAGGACTCAACCCACATTTGTCTGTCTCCACCCTTCATCATGGCTTCGGACCCACACTCTTTCTCTATACATCTCCTACAAACTCAAGTGATTTAAGCTAGGATTTGTATTTGGGAAAGCTTTGATCTTAAAATCATCTCTTCAGACTTCTGACTTCTGGCAATGCCCTTTATTCCTCACAGTATATTCAAAATCTGTCTGAGGTCTCTTTAAAAATCTTGTGATCTTAATTAGGTAAACTAGCAAAAAAACTATGTCAAAGAAATAATCATAGAGGATTTGTTAAAAGAGAAGAAAGGTTTGAGTTTACGTATATATTTTATATGACAATGGTCTTTTATATAAATGCCCCAATTTAGGGAACTATTGTCTAATTATGAAGTTCTTAATTTTGTTGTTTTAAATTCCAGTATGTGGTATTCAGAATGAAATCTATTAATGCATTTGCTCAAATTATTTTGGATTACTCACAAGTTAGATGTTCTGTCTGAATGTGTTTGTCATGACAAAGAGAAATACAGGGAAGATTTTAAAAACATGAAGTCCACCATTTCTAAAGGAGATTCAACTAAATTGGGTCCTCTACACCTGTGGTATGTATCTGTCAAAGCAAATAGCTTCTCCTGTTCTGCCATGTGAGTCGGGGCCTGAGAGGATCATCAAAAGAGCATCTTCTCAGCCCAAAAGCATGACAGGAAACAAGAGATGTGATACCTTTGCTTCCGTCCTGACTGCTGAGTGGAGCTATGGTGACTGCTTCCTCCTCCCTATGGCAGTGAGAACTTGGTAAGCTCAGGCTGAATCATGACTTTTGGTAGGAGCTGCATTTCAGACTGCGACTATTACCCAAAGAATGAACATGAACATGAACATGAAACATGGAAGGCTTTAAATATCTTCCTGGAACATGCTCTTTCAAACTGGCAGCAAATGGCTGGAACGATCACCCCTTCATATAAAATTACTTACAAAATAAGAAAAATGTAGGTTTTGAAAAATAAATATGATAGCCTTCCCTGAATCCCTAACATCTCCACAAGGTTTACATCAATGACCCTCATTTGTGGAACAAAGCTCTTTCCAAATAGGGCTAGTGGAGCCATCACTAATTAAATATTGAGAAAATAAATTAAGAAAAGTAAAAAAGTGTGCCTCAAAGTGAAGATGACTTGTTTTTTTTTTTTTTTTTAGTGCTACAGATACTTAGAGCTAAAATGGAGAAACATCCAGAAGAATTTGAATCTCTTTCATGAGTGTGACTAGGTTAGGCTTAGGAAAGTAGATGACAGCCTGTGTGGAAGCCTCCCTTTTCTTATCATCCCTACTTTGAGCCTCCCCTTCCAGCTAAAGCCTTGTTGCCCAATACAGTTGACCCTTCAACAACACGGGTTTGAACTGTGCTAGTCCACTTATATGCTTATATGCAGATTTTTGTCAATAAAAGTTATACCAGTGTACCTGCCTCACCTGCCTCTCCTCCCACTTTCTCAACTTTCTTACACCTTTGCCACCCATGAGACAGCAAGACCAACCTCTCCTCTTACTTCTCCTCCTCAGCCTACTCAACATGAAGACGAGGAAGATGAAGACCTTTATGATGATACACCTCCACTTAATGAATAGTAAACATATTTTATTTTTAATGCTTTTCTTAATAATTTTCTTCACTCTAGCTTACTTGATTGTAAGAATAAGGTATATAATAATATAACATAAACATGTGTGTTAATCAACTATTTATGTTATTGATAAGACTATATTTTCTCACCCTTATTATTTTTTAATAACATTTTTCCCCAGCTTACTTGATTGTAAGAATATGGTATATAGTATGTATAACATGAACATATGCGTTAAGCAACTATTTATGTTATAGATAAGACTTCAGACAATAGTAGGCTATTATTCACTGTTTTTGGAGAGTCAGTTATATGTGAACTTTCAACTGTGTTAGGGGTTGGTGCCCCTTACCCCTGAATTGATCAAAGGTCAACGGTCAACTGTATGTATTTTCAAAGGGCCAGCCAGGATAAAAACTACATTTTCCAGCCTCCCTGGCAGCTGGATGTGGCCTAGTTCTGGCTAATGCAATATGAGAGGAAATAATATGTCAAACTTCCCTGTAGCAACCTTAAAGGAGGGCCTTTCCTTTTATCTATCCTGCTACATGGTGGTGGGCCTTATTGAACCATGCATATCAGGACTACATGCTAAAGAGAAAAATATCCCTTCATTCCACAATTACGTATGAGGCTGAAAATCCAGTCTTCTAAATGTTGGCCAACTGAGAAGGATGGAGAGGAATGAAATGATAAAAGTAAGATACAAGTTAAATGGCCCCGCAGACCAACTTGCCTGTTTTCCAACTCTACTTCAAATTGCAAGCCTTTGACTAAAGTTTGAGGACTGTACTCTTGGTTACCTTAAAAAAAATTGGACAATCAGCCCTTAGGAGCCATGAAGTGATGAGCAAGATCTAGATGTGGGGCTTTCTTCTTGGGAATTCTCATCTTAGTTACAGCTTAAGTAAAGACAAAACTGAAAATGCATAAGAATTTAGTTATTCCTCTGAACACTGATATGGTGAATAAGTGTGGAGGAGCTGAAGCATTGTCCTTATTCAGCTAAAAATGAATGCAGTGTCCACATTAAAGTTTAAAACAGAGACTCAGGATTACATCAACCAGGTGCCTTACACCTTCCTTGGTTTTGTTCTGGGTGTAGTCAAGCATGAAGAGCTGAAGTGGCCATCCTCCCACCCCATGTCTGGATGGAAATAAAATGATACTACCTTTTGCCAGCTAGAAAACATTTACTTACATAGCACAGGAGCTTTTTATGTTGAAGTAATATGGGAAACCTGGCCTTAAAATAATAGTAACAAAGAACTGTGCTTTACTCTACTGACATGCAATATCTTGAAATCTGCAGGGGATTTTCAGACCTGCTGGGGGTTATAGAGTGTGAAAAAACAGCTGTTAGCAGTTTCAACAGTGGATTATTTTACAGAAATTTTCATGAAAAAAAATTCACAAGCATTTTCCAGTATTTATTTATTTTTCCTTTTCTTCAGGAAGCGTCTAAGGAGGAATATAAATTTAGTTTCCTTTTTCCCCACTGCTCAAAATGCCCTAAAGAAAACAGACATGGTGAGGAAATAAAGTAAGAGGCTATGAGTTTTATAAGATTGGCATACAAAATTATCTTCCTTATTTTATGCTGTGAACTCAGTAAAACACTTTATTTTCTGTAAGAATCTCAAACACAGAAACACACATATATACATGAACACCTTTCATCAATTAATTTCACAGAAAATCTTTGAAAGGCTGGTTTTCTTTTGGAACTAGATCTCCAGCAAGTTCCAGAACAATCTATATGTGCTATCATAGAAATTTTTTTGGCATTTCCATATAACTTTTGGTCAAAACACTCTTTTGTAAAAATATGCACCCAAGATACTCATACATTTTTAAAACACTTGTATAAGTTAAACATTGATTTTTTTTTCAAAATTTCTTCTTAATAAATGTATATATTTAGTGTGTCACTGCCACTTTCAAAATTAGAGCTGCTTCTTTCTCTTTTGAGTGGATCATTTTGTCTGTTTTTGTCTTTTTATTAGAAAAGTGCAGTTAACCCACAGGACTTTAAAGTGTTTGGCAAACACTCCTCATGGAGATAATTCCTGTTGTTGAGCAAAGTCCCAAGACAATGAGTAAACAAAGGACCACCCAATTAAGAATTACTGGTTCAGGCCGGGTGCAGTGGCTCACGCCTGTAACCCCAGCACTTTGGGAGGCTTAGGCGGGCAGATCACGAGCTCAGGAGTTCGAGATCAGCCTGACCAACATAGTGAAACCCCATCTCTACTAAAAATACAAAAAAATTAGCCAGGCATGGTGGCAGGTGCCTGTAATCTCAGCTACTCGGGAGGCTGAGGCAGGAGAATCGCTTGAACCCGGGAGGCGGAGGTTGCAGTTAGCGGAGATCACGCCACTACACTCCAGCCTAGGTGACAGTGCGAGACTCCGTCTCAGAAAAAAAAAAAATAATAATAATTATTGGTTCCATATTGGTGCCAACCACCATCACCACCACCAACAAAAGCTAAAACCAAAGCAAGCAAACATAAACCATTTCTGGCAGGGGAGAAAAGCTGGCTGCCCACCCCCATAATGATGGTACTTATCTACTGATTACAGATTCCAAATTAAATATGCACGTTCTAGCAGGCATTGCTGAATATTGGCCATGGCCAATACTGGCTAGCTGCTTTGGTCTGAATAAGTCTGGTCTTTTGGGAGGATTATTAATAATATTCAGGTTCCCAGTAGTGCCCCTCAAGTCATGGCCTACCTTAAAACTAGCCTTTTACCAATACATATTTGCTCATGGGAAATATTTTTAGAGATGCTGTTCGGTATTCAGCCCCCAAAAAGGACCCCCCTTTCCAGCTTTCCTTCTCTCAATTATAGTACATGAGAGCTTTGAAAGATTCACATTCCTTAATAAAAGGCAAACAGCCCTAAGAAAAATGGTCAATAGGCCTTAGCCATTCAGAATGAAGAAAAGATATGGGACAGCTGGTTGAGAGCAAAGTCCTGCAGGAATGGGGTACCAGCTGGTAGCAGGGAAGGAAGCAACAAGAATGAAAATGAAGAATTAAAATACACATATTGAAGTTAGACACAAAGGCTTACCTTGGTGAAGAAACTAGTTTAAAAGCCAGGATTTCTCTTTTTTACACTTCCTAAAATCCCACCACTTACCAAAGAGGAGGTGGTAGAGGCTCCCCCTGTTCTCCAACAGGTGCTGAGAGCTTCTATAGTGGGTGGCCTTCCCCCTTCCTTCTGCTGCCCTACTGGACTTGTTTCGCCTTTGTTTTTTTATTTTTTTGTTTTGTTTTGTTTTTGTTTTTTGTCACTCTTTTAAACTGCCATCTAAGTAAATGACATAAAAAACTGCCTATCTGATTTCAGAGACCCCTGCAAGGCTCCCTTGCCTCTTCTACCCTCACTGGAGGCTGAAATTGCACAATTAGAACTACAGGACTTTACAGTGGGGTCAGACCTCTGAGAGCATTTTGAATCAGGGTCCAGCCAATTCAGGGGCCTTTTTTAACCCTCTCTAGCAGATGAGTAGTCGATAGCAATTATATTAGAAGTGAGGCTCCCTAGGAAAATGATTATACTTATTTTCAACTTCCCATTCCTATTTGTGGATGAGTTTTTAAAACCTACCCTGAAAAGCAGGATTTAGTAAAAGAGAAATAGAAAGCATAAAGACAATGAGAAAGAGAAGGAAAAGGAGGACTTCTTACCCAGGTGGTAGAAGAATTTGAAGAGTCCAAGAGGAAGCCCTGAAGATGTCCTCCATGTGACCAACTATGCAGCAGAGATTTCACTGTGGCTTGACCTGAAAGCTTTGGGGCACCTTCTAAGGTGTCTCATGATGAAGCAGTTGTTTGCAAAAAGGTGAGAAGCATAGCTATGTTTCCATAAAAGGCCCATGGTGATTTTAGGCCATCTTCAGACAATTATAAATCTCTTATTCTTGCTACCCTTGAGGTGATCACTTTTCATCTTCTCTATCTCTTTGAATATCTAGTCTCATTGATCCAGATCACCTGTGATACAAGAGGAGAAGGACAGAGAGAGAGACTACTGGTAGGCAGGGGGCAAAGTCACATGGAAGTATGACAGATGAAGACCCTGAAGTGGGCAGAGAAACAGACACTCTGTGAATACAAAAAGAGAGGAACAAAGGCAGAAACAAAGCCCATTTCCTACCTCGCCAGTCCCTCTTTAGGAAGGGAGCAGTCTGTAGAGATGCTCAGGTGTCCGTGAGCACTTTCATGAAGGAACCCTTTTTTTGTCTCATTAATATGCTCATGCCCTACCTGGTTCACTGAGTAGCAAGACATAAATACCTCCTACGATTGCTGGTCTCAGGAAGGGCCCTAACATTCAGTGTCCTGGCCTAGTCCAAAAAGCAATTATTAAGCAATGTACTTCAGTAGCCTGAACCCAACTCATCTATGTGGGAAGGTAAATTTCCTTATTTGCCCCAAGGATAATGCTAAACATGAGCAGTGAAGAAGAGACTTCCTTGCATTAATGAAAATCTTGATACTGTAGTTCTGTCTCCCTCTAACGAGATCACACCTCCGAATCTTTTGGGTCTGACTTGGTATTAAGTCATTTATAATTAGGCATAAACTACAGCAAGCTTTCTATTTGTCTATGATTTATCCATGGTATCAGGCATCTTTAGGAAAGTAAGCCCTTTATATTTCTTTATTGGCAGAAATCTCATTAATTTGTTGTGTTTTTTCTTTTCCCTGATAAGGCTCAAATTATTAGCAAGGTAATCTTAGAGTAAGTTTCAATCAGCAGCCTCACAAGGGGGAACGGTATGCAGGCAAGTGGAAACACAGGCCCCAGCCACCTGCATGGAAAGGCTTCTGCTCATTCTCCCGCACAATTCCCAGTCTCCCGGGGAGATGAGGATTAGGCTGAGCATGTTAATTCAGGATGGAATAAAATGGCTTAAACCTTTAGGCAGTTCCATCCATACCTAGATATGGCAACATTCGCCATGCAGCAATCTTGTCGGCGAGGAGACATAATGCACAAAACTGTCACTAAATTATACACTGAAGCCAGTTTGTATCGGTGGCAATAGATTTTATGATAGATATCTCACTGAAGCAGGGCACATAATTTATATCTATCCCACGTCCCTCGCCTCTCCTTGATAAAAGTCAGGAGGCAGGCATATTTGTATTCTGCTGTCCTCTGCCGAGGGTGTTTAACATGCTTATAGGCCAAATGAAACCGCTTTGTTTGTTATCTCCTGGCTTCCAGAAATAGTCAGCTCTGATAATGTGCCACTGGAGTTCTGAGTTACCACATAATGATGTAATGGCCCGGGAGTACAGTGAAACCACAAATGTCCAAATGAATTGACACAATTTCCTGTAGAGGAAGCAATCTGAAAATAATAGGCAGAAATTCTGGCTCCTTTTACACTTAGAGGAGATGACAGTCATCACAGAAGGGGTGACTAGGAGAGTTCTGGTTGATCCACAGAAGGGAATGCTCACAAATACCAGGCTTTCAAAAATAGATGGTGGACACATCAAGTCTTCTTTATCTACCTTCTAGGAGAAAATTGGGAGCAGGCTTTGTTGAGTCAATAACCAACCCTGAGAATCATCAAACCTTCCTGTTTAAGTCTGGGCATCATTTCAAGAGTTCCATGAGAGGACGATGAGCTCTTTCACTTCCTGTCCTTGCACCTGCCCTTTTCCTCTGCTTGGAACATTGGTGTTTCTTCCCAACTGTTCTTCCTGTCTTCCCCTGCCCCACCCTGTCTCCTTCCCAGCCTTTGATTCACAGCTGAAACTTGGCTTCCATTGGGAAGCCCCCTGGTGAAGAAGCCAGAATTTGGGGAAATCCTCTCCTTGTGCTTTCTCAGCAGGTTCCTCACCTGTTTCCTCTCAGAGCACAGCCCTCTCCACTTGACTGGGAGCTCTCTGAAAGTAAGCACTGTGCTTTATTCATTCACTCTTCCATCTCTAGGAGCCTTCCCAATGCCTGGCAGAGAGGCTGACCTCCCAAGTGGGATCCCAAGCACTTTGCTCTCTGGCTTTCAGTTGGATTCAGCCAATGAAGGGCACTGTTAGCAGATGGAAGATGGGAGGAGTATAGGATGCGGATATTTACCACCAGCCCCATCCCCACTGCCTCCCTGGTGGGTTGGCTCTGTATTTCTATTGAAAAGCTGTGGTCCTTTTGACAATATTCTATAGCTTTGTGCTAACACAGAGGCTCTGCTTCCATGGAAGCCTAAAGGTAGTAATGACTCCCTTCCATGATTGGGTACAGGCAGCTTCATCATCCCTTATAGATTTCCCTTAACCTGTAAATATCTTGGTAAAGCTCCACTCATTAAATTCTCCCTAATTACTCAGTTTGAGAGTTGTCATCTGTTTTCTGCTGGGACACCAACTGACGTGCTTTCCTTCCCTGATTCTACCATCTGCCATCATGAAGAAGGGACCATGGTGAACAAAAGAGACCACACAAAGGCCACAAAGGCAGTGTCGCTAACACCATATCCTCTCAGTATAGTGGGCGGACTCCATCAACACTTGTTGGCACCACCACTCATGCCTTCTAAAGACCCCCTTTGGCTTCCTCTTTTAGAGGAAATAAAACATTAAAAACTCTTGAAAGGATGCTTACTTACCTGCCTTTTAATTTATTTCTCATTCAGTGAATGTGTATTGAGACCCTGTGTTTGCCCTTCCAGATAGAGTGTAAATGAGACAGGCCAGGTACATTACCTCATGGAGTTTATAGACTGATAGGGAAATCAGACCACAAATAAGACATATGATTTATAATTGTGGGAAATAGCACAAGGGAGAAATGCATGGTGCCAGGATATTTCCAAGAATATCCTGTAGTTCATACATAAAAATATTTCTTGTATAGATTTATGTTCTTAAAGCATTGAATAGACATGAGTTTGAAATGTGATTACAAATGCTTTGCATTGTTATTGAAAAGCATAGGACATTCTGAGACTCCGTCTAAACTCCAAGTGCATGGAATGTCCTGGTTCTGTGTCAGCTCCGCAGGACATGTGTATAGTTGATCTGATGCCCACAGAGCTGGGCTATTTACCTGTGGTTTGGAGCTGGGTTGGTCAAGTACAATCAGATTGCTGGTAGATAAAGTGATATAGTTCCCTTAAAGGTCATTACTGCTAATGAATCTTTCTTTTTTTTTTTTTTTTGAGACGGAGTCTCGCTCTGTCCCCCAGGCTGGAGTGCAGTGGCGCCATCTCGGCTCACTGCAAGCTCCGCCTCCCAGGTTTACACCATTCTCCTGCCTCAGCCTCCCGAGTAGCTGGGACTACAGGCGCCCACCACCATGCCCGGCTAAGTTTTTGTATTTTTAGTAGAGACGGGGTTTCACCGTGTTAGGCAGGATGGTCTCAATCTCCTGACCTTGTGATCCACCCGCCTTGGCCTCCCAAAGTGCTGGGATTACAGGCGTGAGCCACCGTGCCCAGCCGTGAATCTTTATGATATGTTTGTTTCCTAGTTTAAAGGAAGGATTTTAGAAATCCACAACAATGTATTATTGCCCACTGTTCTAAGGAGATTGTAATCGCAAATGGTGGTGTAGTCAAAAAGAAGGAAATTCCTTCTAAAACGGCATGATGCAGTGACCATGGTAGGAGTCATCCATTTACTCAAGGAACATTTGTTCAATACCTGCCATGTGCCAGCTCTGGCATAGGCACACAGCAAGTAGAAGTGGACACCAGGTAGTCAGATCCGAGAGGAGTTTACATTTTAGTTGAAGAGATTGTCCAGAATTTGGGGAAGGGGAAGAAGCAACCCTCAGAAATGCAAGTGTCCTGAACCTTGAGCAATATTAGGTGGGAAAAATGCCTTCTCTACAAGGTTCCGTGGAGCCTGATGCTTCCATAGAATGCAGGTCCCTGCTTCCACCGCTGCCCCTCCAGCAACTCACTTATGACACCTCTTCCCTTCCAGGTGCCATCAGAGAGCACTGCAACCTGTGTTCAGCCAGGTCATGTGAATGAATGCATAACTGAATGAGTCCATGTTGACCCACGTCTCCTCAAGATGGAGCTGTGAAGGGCACAACTGCCATCTTGTCAGCAAGGCCCTCCAAGCCAACACCTATGAGAGGAGGCAGTTCTACTTTGGTTCCAACAACACAAAAAAGGCAACTTTCTACTCACCCAACCCATCTTCAGACACATCTAGACTGTCTGAAGCTGGGTAACTAAAGCTCAAGAAATACAAAATCCAAGATTTCTCTTCAATTCTTGGAGACTCTCTTCTGCCTCAAAAACATGGCCAGCACCAGGACACCACAAACAGGCACATCCACTTTTGCCAGACTCTAGCCTCCTTCTGGCACCCTCCCTTCCTCTTTGCTGGGGTTCCCCAACATACGTGCCTGGTACTTGATGTTAGATTCTCCATTGTAATCCCCCATTATTTGATCTTTGAACCTCTCAACCTCCACTCTTCTGTCTCACACCATTCGCTCATGGCTCTGACATTTGTGGCTGAGAATACAGGTGTTCACAGAATACTTCTCAGAAACAACCAGCTTCCAGAAGTTTCTGAAGACCAATGCACAGTGCAATATCTCTAATCCTATTCTTTTGCAATGTATTCTGACAGGTGGCATTGGAGGTTAAAATTTAAGTTCAAACTTTTGGTAGCTCAATGACATTACTGTAGGTCTTGTCCAAGATGTGAGTAAAAAGGCGTTAAAGCATCTCTATCCATCTTATGTTCTCTCATGTTGAGAAATTGCGATGTGGTGAAGAAAAAAAAAGACCACTACTTTGTGTCACAGGGGACCTGATTCCTATTCCTCACTCTGCCCCTGGCCCAGGGCCTAAGGACTCAGCAGTTTTGGATCTCAATTTCCCCATAGCACTCCTTTACAATTACGATTTGATACATGTGAAATAAATTCCCAGGACATAATTCTTTAGAGTAAGTCTTAAAGTATTTTAAAACCAAAGGAAAATTGATTTTGTATCAGCCAGTGGTTTCTTCCTTATCTGGACTTGTGAGAATATCCCAGGTATCAAGGAGACATAGAACTGCACATGCCCAGACACACAGAGACCTGAGGATTCTGTCGATCATTTTTCTCAAGGTCTTGCTTCATGAGGACTCTTTCATCTCTCTTTCCTAATCCCCTTTAGGAAAGAACTTGGATGATCGGCTGCATGAGGAAAGATTAGCATAGGCTGAGAATCCAATGCTGAAAAGAGGGTCTATCCTAGCACCAAGCAAGGCATGAAAAGATTTTCAAGCATTTTGTGATGATGACGATAATGACAACACCATGTATTTCTCCCAAGAAGCTCAAAGAACTTCATAGGCCTCACATCAATCATCCTTGCCACTTCCCCAAGAGGAAGGAAAGGGCAGGTACTAATATGATATAAATGTCAGCAGCAGAGTGAACCATCACATGGAATGAGAGCCTTATACATTGTTCATTGTCACTTGTAACCAAACAGCAACTACAGTGAAAGTTAGGGAGGGGATGTGACCCGGTCTCAGGCCAGAAGCTACATCCCTGGGCAAGTAGGTGCGCCTGAGTTTTGTAAATGGCACTTTGAACAATGATTTATTGCTGATTATGGCCTGTCTAGTCTCATATTTTCAAGTCATATTTTGCTGTCCTGATGTTGTTTACGGAATAAAACCTGGTTTCCACAAACTAGTGATTACTAGATTTCCCCTTAAGCTTCTGATTGTCATCTGTATAAACAATTACAGTAATGCTCTTCATAATATTTTGGTCAATGATGGACTGCATATATGTCAGTGGTTGCATGAGATTATAACGGAGCCGAAGAATTTCTGTTACCTAGTGATGCCCTGGCTATCAAAATGTCGTATTGCAACGCATTACTCACATGTTTGTGGTGATGCCAGTGTAAACAAGCCTACTGTGCTGCCTTTGTACAAAGTCTAATGCATACAATTACGTGTAGAACATAACACTTGATAATGGTAATAAATAACTACATTCTGGTTTATGTATTTATTACACTATACATTTTATTTTTATTTAATTTTTAACGTTTATTTATTTATTTATTGTTTTGTATTTGACCACCATGCCTGGCTAATTTTTTTGTATTTTTAGTAGAGACAGGGTTTCACCATGTTGGCCAGGCTGGTTTCAAATTCCTGTCCTCAAGTGATCCACCTGCCTCGGCCTCCCAAAGTGCTAGGATTACAGCCATGAGCCACTGTGCCCGGCCTTTATTATTATATTATAGAGTGTACTCCTTCTACCTATAAAAAAAAATTAACTGCAAAACAGCCTCAGGGAGGTCCTTCAGGTGGTATTCCAGAAGAAAGCATTGTTATCCTAGGAGAAGGCAACTTCATGTCTGTTATTGCCCCTGAAGGCTTTCCAGTGGGACAAGATAAGGAGGTGGAAGACAATGATATTGATAGTCATTCACCACTCACTCACTGACTCACCCAGAGCAATGTTCAGTCCAGCTACCTTCATTCATGGTAAATGTCCTATATAGGTATATCATTTTTTATCCATTAGATCGTACTTTTGCTATACCTTTTCCATGTTTAGGTATATTTAGATATATAAATACTTACCGTTGTTCTAAAACTGCCTGCAATATTCGGTACAGTAACTTGCTATACAGGTTTGTAGCTGAGGAGCAATGGGCTATACCATTTAGATTGGTATAAGTACATTCTATGATGTTTGCACAAAGACAAAATCACCTAATACCACATTTCTTACAATGTATCCCTGTTCTTAAATGATGCATCACTGTTCAATTTTTTGTCTAAAAGAAAGTGAACCAAAGAGCTTCCCACCCTCATGATCCTTTAGCAAATAGATAAGACAAAGGCTTATCCTGTATTTCACCACTTAGATTTCTTCCAGTGTTTCTCTAGCTTAAATATCTCCTTCTCTGCTCTGTCTCTCACTCCCTTCTGTCCTTGTATTTCCTGTTTTTTCCTCATTATTAAAAATTAAATTCCTATTCTGTGCTCTAAATCACAGCCCCACAAATGCACATGTAATTCCAGTTTAAAATGTAAATAAATAGCCTTATCCCTAGAAGCTGCAGTTGTCCTAATCTCTCTATCATTATCAACATTTAATGAGTTCTAAGAAGTTCAGGACACAGTACTTGTCAAAGAAAGCTGAAGCAAGCCATGCACTCAGGTCAATCTGCCTTTTGAAATAAGTTGGTGTGGCCCAGCTTGGAAAAAAGGAACAAAACAGTGGGTCAGGGTGGGCCAAATGACTCATTGTGGGGAGAAAAGCATGAAGCCAACAGAGGAGACATTTCCAGAAGATTGAGAAAAGACAGCTCCCTAATTTGTTAATGCTGGTTAAAGCACTTTCATTACTTGTTAAGGGTAGAAGTCAGTCTATCGAGGGTTATAAAAAGTTCAGAGTGAGGACCCAGAAACATTGGGTGGAGGCCACTTTGCTTAAACAGACAAACAAACAAAAAGTGGCATGAAGGAAATACAGCAGCTAAGAATATTCCAAGGTCAGAAGAAAAGTTCCCTCCCAGGTAAAGATTTCCTGTGTGGGAAGGAAGAAAGACGAAACAAATAAGCAACAACACGACCAACAAAAACAAAAATGACATCTTTGTTTTTTCAGGTTATATTTTGTTCCCAGTCTGTTTCCTGAGATATATCTAAAAATGAAAAAGGAAGCTTGAAATAGAATTCACTACACTTTTTAGAGTACAATATAGATGTGTAATGAACGCATAGAGAGGAGCAAATAGGTTTTCCCCATATAAACACACACACGCACACACTCACACACACTCAGCTCTCATGCCAGAGTCCTTCAAGTAGGAGGATTTCAGAGAGACCTCAAAGACATCTGCCTTCTAGTCTGAGAATATATGATCTAATTTCTAACATACCCATCTTGAAAACCCCTGGTTTTCAAAGCAGTAACTGATCACAATGGAAAAATCAGGCAGCCAGGGATTCAGGGGCAGCCATACAACTGCCTCTCAGGGAAGTATTTCCCCTGAAGTCCTAAGAGTAATAGATGACAGTTCATTTCCCATTCATTGTACAGCTAAAGAACTAAAAACACTACTGTCCGAGGTATTACTTTTCCTAGAAGTGCAGCTAGAAGCTACAAAACAAGAGAGTAGCACTGACTCCTGAAAATCATGTTTCTCTAGAAAGCAGCTCTCTGCACTCAAGGAAATTGTTTCAGTTCAGCACATCTGTCAATAAGTGTTAACTCTTATTGGGCATTTAAAGTTTACATTTTTAAATTAATTCTTCTTTTTACAAAAAAATGAATTATTCAAAACAGCTACTTTTGAGTGTGGACTCCTCGACACCCTGGGGACACCAGGCTCTGGATTAGCTCTAGGAGAATATTTTGGCACTTGGTAATTATGAGCAAATCTTATGACTCATCAATACGCATCACTTTGATGATGTCCTCTTCCAAGTAATTTCTTCTAAGAAGTGAGGCACCTCACTCAGCTGCAGCTGAGGGCACACTACTATGATACATATTAATTCAGTGTCCCCATCAAGGACACTGAAGGGGCTTTTCTGTCCCTTAGTTGCCTGTCCATAGGGCAACAATGGGGAGGAGCTCTGGAGCTCTGAGCAATTAGTATTCAAGGCTTCATCCTATATCCTGGAAAGGTACAACAAATTGATCAGATAATAAATTAGGCTTTTGTTAAATCCACTCAGTTTGACAGTAATGGTTAAATTCAAAACTAGATCATCAATAGCATTGAAAAGTAAGTTGACTAGTCACTTTGATGTGCCATGGGCTGCCATGATCTTTTGGGAGCAAATAGACAGAATTCACCATTTCATTCCAAAAGATTCTTTTGTAATTGCATTTAAGTTACTTTAAGGCCTGGCTACTTATTTGGTGAAACTGTACAAAAGTATCTGGCGGTTCAGCATACTAATGAGATAAGTTTACATTGAGGTAGCTAGGTGCCAAAATAAGTCACCATGGCTATAAAATTAATCCGGCACTCCAGAAACCAGGATGTGCAGAGTCATTATAAACAACAATGTTGCTCCCATAACAAAAGCCATCCATTCCACATGGCTCAATGGGGACGACTGTGCAAGTAGAATCCTATAAGAGATTATAAGTCTAAGGCTTAGTTCTGCAGCCAACCATAATTTGAAGTGTGGCTCTCTGGTTTCCAAAAGTAACTACCTCTGTCATCCTTTTCAGACCCACCCAAATTATAGCTTTGGCTGTGAAAAAGCATTGGGAGAATGACTGCATAGTGAGAAAAGGGTATTTTTTGAAAGGTAATTGCCCTATTTGTTGGTTCTGCTCCACATCTGGCCCACAGAGTCAAAATATATTAAAATGTCGTAAGGCAGCCTCATTGAAAAGTTGAACCATGCAGAGCTCATGCCTTTTACTAGCTGGAGACATATGCTCCAAATGCCAGATCATATTTTAAGAAGATGCTAACATTGTTCCTCAAATATTCTCCAAGGGGAAAGGAAATGCTCTCCACAAACTCTGCCTTTGCTGAAGGCTGCCTCCAGGAGAGGGTCCTTCCTACTTCTTTCAGAACTTTGTACTTCCTCTGGGAGGGAAAAAAAATCCTACTGTTTCAGAAGGCTTGCTACAAAAGTTTATATCCACTCTTCTCAAAGCATCAGGTGACAGAATATCTCTATTGCATTCATCAATTTATTCAAGTATTTGTTGAGAGCCTACTATGTGTCAAAGGTGATTTTAGGCACTTCACATATAACACTGAATGTCCTGGTGGAGTTGACTTTCATGGAAGGGGGCAGTGGGAAACAGATGATAAAAACAGGCATAATAACTAAAATATATAATACATCAGTAGGTGATAAAAGCTAAGGAAAAAAGTAACAGAAGACAGATATGGAGATTAGGTACGTGGAGCAAGAGGTAGTTAACAAGCGGAATTGGGTACTCTGGCTTATTAATAGGCCTCTTTGAGAAGGTGATATTTGAACAAAGGCTTGAAGGAGGTGAGGGAGTTAGTGATATTGATGGTTGGAGGATGGTCATTTAGGCAGAAGGAACAGCCAATGAAAAAGCCGTAAGTCAAGAGCATGCCAATCATATTTGAGAAAGTTTGGGAGGCCAATGTGAACGCTGCCAGGCGAATGCAAGGGAAAGAATGGGGGTAGGAAATGAGATCAAATAATAATAGGTACACAGATCATGTGGGGCTTACAGAACAGTGACCTTCAACTTTCAAGTATATATAAATTAACTGAGATCATGTGAAAAGGAAGAGTCATATCCACTTGGTCTGAGGCTGAGCTTCTGTATCTCTAATCTAGTGCCTCTGGTGCTGCTGCTCCATGGAACATATTTTGAGCAGGAGGATTTCTGACCATTGTAAAGGACTTTTACTCTGAACGCAGTGAGGATCCACTGAAAGCTTTTTCAAGTGTTGAGAATAGACTGTGGCCAGGGAAGATAAATTGGTAGACCAGTGAGGAGACTACTGTAATAAAGGCAAGAAAGCAGGAGGACTTGGGTCAAGAAAGTATTAGTAGAAGCAGTTAGACTATGGACATGTTTTCAAGATATAGCTTTCATAGTTTTCTGATGAGTCAGAAGTTGTGTGTCATAGAAGGAGAAGAATCAAAATTATGCTAAAGTATTTGACTAAAGCCGCTGAAAAAAGGAGTGGTAATCAACTGAAATGGGGAATGCTGCAAGTGAGACATGGTTTGGGAGGTAGGTTAGGAGTTTTCATTTGTCCATAATACCTCTGGTGATGTTAAGGAGGCAAAATTTGGAACTTGGAAGAGAGAGCTGAACTGGAGATATGAATGTGGGAGTGGTTGACATAAGATATTTGAAACCATGAAACTGGATGAGATCACCCAGGGAGTGAATGCACATAGAAAAGAATAGACCAATCGTGGCCCTGTGGCACTCCAACTGGTTCATTTCCTGGTGTTCTAAGAGAGTCTCTTGCCCCCAGGAAAAAACATAGAGGAAGACTTGAAAGGGAATTCTTTCTCAAATTTTGCTGGAAGCAGTTCCTCTGGACTGAGTGTTTGGGTTCTCCTCCAAGTCTCCCATACCACATCTCACTCATGCAAGTAATGAGACCACACTGTCCGTTTAGCAATGACTTGTGAACCAATGCAGAGTGGGTGTAAAGGTACAGTTTTCCACCCTCTAGAATCTCAGTTTCTATGGCGGAGCTGCATCCCTCTTCAAGGATTATCCTGCGAATGGTCAACGACTTGGAGTCCCTATATGATTTGTTGAAACAGGTCCAGCGCAAACATCCATTTGAGGTGGCAGAACAAACATTTATTAATGCATTCAACAATCTGCATTACAATGTGTAAGTACTTGCCTAAACAATTTAAAAGTTATAGAGAAGAATCACCTATGAATCTCACCCATATGACTGGTTCGGTATCCTGAACTGCTGAGCTTCGCTTGATATGCTTCAAGAAAAACAAACCACAGACACACGCACATTATCGTCATCATCTATTGCCCTTGGGAATCTATCTTGGATCAACTTCTCAAACCTGCTCATTCCATCTGGCCAAGCTTCTGTTGCAGATTTATCCCTTTGGTACCCTTCTTTTCTGTAACTGCTACCCTGTTAATAGGAGTTTAGATTGCTTTCGACTGGTCTGTTTTCCTGGAATACATGGCTCCATTCTACCCATGCCTAAGGCCAGCTGCAGTTCCCAAGACCAAGGAAGGGCAAAGCTGTTGGCTCCCTGCTTATTTAGGACTAGAGATGGTTAGGTATTCTCCTCAAGGAAAATGTAGTGGAATAGAGATTAGTACTGTAAGATTGCATGACAAATCAGCCAGAGTATATATATGTGAATATACATTTTGATGTATACATAGAAGTGGGCTACTAGTAGCATAAATATTAATATTATAATATAATTTATAGATACATGATACATATGTATCACAGATACAAATCAATCTGCCTGTGTTCCCTCTCAGATGATGGGGGCCACTTTTTTTTCAAGGGAGAAGACTGTTATTCCCCAATATCCACCCAAAGGTTAAATGTGTGCCCCATAATTTCCCCATTTCCATTAATAGTTCACTCTGGGTCTTTCATCCATGAATTTACCTATACCTTTTCAGAAGCTATTGAAATTTGAGAACGTGCCACCTCCTGGGGGTAATGACAGTGTTTTATGCATCACTGGGAAGTGACAGTGCAAAAGGTATCTGTTAAGGCCTGCCTTGGTTTGTGCTCTCATGGCCACCTCTCCCCACTGCATGGAACACATTTCTCCCATCTATAGACTAATCCCTGCCCCAGGATCTAGGACCAATCCTGTCTTTAATCACAAGGACTTAAAGAGATGTGCTTCAACACTTAGTTGACTCAGAGGCAAATCACCATAGTCACCAATTCTGTCAGACTGTATGATCCAGTTCTACAAGTGAGCTTCTGTCTTGTTTCTGAGATCAGCTTCCCACTTTGTGCCCCAGTGGTGGCTTCACAGTCTTTGTCTTGGTCCTTTGTATCCAGGTCCCCAATTTGGTAACCTGTCCAGGATTCTAGGCCTTTTAAGAATAGTCTCAGCCATTCTTCCTCATACCTAAAGCATCTGCCTGCAAAATGGGAATCCTTTCCCCAAACCCTGAATTGCCATTGTCTCCTGATGCTGCCTGTCTACATGTCTGTCTGCATGATGATGCTACATTTCTGTGCTCTGCCCACCTGTCAGGACTACACAGATATTGGGCATCTGACCCTTTACACTCATTGCCTCCTGGATCCTCCTGTTGTTGATGGTTTAACTGTGTGGATATTGCGCATGATGCATGGTCATTTTCTCTATCATGATCACACATGCAGGAGAAATAAAGAATATTAATCTGAGCCACTGCTTACTGCTCTGCAGATCACAACTGCTCAATTGAAGAGGGTGCCATATGCAATGTGGGAAAGGTGCAGCAAATCACAACATAAATAGCACCCTCTAGAGTTGTGCTGTGCAAAACCTGATGCTAACCACTGCTTGATAACCTAACAGCACATCTAAAGCACTGCGCTTGTAGCTAGTGAAGTGGTTGTCAGCTTATGTATTGGTATCAGCATTTACGTGTGCGGATGTTGACTAAAAGTTCAATAAACTTTAATTACAACCTAAAATCAGGGTCAGATTCAAAGGAAAAAAGTGAGGCAATATGCCTAACCTCAAACACTTGGTATTTAAATAATGTAACAGTCATTAAGACTAAAACTTTTTCTCACCGAGGTCAGGCAAGCTGCTTTCCCAGGAGAGGTGGCAAAATCCTAAACGATGCAGTGCACATTTCAGACTGCAATGGCTCACACAGCACATGTGTGGCCTGAGGGGTGCCAAAAGCCCTTCTTGCTTTCAATGATCTCCTCCTCCCATCTGCCAGAGATCCTAGACTCCTCACCATTAAAGTCAAATTTTAGGATTAATTGGAATCCTACTCAGCTCCCTTGATTTCCTCTCTACCCCTCCAAAAAAACTGTTATCTTGGAAACCTATTAGGTATTCATTTTAACACAAATCACCATTATTGTCTTAATGAGTCACATGTAAGTTTCTGAAGGGATATATTACAGGCCAACTCTATGGAGGAGGGAAGGGAGAGACAATAGTGTCAAGATATAGGAGCAACCTAACACATGTGGCAGGAGGGGGGTAGTGAAAACTGATCTGAGAAGCAGGAGATGTGGGATCCAATAGAGGTTATACTGCTGGCCAACTGTCCAATCCCGGTCAAGTCATGCTACATCTCTAGGTGTCTGC
This sequence comes from Homo sapiens, assembly GCF_000001405.40. NCBI lineage: Eukaryota > Metazoa > Chordata > Mammalia > Primates > Hominidae > Homo > Homo sapiens. The sequence continues at coordinate 47,511,405 of NC_000015.10, read as the reverse complement.
CCTTTCAACTGTAAAGATGAAGGAATTAGGTTAGATGATTTGTGAGCACTTGCCACTGTTAAAATTGCAAACTATAAATCTGGAAAGTTGAAGCTTTTTCTGCATGAAGTGCCAAGGTGGTGATCTTCAAACAGAACAAGGACACAGATTAAACTGATGCTGAAGGAATTCCCAACAAGTATGAGGAATTGCCCCAAACCAACTCCACCTCCTTCACAATTCTCCCCAAAGCTGCTCTGAAAAAAGATGAACACTTAATTGCAAAGCAGGAGCTCCAACAACAGCATGTGTAATTGAAAAGGTGGTTTCATGGGCACCACTGAAAACTGAAGGAAATTTGAAGCTTTACATGTTGGCATTCATTCAGAAGGTGGCACTTGTGAATACCTATTATACACCCAGATTTTCATCTCATAAATTAGGTTATAATGTACTTGGTTAATTCTAGCAAGGTATTAATATCACATTAATCTAAGTCATAAAAATAAAGTATTTATGGAACTTATTCATCCCTTTAAGAACCAAGTGCCATATGGAAGGTGGTGTTGAAGGAGATGTGAGGTCCACAGATGAGTCTCCCTGCTCCCGTTCAAGGAAAAGCATCATCATTCTTCCAGGCCCACTGACACTCCCTGCCCTCCATGCTTAGCTCAAGCCCCACTTCTCCACAAGGAGCCCCAGGAAGCTCACCCACAGTCTCTGCTCTTCCTGATTTCCTGTGGCACTTACTGCTGCACCTCACACTGCACCTGTGCATTCTGGCCGTCTTATGTTGTTTGGTAATTATCTTATATATGCAAGTCTTGACATTCCAACTGAATTGAAAACTCCTTCAGACCAAGATCCCATGATACATTTCTCCTTTATCTCTGCAAGGACTGGGGGCTGGCACATATTTGGTGATCCACAAATATATATTGAACAAGATTAATTTCACAGACTTTTGAGAGTCTACTATGGGCCAGGTTGGGAGAGACAACAGTAGATTACAGCAGTGGTCCCCAGTGTTTTTGGCACCAGGTACTAGTTCCATAGAAGACAATTTTTCCATAAACTGGGGGGCAGGGGCAGATGGTTTCAGGATGAAACTATTCCACCTCAGATCATCAGGCATTAGATTCTCATAAGGAGGGTGCAACCTATCTCCCTTGCATGCAGAGTTCACAATAGGATTCTTGCTCCTATGAGAATCTAATGACACAGCTGATTGACAGAAGCCGGAGCTCAGGTGGTAATGCCTGCTTGCCTGCCACTCACCTCCTGCTGTGTGGCCTGGTTCCTAGTAGGCCACGGACTGGTATGGGTCCATGGCCCAGGGGTTGGAGACTCTTGGACTACAGAATCTCAGTCTTAAAAGCATTTATGAAGGAGAAGGAAAGAGAGAGATGTTTATAATAATCACTAAGGTGGAAGGGCCATGACAAATAAAAGAATGAAATATTTTGTATCCAAAGAGGAGAGCAATACATTTTAAATGATGGGCTAAGGCAGTGGTTGTCAAATGTTGGCACGCATTGGAATCACCTGGAGAGTACATATGGCAGAGCTCCACCTCCAAAGTGTTACTCAGTTTGGATATGGCCTGAACATTTGCATTCCTCACTAGTTCCTAGGTGATGTTGATGTTCCTAGTTCAGGGGCAATACTTTGAGAACCACTGGACTAGCGACAGATAGGCCTGAAATAATAAACAGCATTTCAGCAGCTATTTTCATCTTTTTATTTTAAATGACTGGAAGAGGACACTGCCAAGTAAACAGGATGAGTGAAGGTGTAGAGATATGAAAGCAGCCACAATGTTTTGGGATAGAAAGTAGCTGTATGGAGATACAAGGATACCATAATTCGGGGGCAATATTTTGGAAGCCTTCAATGTCATGGCAGGGAGCCTGGATTATTTATTAGGTTATAGAGAATATGGGGAGTGGTGATCATAGATTCCAAGAAGGGGCTGACAACAGGAGGCAATGGCAGAATGGACTAGAGGGTTTGATAATTAAGCCACTAGACCAAGCTGTCTTTATTAAGGGGAAACCAAAATAGAATTGAGACATGTGTTCTTCCAAAAGCCACTCCATATGCTTCTGGAGTTTATCTGAGTAAGCAGGACAAAGGTCCCAGTTTGGGCACAGTGTAGGGTTTTGAAATTCTGCTTTTATTATCACACACACACACAAACACACAGGTACACCAGAATTTAGCAAATGCTTCCTCACTCATCTGTTTGAAGGAGACTGTAGCCCTGAAGTTAAGATTTAGCCTGGTGCTAGCTGTATGGGTGTGGAAGCATTACCAGATTCCCATGATGAGGTGATTCTCTCAGCTCAAGAGGTGTCCAGAATAAAACTGGACATACCAAATGGAGCTGAAGAGGAGGAAAATGGTATCAAACCTGCTAATGGGGCTCTGTTTGAAAAAAAAATACTGAGTTTCAGTTCTGTCTCCCCCCGCAAAAAAAAACCAGCAGAAATATAGTGCCAGGCACTGTTCTATGCATTATAAATATATTATTTAATTCTCACAACAGGAATGTTTATTATCTCTGTTTTATAGATGAGAAATCCAAGACATAGATAAGTCAAGAAACATGACAAGATCACAAAGCTCGTAAGAAATGGAGCCAGTATTTGAACTCAGAAAGGCCAAGAATCAGCATTTATGCAGTTAGCCACTACACTAGGTGTGTACTCCCTGCGGGATAACAATCCTGAGGTTACACTTGCATTTGAAAAATAAAGTCCTGATTTGTCTTATGCCTTCTTCTCATCTGTCCTTTCTTCCTTCCTTACTTCTTTCCTTTCAAATTATTGAGTATCTATGATGTGTCAAGCACTGTTCACAGATTGAAATTGCTTTTAAAAAGTTGAGCCAATAAACTATTCTAAGCAGGGAAATAATTCTAGTAGTGAATTACATATGTGGGCAGGACACAGGGTTTTCAGAAAAATCCGCCACTCCATGGGGCCATCCTCTTGGAGTGCGGCTCTGGCTACACTTGACCTTATCCCCAGCCTCATTTAGTTTCTTATCACAAACCATACTGAACATTTTGCAATGCCAAACAGGATCCAAAACCCCCTGGAAGAAGAGAGTGTACAGAGGGCTTTTATATCGTTTTTTGGGGAAAAATATCTTAAAAACACATTCATCTGAATTCTTCTTTCAATTCTCCCATGGAATGCTAACCTTTATTTGCAGTTTGTGAGATTCCTGTCAAAAGCTTGCCGTAGCCTGAGGTTTAAACCAGAGAGAATCTGACTTGGTCCTGAGGCGGGTACCTTTGTAGCTTTCTAATCTCTCTCTCTGAAGTTCACGGGCTTTTAAGAGAGGTTGGTGATGTTCCCTGCAGAGGATTTTCTGTCATTTCATAGGCAGTATTGCATGGTTATGATATTAAGAACTGAAGTTTAAATCTCTTTACATTTTCCTTAATTGCCATTATTGGCCTAATTGCAGGTACAGGGCTCAAAGAGAAAGCATGTCACTTGCCATCTGTAGCCCGAAGGTACTTGAACCAAACCAAATCTGTTCAGGATGCAAAAGACACTTTAGCATATGCAGGGGCCCGAAATGGCTTTATAGACCCAAATCCTTTTAATAAGCTTAAGATAGGCCTGAATTTATTTAAATGTCTAATTCTAAATGTACGTATGCCTGGTAGTAATGTTTACCATCTGTCTGACACTGCCTGTTGAGGTAATTGTCAAGCTACAGTATGACATATGGTGCACATATTTGGACCTTAAATATAACAGCCTTGGCATGAAACAATTGGAAACCAAGATTTAATCTTTGGTATCATTCAAGTTGGAGTTGAACAAACAGACAGTTCTGGGCTATTACTGTTTTCTTCCTTTATGATAAATACTCCTCCGTAGGCATGCCTGAGAACAACACTGGAGTGGCAGGCCTGGTTTCAATGCACTGCCTTTTTCTTGCTCTGGCTCTGGCACTTAGAAACCCAGTTGGAATGGCAATTCTGCAGTAGGGGCCAGAAGCCAGTCTCCGACTCAGGCAGCATCTGGTCTCAGCCAAGGAATATAAGGCCCGGGGGGGTGGGGGGGGGTGTCCCACTTGAGAGCCCAGAAGAGCTGTTGCCTTGGAAGGAAAAGGCATATCAAGGCAATAACAACAACTGGAACTCTTCTTTCTCCTCTGTATTCTATTTTTCTATCTTCTCATTTAGTCTCCATTCTGTTTTATTTCCCTATTTAGTTTTCTCATCATTGGGCCAAATATGGTGGACTCAGTGGAAAGGAGGAAGACAGGGTAGAGGCTGACAGCTCCATAATCCCTGTAATGCCCTGGGGAAATGCACATGGCTCCAAGAGATGAAAACAACACCCTTTTCAAGTTATTTTGGTTAAATGATAGAGACCCTAGAGTGACAAATAGCTCAGGCAGCGCTTCCTTTTTTCTTTAAATACTAGCAGCACTGTAGCATTAGATACAGCTGTGTAGATGCCTAAAGCCTGACTTGAAAGACTTACTTTATGCTTGGATTAGAGGATGAGTGTAGCTATTGTTGTTGCAGTCGCTGTCTGGATCTAAAGTGATGTAAATATGGCAACAGGAATAATGTAACTCTTGCAGTAATGTTACTAAGAATGTGGTCAATATCTCTTCTCAATGGGTATGGCACTCCATACAGTCATAGCTTCCAATGTAAAGTCAACATAGACACTCTCTTAAACCCTGCTTCTATCCCTCCACTGCACTGCCTTTTATTTATAAAATGAGGCACTGGGGGATGAGCAAGGCAGTCGATAACGCTGTGTGTGTGTGTGTGTGTGTGTGTGTGTGTGTTTGTGTGTGTGTAAATGCCCATGTAGTTAGGAGGCCTTGAAGACTAAAATAACAATATACTGGGTGAGTCGCCAAGGTAATTCAGGCTTGGATTTTCCCCCAGCCTGAAATGACGACTTGATTCCATATTTTGGTATCCTGCCAAGTTCTGTATTTAAGCCTCAAGCTTAACATGTCCTCTGTTCCTAATTAGCAACAAGGCTAAATTTAGCAAAGGTTTCTCCGATGCCACCACAGACACAAAACGATACTAAAGTCTAACATGAAGACACGTTACTTGATGGATTTAGGAAAAGGCAAAACAAACCTAAAGGTGCCCTCTAAGATCAGATGGCCTGGGATGCTAAGCATTTTTGAAGCACAGGGATAAAATTGGCCTTGTGTGATGTTTAAATTTTGACACAGGAAATTTTCTCCCTGGAGGCCAGAGTACACATTGTAGCAGCGAAGGGTTATACTCTCTGAGAGGCCTGGCCCTGGGGAAGCAATGAGAAGAGGGGTGAGATACATTTCTCATGCTCTCCCACTCCCCTTTAGATTCCCACTGCTCTCCTGCCCTGACTTTGTTCCTCGGGTAGAGTTTCTAGCAGATCAAAATCCTCCAATGCATTATTACCACCTCCACCCCCTGACTTCTCCACACCTTCAGACTGGAGTATCTCTGCAATCACGTCCCACACATCAGCCTTTCCTCCTGATTGGCCCCTCAACCTCTCTAGTGCTTCTCCCTGGCTCTCCACAGCGTGTTATTTTTAAGAATTTCAAATCTACAGAAGAGCTCCAAGAATAATATGATAACGGATGATCCAGTTATAACCTTTGCCTTGAGTCACCAGTTATTAGCATCTTGCCATATTAACTTTATTTTTCCTTTTCTCTTTTTGTATATGTGTGTATAAATGTACACATGTGGTATATGTAATATTTTCATTATTCTTGCTGAACCGTTTTAGAGTCAATTAGATATTCTGACTCTCTCCTCCTAAGTATCTTTGCATGCATGTCCTAAGAACAAGGATGTCAGCTAGATAACCTCAATGACAATCATAACACTTAGGAAATGTTACATTAATACTGTACTCATAGCCACTCTGTAGCCCATGTTCATATTGTCCCCAAATGTTCTTTATCAGTCTTTTATGTAGGACATTGGTGTTTACGGAAGGTCTAAGCCAGTTGTTTCGCAGAATGTGCCTATTGCTTTAAACTTTAAGTGTTGTCACTTTTGATCCTTCATTAATGGTCCCAAACATCCCTGTATGTGGTTAAGGCTTAAGTTCTCAGTCCTGCTTAACAATGAAGAACAAAAGTGCTGGGAGACCTGATGAAGGCCATACAGCTTACTGCTGGCAGAGCTGCAAGGAGAGAGCCCATTTCTCCTGACATCCTGCCTGGGACCAACTAGAAGAGGTGGGACAGAAGAGCATATTTATGGTCCTTTCTCTTCCCTTCATCTTAGGGGCCCCAAAACCACAGATCTAACTTCCGGAAGGCCTGATCTCCTCTCTTACTCCTGGCCTTGCTCCCCTCCACTTCCGCAAACAGCCACACTGAGCCACTGTAATTCTGTTTTCTGTGAGTTTGTTGGGTGGCCCGAGTCTCTCCAGGCTCAGATGACAGGAATGAGGCAAATTTTCCTGATAGGGACAAGCCTTTACTCTCCATGCCTCTTTTTTCCCACAGAAGGAAGGAAGGGAATTTCCACTCTCCTCCACAAAGAGAAACACTATGGAGATGATTCCCGCAGACACTCCCCGGGGAAGTGACTGGTAAAACCAGACGAAGAATCTGAGTGTCCAAATTAGCCTCTTCCTCTTTTGTTCCAGGCTGCCTGTCTGAGAAGACACACTTGCATGCTCACATGATTGCCTGTGTGTGTTTGTGTGTGTGGTGGGTGCAGTTAGAAGGGATGAGTTCCACTTAGAGGGCATATTAAGGCACCCGTTTTGTGGCACATCAAAGACATATGACATTCTCTAGCTTTATCAAAAGTAAAGCTGCTATTTTGATGTTTATCTGTCTGACGACTGTAATTCCCTGTTGTTTCCCAGCTCAGGAGGGCAAAGGGGTCTTATTTATTGGCTCCCTGGATCTCCTGCTTTTCTATCAGAGCATCAACCATAATAGAGCAATGCAGGCTTCCTACGCCCCTTGCTGTCCCTCGCCATGGGGTTGGATGAGCACTATGCTTGCACTGAACTCCTCTCTCCTGAAGAAGAGAGAGGGCTGCCTAGGCTGTGGGACAACAGGGACAACTCAGGGCTGCTCACTCAAGGTGGGGGTGGTGAGGACAGAGGCAGCCAGCAAGCCTCAGATGAGTCCTGGCTGGCTGGTCTGCCCAGAGAAGAATTCAGAAGTTGGGAGTAGAGGCCTGGTTCTGCTAAGCAGTTGCAGAGAGGATAAAAATGGAGGGGAAGCCCCTATTTCAAACCCTTTGGTGAAAAGGCAAACCCGGCTGATGCTGCCTGGCAATGTACCATCTCTGGACTTCCAAGAAGAGGCCACCAGCCTGCAGAGGGAGGAGCAGAGGGCTTCATGTCCAGCTGCCAATGCTAATGTGTTTGCTATGGAAACTGAGCCTCGGGGTTCCTACCAGGTTCTCTGTCTCCTTTACCAGGAGGTGACTGGAGCTGTCCTTTCTAGAAAAATGGCCTGTTCTTAGTCAGGGGAGTGGGATGTGACAAAGGTTAAGTGGCAGTAAACACAAAGATTAGAGTCTCTCTCTCGGCCTTTTGGTTACATCACTAAGACTTTAAATTATCCCAAATGATGTTTGGTTCACTTCCGAGTGTGGGAAGAAATGGAAGGAAAAGAAGACTTATCCAAAAGCAGAGGTGGCGCAGCCTAGGCCTTGAGCTGTCACATACAGGGATTTGTGTGAATGTGTGTGTGTGTGTGTGTGTGTGTGTGACAGAGAGAGAGAGAGCACCCCTGCATGTGCACAGACACAAGCAAAGATACTGATGTTTCCCCCAAAAGTGACATTAATGTTTATGCCATATCTACATGGTGGAACCATGAAAGCTACATTACTAATGTAAATGGAAATGAAAGAACTCACAAAATTTCTTCACACTCTGTATTACTTACCAGTCCCATTTTACAGCTATGGAACTGCGACCAGCCCATAGTCATCTAGCTGGTTAAGGACAAATCAGTCGGAATACACCAGCCTTTCTTTTGACTTCACCACACAGATAACCTCACAATTTCTATGATCAAGAGGTTTACCAGGATTTGGTATGTTCTCACTTTGTTTTTCTTTCTGACAAAAGAAGAGTTTACACTTGGAATGAAGATTCAATATGATGAATGGTGACTCAGGTGTATATTACTTCAAAGAGAATACAGAAAGCTATTTTTTTTCTTAAATAGATATATCAGCAGAAAAATATTGGATATTGGAATTTTATCTCAGAATTCATCACAATATATCACTAAAGGTCAAGTTTCCCTAGGACATCTAACATACAATTTGAGTTTCAAATATTTGGTTGACAGATTTTTGTATTGTATTACTTGAAAAAAGCAAGTATAAGATAGTGTATAGTTAATAAAGTGGACACCACTCAAGGCAAAAAATATTGTCACTTATATTTACTGATATTTCATATCAAGTGTCAAAATGAAAACACAAAATGAGACCAGGCTTTAAACAAAAATGAGATTGGTTGTAGGAGAGGGAAGATCACAGTTTACCCTGTTTTTCATTCTTATTTGGCTTGTCTTTTATGGAGACATCACAGTGAGAACATGTTTGATGAGAATATCAAATGCTTTTTCTTCAACCTAATAGTTTGGGTCACAGGACTCAGGAATGTTTGAAGGCAGGAAGAGTATTAATACATGGAGGTAGAGTCAAGAGACATTTCATGTCCCAGTGGACATTTTTATGATCTAAATGAGTTTGAAAATTTGCTACAAAAGACATTCCATTCATTGGAATAGAAGGGAGCCATCTTTCAAAGATGATATGACATGCCCTTGTCATTTTCACATGGCTTGGGTCGCAGATTTTACCAATTACCGTATAGCCTTTAGTGTTTTCAAGCCATATCAATGTTTTTTCCATTTGCACTTCAGGCCGGAGGTGGGAGCGTAACATCTTTCTTTCTTTCCATGTGGTGGCCTGATCCCAGGAAGCCCTTTCATTTAGGGGGCAGGACCAAAACAAAACAACAGAGACCATGCAGCTGAATGTGCCAGATTCCCAGAGGAGCCCACTTTCTGTAGTGTACTTTTAAGTCAAAAGAATTTATTTATGTTCTCTCTCTCCTTTCTTGGTCAATGACACGGGTCAAAGGCATTTAATCAAACCCTTGTAGAGAGATGGGTCCCATCACCATGCAGTGCGACGATCTAATTTGTCTTCTGTCAAAAAATGTATTTTGGGAACAGAGCCGAATATGATTAAGTGTGATTTTTTTTATGGTCACTGCTGAAATATGTGTACGGCACAGATTTGCTAGGCTCATAATTTCATCTGTCTCTGGATAAATACTGAAATTGTTGTTAGCGTGGATGCTAAATACTGAGGAAACATCAGGAGATATTTTCCTTATACTACTCTTGAGTTCAGCTAGTTGAAGCCAAAATTACCTTCTGGTCTCTGAACCTGAATAATTGATAACCAAGGAGGCAATGCAAAGATGGAAAGATCTACAGGCCAGAGGTTTGATTGTTGCTGGAGAAATAATGATGTAAATGAAGCTTATAGTAAAACAAAACAAAACAAAACAAAACCAAAAATCTCCTCCAGCCAGTAGGTGGTACCAAAATTTATAATGTTTGGCTATTTTGGGGTTTATGGACAGCTTGCTAATTGCTTTGTCAATTAACTGATGTAATTTAATTTCTTTTGCTGCATCAAATAATGGTTTATTAAAGAACTCATATTCAGCTCCTTGGCCATGGATGACCAGCTCACTTGTTACTGTTGCTAACAGTTTCCAGAAACCCTCTGCTGACATCCTCATCTTCCTAAATGAGAGGAAGTGGGGAACTTGATCCCACATATTAAGCAAGGGCAGATATAGACCTAGTTTCTGAACTAGACCTTAAGTCTAAAATTTAAATCTTACCTTGTAAAGTAAGAAGACAGAACGATGTCCCATTTACAAGGTACTGGAGAAAATCTATTTTGGTCCCATGGAGGATCTTTCCCCCAAGTCCATTGCAGGTTTTTGCTATATGGCAAACCCCTGATGTGTCCTTATGTATTTTCCTATGTATAATTTGTTTCATTTTCTTTGCTAAAGAAGCAGAGAAAGAAATAACTCATTAGACGAGGAAGGGAAGTGAGAAGCTAGCAATAAACTTGATGGGAAGGGAAAATTCCACCTCTGAAAATAACTCCAGACAGTGATATGTCTCTCTAGCACTTAGAAAGGTCCCTGTTTAATCTCAGGAGTGGAACCATGAAAGCTACATTTCTAATGCAAATGAAAGGACTCAAAAAATTGTTTGAACCGATGAGGAGAAAATATTTTTTTCTGGGATCCCCATTTGCCCAGGGGTCAGAATTACCTTCACTTCTTTCTGTTGCCTTTTCTAGAAATACCCAGAGCAATACTTCCCTCTACTGCTTGGAAGCAATTATACAACTGAGATAACCAGAATTATTTATACAAAATAGCATACCTGTTTCACAGGTGAAGAAACCGAGGCATATGTGTTGGCTTTTGCAAAGTAAAGTCAAAAGGAAAGTTTAACAACACTCTAAGACACTCTCTCCTCTATAGAATATCTATATGTAAGCATAGGCAAATGTACCTTTCTGAATGTAAATCTGAACCAATTGACTCTGTTAAACAAAGAGATCAGGCAAACTATTTTTTTATCTATTAGTTGTTAAAGGAAAGCCTTTGAAATAGATTTAGAAGAGCAGAAGTGACAAATTATCAAAGTATGGATCTACAACTACCTGGGTCCCACATCACACTGCTGATGTCAGAACCTCTGTAAGAGGGACCTGGGCTGGCCTCTAACAAAATTTTTCAAGCAATTCTAATAACTGCTAAATGAGTAAAATATAATCCTGGCTAGTAGGGTATTTTAAAGACAGTGGAGAAGAAAATTTGTATGATGTCTGTTTTTATTAAATTTATATAAAATGATTTCAATCTTATCATTTGATAAAAGTATGGAATAAATTCATATGCATTGATTATACTATGGTCTTAATTATTTTAAATTATATAAATATATTTAATAAAGTCACAATTATTGGCCACAGAAATATACAATTTAGAAATTGTCAGCAGATGTTGGTATCTTTATATTTTTTTTCCCATTTATAATTTAGCTCCATTTACATTTGGTGGCATTTGTTGAATAGCTACAGAAAGAATGAAAGTGCACCATCAGAGTGTAATTAGGTCTGTGTGACCCAGGAAGTGTCTGTTAAACAGAGATTTCTCAAGGGCAAAGTGGCTTCTAACCAGTAAAAGTCTTATATTTCATCAGGAGGGTCATTCTACTAGCATCCCAGCTGACTGGCTATGAAACTGGCTATGAAAATGACTTCTCAAGAAACTAGAAAGTCTAGTAGTATTGCAGTGTCAAAAAGAGATTTTTGCTGCAGAGATGGGAGTGTTTGAGCTTATCATTGAGGGATTAAGAGCCAGAGTGTTAGCAACTATCCTTCAAGTAGCCATGATAATGTCAAGAACCTCCATGGGTAGGAGTACTGGTATTGCCTTTAAGCACTGAAGTTTAAAACAAAAAAAAAGCTTGACCCACTGAGACAATCAGTCACACCACCATCTGTGAGCCTGGTGTTCTATGGGGGAGAAATAACAGGCTATCAACCCAAGATTTACCTGCAAAAGCTTTAGAACTGCAATTTCAAGCCCTCCAGATATAGCTTTATCTTTCATTTAAAGAACCTTTTGTTTCCATCTAAGAAACTATAAGCAATAGGTAAAGTTGAACCCCAAGTTTCATAAGGAATATAACTCTGAGAAATAACATGTGACTTAAAATCACACAACTGAAAGTATTAGAATTACCTTAAGTCTGTTCTGAAAGCATGACCTAGTCATCATACTTTATAAAGCAAGATATTTAAATACAAAATATCATGACATTAGTAATCCTATTCAAATGTTTGCCATGAGTTATAATTTTATGAAGTTATGAATTAATAGATCCATAATTAATTTTTGATACAAATAACATAAATGTTTAACATAAATCTTGGGGCTGGTCTCATCTGGCTTTGCGGGTAAGCCATGGAAGTTATGCAGAGAATGAGGGAGAGGGCAAAGGGGAGGTTGGTTAAATGAGCCTGGGAAGGGCGTAGAAGCCAGGATAGAAAGACTATTTCTGAGGACGGATTAGAGGACTAGAGAGGAGAAAATATCTTTGGTCTTAGACCTCAGTCTTGTTCTCCATCCCACCATTCACTAGATGTGCAACCTTTAACAAGTTTCGTAGAATTCATGACCTTCAGTCTCCTCGTCTGAAAGTACCAATATATAAAATCTCATGAAATCATTTAAGGGCTAAATTAAAATGATGCATAGAGAGTGATCAGCAAGGTGCACAGCAAGTGCACAAAAAGTGGCAACAACAATACTTTATACAGTTATTAATTGCTGGTCTCCACTGGGTTACTTAAGAGAATAACCATCATTCAATAAATAAAGTTTGCTGTTACATACTACAGAACATGGTATAAATAGTTGACAATGTCAGGAGCAGGGCTACTAGAAATCTACCTGGAATATCTACCCTGAGACTGTTAATTTGTAGCTCATATTTGAGGCCACTGTCATTTCTGTCTTTCTCACGATTCTCCTGATCTGCAGTCATGCGGGCCTCTTGTGCCTCAGGTAGCTTTTTAGGAGAAAAACATCAATCCCTTTGAGATGTTCTCCAGCGCCCCTCCAAGGTAAATCTTTCACAAAATTTATAACATATATTTTGAATCGGTCCTTGATAAACATATCCTTCAAATTTGGTGAAAATATATGCATTTGCATAATTTATGAAAACAGAGGCAGGCACTTTTCTTGGCATTAATTCACAATATTATCTCCTAAATAATACACATATCTATAAACCAGAAGGATGTGGACTCCTGAAATTCCTCATTCTAAACAAGAGTTGAGAAAGCACCTCTCTTTCCCATTCAAATATATCTCCCCTAGTAGCCTTGAGACAAGAATTTGATAATTTGATGTATTTATCAAGATTGGTGAGAGATGCAAGAAAGGGGATAAGAGGTACCAAAACCAAATTTCCCTATTTTGCGGTTTTGCTTCAGGCTGGTTCATAACTCTCAATCCTTAGAATAGGAAGGAGGAATAAGGTATAAGTTCTACTGTCCCCATTGCTAAGTGAAAACCTAAAATGATAACCACATTGTGGAAATCCAGGTTATAATCAGGTCACTCATTTTATTGTTATAGAAATGCATGATCTTAAAGTGGTGTTGTAGGCAGTAGCTTTGTTAAAACAGAATGGATCAAAGTCTGAAAACAATGATTGTCACATTTTAGAGTGTGAACTTAGTTTTAAAAGCAGCAGGGAATCAATGTGTTTTCGTGGTATTGGAACCATGCTTTAAGAGAATAGTCTGACCACAGTATACAAAGAGATAGAAAATAAGGGAAGAAGTTTATTGTGTAATGGTTCCTATGGGAAATGCTGAGGTCCTGATGTAGTGTTTGCATTAGACAGATGAAGGTAACTCTGCAGAAGTAGAACCTACTGGAAACTGACTAGAAGCCAAAGAAGGCCAAAGAGGGAAGCAAGAGAAAGGGAGATGAAACAGTAGAAAGATTCCAAGCCTTCAGTGGTAGCTGAATGATAGTATGGTACTACAGTTTACAGAATTAGAAGATACTAGTTATAGCAGAAGGTGGATTTGGGGATTTTACACATGTTGGTCAAGATGCCAGGAAGGCTGTTACAGAATTGGCCAAGGTGCATCGGGAAGGAAATCTGGAGCTGTGTAAGGAGACTGAGGCATACAAATATTTTTAAGAATCTACTAGGGAGATGTCTGCCATCAACAGAATTGATTAATCTACTGAGGCAGAGAGTACATATCTATGGGAGTAGAGGCAGTCAAAGAAGAGAACTAGGAAAGTAGGAATTTCAAAAGAAACTAAATAGCAGTGTTAATGTGATGAAGTCAAAGCAAATGATTACTTAATAGAAAAGATGACTGAAGGGGAGCCAAGGGTATAGATTTTGTTTCTCACTGAAGGGAAGGAACAAAGAAATAAGGCATCAGCTTGGAGAAGAGAAAAGCTTGAGGAAAAAAAAAAACTTGTTGTTTTTCCTTTTTGTTTGGTGTTGAGGACAACAGTCTAAAAATTATATGGAAAATGCCAAAGTAAAAGTGGTTTATGGAGGAAGAGGCTGGCAGAAGCAGCAAGAAATAGAATCGAACACAGAGACAAAAGAATAAACTCTGGCAACAAAGAGGAATGTTTCTTTCTCACAGGCAGAAAGGAAGAGATGACAAAAGAATGATACCTCACAAGACAGAACACAGAAAATTATAGGATTGTGGCAGACATGAGCACAACTATTGAGAGAGTGAAGAAAGGTCTCAGACTGGTATTGTGAGACAATGGAGTATTTAAAATCATAGTTGAGATTTTGGCTGGCACAAACTAGTGGTGCATTGAAGGACTGCAGTGCAACTGTGCTGGTCCAAGAGAGGAGAGGCAGCAAAAAGTAGTGTTCATTTTTGAAGGCTTTCTCAAGTGGTTTTTGGTGGCTCAGACGTCAATGCATCCAAAAATTTTTGGAACTGGAGATCAGCTAGATGAGAGGAGTGAAGGTCAAGTAGGTGAGACATCCTTGAATCATCATCACTAGAATGTTGCAAATTCTTAAAAGAGAATCCAGGCAAACAAGAAATCAGAAAAAAACATGGGAAAAGATAACAAACCGGGAAAATGAACAGTCAAGTACTGGAGAAAATGTTGAGATTTTCTCAACATTTCTCAACATCAGATTTAGGTGACGCTGTTATCAGAGGTGAATTAGGGCCATTTTAATGATGATGAGATCAAAGGTGACTGAGTCATTGGTATCGGAGGTAGAATGAAAACATAAGCTTGTGGAGCTGAAAACAGGAGTATGTACTCAGGAGTATGTATTAAATGTAGGGAGGAGGGTGAGCTTACAGTAGAGTGGGTAACTAAGCATTAGGTTCTGAAGTCACTGAGGACACGGGAAAGTGTTGGTGGATCTTGAATGAGGTAATGCAGAAGATGTTATGAACACACCAAGGGTAAATACTTTCAGAAAATACGTCCTCCATTCTGTGAGTCAGTGGTTGAATGGCCCCTGCTTAAATAGCACCAGCACTTTCAGAGACAACAAAATATGGTTCAGGTCTAATAACGGAAGTCATGGAAAATCACTGCACTACTTAGTCTTTGACCAGCTAGAGAAAATATTGGATCTGAAAGTATATAAATTAGCTCCAGTGTTCCATTAGTATATATTAGCATCAGTAATCAGAAACCTAAAAAAGAAGTTTAATGGAAAAAATGAAGGTGAGTCCCTAGTGTTTTGTTATACTCTATTTCTAGTGAATATTGTTTCTGTCTCCCTTAGAGAATTTCCTTTCAGAGACCAGGTGAAAAGTGTGTCTATAAAAGAAATATTGATTAGTTTAACAACCTCATTAAATGTGATTAACCTTTTAAGAGTATTAGGAAGATCTTTAAACTCTACAAAGCTGAAAAATACTTGTATGTTCAATGAAGGGCACCTTTTAAATACTCTGGAAATTTATGAGAATTGGGTACTTATAAGACTAAATTTAGAATTCAAATTTTAAAATGTGTCATTATTTCTGTACTTCTGTAATTTTGTTTCAGTTACTCAGAATTAAAAATAACTTAATATTTGTTTTATTTGTGAAAATATTTATGAAGAGAATGATATGCCAAACCAGGCTAGAAGACAGTTCCACAGAATAAAGGAAAGTTGAAAGTACCACCCCACACATAAACACACATTCGGACTAGAAGTTTTAGAATGTTCCTTCTCTTTTTTTAATGTTTCCCAAATTCTACAACATTTGCGATTCATGGATTCATAAACAAGACCTAATAACAGGAGTTTTAACATAAATAGTAATGGAACTATTAGGGGAAAGGAAGGAAATTTACCTCTGAACTACATGCAATAGCTAACCCCTGCTACTCCACAACCTCAGTTTAAAAAGTAAGTTCTTTGGCATCAGTACAAAGTTGAATCAGCTCCATGAGTCTAGATTTACAATAAGGCATAACATAAGCTTTAAGGGAGAATAGAACTTATTAACAAATGGAAAATCAGAAAAGTTTTCTTTCTTTTCTAAAAAAAAAATATAGCAAAGGAAAGCTACATTCCTTCTCTGAATACACAGTTGCACAAATTATTATTTATAGAGTTTCTTTAATCATGCACAACCATAAGAACGACTTCCAGTTTTTTCTTTTCCTATTCAAAGCAGATTTTTAACAAGAAAATGGTGAGGCATCAGAAACTTAGTCCCTCATGGAGTTGACCTTTTAAATATTCAGTATTTTTATTGACTGTCCATTGTATTTTCTTCCCTTGAGATACTGGTATGGTAATCAAAGCGTGGGAATAGTTAAACATTACTACAAAACCCCAAAGCCAAATGCATCCTCCACAAAAAACTGCATTTCTCTTCCAACAACTAACTGTGTTTGTGATTAAATGCAAATATAAATGCTAGCAATCAAAACAATGGCTTGCAATCATGTGCAGAATGATTCATGAATTAGCGTGTGTGTGTGTGTGTGTGTGTGTGTGTGTATCTGGAGATTATATATATATATATATATATATATATATATATATATATATATATATATCTCCATCCCACTCTCCAGATTTTTAAATGTACTTTAGAGGTTAGAAGAAAAATAAGAGAAAAGAATTCAAGTATTTTGAATTATAATAAAATATGCTGCCAAATCCTTCAGCAACTGTTCATCATGCTAAATACATTATAATAACTATTCACTGGTCATATATATTCAAAATTCCCAAAATTATATATTAACAAATTATGTTCAAGATGCATAAAACTTAATGGGAAAACTTTTAAAGCCTGAATTTCAGTACAGAAAAACCTTTGGAATGTTCTCTACTTGAGATTTTAATGCTGCTTAGAAATTTCTTTAGGACATCTAGAACTCCTTTTGTGATTCTTCATCAGCTGTTTTACAGACAGCAGTGATCTGTATAACACACATTTTCACTTTCTGCATGATTGAAAGAGTTCATATGCTATATCCAATTTTAGGGTAGTGTATAAGATTACATTTCTAGAATATAGAAAGCGATAGCCATCAAAACTGCACCGTTGCTGTTTATAGTAATTCCCAGTATTTACTGTTTGATGGACATTTGTGAATAATAGAGAGGGTGACACCAAGATGATGTTTAGGCCACAGTAATAACTGGTAGTACACACTGTTGACTGTAGACAGGCGTGAACCAGCAAGCACTTGGATACTCAATACACTTCCAAGTGGGAAGCTTCTTTGCTTTTTGGAATGGAACCGACTTTGAAGAAAATGTGACACATATGCATAATATCATTCTGGCTGACTTTCTTTGCCTTGTTGAAGTTTTCATGTTGCATAAATTTAGGACTTGAATTGTCCACTGCAGATTTTATTCAATTTGTTTTGCAAATTACCTTCCATTCCCAACAGTTTGGCCATGAATTTTACAAAGAACTCCAATGCACTTTCCAACAGAAAGCCTAGGATAGGCAGAATAGCAAAATGATCAAGAGTATGAATTATGGAGTGAGGCTGACCTGGAATCAGTCTTGGATAAATTACTTTGTTTCTCTTAGCTTCAGTTTCCTCACCTCTATACAAGAGATTGTAGTAATTTTACCTCCCAAAAATATAACGAATAAGTGAAATAATACACATGAAACAGGTAACAGAGTTCTTGACAAATAGAAAACACTCAAAACTGTTAGGTGGTGTAATTGTGAGCTCACATACATATGTATGACTTTTATGTAAATTACTGTTCAGTGTACTGACTGATTCTCCGTCAAGGGTGTCTGTGAATGCTGGGTTGTGGCTAATCTTCTTCCAATGCCCAGCATTGGTAACTGCTTCAGATATATTGTAAAGTGCCTTTCTAGCTAAGATATTGTGATAGAGCAAGTTTTCAATTCTAAAGAGAAGCCTCCACATTGACCCTGATGATGCTTTTACTTGCCAACAAAAAGACCACAAAATGAAAAGACTGAGAGGTGAGAGTTGCTAACAAAATTTCACATAGTGTGTTTCTCCACAGAGGTGTGTTTCCAAGGGCCACAGTTTTCCCTATGTGAATATCAAACTCCAAGAATGGGCTGTTGTTCACCTGTGCCTTATGCTGATGTGCCCACCATTCCTGTTACAGTATCTCAAGCATGAGGGATGAGAACCTCCTATGGGGACCTTTAGCGGACATATGGAGAATCTAATTGTTGTGGTCAATTCTTACTCTAATGGCTCAATTCCTGTTCTGCTGACAAGCTTTTTGATTTGAAATCTGTGTCTTTCATTCCAGCTTAGCATGGTGGGTTGGATGCAGGAGTAAGCTCTTAGTTTTTTTTCTTGTTTCTCCTGCTGTCCTGCTCAGAGGACCTTGGTAACGGATATGGAAGAATTTAATACCCCAAAGACTCTTCAAAAGAGTCTTACTTGACAATATTTAAGTCAAAGTTGGGACTCAGACAACTATCAAAAATATATGCAAAATGTTGACTCTTTCTCCTAACATTCATTGTAAGGTTATTGTAATACTGTGCTGCTTCCATTTAAGGGGCAGCGGTTATAGTTATGCCAATGCTTCCTCCATAAAACCCCTAGTACCCAGACATTGTTAGCTACCTATAAAAACATATGTAGATACAGAATATGGCATTCCAAATATCATCCTAAGTACAATTTTAAGAATTCACTTAAGGTATTTCCAGAGTGTTCTAAATGCTTAAAAGAAACAAAGCCATATTCAGGTTCTCAAGCAGTTTTTCAAAACACCTTTATATATTGCTTGGAAAGGTATAAAAATATAGGCAGTGCTGTGTAATAAATATACACATTTTAAGGTCCTGGCTAAAGATCAAATGTTCAAAGAGCTGGGACAAGCAATTTGTACATTTGCCTCAGAAATGTGTACTTCCTTCCCTTGTGGATAGGGAGTGAGAGAGAACTTTTAAAGTATTAATAGCATTTTCAGTTTTGCTCCCTTTGCCAGGAATTGTAGAGACAACTCTATATTTCCATAATATGACTCTGCAGTATGGAAAACATCTCTGTTCTTTTTCTCTATCTCAATTTCAGTCTAATTTAGATTTATCTATTTTTCAGTCTAATTTGGACTTTTATCTTTCACTTTGTTTAACTTCATGTCACAGCATTTGAACTGAACATTTGTAATTAGGGAACTCTTATACTTTATGGCCAAGATTTCTCCTGTGTTTTCTTACATTAAGATAATCTGCCTTTATTTCTATCATAACCACTAATTGGGAAGTTACCATCTTCTTGAATTTCTACATCTTGAATTTCACAGCAGGATCTAAAACTCTGAAGCCTCATACCCAGCATTCATGATTAAGACCCACCATTTTACAAAGCTAATAACTAGCTACAATAGAAAGGAGTAGAAGCCAAATTTGTGAGTTTATTAATTAATTCAACCACTGGGGTTTACTTTTTTTATCTGCCTTCTGCTCTAGGCAGGCACAAACCATGAGGAACAATTAGAGCACTGACCAAAGAGAAGATGAATTACATAGAATGAGATTTCTTTGGCAAAACTACTAACCAAGCTCATTTTGAAATATTTATATTCTCAAGTTAATTGACTTAATTAGATCAGTCTTAGTCTTCATTTGTATGATATTATTGTTATATGCATAGCTCTCTTTTACCTTATTTCCATTTAAAAATATAATACAAACCCACCACCAATCCAAGAACTAAAACACTACCATTCACTTACATTAATGAGCACCTTGCCATTCCTTACCATCCCCTAAGAAGTAAGCAATATCTCTACTTTTGCATTTATAGTTCCCTTATTTTTTAAAGAATATTGTTTTGAAGCCACATATATTTGCATAAAAAATGTATTGCTTATTTTTGCCTATTTTTGAACTTTGTGATGACAGTATCAAACTATGTAGTCCTCTGACACTTGTTTTTCTCATTGCACATTATGTTACTAAGAGTCATCTGCATTGTCTGTAATACTAGTTTATGTGTTATCATTGCTGTATAATATTCCACTGTGATAATATATCACAAGTTATTTTTACAGTCTCTTGTCAAAGTGTCTTATCATCTTGGTTGTTTCTAGTTGTAGGGTTATTTGAGGTGGGTGGGCAAAGAGCAGGAAAATTAGAAAACTTTTTTTATTTTACTGCTGAAGAATAAAAGTATAGATGTCTGCATGGTATATCAGTGCAAGTGTTTCTACTTATATGTACGTACGTGTATATGTGTAATTTTTAGATCATAGGGTATGTGAATGTTGAACTTTATGAGATAATCCCAAATTCTTTCCAAAGTGATTGCTTCAGTTTACATTCCCACTAGCAATGTGAATGAAAACTCACTGAAACACATCTTCTCCAGCACTTACCCTGTTGAGTTTCTCACATTTTTCTCCCAGTTGAAAGGAAGTAAAATTGTATTGCAGATTTGCATTTCTCTGACTATTAATTAGATGGAGCATATTTTCATATATGTATCAATCAAATATATGTACTGTTTTCTAAAATGGCTATGGAGTTTTTTCATTCATTTTTTATTTGTAGCATTTGTGTGTTCCTTATTTGCTTGGTGGAATATTTTATAAATTCTGAATACTAATCTTTTGTCAGCTGTATGTTTACAAATATTGCTGCGCTAGTTTGTAGCTTCTATTTGTATTATTATTATTATTTGAGACAGAGCCTTACTCTGTTGCCCAGGCTGGAGTGCAGTGGCGCAATCTAGGCTCACTGCAACCTCCACCTCCTGGGTTCCAGTGATTCTCCTGCCTCAGTCTCCCGAGTAGCTGGAACTACAGGCGCATGCCACCATGCTGGGCTAATTTTTATATTTTTTAGTAGAGACAGGGTCTCACCATATTGGCCAGGCTGGTCTTGAACTCCTGACCTTGTGATCTGCCTGCCTCGGCCTCCCAAAGTGCTGGGATTACAGGTGTGAGCCACCATGCCTGGATGTAATTTCTTCAAAGTGTCTTTTAGGGAATAAAAGTTTTTAACTTAATAAAGTCCAGCTTATCAAAAATGTCTTTTATGTTATAATTTTATAAATCAAATAAGTTAAATACATACTGAGCACTCACTATGTGTATGGGTTACTCCAGGTCCTGGAGATGCAAAAATGAAAACAAAATAGTCCTTTCCCCCAAGGAACTGAAAGTCTAAGGAGAATAACAAACAGGTAAGTGATTACAAAATAGTATGATATCTACTGTGACACAGACAGCAAAAAATGTACTGAGCACAACTGGAAAACCTTCACAGAAGCAGATGCAATATCTAAGCTACTACTTAACAACTGCAAGAAAGAAATGTTATTAACATATGCCAAGGCTAAGTGATAAGAGAAACCATAATGAAAAACTGTGCAGCCGAGAGTGGTGGCTCACATCTGTAATCCCAGCACTTTGGGAGGCCGAAGCAGGAAGATCACTTGAGGTCAGGAGTTTGAGACCAGCCTGGCCAACGTGATGAAACCCTATCTCTACTAAAAATACAAAAATCAGCTGGGAGTGGTGGCAGGCACCTGTAATCCCAGCTACTCGGGAGGCTGAGGCAGGAGAATCGCTTGAACCTGGGAGGCGGAGGTTGCAGCGAGCCAAGATCGCGCCACTGCACTCCAGCCTGGGCAAGAGAGCAAGACTCCGTCTCAAAAAAAAAAAATGTGCAAGTAGAATCAAACTTGACATGCAATTGGTATGAGTAAAGGAAAGTGAGGTACTGTAGGAATGCAACCCCCAAGGTGTCACCTGAGAGGAGATGCATTGTGGAGGGACACAGCTGACAAACGCATAGGGATTTTTCATGTGTGCCTGAGTCACTGCTGTATCCACCCCAAGATTTTGAATAGTTTTGACACATAGTGAGTACTTCCATAGACATTCGTCAAATATCTGAGTGAGTGAATAAGAAAGAAAAGGAAAAAATGTCTATTAGTTTATTTGGGCTGCTGTAACTGAACACCACAAACTTGGTGGCCTAAAACAACAGAAATTTATTCTCTCAGAGTTGTGGAAACCAGAAATCTGACATCAAGGTGTTGGCAGGGCGGTGCCCCCTCCAAAGACTCCAGAGAGGATTTGTCCTTGTCCCTTCCAGCTTCTGGCGGCTCCAAGTGTTCCTTGGCTGTGGCAGCGTCACTCCAGTCTCTGCCTGTGTCTCTGAACGCCTTCTTCTCTGGCTGTCTCCTCTATTTATAAGGACACTTCTCATTGGATTTAGGGCCCACCTGGGTAATCCTGGATTATCTCATCTTGGGATTCTTCACTTGATTTTTCCTGTGAAGACCTTGTTTTTCCCCCCAAATAAGCTCATATTCCCTTGCAGAAGGGATTAGGATTTGGACATATCTTCTTGGGACCCACAGTTCAACCCACTACAGAATATCACTTCCATGCTTAAGTCTTCAATTACTCTCTACTCTTCACCGTTTTAGGGTAAAATATGAATTCCTTTAAACAATCGACAGGACCCTAAGAGTGTGACCCTTGTCTATTTCTCAGTCCTTATCTCACTGTCTCCCTCTCTTCCTTTACTACACTCTAGTCACAAAGGCATCTTTGAGAATTTCTTCCAGGCCCTGCTCATTCACACTCAGTGTCTTTGCACATTGTTTCCTCTGCCACAGATGCTCTTCCTCCCACTCCTCCTCTAGCTAACTCCCTCCCTTCCTCAAGTCTCAGGCTTTCTCTTCTGATTCTCAAATCAAAAGTCATCCTACTATTGCCCTACATGTTTGAAGATTATAAAGCTCCATGAATTAAAACAGTATTTTTCAGAAAAAGAGGAGTAAATATCTCATAGTACATACTATGTACTATGGAATCTCATGCAGTTTTTTTTTTCAAAAATGAGATCTAACTGTATGCTTTGATATGAAAAGATCTCCAAGAGTGTTAAGTGACAAAAAGCAAGTTGAAAATCACATGTATAGCATAACTCTACATATATTAATAAAAAGACTAAAACCAGACATGTCTATAAAGCTTCATGTACATATGGAAACAGATAAAAAGGACACCAGAATAATATCTCCCAACTGTTGACAGCTGGGAGAAGGGCAGGCAAGTAATGAGAGAAAGAAAGGGTTTTTCATGTTTCCTCTGGTATTTCTGCACCCTTTCAACCATGTGCAAAGAAGATACTACCAGTATAATCAGAACAAAAATACCGATGACAGAAACAAAAATGTAAAAAACAGTATGACTGATTCAGGAATGTACAAACAGATGAACAGGACAGAATAGAAAGGCTAGAAACAGGTGCATGTATATCAGAGATTTAGTGTGTGAGGGAGGTGGGCCTCAATTCAGCCAGGAAAAGACAGTTCTTCAATAAATGATGTTGACTGGCAATTTGGTGGTACAGATAATAGATTCTTGCCTCTAACCACTCACCAAAACCCAGATGAAGGAAAGAGCTGCATATATAAAAGAAAAATAAATAAGGTAATATATTTTATAATATTGAAGTTGAAAGAACCTTCATAAGCAACACAGACTAGATAACATGTAGATAACAACACCAGGGAAATACTTGCATGTGTGCATACAGAAGCATCTGTAAGGATGGTCAGTGAAGCACTGTAACCTAAAATTAGAGACAAGCTAAATATCTATAAATAGGGAGAGAATTAGGTAGAGTGTCATACATCTTTACTATGACAAATGATTCAGCCATCAAAAGAATGAAATAGATCCATATCTACTGACATAGAAAAGTGACATATAGTGTTGTTAAATAAAGGAAACTAGCAATACATATAGTGTAATCCAACTTATGATTTTTAAAAAGGAAGCCATACACATACATGTATAGATATGCATATGCATACACAGTCTCATACATGTAGACACACATATCTGAATACATATGTACAGATGTAACTATACATGTATACATGTACATGTATTATAAATGTGTGGACAAAGGCTTGGAAAGACACGAATTTTTATGCTGGTGAGTTTCTTAGAAGAAGAGGGGTTGGAGGGAGGGGCATCGATAGAACTACTTGATTAGCAATTAGCATTTCCTGCAGTTTCCTTGAGGGGATCATTCTTCCCTCATTCTCTAAGGTTCTTATGGGGATGCCGATTACAGTACACATCTCTTGCACAATGTCACTTGCAACTGAAAGTCTTGGTCAATCTAGGCTGTTTCCCTTTCACTCTATGTATCTGTATATTGTTTGATTGTCTTTACGAAAAGAATGTATTAATGTGTTCCTTGTGTAAAAAATCACACTTTGATTTAAATATTCATTTGCATATTTGTTTATTTAATATTGCCTTGCCTCACTAGACTTGAGGGCAAAGACGACAGTATAAACAGAGACTATGCCTGTTACACAGTAGTTGCCCAAGAAATAATTATTTAAAAATAACAGTGTGTTCTGGGAAAGTTAAACAGTACATATGCCTTGACTGTAGGATGCTCAGGGAATGGCAGGGCTAATAAAGGTGGTAAGCATGTATGGGGGAAAGTTATGAAGAAATTTTTAAACCATGCATTACATCTGTAGTCAATGGTAGTACAGATTTAGCACCTGTGTCATCAATTAAATCCTTAGTTTAAATTCTTCTCTCCTATAAAAATGTACGTACTCAGTTACAAAGACTTTCCTAAGGTCAACAATTCATTAACATATGAGTATGCTCTCCCATGTCTTTGGCCAGGTGGAAAAGCTGGTTTCAGCAGGGTGCATATGAGGCCAAGATAACAGATGTAGTTCTTTGGTAGGTCTGTTTTCTTCATTGTAGTGCACGTCCAGCTGTCTGGCAACCTTGCACTTGAGCTCATAATGAAAATGGGTGAGAGGGTGTTTCAGAGTTGGCACAGATCTACTAGAAAGAGCTCAAAGCATTCTGTTGGGGAGTATTGACATCTTCATCTTCCTCAATAGGAGATAACTTTATAAATACAAGACCTTTGCCTACAGTGCTCTCTTACCAGTGGAATCAACATCAAAAGTTCAATCTTAATAAAAATCTATGTAAGTTCTTTCATTGTTGTTCCGCTTGTGGTGCACATCTGTTTATTTTCTTGACATGAGTTGCACATTACAAATTCACTCAGTACACGGATGGAAAATATTAGTGGGAACATTGACTGCAGCTGTCCTTTTCATAGGCTGAGATTGTTTGCAACTCTGCCTTGTATACTTTTTTAAAATGCTTTAACTAAAAATGAGTTCTTATGTCTGGTCACAAAATATCCACAATCCCACTTTCCCAGTAGCCATGACTATGGACGTTAGCAGACTTTGGCTTTATTAGACACTTGAGATACTTCTCCTAACCACACTCTCATACCTGGCCCTATTGCCCTAGCTTAGTTTACTACGGAGTGGTTTTCTGGACATCTTGTCCTTTCATTGTCTACACAAACACAGTCTAATATTGTGGACTTAAAATAAGCAATGTTATTAGCTCTGTGGACTCAATCTTTCTGGCTCCTTTTGAAAAATAATATTATTTTCCTCATATTAACAGTGGCTAATGAAAGTGCTCACAAAGTTGGGTGCACTGTAGAGAGTGGTGCCACATCTCTTGGCTACATGAAATATGGCACAGACAGCCATAGCACTGTGGCTCGGTGCTATGCCTATCTGCCACTCTTGTGAGAGTTACAGGCTAGCTTTCTTGGGCTTTCTGCTATTTTTCTTGCAATGTGTCATCAGTTCTGGACAGTGGTCAAGCTAACTCAATTTAATGACATCATTCTAGAAAGCTGGATATATAATATAATGGAGCCTGCCATAACTGTCTTTGGCTTAAGTATTGTATGACTCTCTTTGGTATATATTCATTTGCGATTAAACCAGACTATTTCACTCTCTCTGCAAAATATTTTATTATGTGCCTGTTCCTGGTGATCTTCATTTTTTTTTGAATGGGGGTGGGTGTCAGTTATGTTTCTATCTAATTGTGGTCATTTTGTGTTTATTCTGTCTTCTGAAATATTAACTACTTCTCAAAAAATAAACCATGTTTAGATATCCTGAGAAACACAGATGTGACCAAAACTATATTAGTTGGTTTCATTCAATGTGACCATTACTTTAATATGGACCTATAAATATTTATCTCTTTTGTGCCTGCCTTGCAGGTCATAATGACTCAGATTTTGACCACATGTATAATAATTCGTTTAGTCATAGTGACACAAATATGGCATTTATATCATTAAGAAATTGGTGAATCTCCTGTAGCATAAAAGCCACATACACATAAATGCCAATTTGAAGTGTTCTCTAAAGATTCGTAAGTATTCATAAATCATTACATTATTTTAAGATGTATTTGTCCAGTGTGCTGTGCTATAGACATCCTTATGTAACCCTTGACAAATAAATGGAAAAGGCTTAAAAAACAACCTTTCAAATCAATCAACTAGAATTGGGATTTATCCCACAGGACATCACATGGCATTCATTTTCTTCTCCAATCCCCACAACTGTACAATTTGAAACTTCTCTTTAAAATGACTATTCTCATGAGAGTGATAAAATTTAGGCTGTATTTTTATTTATTGTTAAGGAATGAGAAACAGAATTGAAAACAGGATATACATAGTGTAGGCCTTGCCTCCTTCTTGAATGTTATTATAAATTCAGAGGTTACTTCAGGCCTTAAATCTGATGGGATTCCATTTACCTGCCTGGATCTTCATGGCTTGAGTGACTCTGATTAGGGGATAAAATATTAAATTCATGAACTAACTGGTAATAATATCTTATATACTTGTGAAGAACTCCAACAATATTGGAAATAAAATAAACAATAGGATTCTAAGTTGCTGTGTGGCCTCTGAAACAAAATGTTTAATCAAAACCATAACCTGCGCTAATCCTCTTTGTGATGTTACATAGGAGGTGTTTCGAAAGTACCACAGAAATAGCCTTGCCTTGCTACTGCTGGCACAGGAATTTTAATAATGCTACACAGGAAGTGTCCCTAAATGGCTGTTGGTGAGGCAGGGATATTTAATGGTGCAACACAGGAAGTACCTCCGCACTGTTCCTGCTGAGATAATGTCAAAGTACTGCACGATGGAGAATGTTTTCAGCTTGGTGCCAGGCAGAAGATAACTCCTACTGCCAAAAAGAGACTGAAAATACCCTTCCTGCTGCCACAGTATGCTTAGAATGCTACAAAATGCAGAGAAAATGTTGATTGTGCCAAAAGGAACAGAGAGAAGGGAGCCCTCCTGTGTGGGAAGAGTTGCAGGGCCAAGACACTTCTGAGGCTAACAAGTAAAGCAGGCAACCTGCAGTTTGGTGAGATAAGCAAATATCTCTGCAAAGGTTCAACATGAAGTGCTCTTTAAGATTTTTGCACACAGGAAGACCAAGAATGTATCAACAAGGGCCCTGAAATCAGAAACCCACAACTGGTATGAAAGAAACGAAGCAGGGCATTTTCAGCAAACCAAAGAAGCTCCAAGAAACAGAAACAATAAGAGAGGGGAAGAGTTGAGACTGAGATAGCATAGCCAATATTCCTTGGCCATGAAAATGAAGAGATTTTTAACAGATCCTTACTTAGATAGGCATGAAGATGGAAAATTGAACTCTGCTGACTGATATTTATGGTTGTTCTATAGTAAATATAGTCCCCATGGTAACTGAATACTAAAATTCATATAGTTCTCTCATTCCAGAGAGTAGGTTTAAACCTTCAACAAATCCTTCTATGATTTTTAAAACATCCTGAGTTAAAAATCACATCCTGGTACTGTAATTGATAGAAATTTGAATGGACTATAAACCTGACTATTACAGTTAAGACTCTGGTGTCCTGAGTAGGCAAAACCAGGCAAGATGCTCTCTTCATCTTTTGGATGAATAAAGAAAATGAGCAGCCACAAATTTCATAAATTTATCCATGAAAGAAACATGGAGACTCCAATGAGCCAAATGTTCTGTCCTCATCAACCACTACCTAAATTTTCCTTTCCTGGAAGGTGACAAGGTCAGTATGTGAATCAAGTTGATCAGTCTCTGGTCTCCTAAAAAACCGTAGCACATACCTTTGCAGTCTGAAGGGTCTATGGCTAGTGAGTCTTTATGATTAGAGAGGAGAAAATTAGTTATAAATATTTTCAAGTTGTATGAGGTTTTCCAGCAAATATTCTGACAGTAGGTCAAATGGTGAAGATTTATAAATGAATGACTCCAAATTCCCTCCATGCCCCCAAATTCCTAATAATCCTTATTCTATTATACATTTTCTAACTTTTACTGTACTTATCAACTTCTAATAAACTATTGATTATTTGTTATATCATTTGTTCATTGTTTGTCTTTCCCATTGTTAGAATTCACGCACCAACAAGAGCAAGTATCTATATCTACTTTTTTCACTGATATATTCCAAGCTGCCAAACATATGCCGAATACAGAGTAATTTCTCAATATACACTTATTGAAAGTGTTGAAATAATAGTTATCAACCTTAATATTTTATCCTCTCTCTAAGCCATTTCTATCTAGTTAATATGTTCCCATTAACATAGATCTAATGGATTAATAAATAACTTCTCACTTGTTTTTTATCAAAACAAGAAATCCTCCCACATTTTTCTATTACATTCTTGGAACAACTCTTTGTAGTCGCTTAGCTTTCTACGTTTCACTCATTTCCTACTCATCATTTTTCCTCATACCCTATGTCCATGTCATCCTATTCATGCTAACTAATATTAACACTAATATTAATGGTATCCTATGAATGCCATTTTATTAATGTTAATACATATCCTGCACGTGACTGGTACATAATGGCCCTTGTTGTATCATTTCTCTAAACCACGGACAGCATTTAGGTATCATGAGGCTTGCCTACTGAAATTGATCAGTAAAGGGTACCCAGAGGACTGTGTTGAGAAGGATTCCGGTGCCACTCCAAAAGCATTCTGCATTTGAATAGGGATGTATGTCATGGGACAGGTAATGATGGCATGTCATCCTCAGATTAATGCCTCATCAGCTCATACATTTAATGTAGCAAACCCCTTCATGATGTCCAAGTTTTAGTTCATTCCTCTTTACTATCTTTAATATAAAAGATTTTTAAAAATCTTCCTCAAAAATATTTTAATCATGCTTCTCTCCCACACATAATTTATAATGTTTCCCTGTTGTCATTATGTCAAAATATATCTTTAATCTAAATTCTAGAGAGATCAATTACTGACCTTCCTTCCCCATCCTTAGAGACTTAATCATTTGTTTTCCCCACTCAGAATCCTTGCTCTAGCCAAAGAATCTGACTGTTTTCCTTGCATGCCTTGCTCAACTCTGTCCAACTCTCGTTACATGAGGTTGCATGCTGTACCTGAAATAGCTATCCTTTTCCTGGTCAAATACTTCTCTCATCTCTCGGAAAATAACTTCCAGGAGGCTTTCTGTAATTAACCAGACCTGGTGAGACACAGTTCCACTCTATCCAGCCTCAGGAATCCTATGTTCAGTCTTAACATAATTTTGTATACAAATATAGAGCTGTATCTTAAACAGGTAAGGCTGAATTATACATGACATGCATTTATGCTCCTCCCCAGCAGTAGAGTCAGGATTTAGCACATAAAAGGAAATAGTCCATGCTGATTACAATCTAAGGCAGAACAATCTTCCCCTCCTGTTCAGAGCACTGCAGTTATACTCAGTAATAGAGCTCAATGGACTTGTGAGTTGGAGGTGATGGGACTGTCAGTGGCCTCACTTCAAGGCCAGATGTCTGGAAATTGCAATGGTTGTGACCTAAAACAGTCTTGTATCCATCAATCTTGAATTCTTAGGAACACTCAGTCAAGGTCGGTTTGAGGAGAACCATGAGAAATATCCCACTGCACATAACTGGGGTTCAGGTGTCTAAAAAAGCATAAGAGTTTTAAAAGTTTGCTACTTTCTCAAATCCATCCTAACTCTTTTGAAATCTACCAAAGATACTTTTCTCTTCATGCACTTAAGTACAGAGCTACTCTGCAGCTATAAATGGGGGCAGCTGTGGAGTTCAAGATGACACAGCCAAAGCTGAGTATAGTTTTAGAACCCTGCAACTGGGAGAGTTTGTGGCTGCTCACCTCAAAAAGGTCTCTCTAAATCTTATCTAAGCTGCCTTCATCTACTGGAGACACCCTCTCCAACACTACCAAGAAAGCTGTCATGGATCTGAGCCCTTACAGAGCCATTCAGAATGTACTGAGCACCTACAAAATTACAGCCATCATTCAAGACTCGGGGAATTTAATGCTAGATAATTCCTTGGGGGATGCTTTTAATCTAATAGTGGAGGCAGCCTTATAATTATATAATTTGACTATAATGGTATAGATCTAAGATGAAAGTATGATCAAAGGGCAATGAAAACACAAAGGTGCACATAACCCAGCCTGAGGTCTTAAGAAGGGCTTTCTGGAAGAGGTGATATCCACAATAGGTTTTCAGATTTAAATACGAGTTCACCAGGGGAAGAAAGACAACAGGGTTGGAGGAACTATGTTTATGTTATTATGGTTTTGTTACAAGGATACAAAGAGAATTAAGATGACTCTGTCTTCTCAAAAATGTTGTAGTATTACTGATGAGATGGGTCTAAGAATAAATAAACACAAGCTAAAATGGTTCAGATAAGAACCTTAGCAGTTCAGTGGCAGAAGCAGGGTGTGGAGGGGAGTGGATGAGGTAAGGGTGTGTCATTAATGTGACATGTGAGGTAGATCTTGAAATAAAGGCAGAATTTTGGTGTGAAAACAAATATTTGGGATAACATAAGCCAAGGAATAAAGGTGGGGAAGCTGACGAATGCAGAGGCCTCATGAAGAGTATTATTGAAATTGAAATGTAGAGGGTCTGAAGGAGAATAATGGGGAATCAGTTTCAACAGACAAGTTGGGCCTTGCTTGTGGGTAATCTTGACTGTCAGGGTGAGGTTATTCGACTTTGTCATGTCGACCATGGAGAACCATTGAAGGTTTCTGGGTGGGACAGTATTATGATTAGAGTTACCCATTAGATAGGAGATACCCATTAGCTAAAGTCCCTAAAATAATCTGGAGATAGAAGAGATAAAATTGGGGAAGTTGTTCTGGAAGTTATTACTTTCATGCAGGTGAGAAATAAAAAGAACACAGGAAGTGCAATAAGAATGATAAGAAAATAGGGCCAGGTGTGGTGGCTAGTGCCTGTAATCCTAGCACTTTGGGAAACTAGGGTGGGTGGATCACTTGAGCACAGGGGTTCAAGACTAGGCTAGGCAACAAAATGGGACCCCATATCTACCAAAAAAAAAAAAATTAATCAGGTGCTGTGCTGTGGTTCCAGCTACTCAGAAGGCTGAGGTGGGAGGATTGCTCGAGTCCAGGTCAAGGCTGCGGTGAACTATGATTACGTCACTGCACTCCAGCCTGGGTGACAGAGTGAGACTCTGTCTCAGAAAAAAAAAAAAAAAAAAAGAATGATAAGAAAATAGTGAATTTAAGAAATGGTGCAGTATGGAATTAATGAAATTGCAAACCACTTACATTTGTCTGTAGATGTGTGCTTTCATTTGGGGAGAGGTTAGGGAAGTGGCATCTCTTTTTATAACCTCATTCCTTTGATAGCAAATGGCCCCTAGTCCTAGAATATTATAATCACTCCATTATCAAGAAAAGATATTCCAATTAAGTCTTCCCAAAGGGTTGGTTTCCAAGTCACTACTCTAAAACTCCAACTTACTTTACATAGACATAATACAAATGGGATTGCCTCCACCCTCTTGAAGACAACCTCATAAAGTTGTCCTGATGAGATAATAAAGTAGGTAGTATATAAAAGATAATTGGTGCTTATACATTTATTAGTATTACTAGCAGTGTTCTTATGTATCAGTGACTGGGTCTAGCCTTCAGAAAAAGTCAACCTCAAAACTGAAATAAGGTTCCTAGTATTTAGCATCAAGCCTGCCTCTTACTGAACTTAGCATAGAGAAACAGGTTGAGGATGGAGATCCTGGATGGGCAATTAGGGAGGCTCCTACCCAACAACTGATGCTGTGCTTCAAACCGAGCAAGGCAGAAGACATGGAAGATTTCAAAAATGGACATTTTTGTCCCCCAGGAGCATATAACCCACTTGGTAATAAAAAAATTATATATGTATGAAGTAACTGTTGACCAAGACCAAGCAAGGATGAAGAATGTGGTTTACACTTTGGATGCATAGAATGATGGCTGATATGGTTTGGCTGTGTCCCCACCCAAATCTCATCTTGAATTGTAGCTCCCATAATCCCTATGTGTCATTGGAGGGACCAGGTTGGAGGCAATTGAATCATGGGGTGGTGGGGGATTTCACATGCTGTTCTCGGGAGAGTGAATAAATAAGTCTCATGAGATCCAATGGTTTTATAAAGGGTAGTTCCTCTGCACACTCTCTCTTGCCTGCCTCCATGTAAGATGTGCCTTTGCCCCTCCTTCGTCTTCTGTCATGACTATAAGGACTCCCCAGCCATGTGGAACTGTGAGTCCATTAAACCTTTTTTTCATTATAAAATTTCCCAATGTTGGGTATGTCTTTATTAGTAGCTTGAGAACAGACTAATACAATGGCAAAGAAGGCTTCTGTGTTCATTATTCTCTTGCCATCTGCTGCAGTCAATCCTTGCTAAAGTTCTGACTAAGCCACCATTATTTCTGAAGGCTGTTTTTGGTTCCAGCTCCCTTCCTTCTACCCCATGCTATACCACAACACCCTGCCCTTGGCTCTTTGCTTTTACTGTACAGACTTCAGGGTTGCTTCATAAAGGTCTAATATTAGCCTGACCGTTCTGGTTAGCATTATTCTTTCTCTATAATATTTGTGGGACTTAAAGATGAACCACGCAGACAAGAACTTTAAACTCTGTTATTGCCCTTTGTTGACACTTTCAACAAGTTAATTGTCTGCTTGCCTTCCTGTAATTACTTTAATTACATGCCATTAGTGACCACTAATAAATGCAAGTGTGTTTGATTTTCATAAACCTTACATTCTTTGCCCATCTACAGAACTCTTCCAAGGCTTTCACATGCAGTCAAAATAGAAAGAGGCAAACCAAGCACATTCACATTTAACCTTTGGGGCTAAAGTGAAAAATAAAGGATAATTCATGAATAGGCTAACTGTTTTCTACTGCTTCTGACACTTACCAGCATTCCCTCTATAGTGGTTACATATATATGCTGTGTGCTCGTTTATAAGACAGCAAAAGTTAAAAGGGGTTGAGAAATAAAAGCTGCCTAATTGCTGCTATTATCTCAACTCAAGGAGAGAATTGCTGCGTGATATTATGAGGATCGAAAAAACATTGAAGAGTTTATTGATGGAACACTTTTGCTGTAACTTCAAGCTACAGTAAATGAAGGTCATAATTTTAGTTTTTATGAACAACTGATTGGGCATTTACATAGAAAAGAGCTGAACTATGAGGAGACTAAGCCAATATTCTCTTTAGTACAGTTTTCTAGATTACATCACAATATCTGGTACAAAAAACAATTTATCCAGTTATTGTCTTTATCCAGCTTTACCAATGAAGTACACTGCAAGCCTCAGAAAATGAATTGTATAGAGAATGGTTAGTTAAATACTTCTCACTGTGTCACCCAACCAAAAAGAAAAGGAAAAAAAAAATTGGCAAAAAATCAAATTCTGTGGCTGTTGGCTGGTTTAGATAGTTGCATCACAATTCTCTTGCTTATTAAAACATTAAATACACCAAATTTATTTATGATGACAGCAATATGCCTTCCTCCAAATATAAAATGATGATTTCAATCCTTAACTACTGGAATTTGTGATTCACATTTTTTTCTTGTTGTAAAAGTGGGTTATTCCAGGTCATTCTTGATCTTTCCCTGCTACAGATTAATGGCAACACTTGAGTGGCAGCTGGCCAGGGTTGGGCATGTAAGCTCTTTATAGTTATGGAAAGGCATTTTTAATGTGTCTAAAATGAATGGCCCCAACCAGATAACCCCAAGAAGGTAATGTGTATGAGCACCAGGTGTTCCTCATTGCATACTCTATCCAGGTTATTAGGACGGGACTGATAACATAATTTACATGCAGACTCCAGCAAGAGTTCATGTGGTATTTAAAAACACTCATCTTGTCAGAGGAAACAAAAACAAAAACAAGTGCTACGCAATTAATTTCAGGGAAAGGGTATATTTTCCTGATATTTAAAAAAATATCCAGTTTGTGAATCTAGTCAATACATTTTGGTTAAATGAATTAACATGCTGGGAAACATAAAATATATTCCACATTATGAAATGTCAGTTTTCTGATTCATCAACATTGATCCCACACCACGGACTTTTCATAAGTATACACTATGATCCTTTTACATGACTACTAAGTATTACGGTCTCCTGTTTCTTCAAGTACTGACACATTTTTGGATGAAAGATAGATTTGTATTTAAAGATACGACCTGACCAAGGGCTCTCAGAAAAGGAGGGAAGTACAGGGGTGCTAAGAAAATGAACTGACCAGAGTCAGGCAAAAAGTCTAGGAATTGGAGAAAAAGGAGTCTTAGGCCAGAGTAAATGGCATGAGTTCATGGGAGAAACAAACAACGGACTGAATTAAATCAGACGGTATGCCTGGGGCGTGTCAGCACTGCTTTATATATTCATGCTCCCCCCACCCCCATTCCCAGTGTTTGTCTCTAAACAATTTTAGGCTTTTATTGAAGGAGATAGAGCATGAGGAAGGCTTTAAAGTGGATCATGGATAAGTGAAAGAAATACTACATAATTTTAAGCCATTTCTAAGCTCCACCATTAGTGGAAGAAATAGTACATAATTCTAAGCTGTTTCTAAGCTCCACCATTGGTTTCTGTTTAATTAAACCTGGAGATAACATATATGAAATTTTCAGATGCTTCACACACATAAAATGAGTACAATAATTAGGTCCATCTCCTTTTATTAAATAAAAGCTTTTATTTTAAGATTATAAAGTTCACTTAGGATTCTTAAATGAACTCTTTAAATTAGCAAGATAAACATATCCCTTCCCAACCTGATCCTAAATAACTTTTGCAGTTCATTTCTCTACTCATCTTTCCATGAAATCTATGCTTCAACTAATTCCCAGCATTCTCCGTAAAGTTAAATGAATAAATGAAGTGCCAGCACCTCAAATACAGAGTTCTTTCCTGTCTACCTGCCTGTGCTGAGAATGCCCAACCTACTTCCTCTGCCTGGAATATGTTCCTGTCTCCCTCAGGATCCATGATAAATGTCCCTCCCCTGTGGCACAGGTTTCACCAACAATTCTCTTTGTTTTCACCACACTTTGCCCAAACTTCCCACTATAGGCCCTCCATTCAGCAGCACTGTCATAGATGAGACAACTCAAGGAAATTGCTCATGTATTCTTTCTGATCTTTAGCCAGGGCTGTTTAATAAAATAATACAGAGGCATTATTAGACTGTTAGAAAGGGGGGAAATTGAAGCAAGGGTAATCCAGTCCAATATATCATCCAAACTTTGGAAAAAGTAATTATTTTTTTAATTTACAGATAAAACTGATTTAATACCATGTTTTCAGACCTAATTTCAAACAAAATAATTAAGTTATCTAATAAGATCTGACTTACTATGAACTGGGATGCTGGCAACTTTCCTCTCTTTCAGCTTCTATTCCTCTACTGAACTCTGCGCCATGCAACTCTGTCCTTATCCGGAACTGCAAGCTCTCTTACAATGATTTAAAACATGAAGACTTGTTGAATTTAGGAATAAGGATTGAGTGTATGGGGGCTTTCCAGCTAGCATTCAGGTTGCCTACACAAACATTTAATCTGCCAACAAAGGAAGTGATATATGATACAGAAAAATGAAAATCAGATACACTGCAAAGGATTCTACAGTTAGAATTCTTGAGTTTGAATAGAACCTTCAAGACATTCTGTGACAAGATTTAGCTATTCTAGGCCTTATTTTCCTCATTGAAAAATGGGGATGATACTTTATAGAGTTGTTATGCAACATCAATAAAATTATAAATGTAAATGACTTAGCACAATGCCTGGCACACAAACAGGGCTCGAATATATTGCTATTGGTATGATTATGATTTAGGCTTTTATTTAGGTAAATGAGAGCGCTTTCTTTTTTCAGCAAAAATTAACTGAATGTACACTAATTGCTTGGCACTTGTCAGGTCAGGCTCTATTATGCAAGCCACAAACTGACACCTAAATATCAGTGACTTAATGTCACAAAGGCTTATTTCTTGCTCATATTTTATAGCCAATGAAATGTCAGCAGGGACTCTGCTCCACACAGTCACTCAAGGATCCAAGTTGAAGGAGACTCTATCACCCTGTAGCTATATCATCCAGAATATATGCCTGCTAGATGGCCATGAAATCGTGCCGCAACATCGTACCATAGAATCATGAAGCATTGCATGAGAGCTTTCATTCTCTTAGTCTGCAAGTGACATTCGTATTACCTCCAATCACACGTCATTGTCTAGAGTTGGTCACAGTGTCCTGTCTGATTGCAAAAGGGCCAAGGAATACAGGGAAAATGACAAAGGGACCATTTGCTGAGCATCACTGTTTTTGCCTCAATATTAAGCACTGAAGAAACAAATATAACGAAGACTTAGTGCCTCTTTGCATGTAGCAACTTGCGTAGGTGTTAAATGGCTTTAATAAGTCAGTACCTACTAGAGGGATGCTGCACATATGAGTATTTCATTGAAGTCACACAAGACGCTTTGAGAAGAATCATATTTTAAGATGATTTTTAAAGTCATGTGACATTTGCTGTGAAAGATATACTTGTAAGTTTAAGACTTAATGCCACATACCCTTTGTGCAATAAGGTTTTCATTGCCTAGAAATAAAAGTGTAGTTTTTGTTTATGGTAATTTCATGGTATAATAGAAAAAAAACAAATATTGAGCAAACATTCTACAATTAATTAGGCCATTTACTCTTCAATCTACTTCTCTAAATTGAAAGGAGAGAGGCCTCTGGCTAAGATATTCTGACTCCAATTGTGACAGGGAGGGTCTGTCTTCCTCATGGCTCAGTGGTAAGCCTGCCTCAGGCAGCCCTCAGCTTCTTCTCAACTCAGTTCACTCCATGAGTCCAAAAGCAAGGCGACAAGCTGACAGGAACTCAGCTAGAATTCTTGGCCTTCTATTCAGCTTCATGAGCCAAAGGGAAAAGAGGCCACCTTCCAAGGTCCAGCCAGCTAGGAATTAAGCCTCCTTCTCCTTTTTTCTTCCTATACCATTGCCAGAAAGCCTGTGGACAGCCTTCCCAGGCTTCCGGCTCCCCTGGCCAGCTGGGAAAGGCACAGCCTTTCCAGAACCCGATGAGCTTGCCAACAATTTTTTTTTTCTTGCCCCATGTAAGAGCCAGAATTGCGAGATTACAAAGCCACCATCACAATATAGTCACTAATAGATGTTTTAAGAGTCCAAGGGGAAAGAAGGAGTTTCTGGGTCAAAGAAAAAGAAAGAAAATGATGAGTTTCGAGCAGTGTAGTCACAGTTTTTCAGAGTTTGCTGATAATCAGAGCAAACCTTTTCCTTCCAGGGGACCCCAGGCAGTCTGGAAGACGTGTCTCTGAAATCCGTTCAGAGCCATATTTCATTAGTTTTATTTTATGAGAAGCTTTCTTTTTAAGCATTAACCCCAATTCTCTAACGCATGAAAAATTTAAGTTCATACTTTATGAAGAGGCATAATGCTGGTACCAAATCTCTATTTTACATATAGACTTCCTGAGGACTTGATGGAGAGCCAGCTAGTGACTCTCTTTCTTTCAGAGTGTGTAATGTGAGTCAGGGGACTTCAGCATAATTACTGGCTTTGACAGGTGATGTAGATGACTTCCAAAGTTGGCCTTGGTGTCTCTTGGCTCAGGAACTCCCCTGGCCCAGCCACAGACCCTCTCTCAAGAGGTACCGACTCTCTGATTTGGCCTGGTATTATCAAGGGTCCACTGGCTCCACAAATCCTAAATCTTCTCTAGCCCCGGTTTTGGACTGGAACCAAAGCTGCCTCTGCAGTGGCTGAGGGGAAGGGCCCAGAGTGCAGTGGGTACTGCCAGCTGTGAAGTGAGGGTGAGGCTGCCACTCCTTTCCAGGGAGGCCTGTCTGCCTCCTCCTCTCATCTATGTCCCCAGTCTCACGGCTGTCCAAAGGATTAGCAAAGCATTTTCTTTTCCTCAGACTGACCCTAGAGAAGACGTAGAGTCTGAATGTCTCTTTTCCAGGAAGTTCCCATGACTCTTTGGAGAGCAGAGTGCTGTCTAACTTATCACAGTTACAGTTTCAAATGGCAGGTACTACACAAAACATTGGCACTGTCTTTCTCCAGAAAAATGGGTGTCATTTGCTCTATTATCTGCATAACTATAAGCAACCAGGCAAGTAGTCCTTGACAGAACAAAAGCATCTTCAACCCAAAAAAAGTGATTCTACCTCCTACCTTAGACTTCAGAATCCAGTTCCAAAAATCAAATCAATATTTTCCACATTGAACAATTTCAGGATTCAGTCTTCACCTATCTCTCCTTTATATATGTGTATCTCATTTAATCCTCAATTCTACTTTTTATATCAATGTTATTGGTATTTTTATTGATATTTTTGATATTTTTAATATGTTATTGATTTCTTCTAAAGCTCAGAAGAAATTAAGATACACAAACCACAAGATTAATGCCACATAGATTATAAGAGATGGAGGCAAGATTTGATACCAGTTCTCTTTGGCCACAAAGCCCCATGTTCCTTCTACTACATGGAGGCATCCACATTCCTCCAATAGAGTTCTAGGGTCATTTTGAATTCCCTTTTAATATCTTTTCTGTTTGAGAGAAAAATAAATTGCTCCTGCTCTTGTGATTTGGAAAGCATGGCCTACCGATAATTAGGGCATGTGGACTTGGTTCTAATTCTAATACTGCCAGTAGTGCAATAAGTGACTTAAGCAAGACATGGCACATTCTGGGCAACCGTTTTAAAAATGCCATCCATCTTTAACTTTTTCTTATTTCTCTGTACAATAGGGGCTATTAAAATACACAGGATTTAGAGCCCATGCTAGTGTCTAATCCGGCAGCACTTTGGCCCCTTTGAGAATCGAAATGGCAAAGCCAAGGTAATATGGTCTCAAACTTCAGCTGTCCTGCGTGGCTCCTATCAGTCACAATTGCCTTCTTGCGTTTTGCTGATCTCACTTAACCTTGCTTTCCAAGGATAAAGTATTTGTGTCCTCTATCTATTCTCTTTTCTCTCCCTCCATCCCCTTCCCCCTTCCCTCTCTCTCTTTCTCTTTTTCGTGTGTGTGTGTGTGTGTGTGTGTGTGTGTGTGTGTGTGTGTGAGAGAGAGAGAGAGAGAGAGAGAGAGAAAGAGCACAGCCAGGTAGAACTCTGATCACCGGAGGTTGGTATATTTCAGGAATTGTCTTCCATTCTCCTGACACACATTTGTTAACCTCAGATGTTACTACCGGCATTTTCTTTCATAGACATGCCTCGCTCTCTTCCCAGGAAGACACTTAAAAATCAAAAGCAGACTACCTTGTAATCTAGCTCCTCCCACTAGGCCCAGCCCCTAGTCTGGCTCAAATACCAAGGAATATGGGCTTATCTGCCAGGCTGCTCTCTACTGCCATCTCATGGTAATTCAGCCTTTCTCAGAGAATCAACCTTTCAGTAGGTGCAGACCCTCACAGGAGACAGAAATCATAAAGGCTCATGTCTGCCAGAGCAGCAGTCTTTACGACAGATTGTGTAGGACTTAAAGGCTGAAAATATCAAGAAAATTACTGAAGGAGTTGAATGTTTAAGCAAGGTGTATATCATAACTTGATTTCAAAAAGTAACAATTAAGAAAGTATGACTTATGACAGAAGGTGAATCCTGAATCAGAAAGACCCATTTCTGGGGGGGAAAGTGGGAGTTTGAAACATACCAGAATCTTGAAGATATATTTATGGAGATGAACAAACTGAAAACATCACTAAGAGTCAGCAATGATTTCAACACAATGACTAGGACAGTGCGTCAGTGTCTCAGAGTCTATAAAAGCAAAGTCACAATGAAGTCCACTCAGTCACCCAATGCCGTGTCACTGTGTGCGTAGAATTGTCGACTGCCCTGGCCCTGCTCCCACCAACATTCATGAGGAACAGCAGCCACATGTCCACTCACAGACTCTCTCTGGCACTTGGCTGCTGCTTCTCCCATCACTTGATCATAATTTGGAGTATTTCCATCTATAGGCATCATGCAACTTGCCTTCCTGTGTGGCTGCTTAACAGACAAGGCCATTACAGTGTACACATTTGGTTATGAAAAGAACACACTTTACATTGAATAAAATTTGGGAACACCCCACAAAGGACTGTCAGTGTATGGCATGCAACTCACTGACCCAGGTTATGATTCAAACGGTGTGCTTGGGCAGTGCTTTTATTATTTATCTTTATTCTCCTCCTATTATATTTTTTTCTAAATTGGCAAAGAGGGTTTAGATAATAATAATAATACTTGTAGTTTGAGCTGTATTAAATCAAGAATCCAATCTGTAAAGCTAACCCAACCTGACCACTTAGTCAAGCTCGTCTAATGCCAATTTGAGGCAAAAATCAAGATTAGGTTAAATATTTCCCTAAAGGAATGAATCTTCCAAGTTCAAACTTAAATCAAACAGCAGTATCATTCCATGCAGAAGAGACATAATTGCAAAAAAGTTCATGCCTTACCTCCAGCAGTCTTGGGCTTCCAGAGGGCTTCAGGCTGTCGATTTGCGAACAAGAGATCCAGGATTACGCATTCTACAGTAAATAGAAAAAAAAAGAACAAAAATATATTGGGATAGCTACAAATGCTGTGAAAATGTGTCACCTACAGACTACTAAAAAAAGAGAAAATAAATTGGAATTAGGTTCATAATTCCAGTTGATATAAGCAATTCTAGGCCTTCAATCAAAAAGATTTCTCCATGCAAAACTTAATAAGTAATCCAACAGTGCTGACCAGGGCCTGACAAAACATATGGCATGGTTATTGTAGGTAAGCAAGACCATTAGGTGGAACAAGGACATGGAATAAAGTAACACCAAGGCACACCGTAGCAAAGTTATTTCCTTTCCAATAATTACAATTAGTTCATGGGAAAAGTCTTATTTTGGTTAAAGTATGTCTCTAAACTGTACTAATCTCTCTTTTAACTAATTTGGGTATTGGTAGACAAGATTCAACTAGAATTTATTAATAGGGTTTTTTTTTTCATTGCATTTGTATTTATATGTCTTCTATTTACCATCTGCAGGACACTGTGAGGAGCAAGTTGTGATTAGTATACAAAGTCTCGTGGAGTTTATAATCATGTGCACACTTTTCTGAGAGGAGAAATAAAGTATTTCCTTATAAAATGGTTTTCAACTTAAGTGGGAGTAAAGTAAATCTTAAGTAAATAATAACACTTTTAATATATCAACATACAAAAGATCTTAAAAGTAGTAATAAGTGACTGAGTTTGGGAAATAGAATTTTCATGAAGAAGGGAGGTAAGCATACCTGGGAGATTGGAAGCTAAATGAAGACAGAGTCAAGGATGTCTTTGTTAATTTTATCTCCAATATCCAGCAAAGTACATGGCATATGATAGGT
Organism: Homo sapiens; assembly: GCF_000001405.40. Lineage (NCBI taxonomy): Eukaryota > Metazoa > Chordata > Mammalia > Primates > Hominidae > Homo > Homo sapiens. The sequence continues at coordinate 47,469,635 of NC_000015.10, read as the reverse complement.
ATTTGATAAATACTTTTACAATAGATGAGCAAATAAACACTTTCTGGAGAATCTGGAGGATGTTTAAATGTCTGAGCTACTGATGGGCATGAAACAGGGCTTGCCTATTATTGTAATTCTAATATCTGGAGTTGTTAATCTAACAGTACTCTGGGAATACTTACTGCATATATAACTGAACAGGTTGAAGTGTCCTGATTTCTTAACATTTCTCAAAAAGAAAAGGAAAATGAAAAAAACTGAAGACAATTTTGAAGTCCTCCCCCCACTAAACACACACACACACACACACACGCACATGCGTGCACATACACACACACACACACACACACACACCTTAAAGCAACTGTCCTCAGGCATTCCAAGGCAGGAAATCCGCCCCTGGTTGGGGCAATAAGGGGGTGCACTGCCTGTTAAGAGTTTTAAAATCATAATAAAGTTCAATTAAAAGTTGATTTGCTTTTTATCATCACCTTGCACTGATAATTCTCAATCATGTCAGTGATAAAATACTCCTTCCTCTGGGCAGACAGCTCCCACTACTCACTATGCCATTGAGTTCAGAAAAGATGGGTTATTTACTTAAAACAGGTAAGAAATTATGCTGACAGGAAATTTGGCAGTGACAGACTTTCCGTACCCAGAGACCTCAAGAGTTCAGGGGCCAATGAAAAGGAAAATCCAGGACTTTCTACATAAAACATTCCAAGAAAGTCTAGACAGGGTGGAATAGGAGGAATTGGTCTTGGAAATCATTCTGAATGGCTTCCTAGTGTGTTGATGAGGGTAAGCGAATGCAGCCCAGGGGAAGGGCTACTCCCTTTAGCCTGAGTGTCTAACAGTTGTGGGCAATTTTATCTGTACTATTCAAACCTGGATATTGGATATTAACAATTCAATCTGTGCTTTATTGATCTTTTCTGTAGAAGATAAGTAAGGAAAAGTGCCGCTTTAATAATTGCACAGCCTGTCAACAGCAAAATATGTAAAATAAAGGGTTTTGATAAGCAGGTGATCTTTCGGAAGGTATTGGGTCAGCTGCTCTTGATAACTCCCCCTTTGCTGTGAACTCGCTCCACGTAACACAGCTCACTTCATATCTACAACTGCCTCTTCTGAGGTTAGCCACCATGGCTGACCATGGCCCTTGGTGACTTGTGTCCTTTCTCAGAGCCGAGCTTTCACCCACTTATACTGAGTACCATGAGTAGGACAATTCTTGCTCCTCATTGCCTGTTTCCCTGCAGAGCTAGTGCTCAGACACTTGTTTCCACACCATTTTACCACTTCTTCGATTGCAGTGGTTGAAACAGTCTCCATTTCTGCTAATGCTGTTAATTCAGGATAAATTCTGCTATCATGAGAAAATGCCAATAATGGAAATCACTTTCAGCTGTAACTGCATTTTCAATGATGAAGAAACATAGGTATGAACACACATACACACACACACACCCGCACACAAACACACAGTAACATATATTTAAATTAGAAACAAGGTTGAAGTTGCTAATTTTCTTGATTGTACTGTATTTCCAACAAGAAGGCAGTCAAATCTAGTGCAATAAGTGACAATCAGTGGCATAAGACCATTATTTACATAACATATGTATTGGCCTATGCTTCACCAAGCACTGTGACATTAACTGTCTCAAAACAATCCTGTCGGTATTATAATATTATTATAATATAATTTTTATGCTACAGATGAGGGGAAACACTAAGGCCGTAAAATTAAAGACAATTTTTCCAGATCACATTACTAGTAGGGGAAGGAGTTCAAACTGGTCTTCTTTCTGCTTCCTAATGGAGCAGGCACATTTACTAAATGGCACCGATGCTGCCGGTGTAGGTCTTACAGAAATAATTACGACAGTGATAAAGAACTATATCAATGATCTCTTAGCATCCTGGCAGGGAAAGAAAAGAGACAATGAGTTAATCCCTAGCAAAATGCCATGATGTGTAAAAAAGAGAGAAACAGCTCCACTTCCATTTCGCAAGCACCTAAGTCAGCGCTTGCAAAGTTATCCCTAATTCAACAGCTTTTTTTCCATCCCTTCCTCTACTTCTCAATCTACCATTTAGCTAACATTTTCCAGTAGTTAGTTTCCAGAAATTTGCCAACATTCTTGCATATTCAGCCTTTAAACATTAAATGAGAATACACAGGGTATATGGCCTTATGTCAATCTACCTTCTCTACATTGCCTCTTCTAGCAAGCATTAGCATTAATACCGACATGTTTACATCATAATTACTTTAATTTCCTTGGCCCCAACCAGACCCGGAGTGTGTCAATCCACAGTGATTTCCAGGGTGGGGAATGATAACTGGTCTATGAAACATAAATTACAATAAATGCTTGGAAACTTGGCATATCACTTCTAAAATGATCTCAGCCTTGTAGCAGGGAGGGCACAAGCCTTTTACATTGATATGGATAACTCACAGTTTTCCAGGTCTTCATGTTCTCATTTCTAAACAAGAACAAAAATTATTATCCTTGTGAAGAAAAGGGAACCCTTATATACTGTTAGTGGAATTTTAAATTGGTACAACCATTATGAAAAAGGTGTCAAGGTACCTCAAAAAAACTAAAAATAGGCTGGGTGCAGTAGCTCATGCCTGTAATCCCAGCACTTTGGCAGGCCAAGGTCGGTAGATCATTTGAGGTCAGGAGTTTGAGATCAGCCTGGCCAACATGGTGAAACCTCACTTCTGCTACAAAAAAAAAAAAAAAAGCCAGGCGTGGTGCTACACTCCTATAATCCCAGCTACTAGGGAGGCTGAGGCAGGAGAATCACTTGAACCTGGGAGGTGGAGGTTGCAGTGAGCCGAGATCACTCCTCTAAGCTGGTGAGCCTGGAAGACAGAGCAAGACTCCATTTCCAAAAAAAAAAAAAACCACACACCTAAAAACAGAACTGCCATACAGTCTAGCAATTCCACTTCTCGGTATATATTCAAAGGAAATGAAATTATTAATGATACATTAAAGAGATATGTGCACTCCCACATTCTTGTAGCATTATTCACAATAGCCAAGATATGAAAACAACATAAGTGTTCACCAGGAGATGACTGGATAAAGAAAATTTGATAAATATTTACAATGGAATATATTACTCAGCCCTTAACAAAAGGAAAATTAGCCATTTGTGTCAACATGAATGAACTTTGAGGACATTATGCTAAGTGAAACAAGCCAAACACAGAAAGACAAATACTGCATGATCTCACCTATAGGTAGAAACTAAAGAAGCCTAACCTATGGAAACAGAGTAGAAAAGTGGGTGCTACAGGCTAGAGGGTGGGAGTAATGGAGGGATTTTTGTCAAAGGGTACAAAATTTCAGTTATAAAATGAACTAAGTTCTGAACATCCAATATACAACATGGAAACTACAGTTAATAATAATGTATTGCATCCTTGTCATTTGCATATACAGTACATCTGAAGTGTGCTTACCACACACAGAAAAAAATGGTAACTATGTGAGGTGATGAACATCTTAATTTGCTTGATTGTAATTATTTCACAATATATATGTACATCAAATCATTTTGCATACCTTGAATACATACAATTTTTATTTGTCAATTATACCACCTATAAAGCTGGGAGAAAATAAAAACACATTATTTTCTTTATCTTTTCTATGAAAAGTTACAAATATGAACATTTTGATATCAGAAAAGCATGTCAAGTTCCCTGGAGGAAACCAATAGGTAATATTATTGCAGAATTGGCAAGACCCTTTACTGGTGAATTAGTCCATTTTCGCATTGCTATAAAGAACTACATGAGACTGGGTAATTTAGAATGAAAAGAGGTTTAACTGACTCAGGTCTGCAGTCTATACAGGAAGCATGGCTGGGGAGGCCTTAGGAAGCTTACAATCATGGTAGAAGGCAAAGAGAAAGGAGGCACATCTTACATGGCAGGAGAAGGAGGAAGAGAGAGAAGGAGGAGGTGCTATGCACTTGTAAACAACCAGATCTCATGAAAACTCACTATCATGACACCAGCAAGGAAAAAGTCCGCCCCCACAATCCAATCCCTTCCCACCAGGCCCCTCCTCCAACACGGGGGATTACAATTGGACTTGAGATTTGGGTGGGGACACAAATCCAAACCATATCAACTGCGTTTAGAACATAAAGTCAGAAACCTTTCCCCTTTATAAGTTATGCAATAATTTAGCCACCTAGCAATGTTGCAAAGCTAAGTCTAGGCAATAAGAATTTTAACTGGGATGCGGACAACTATTTGCCCACTTCTTCTTGTACAAACATCTATATTTAGGGGCTTATTATTAAGAACCAATTAATAGTGAAAGAGGTTAGAGTTAGAGGCCAAATAGAAATGATTGAAATTTTATGAGGAATGTTTCAATATTTCTTACACATTACAAATCCAGATACACATTGGTCAAAATGCATCTACTGACTACCTGCTGTGTTCAAAGCACTGTGAGTACAAGACAGAAGACGATCTTGTGTTTATCGAGTACCTACTATGTTCTAGGTGCTGTGCAAGGCACATTTAGTTGTTGTGTATCTGTGAGTGGTGAGGGGAGTCAGGGAGGGCCAGGAGGTGTAACAGGAGAGAAACAGAGTATTCTAGCTTGAGGCTCACTTTAATTTATCACTGGGATTCATACATATATGGCAAACTTGTGAAATTACCTGATTATTTGCAGAAGAAACTTAAGAGTCTCTTAATAGAGTAAATTCAGGCAAACCCCCACTTGGTCCATGACAGTGCCTTTTATCAGTGGGGTGGAGCAATCCATGGGACTGTCACTTTGATTTGTGTTCTGACCTAACTTTGTATGGACTCATATATTAACATATGGTACTCATCCATTAAGAGGTATTTAAATTAAAAGGTTAGAGAGAGAGAGTCTTTCCATTTTGACAAGGGTGCAGGGTGGTTTGTGCACATGGAGGACTATAAATAATTCAATAAAATTTTAGCTCCTTGAGGGCTTGACTAAATCAGTCACACCACAGTGGTGGCAGGGAATTAGCTACCATGCCTGCATACTGGCACCTCCTCAAACCAACCATCTTATAAGAGCAAAAGCCAGGCCCAGATGTGGAATACACTGTTGGCTGATCTGGGAGCATCAGGAGTCCTTGGCATGGACTGGACACTGGTGGCAGTGGTTCGGCATGAGGCAGAGACAATGGGTATCACCAAAGGCACCTGAAGCAGGATGGGTGCCTTTTCTTAACGAGCACATATGAGACACCTCTATGGTGGGGGTGCTGCAGGGGCTGAATTTATTACAATAGCATCCAGAGAAAGACTTTTTACCCTACATGATCCTGCAACACATACTTAACATGGAAAATATATTTTACTTTATTCCTCCTAACTGCCTGACAATAAAAGTTTATTAACCTTATCTTACTGATGAGGGATTGTAGCTAAAAAAAAGTTAAAATCTCTTCTTAAGGTCACTACATGGGTTGAATGGCAGCCCCCCAAAAGATATGTCCAGATCATAACCCCTGAAACCTGTGAATATTACCTTATATAGCAAAATATGTGAATGAGTAAATTTAAAAAGGGGATGAGCCCATTCTGCATTATCCAGGTGGGCCCTAAAGGCAATCATGTGTATGTATCCTTATGAGAGAGAGGCAGAGGGAGTCTGGGGGACAGATAAACGAAAGAGAAGACATACAGGAGAGGAGGTGGCAAGGTGACCACAGAGGTGAAGATTGGAGTAACGCAGCCACAAGCCAAAGTATGACTGGAGACACCAGAAGCTGGAAGAGGCAAGGAATGGGTTCTCCCTAAAGCCTTTAGAAGGAGTGCAGCTCTGTGGACACCTTGATTTCAGACTTCTGGCCTCCAGAACTGGGAGAGAATAAAGTTATGTTTTAAACCACCAACTATCTGACAACTGGTCACAGCAGCCACAGGAAACTAATACAGTCGCACAGTAAACTACAAAAGACATGTTTCAGATCTAAGTTTGTCCAACTTTAAGGTGTGTTCCCTTTGGGCCCCACGGGGATTCCCCCGACATACTATCAACACACTCTACAACTCTTAGGCCTACCATGACGCACACATGTGCTTCAGCTGCCACCACCTTTTCTTTGGAAATACATTGCAAAGGGTTGAGAAACTTTGGCGTTTGAGCCTATTTTCCTTTGTAAATGCAAATGTACTGCATGTGTTAAGATTTAAAGGAGACATATATGCAGTCAGGGCTATACGAATTGAGTCAAGAGAACTTGTCATGGGCAGAGATGATCAGCAAAGGATTTATGGAGAAGAAAGTTTTGAATTGTGAAGAAAAGGGTGCATGTATGTGGATAACTGTGAAGGACCAGCTTGAACATTCTAGGGCCGCTGAAGGCTTGAAAAATATTTCTAGGGGAAAATTACAAGCTTCATGCAGAGTTCACTGTGGAACCCAGCTTGCAATTGAAAATATTGCACCAAAATGAAAAACTAGGTGGATTTAGATCCTGGTTGTTTTTGTTACTGTTATCATGGATTGCTGCTATTCCTTCAGGAAACTGAGGTAGTCTTATTTACTTACTGAAGATCCTTTTCTTCATTTTTTTTAAAAAGTCCTTTCCATATCCAAGTTCATCATTGAATTGGTCTTGTAGCTACGTCTCTTTATGGTCAGGCATTTTCTCTCTGTCCATGTGCCTCTTTCAATGACATCTGTTTTGCTAAGAGATCTAATGAATTATAAGCCAGACTAGGACAAACAGAGCCATAAAGGCTGGGTTCTTGCAGAACAGGTTTTAGCTTTATTTCAGCCCTTCTCCCCTCACCCAAGGTGAATTAAGTAATCTTTATGAGATAAAATTACCTGCACTCTTGCCTAACCTTAATAATGAAAAAGAGAAGGCCTTTTATCTATTCATTGTGAACAGAGTAATCACAATTCGCTATGGCTCACAGAAACAGGAAAAAAACAATAACAACAAACCACCACAACTAATGTGTTTTTGTTTCTATCTGAAAATCCGAAGAACCTAGTAGTTTTAACTCTAGTTCATTACAGTCAACGATTTAATCTCTGATGGCAGGGAAACAAGAAATACGTTTATGTCCAGGGTAGCAACAGCATCACTCCAGATCAATATTCAAAAGGGCTGTAGGAAGGAGGTTCAGTTTCCTAAAAAAAAACCTATATAGTTCCCGTCTGAGAAGAGAGAGGCCGAGATGGGTCATTTGGGATACATGAAGCATTTGCCTTCCAGAATTGCTGGTGAGGCAACATATGTAGTGCTTGCCTGCTATGTAAGGCACTGTGCTGGGACCTGTGGAAAGCACAAAAGGTTAAAAGCATCATCCCTGCATTAAAAATCTTGTTGGTGAAACGAGTCATAATGACTTAAATTTTAAATAATAGCCCCAAACAATCAAAACAAAAAGAACCCCAAGTAAGAGTTCAAGACAACAAAAATAGCAAAAGGCAGGCCACATTTAATTACCAATAATTGCTACAGGATGTCAGAAAAATGGGAAGAGTATATCACACTGGCGTGGTCTGGAAAAACTCCATGGTAGTACCAAGATTTGAAATGAATCACGCTAACAGGATGTAAAAGGAGAAAAACATCAGTATCTAGAATCACCAAATAGTAACTTTATGAAATATTCAGTATTTTCTGGTAATACACCAGGCCTATCTTACTCATGTGGCAGGATCAAACCTTGGTATGCATTGACTTGGACCTGGGCACACTGGGAGGTAACATTGTTCTTTCATCCCAGTATAAATATGAATATACAAGCAGAAACATATACATTCTTCACACATTTTACAAATTTGCCCTTCAAGTTCTAATCTTATGAATTTATCCCTTTGGGACTATCTGTCGGTTTGTATTGCTCTTAGCTCATCCCTCTTAAATAAATTAACATATGAGGACTAGATTTTCCATTCCAAATAGAATGACTCATTGAAGAGCAGAAAGCAATTAAATTTCCAAGATGAAGCTTTTCCCGAACATCCTATACACCTCACTTTACCAATTTAAAAAATTGCTATGGGCATTATTATTATTAATATTATTTTTAATGACGGAAATACTGTTCTATGCTATGTGTAATAACCATGAAATTTAACTCTGATGGACAAACCTCAGATTCTTGGTCTACTAGATTCAACTTAATCATTTGTCCAACAAATATTACAGATGACTCCTTTATGCTAGGTGATGTTTCCAGTGCTTCAGATATAATAGTGGGGGAGAAAGCACAAGGTCTGTGTATTTATGCAGCATACATTCAAGAGTGTGTGTGTGGCAGTGGCTGTGGGGAGACAATGAAGAAGTAGTCTAATGAATAAAGGCAATTTCAGAGTGCAAGGTTTCTGCATGTGGAATAATGACAGTGTGATGAGATGATGAGGTGCAGGTGGGGATGCCATTATTTTAGGCAATGTGGTCACCAAAGGCTTCTCTGAGAAAGTCATGTTTGAAGTAAGAATCAAATAAAGGCAGTGATGCGAAGACCAAGCAGAGAGTGGTCTGGGCTGAGACAAGAGCAAGTACAAACGCATTGGCATAGAAATGAGCTTGCTCAAGGAGCAAAAAGAAGGTCAGGAGGGCTGGGCAGAGTGAGAGAGAGGAAGTGGCTGGAGGAAGCAGGAAGAGGAAGTAGGCAGGAGTCACACCATCTGGGGACTTGTGAGCCACAGACAGGACCCAGCATGCCTGTTTAGGGCAAATACCAACAGTAATTTCACAAGATCAAGGCATAGTTAGTTGAGTTAATTTCCGGGTCATTAAATCTGCTGTTTTATGTTAAAGTGCTTATTGGTAAGAAACATCTCAGTTACTTATAAGCAACGTTTACCAAATCTATAACATTTACCAAAACTGGGATTTGTTTGTTCACCCAGTTTGATGATTCTATTATAGTTTAAATAAAAATTAGGAAATTTTTGCAATATGTTTAAATACTCCTCATTCCCCTTTCACAATATTATCTGCACAAAAGGTTGGAAGACAAAGAAAAACATTCACAATTACATTAACACCTAACACTAATGAATCACTGATTTCCAGCTGTCTTTCTTCCTTCTTATACACTGTCCTCAAGCACACAGCATCATGATGTAGTTTTTAATCATAGCAGATATATGATTTCCCTTCAGTGCTTTCAAAGCACATTGAGAGTCGGGTACTCATCATTTTGTAAGATTTGGTCATCAGCAAGATGATTTCTCGGACTACTCTAAATAAGCCTGGCTAACCCAACTTCATTGATCACTGCTTGCAATGATTTGCCCCTTCTTGTTGGCTTAAATCTTCACTTCTTATCAAAATTGGCTTTTCAGGGTAAAGAAGACTTGAGACAAAAAGTAATTTCTGATAAGCAGTAATGAGACTGACTCCTTCTTACTGAGCTCCCTGGGCATAAAAATTAGATTCTAAATAATTTCTAAATAATTTCTGAGAATTCACAGGAGGAGAATTCCTCGCCATAGCTGAGTGTCAGAATGTTGCAAATGAAGAGACACAGTGGTGGGATGGCTAATTAGATGACTTTAACCTCACCTAGCTATGCCTTAATAAAACCTAGAAAATAGGCATTTTTTTTTAAGTTTGTATGTAAGATTTTGAAACTCCCTGACTTGGGGATTTGAATACGGGGATCTAAAGAGCTTAAAAGGTCAATGGAGGAGTTAGTGGAATTGATTTTCAAGAATGGATTTTATTTAATAAATTCATGTGTTATTTAGGAAATTGAAGTAGAAGAACCAAATACAGTATATTTTAAACACTCTGCACTACTCCACATTTTTCCCCAGATAGTTATCTTTGTTATCACCCAGAGATGAAATCTTTTTAAGTAGAATTTAATAGACTCTCCACCAGAAATTCTTAAGAATTTAATATTGGTTTAAGTGCAAAGCTGCAGGGGAAAGAGGGGAGAAAACCTATTGTTTGTTTTGAGGTTATTATAAAAGTTTTTAATTTTAAATATTTCCACTTATGGATATTGTAAACACCTCAAATTTAGTGTAGTCAATACAGAATTTTTGATTTCCACTGTTACTTCCCTTCATCTGTTTCTCCGTGGTCTGTCTTGTTTAGTAAGTCACCACCACCCAGTGCAAAACCAAGCTAGGTTTTTCTTGATTCTCCTCTTTCTCTCAGATGATCCTGCATTCAATAATCAAGCCATCTGCAAGTCAGTCTACAAAATATGTCACATGGCTGTAATCAATGTATTGGTGGGCTGTGTTTTCATCTGCAGGTTCAACTGGGAAGAATCTGATGCCCAGATCATTCAGGCAGTTGACAGGATTCATTTCCTGACAGCAATTTGAATGAGGGGCCTGGCTTTCTACAGGCTGTTGTCTGAAGGCTGCTCTGAGGTCTTAGAGGCCACCAGAAGTGGCTAGAAGCTGTCTACACACCTTGCCACATGGATTTCTCCAACATGGTCACTCAATTCATCAAGCCTACAAGAAGAATCTCTGGCTTCAGTCTGCTGAGATAGAGTTTCACATAATGCAACATAATGATGGGGGCTGTATCCTATCACCTTTGCTATATAACAAAACCTAATCACAAGAATGACATCTCATTACCTTTACCATAGGTAATGGGTTAGAAGCAAGTCACAGGTCCCATTCACGCTCAAGGGTAGAAGATTACACAAAGCCATGAATACTAGGAGGTGGAAATCATTGGGGCTTATCTTAGTGTTTGTCTGCAACATTTATACTGATATTCTTTATTAATAGTTTATTTATTTATTTATTTTTGGTTTTGACCTCATAGCTTTATTTCTTTTGCTTACTTTGATTTCAGATGTTTTTGTCCCTTTAGGTTTTTTAGATGGAAGCATATGCCATTGATTTGAGACCATTCTTCTTTCCTAAAAAAAGGTGTTTAGTACTATCAGTCACTTTCCAATCACTGTGATAACAGCATCCTACACATTTTTATTTTTCATGCTTTTACTTTAATTCATTTCAAAATACATTCTGATTTCCCTTTTGATTTCTTCTTTGACATACAGGTTAATTAGAAGTGTGTTATTTCATTTCCTAATACATGGGTATTTTGCAGATATATTTCTACTATTAATTCCTAATTTAATTCCATTGTGGCTAGGGAATATATTTTGCATATTTTGAATTCTTTTTAAATTAATAAGACTTCTTTTATGGTCAGAATATTGTCTATCTTGGTAAATGTTCCATGGGCCTTTGAAAATAATGTGTATTTTTGTTATTGGAGAAAGTCTTCCATAATGTCAATTAGGTTAAATTAGTTGATAACATTGTTTAAGTCTTTTATATTCTTATTTAGTATAAATTTCCTATTTATTGAAATAAATTGTTAAAATATTCAACTATGATTCTCATACTACCGCATATATGGTGAAAACCTCCAATACATCAGTATAATTTCTACTTTAAATAACCAATGGTATTTTAAAGAGATTTTTAAGAGTATTTTTATATATGCTCACAATTTTAACATTCTCAGTGTTATTTATTACTTTGTATAGATCTAGATTTCAGCTCTTGTTTGTCTGAAACATTTCGTATTTTTATTTTGGTTTTGAGAGATATTTTGCTGAGTATAAATTCTTGGTTGAAAATTTTATTCTTTCAGTACTTTAAGAGGTTTCTTCTCTGTCTTCTGGCTTGCATTGTTTTCAATGTCTGCAGCCATTTTTATGTTCTCTTTTTGTCTGTATTCATTGCGACTTTTTTTTTCTTTTGGCTACTTTTAAGGTTTTCTGTTTATCACTGGTTTTCAGCAATTTGATGACAATACATTTTGGTGTAATTTTCTTCCTGTGCTTGTGCTTGGCATTTATTGAGTTTCTTGGATCTTTGGGTCTATATTTTTCATCAGAGTTGTAAATTTTCACCCATTATTTCCTCAAATATTTTTTCCATGTCTCTTACCTTTTGAGTACTCTAATTACAAATATATTAGCCTGCTTGAAAGTATCCTGTGTGAGAAATTTGGTTAGTTTCTAAAGGAATATCTTCAAATTGACTAACCTTTTCTTATGTAGTGTCTAATCTTCGGATAGTCTCTTCCTACATATTTTTAAATCTTGGGCAGTTATATTTTATCTCTACAAGTTTGAACTAGGTCTTTTTAATTATCCTCCATATCTGTGCTTAGCATGCTCATGCTTTCTTTTACTTTCTTGAACATATAGAATATACTTATAATACTGCTTAATATCCTTGTGTGCTGATACTTTCATCTGTGTTTTTTTTCTGAATCTTCTTATATTGATTGATGTTATTTCTCCTAATAAAACGTGTATTTTTTCTTCTTTGTGTGTATAAGTAAGTCTGTATTGGATGCTTGACATTTGAATTTTATATTTTTGAATGCTGGATATTTTTGTATTCTTTAAAGTAGGTTTGAGATTTGTTCTGAAACCCAAATAAATTATTTGGTAAGCTTTTCAAGCCTTGCTTATAATCTTTGTTATAGAAGACCAGAGCAGTCTTTAGGAATAATTTTTTATTGCTACTAAGGCAATACAGTTCCAAGTATATTGCCAGTGCCCTGTATAATGCAAAGTTTTTCCACTCTGGCTGGAAGGATGAAAATTCTTACCAGCCTTATGTGATCTCTTGAGACTGTTTCACCCACTTCTTTATTGGTTCTTTCTCAAGATGTGGGTGGTTTCCTCACACCCTCATACTGATGAGAATGCAGAGAAGACTTGGGAACACTCATTATGGAGACCTCAAAAGCGTTCTCTCTGTGCAGCTCTTTCTTTTCAGTACTCTGTCTTACAAAGTCTAGGGGCTGTGGCCTCCCTGAATTCTCAAATCCATCTGCTAACTACAGGGGGACTACCGCCATCTGTTTCAGATCCTCCTTCCTGGAAACTCTTGAGCAGTAAACTGAGACAATCTCAGTGATTACCTCATTTGTTTCCCTTCTATCAGATATTACTATTTGCACTGCCTATTGCGTATCCTAAAACTGTTGTTTTGGAAATATTATTATTTTTTTCTTTACTTGTTTAAGGTGAGTGCACAAATGTAGTCTCTGGTCCTTCACTGCTAAAAGTAGAAGTAATCTTTTCATTTTGTACCCTATTATATGTACTTCTTTATTATAATGTTGAAAGAAATTCTAGCGGCAGCTCTAATAATTTGAAGCAGTGTTGAGCATAAATAATATTTCCAGATATCTCTAAGGACTGTGTGTGATATTAAAATATTTTTTTGGTGATAAAATCACAGCAACTGCTAATACTACTTAGATTTGAATCTTGCATTAATAATTGGAGGACTGTTACATTTCAATTAGAGGTAAGTGAAAATAAAGATTCATTTTTCTTATACAAGTTCATGGACTCCTGAATTTTCCATGAATACCATGGAGGTGTATGGACTCCATGATAAGAAGTATTGTGTAGAGAAAGCCACCTGGTTCTTCAATTTTGGGGGTAAGTCATAGATCACAGAATCTGTTGCCTCCAACACCTTGTTTGGTCAAGCTTCCTGCTGGTTCTATATCCTAATTGTCAGTAAGCTCCTAAAGAACAATAAGATTAAGTGGGATAATAGGTAAAGCAGTTACCACTGTGCTTGGCATCCAATAAGCCCACAATAATCACAATAACATTAGCTATTAATCATCATCGCCATCATCATCATGGCAGAGTGGAACCATCTTGGAGGGGGGCTGAAGCTATAGAATTTGAGGGTCCCCTCTTTAAAAAAATCAATAAAGTGTTTTCCTTTTGCAAATCCTATGAAAACTCATGACTACATGAACCTATTACTATATCAGGATCTCTCCCAGGGTCTTGAAGCCACATGGGCAAGTAAGCATTCCTGAAACTTAATCTTCATTAAATTCACAATAAATCTGCTTCTGATTGCCATTCTCTTCTTTCTCATCTTCATAATTCATCAGTTATTCATGATGCCAGAGCTGTTAAAGTGGAGTTAATGGTGGTGAGAAATGTGGAAGGGCAATGAAGATAGGTGAGGACCACTACCAGGCCTGACCTCAACCTTTGGAGGCTTAGGATGCGTATTTAAATCCTGGAGAGATTCTTTTTTCCCTATATTCCCAACAGCAAGTGTATCAGAGTTGACTAGTGACAGAGAAGGTATCAATGGAAGGCAGCGGTCCCACTTACGTTACTCCTTACTCTATTCCTATCACCTAGTGTGGATGCTCCACACAGTGTGTCAAAACAATGCATGAATGTAGTTTCATTTTCCAAAAATTTTGTGAAAATAAAAACTAAAAAAGAAGAATGAAAGAAAATAATGAATCTGGATATTGCTACAAGTTGTTTGAATTTTAACTATTGAATCTTGTATTTTCTAATGCTGGGATTGTGGAAAGAGGGACATATAGGGGTGAACAGGGAAGGAAATCTGCTAAATTTTTCTTCAGTGCCTTTCCAATTGTCCTGCCAACTCCTGTTATTCTTCCTCCAATTATGGTCTCCTAATCCTCCCTCCTTCTAATGCCTGACTCCTATTCCTCTGGTTCCAACTAGAGTGTCTGTGGATAACTAATAATGATAATAATAATAATAATAATAGCTAACATTTATTGAGTGCTTACCATGTGCTAGGTTCTGGGCTGTTTTTTAAGGAGATCATCTCAAATTCCTACCACTCCCTTGATGTAGGTATTATTAACCCTTCTATCATAGAGTGGAAAATCAACGCCTACAGGATCCAGTTAGCATGCCCAGTTCACACAGTTAATAAATCATAAAGCCAAGATTCAAATTTAGACACTGACTGCAGAGCTTGGGCTCAAAACCACTGAGTCCCCATACTACCTGGCTGTAGTGGGAATACAATTCAGGCATAATTCATTTACAAAGCATCTGCGTTTTAAAAGGGGTAACTCTGTAATGAAAAGTCTTCAGGACTCAAAAAAATGTACGTGAAAAGTTGGCATATTAGGTTGCTGAGGTGAATAAGAATCCTATCATATAATGTCAGTATGTCCTGTGAGATAAATAATGGGGTAAAAAGCTCTGTGTGTGTGTGTGTGTGTGTGTGTGTGCACATGTGCAAGGATGGTAAACTCTCTCTGTGAAGGCATCTTTAGCTGTCTCACAGTGAATTAGGTTATTTCACCTCCAGTGCCCATCTCAAGATAGCTCATTGCATTCTTGCTGGGTAGTCTTCACAAGATGCCATGCAGTCCTCATGGGCAGCGATCTATCTATTGCCCCAGAAATTTGCTTAACAAAGGTGTTCAATACACATTTGTGGCATGAAATTGTATTCTGGTACCAGAAGAATAAAACTGGGGAACATCAAAATGACAAGTTGTAAAATTGCCTTGGAAATTAAGCGACATTCAGAGAAAAAGCTGCTTCACTCTAAGGAGTACTAATGGGTAGAAATTCAGTTATTAAAACTAAACCATAAATTTTTAGGTGTATTATAAACTTGAAGAAAGCAAGAATTCACAGCCTTTGATTCTTATCTGTATCTTATGAGCACAGAGCCTTGTATATATCCACCAGGCTCTCCAGAAATGCCCACTGAGTGCATGGAAAAACTGTACTGTTTTAAATATGTTCTCCACCAACCACACCACAGGTCTTGCACCACTCACAACACTAGCTGGATAGCAGTATGCTTTTGCTTGATCATTTTTTAGTCTCATGAAGCAGTGGCAGCCACAATCATTGGGGCGTCAGATTCACATGGCCAAAAAGAGCATCAATAGAAAATAAGCTTTTATAAAGAGCATGGGCTGTCTGGGCCTCAGATGAGGAGGGCTCCTTTTTCGAGGTGTTTGGGACCACTCTATCTTGTAGCTTCATTTGCAATACTTTTCAAGCCTGTGTAAGGCATGCCAGAAATTCTGGCCAAAGATGGTATCCACATGGGCTCTTGATCTCTCTTCTACGCCATCTTTTTGAAAAGAGCTATTAGAAGTGGCTCCTGTTTTGAAGTAGATCAAACCAGTGACATTTGATTCTGCCTCTTTGTGGAGTGGGGCTATTGGTTTTAGTTCATGGAAGCAAACTGAAAACTTGCAGACGTGCTGTTACTACATAAATTTGGACTCTTCCCTGACCTCGAAATACAGATAGACCCTAAGTAACATTCCCAGCTCTTTCTTCTCAGTGGGATGTAAAGCTTTTGTGCACATAATGAACTCAGATATTTTAATAGCTGATTTGTAAAATGTAATAGCTATCATTTTAATAGCTGTTGTCATAACCTCTACAGATTCACTGTGGATGGATTTCTATGTGAGGTTTAGCATTGTTGATTTACTTTTTTCATATCTGTTCTTTAAGCGATAGAAATTGTCACTTTTGTTTAAAACACATTTGTTGAAAGGGTGTTTTTTTTTTCGAAAGGGCACTTAAGTCATTTTTATTTAAAATAAATTAATTAAATTTATCTTTCTCATTTGCCTCTCCATGACCTTTTGGGAACTTGGAAATTAAATTTTATCCTAATATTTTACTTTCTAGCTTGGCAAACATTGACACTATTTTAGATTCTGAACAAAGTTGAGAAAGCACAGATTTGTTTTTAAAAATCATTTCAATTTTGAAACAGGAAGTGATAGTGATTCTGGAGATTTATCTGCTGTGGTATGAGCTTTACTTTTTCTTTTTAAATGAACTACAAATGAGAAGGTAATGCAATCATAAAACAATCAACTAAAACAAACAAACAAATAAAAAACTCATGGGGATAATTTCAACTGTAAATACATTCATTTAAAAATAAAAAATGTTCATGCTGTTATTCAATAAATACTATTATTTGACATGATACCATAATAAATTACTGAACAGAAATTGAAATATCTGTTATTAAGAAGACCAAATTGAAATTCCTATTAATGAGAATGAAACAAAGTAAAGATCTCCAAAATGTGCCAAAGAGAAGAAGTAGGTCAAACAATTTGCTATGGTAATTTAAAATGGTTTTTCATACTCAATCACATAATCATGTAATAAAAATATTCCAGAAGTTTCAGAAAATATTATTTAAAAAATAAAACAAACCCAAAAACATCCCATTAAAATTCAAGATTTTTTTCCTTAAAAATGTCAGTATTTTTTATGATAAAAGAAAGGTTTTATTATGCTATGTACACACTACAAAAACCACTAATTGCATGTGGTCTTATAATTTTTGAAGACATCACCATAGGTAGATAAAATAAATATTTATTCTTCTATGTAAAGATATAAACTGGAGCTTAGAAACATAAAGTAACTTGCCCAGATTACACAGATGCTAAGTGTCAAAGCTGCAACTTGAACACAAGTCGTGTGACTTTGAGTCCAGTTTTTTTTTTTTTTTGGTTGATAAACACACCCTTAACTCAATTCCTGAAAAAGTAGTGATGATAGGTTTCTATAAGACTGAATGGACACTGAAGAGCTCCTTGAACAAAATTATTGATTTGCCTCATCGTTATTATCATTAGTGAGTTTTGTTTTGTTTTAATTTAGTGCTTGCTGCTATGAAGAACTCAAAGAAGAGTGACGAAAATTAAGTTCTGGTCTAGGCTTTAAGGGACTAAGAGGTTAGTAGGGGAGTTATCCAGGAAAAGAAGTAGTAACTGAGGTCTACGTATGAACAACACAAGATACCAACACTAAGTACCAATGGCCTTCACAAAAAGACGCGATCAGGTGGGAACTGGAGTGAACAGCAATTCAATGTTTGGTTTTTGTCTTAAATCAACTATATTGAGGTATAATTTACATACAATAGAATGTATCCATTTTTAATGTACCATTCAATGTCCACTAAAATCAAGACCAACAGCATGTCCATTGCCTGCAAATATTCCCCCCAGCTTTTCCTCAGTCAATCTCTTCTCCCACTCTTGGCCTCACACGACCACTGATCCAGCAGGGTTTATTTAATAATTGAGAAAGTGCAAAGAGGGTAAAGGAAACAGTGAGAACAAAGGGAGGACTTAAATCATATGAATTCCCCAGTTGTTAGAATTCCAGGTTATAAACCTAAATAAAATTTTCAGACCAGGAGGGAAAAATGATTTGGGTTTGTGGGGAAAGGGACAGCCACCTGCTCTCCTATGTAACCTTTCTATTCCTTCCCCAAAGTCATTTTCTGATTTCTCACTCCTCATCCAGTCACCAACCTTAGGCCCATCCAGCACTTATATTTATCTCTAGGATAAAAATGGTACCAGTAGGGCTCTGTAGTATTGGGAAGCTGTGATTGATCTGGATCACACTGGTAGCTCCAACCACCATCCTCCATGTCCATGCATCCTCACCAAGATTCTACTCAAGTAGTTCTTAGACTTCTGGGGGTCACAGGCCTCTTTGAGGAAGCTTTTGATCGCCCAGTAGTATGCACATCAACCATTTTGCATTCGATTTTGGGTTCACAGGGCTCCTGAAACCCACTCCCAGAATCCCAAGGGTGTACTTGGTGTTCAGGTAAAATCCTTGCCATAACCTGTGTGTTTTCTGCACCTTCTTTCACTGGACAAACCAGGTAGATATATCTCATACCCTGCAAAAGGAATCAGGAAAGCCTCTGCATCACTGCTTTTAAGCCTCACATTCGCTGCAAAGCAGGGTTGTTGATTTTTTGTTTTTTGAGTTTTTTGTTTGTTTGTTTTTTGCCTTTTATAACACTTTGTTCTTCCCTGGATTGGAAGTGGAGACTTCCACTACTTTACACAGGGAAATACTGTTCTGAGGCAAAGCTTGTGGGGAAGGCAGTGATGTGTGGCCTGTTGAGAATCAATGCTTCAAAAGATGGAGAGAACACAGGATATTGTAGGGTTCCCCTTGGTCCTGTTTTTCCCCAGTAACAATGGCTGAATGCCAAGAAAGTCACAGACCTCTCTAGGTATCCCCAGTATGCTCATATTTCAAATGAGAAGGGACCAGATTGTACCTTTGTGCTCAATATTCTAGGATCCCTTGTCCTATTCCCACCTTCCCTTAAGTCAAACTACCCTTCCACTTTTATAATTGAAACAAAATATGTGGGACACTTGAGGTCACCTTATGAGATATCCAGCACACACACTAGAAAAATCCAGACATTTGAAAAGCCCATAAAACTGAGAAATGCCCTGACATTACTGTAAACAGTTTGAAGAAGCCAGTTTCTGAGAAGAAAGCCCACCTCCTTTAAGTCAGGCCTTCACAGACACCCCTGCCATAGGGACACACAACTCTGCTTTAGTGACCAGTTGACTGGAAACACACTAACAAGGTGAGGTGAGTTTGTTAAGGCCCCAGGGACAGTAAGAGGCATGGTGATGTCCTGATCAGTATACTGGAGGTGGGAGCATTGCATTCCAGTATCATCTAGCACATCATAGGCAATGAATAAATGAGTATGTCTGGAATGAATGCACGAAAAGAAGGAAATTCTCTGACATTATCTGGTCAGAAAAGGGAGAACGGGAATGAAAAAGTTAGATATTTTGATTTATTTTAATAGAGATTATCTTATCTATTTAACATGCATTTAATGTGAGCCCACCTTGGGAGGGTCTTTGCCTGTGCAATGGGCTCTGAACTCATTCTGTTTACTTCACTTCCAATCCTATTTTTTAAAAGGCAATTAGAATGGTGCCCAACTATCCCCTATGTACAAAAGGTCAGCCGCTTCTTAAAATAACTCTCACTAGGATCACAGTTGTGGAAGTCGAGATGTGTCTCTGAGAGTTTCCCTAATTCTCTGTAACATTTTAAAATAAGTACTCAGGGACGGCTAAACACATAACTTGTCATCTAAATATGCATTTTGAGACTTCTAATACTTATTATAAATATGTATTTAGGGATTTTCTTGCAAGAAATAAAGAGCTTTATAATAACTCTTTTGGAAGGATTGTGCTCTATTGCATTATACGTCTCTTAAAAAATTAATGATATTTTACTGATAGACCAGGATGTCTGATAAGAGATGGTAATGAGACACTGTCAGTAAGGCATGGAGAATCTCAAATTCCATGTACGATGTGAAGCCCCATTCTTCATAAAGACAAGGTCTGTGGTGAGAAGCTCGGGATACTTTTTTTTTCTCATAAATAATTCAATACAATTGCTCATATGTCAGCCCCATAAATGGAGAAACACAATTGATATGAACTGGGTCATCCAGGTTCAAGGCAGTCTGTGAGAGGAAGCCTTTCCACAACTCTACAATGGAGAAAGAACCTGCCTTCAGATGCAGATAGCCAAATGCAGCAAGTTCCTACCTAGGTTCCTGTAACCCCTTCTCCAGTCAGACCCTCTTGTATCAGAGCACACACACCCTAACATTGTCTAGACCAATGGACACCAGCATTATTTTTATTATGGACTCCACCAGTGAAATATTTTCATAAACATATCTTCAGTACTGTATATTTATTTTCAACTCTTAAGCTACATATATTGAATATTGGTAAAGCTTAATCCATGTCTTATATTTCAATAAAACATGAGAATATGTGCTAATATTTTCCTTTATGCCTCAATAAATCACCAGGTTCCTGGGTTTTGGGAAGTCACCAAGACAGGAAGCAAGCTCATTTACTATGTCCTGTATAGGACATTTCTTGCTTCATCAAAGTCTCTTCAGAACGTGCGTAGGAGGGTGTCAAAGTCTGTAAGCCATGGTGAAATATGTTAGCAATTCTCATTGATGATCACAAGAGTAGCTATGAATGGGGGAGATGATGATTTTTCACATTTGTTTGCTAGAACAAGATTCTGGATGAACATAGCACCATGACTCCCAGAAAGTTCTGAACAGGGTGGAAGGATGAAGAGGATTTTCCACAGCCCCCTGCTTGAGGCACAGGCAGGGGCTGTTCCAGAACAAAGATGAAGACCGAGTCCTCTCATTGGAAGAAGATGTTCACCTCAGTGGCTTCTACAAGCAGAACAGGTCCCTTTCTCAATGAGGATGCTCTTGTAGGCAACACTTTAAAGTAGGACCCTTACTTCAACCCCATTTGATTCTCTTTCTGCAGCCTTTTCCCCTCTCTAAGTAGACTGAGTCGCCATGGACCTCATTTCTTTCTTCTCACAACAAGGAGGCCCTGCTTAGGAAAATATTGTGATAAATAGATTCATCCAACCATTTATTGGACAAATATTACTGAGCTCCAACAAGGTGCCAGGTTGAGAAATAAGTGATGGATCAGGCATTATTCCTCCAAGGTCTAACTGGTTAAAGTGTGTGCCCCATCACTAATGGATCAGGTGTCAATAACCAGGCCTCCCAAGCATGACTGAGGCCGTGCCACAAATCACTGAAGCCTCACAAGACAATTTCTATTCCTGTCTTGGACCAGATCAGCTGTGCCCAGGTCATACTGAGATTATTTTTCTGGAAAATAGTCAGCTCTTCTCCATTTCATTGTCACACAGGCATGAACAAAGATCCCGGCCCAGGCGTCGTGGTACAATTGCATTAATATTTGGGTTGGGGGTAAGTACAAAGGAGTGGAGAACCATAGAAGGTGACAAGTGAGTGCAGAAACAACACAATGAACAGCAGCAAGCCAGCCTGTGCAAAGCCAATGGCAGGACACCCATCAGCAAATGTGGCCTCTGTGACCTTCCAAAGTATGTTGTAATTGGGTGGATTTCTGGGTGAGTATATTGGAAAAACCAAACTGCTTTTCCTCTGATGTTGTACCACAACCATCAATAAAGAAAACTTCTGTGACCAAATGTGTAAGGGTTTTCCCACAGACACCAAGTGAGCAATCATTTCTTTAGCAGATACCAGCTGGGCATCCTCCAATACAATTCAATTCTGGCAATGTCCACCTGGAGGTAGCTTCAAATCACACAGGTTGAGGACTTAGTCTCACAAGACTGAGCACCACGTCTATGCAGATCACAAGCCCTAGGCTATTTTGCCTGTGCTCCTAACCAATCAGCAATAAATTGGGGTTCCCACTGCCCCCTCCTTGGGTTTGATTAATTTGCTAAAATGGCTCACAGAACTCAGGGAAACTCTTACATTTATCAGTTTATTGCATAGGATATTTTAGAGGATACAAATAAACAGCCAGATGAAGAAATATATAGGGCCATGTCTGAAAGGGTCCTGAGCACAAGAGCTTCTGCCCCTGTGGAGTTGGGGTGTGCCACCCCCCAGGAGGATGGATGTGTTCTTGTTCATCTTCCTGGGAGACCCCTTTAGCTATAGGCAAGCTCCCCAATCCCAGTCCTTTTGGGTTTTTATGGAGGGCTTCATTGCATAGGCATGATTGATTAAATCATTGGCCATTGGTGACAGACTCAACCTTCAGCCCCTCTTCCTTCCCCAGAGGTTGGGGGTGGGATGAAAGTTACGACCCTCTAATCCTGGCCAGTCCTCACCTTGAAGCTGCCTAGGGACTACCAGCCACCAGTCAACTCATTAGACTACAAAACAACACCTACCACTTTGAAGATTCCAAACAATATCATACTCAGTTTCTCTGAGAAAGGAGATGCTGACAAAACTGAGAGGATCTTGAAGGCTGGGCACAGTGCCAGGATGTCAAAGCAGGAAGATATCCCACTGGAGGAGAGCACGTGCCCATGAATGAGGCAAATGCCCTTCAGCATGGATATGGCAGGGGTGTGCCCAGGGATGAGGCTCCAGAAAGAGGCCAGGCATGAGGCAAGGAAAAGACCTAGGAAGCCCCTATGTGTCATGTCGTGATTTCCGGATGTTGTCCTGCACGCAAACAGAAATCACTGAAGGTTTTTAAGAGGAGAAATACATTTTATAATGCATTGGACCTGCTGAACTCACCTTATCTCTTTGCTGGCCATTTTAAAAGTGTTCTCAAATTTGCTACAACAGACATGACATATGATATTCCCATTTACAGCTTTCATGAAACACTGTTAAAATTAAGGTAGGTGATGCTCTGTTTAATTTCCAGCACACCAGCTGTACCTCCATTGTTTCTTTCCCTTTCGGAAGGATGCAGGACAGATTTCAAACAAACATGGTAGATTTATTATTAAAATAACATTGAAAAGAAAAATAAACAATTTGTGAAGTTTACTACTGAATTACTATTAGTAACTAAACACCCGCTTTACACCAGATTGAGGCCTGCCACTGGATTATGATAGTGAGTGATCACCAGAGTTTAAACATACATTTGCTTTAGTAGATCCTATTTTAAGAAGTCTAAACTTCTATCTTGTTAGTTGAAGAACTGGATTGTATGCATAATTTCTCTATATAGTGTATGCATACAATTTAGCAATGCAATTACAGAACATAATAATATGTGCACTAACACAAATATAATCATATTCATCCTTGGGACCCGCAAAGAACAGAGCATCCCATCCAGCCCCCCACTGGTATGCGCTGGCTTCCCCCAAGGCTTGTGGCCCTTTCTCCCAGGTCATCCTTACAGTGACTAAGAAGACGTCATCTCTTCTTTTAGAAGTGATCATTGCCTCCCTGTTCCACCTAGCAGGGTGGGAGTGGGGGTGGGGGTCAGGCTGTCTGGAGGAAGTAGATGAGCAAGCCTGCCCTTCCAGGGCAGATGGGCAGCATGAACAGAGGTGGGTGAAGAATGAAGGAAATGTGCATGCAGGGATGAAAACTGTCATGCGTAACTATTTATTTTATTTTGCACAAGGATTACACATTTTCCTTGAGGGGGAAGGGAAGAGAAAGGTGATCACTGTGCATTTATCATGAGTCCAAAGTGCTTTTAGGTTTAAGCCCCATCCCCCAATCTGTGTTGTGTTGCCAGCACATGGCTGATGTAACTGCGTCCGAGGTGAGCTGTCGTACATTTTGAACACAACCTTTTGAAAGTGGCGATATTTGTCACAGATATGGAGCGTGAATGGGGTACATGAACATATGCTGAGGGGGAGGACATGCCTTGACTTCTAAAATACCATGTTTTTTAAGTTGAAAATTTAAACTAGAATAGTAAAAAATAAAAAGTGAAAAAAAGCCTCTTACTAAACTGAAAACAATCTAAACATTTGATAAAAGGGGAACGGTTCAGCAATAGGTAACACATAGAAAGAAGGAATATTATGCAGGGGCTAAAATTAGTGCTAAGAAAAATTCTATGTTAAATCAAAAGTATAGAGTTCAAACTGATATACACCATAATTATCAGTGTGAAACAGATGTAGGTATGGTTAAGCCCCAAGCAGGGATAGGTTAAAATGAAGAGTTGCTGTATTACTGTGGTGGGATGATGGGTATGTATTGTTTATTTTCTCTCTTCCCTATTTTCCACAAGTTTTCTTTAAGGACAGTATCATAATATAATGATAACATTACGACCAAATTGATACACACAGGAGACAGGGAAATACTGGGTAGAAGAGGGTGGTTCCCCGGCAGAGGTCCCCCAGCAAACCTGGAAACTCATGGCCCTCAGTGAGAACATGCATTCCTCTTTTCTCACCCAAAAGTTGTCTTTTTACCCACCACACCCCCCTCTTCTGTACCTATATAAGCCACAAACCATACGCTCCATGGAGAGAGACAAACAGGAGAGCAGAAGAATGGCAGAATGGCATAGCAGAGAGAAGAGAAGGAGTGTCTGAATCCCAAGAGGAGTTTGGCTGGGGATGATTGGAGAGAAGATTGTTTGCTGGATGGCCAAACCCCAGGGGAAAATCATCTTCCCACTCCATCCCCCTTCCAGCTCCCCATCCATCCAGCTGAGAGCTGCCTCCACCGCTCAGTAAAACCCCCACATTCATCCTTCAAGTCCGTGTGTGACCTGATTTTTCCTGGACGCTGGACAAGGACCTGGGTACCAAGAGGACACTGAGCTGGTTAACTTTAAGCTATCTGCGGATGGCAAAGCTAAAAGAGTGCACTGTAACACATGCCCACATGGGCTTCAGGAGTTACAGACACCCACTCCTAGACACTACCATGGGGCAGGAGCCCATAGTGCTTGCTCTGGCTCTTTCACTTGCCTGTCTGTGTGTTCCCATTCCTGTAAGGGGTTTGAGCACATGGTGACCAAAAAGATGAAAATCTTTATAATTTTTAATATTATTTGAACAGGAATTTTGTCTGACTTAGAGTAATTTTATTTCTCTCGCAATAAACTAGTCTAGCTCATTCTGGATGCAACTGAGTATTTTCCCCATTATCTGTGTAATGACATATCCTTCTGATACTTACTCAAAGGACTGAGGGAGCAAAGCAGCCTTCATCCTTGAAATCTTATCCGGGCATCATGGGCCTGA
Organism: Homo sapiens; assembly: GCF_000001405.40. Classification (NCBI taxonomy): domain Eukaryota; kingdom Metazoa; phylum Chordata; class Mammalia; order Primates; family Hominidae; genus Homo; species Homo sapiens. Next base: position 47,444,437 of record NC_000015.10, on the reverse strand, counting down.
TCTTAACTTAGTTAAAGAAAACCTGCTGATCCCAAACTCTCAGCTATTCTTTACTCCCTAGCACTTTATTTCAGGCTTAAAATATCCCATCTCCACTGAAAGTCATCCTTGCCCATTTTAGCTATTATGAACTTTCTCCTTTGTGAATATCCACAGCCTGTCAGTCCTACTTATTTGGGGGACACAATCTCCTCTGTATTGTTAGTAACTGCGTGTGTGGGTGTGTATGTGCATGTGCACATGATTATAAACTCCATGAGACTTTGTATACTTCTCATGACTTGCTCCTCACAGTGTCCTGCAGATGGTAAATAGACACAGGGAAAAAAGTCCAAGATGTAGTTGTTGAAAGAGACAATGGCCTACTCAGTCACATTTTAGCCAGGTGGCTTACTCTAAAGGTAGGTGATTCACTGGTTAGGATTCTGACCACATCCCCAAGATACCATGACTGTCTTCTAAATCATCAATTTGTTTATCATTATTATTAGCAACCTTTGCACTTATTTTGGTCTAGCAATGATGATGAGCTATTAGAAAAATATACTGTTCTTAGTTAGATATGCCAAGAAGACAGTTTTCCACGGTAGGTGGCCATAATTCATTAATTTCCCAAAACAGCCTGATATCTTTTTCCCAAAAAAGCCAAGGGGCTTCTGAAGTTGCTGAAGTTTGGTAACTGTATATTGATGAAAATTTCTCTTTAAAAGTTATTTTTGCACTTACTTTGATATTTTCTAGTGCATTCCAGTTGTTGATTACTGCACTAAAATCACCCCCTAAATTAAGAGGCTTTAAACAATAATCATTTTGTTATCTCCCATGGTTTGTAAGAATTAGAGATTTAAGAAGCTCTTAGCTGGGTGGTTCTGGCTGGAGTCTCTCATGAGGCTGCAGTCAGATGGTGAGTGGAGCTGGGACATCAGGTGTGAGAACATCTGGGAGATGCCTGGGCATGGCTCTGTGTTGTTGTAGTCTTGGGACCTCTATATGGTCATGCCATGTGGGTTAATTTGGACTTCCTTGCAGCATGATGGGATCAGAGCAGTCAGACTATTTAAATAGTAGCCCAAGGTTTTGCTACTCCCAGGTAGCAAAGTGGAAACTGCATTGCATCTTACAACCTAGCCTCAAAAGTCATTTCAACTATTTGCTATTGGCCAACACAGTTGTAACAGCTTGCCAAGTTTCAAAGAGAGGGTACACAGACTCTACCTCTCAATGAGAGGTGTGTAGGGATAAGGAGATATTGTTGTAGCTATAAAGTTTTTTTGGAAACTACCATCTGCCACAAGGTGACATATCTATCATTACATTCCATGTGATAGAAATCATTTTAATTTGCTAAATTGGAATGCATTTTCCTGCCCTCACTGGCAGAAGGCTAATTTTCTAGTTGGTGCTCTCTCTTGTAATAATCTGAAACTACTCCTGGTTAGAGAAGTATTTGCCTGTCTGTTTGGGTTCTGGAGAATACTATTTGGTATACACACTTAAGGCTTAGAGGGAAGGGGACAATAAGTAATACTTCTAGTTGATTTGAAATTCATAGAAATCTATAGATTTTAGGATACTATGAGTAGCAGCAAGCTTTTCTCTATTTTACAACAAAGCCTTTTTCTATACAAAGAATCAACACCCACAAAAGGTGACTCTGTCATGGTGCACTGAAAAGGAGGCCATGCCAGAAAGACCATGGCAAATGCACTTCCAACCCAGGCATTCCAGATCTGAGCAAATAACAGTAATATGGACTTGTATAGCACTTTCCAGTCTGGAAGATGGCTAGTAACCCAAACAATGTCAACATAATATTTACAACTTTAAACTGTGAGAAGCACATCCACAGATGTTGCTGTTTATACTACAGCTATCTAACGCAGACATTACCCTCAGTCATTATGAGGAAAGAGAGAGACCCATGGAATCAAATGGTATAGGTCATATGACTAGCTGGTGGCAGTGAGCATGAATAAGGACTCAGGATCCCCAAATGCAGGCTAAAGTTCCTTCCTACTTAGCATTATAGAACAGATATAAAATTGTCCATGCCAAAAAAGAAAGAAGAGGCAGCCAAGTCTCCCCTTTCTGTACATCATGGAAGGTATCTTTCTCAAGGGTGGTTATAGCCCACTGCCCCACATAGGAAAAGGAGGGTGAAGGATCTAAGTGTCTCAAGGATTGGCAAGTAGGTCACACATCTTGGAAATAGTGGGGACTCACAAAATTTGATGTGCACCATATAAGGAATATTATTAATGGATTTTAAACACTTGAGTGGAAATATTGTCAATGTATTGTGAACACAAACAAGGTTTGATAGGCATTCAAAATCTTTCCCCAAGCTATTTACTCTAATTATAATATACTGAATGAAATTAGAATGAATTTAGCTGCCTTTATAACATTAGAAATTGTATATGATGAAGGAGGTGTGGTAAACTTGCTAGAAAGTGCTCATGATTCATGGATTAAAAACCTGCTTAATTATCTCATTGAGTTATAATAATATCAATAATGAACTAAGGAATTTGAGGTTACAGGAGATCTCTGAGTGTAGAGATGTGGCAGTCACCCACTCACACTCCATCCATCCTGACCCAAATAACCACGTGGAAATCAGCCATCTACAGGCTACAAATGCTTTCTCTGCTCCACTTCTTGGATGAATGGCTTCATATTAACAGATATTCATACAATATTATGGTTGGAAACACATTCAAATCAACCTCATTAAAAAAATAAAATGTATTGATTATGATTCCATAAAACATTTCAGTATATTGGAATCTTCTAAGGCCAGTTCTTCTCAGAAAACTGGGATCTGCTGTTGCCAAAACTTATGCAGCATCTATGGCTGAAAAGACTACTGTGTATTTTGAAACTCCTGCCTGTAAACATTTAGAAGACAAATGGTACATCAAGCTATTGTATAAATGAAATTGTGTCTACATTCTTTTACAGTCATAAACATATCATTTGTCTTGCTTGTTGTTAGCAGGAACACTCCATTTTGTCATTTCTCAATACACCTTGTTCCTACCCTCCCAACTTACATTACAAATTTATTTTTACTTTTGACTTCTGTCCACTTTGGTTTCTCCCCAGCATTATTTACTTCTCTGTTTAACTTGTCTTTCACCTTCCAGATGGTATTTTTTCATTAAATGTCAATGACAAGATGAAGAACATGTTTTTGGAATTAGAAATGTTTGGTCAGGAACTGGCAACACTTGTCTGGAAGGACAGGTGATCTATTTAGGTGACACAGTTCAAATAAACATAAGAAAGACCAAAAGAGACTCATAAAGAGATACAAAATAGTATGCAAAGTGAGTGTTTAAGGACACGATTTAAGATTAACCTCACAATGCTGCCATGGTAAGGTTAAGTGTCAAGCGGAATGTCAGGGGAATGGTAACATTTCAAAGGCAAAAGGAAGAAGGAGCAAGTTACACACAAGGTGAGGACAAACAGATGAGCCTGATTGTAGTGTTTGGTCTCCTAAAGGTCAAAGAAAGAATTATAAATATAAATCCTAGCAACAGATTCTCCAGCAGATTCCATAAAAATGTGTCACAATTCTCATTTTCTTGTTTCCTTTCTATGTGCTAAACTATTCGAATGCATATATTCTAAATTGCCTTCATGTCCTTACCACTAATGTTTTTCATCCAGGCAACCTGGCTGCATTTCTTATTGACCAACACAAAATCCTCTATTCTGTTCCTGAATTCAGTCGCTTCTATGTTAAGTCATCATTCAACACCCGTCTTTTTTTTTTTAACTTTATCTTCAGCACCACTGAATATTTGTTTTTCTTTCTAATTTGATCCTGAAAAGTGGTCCTTCCATCTCCCTCATGCATGAATGGCAGTTCTCTTCTGAAGTTTAGCTGGGGGTCTTGTGTTCTTTCCCCAGGGCTCTGTTCCTTTCCAGCTAACAACCACCACTAAAAACACGCTTGCATCTGACTCTACTAAGGCAACCCTCAGCCCAGTATTTCTTACTGACTATAGCTTTTTGTCACACAGATTTCTTGCCAATAACTAGTTAAATATAACCACAGCCAAGCTCATCCTAAAATCCCTATCCCCGATTTGCTGCAATGCCCACTGTCATTTTGTTTGGCTTTACTGATGGTGAGGATAATCTCTTGCCTCCTGTGTCCTAACTCATGGAAGCCATCTTTTGAGTTCTCTCTTTCATTTCTTCATTCTGCCAAGTCCCTGTATTTCTCTCTTGCTCATATGTCTTAGACACGTTCCTCCCTCTATTTCTAAAACCACTGCTTTCATCCAGTCTCTAACACGTGCACAACTGTCTTGGCATATTCATAGCCTCCCTGGTTTCCATCCTTCTTTTTGCTCTCCCAAGTTCAACTCTTCCGGCATGCGAGCCACTTGCTTTTATGTAACCTTCCGAACTCAACCTAAAATATGTGCTCCATAAATGTTGGAGGCTGACATTTCCTGTCACTTGGACTATGTCTCAGATGCATTGTATTTTTTTCCTGTTTTTCCTTTAGTGCCTGAAATGCTTTTCAAATGAAACTACCATGTGTTCAAATTCCTCTTGGCAGTTGTGATCTTCTGGAAAAATTTTTTGCAGTATCCCAGTGAAGGATTTTTTACAAATTTAAGTGAGTCTGGCTTTCTTGAGACCTCAAGTTACTTTTCATCTGATTGTTATTGTCTGCTTAACTTGGCCTCTAAACCCACAGGGTGGAAATTAGGTATAAAGTGTTCAGCTGTGAGAATAGCATCAGCACTTAGTCAATAATACACTGTCTGCTTTCAGCTCTGCCTTTGCAAAGTGAATGAGAAATCCCACACAGAAAAGCCTGTAATGAAAAGATACACCATGGCCCAGAGGATATTGTGCAGATCATATCATCACTTAGGTCACATGATAAATTCTCTCTGTAAAGGAGAGTTCACACACCCAGAGAAGAAAGTACATTCAAAATTATAGTGTTGGCACAGCTCAGGCCAAATTGTATCAGTTGTTTCTAGTAACTATATAAACAGAAGTATAGAATCTTGAGTATCTTATAATTAAAGACTTCTAAGGGCCTGATCTGTATAAATACGGAGACTGTAAGTATTGAGTTTATATACGCTTTTAAAAATAGAATTGAGCTGACTCACAAACTTTGTTAAATATGTACACAAACTACTCACTTATTGGCACATAGCTATTGTTTGGTTACAAAAATAAAACATTGCTAATGAAATAAATTTCTGGGTATATGCTCACATTAATTGGCAACATGCTCTAATTATAATATGTGAAGAATACAAGGGGATTCCCTTCTTACTTCATTGCACAAAAATCAGAAATTAAAAATTCACAAAAGCTATGGTTCCCAGATGACTTTTCAGGTTATTTCTTTTAGCTGGTGAACTCAAATGTCTTCATTCTTTCTCCTTCTGCTCTTCCCTCAAATGTCATCCCACCATACCAACTGTTTACCAGCTGCAAGGTATTTGCTGGGAGATTGCGCCGTATAAAATTCATTTGTTCACTAAATATTGATTGTGCATCTGTTGTGCGACAGATTCTGTTCCAGACATTTGGGATACAATCGTGAGCCAAATCAAAAACCTCTCTCCCGCATGGAGTTTAAATTCTAGAAGGAAAAACAAATAATAAATAAAATGAAGGAGAAAATTACCTGAACAAGCAGAAATAAGCATACCCAGGGAAGGGGCAGGTGCAAAAGATCATGGCAGGCCCATTAGGGTGATATCTGAGCAAACCTATAGGAGATGAGGGAGCTAGCCATCTGTGGAAAGAACATAACCAGAAGGACAGCAACTGCCAAGATCCTGGGGCAGAAGCCATGTAAGGTGGGTTTCAGGAACAAGAAGGAAACTAATGATCTGTAGCATAGTGAATAGGGGGTGGGAGATTTTAGGGGAGGAGAAGAGATGGGTAACAAAGAGTCAAATCTCATAGGATAAAGTGGGCTGTTACACGGATGTTGGCTTTTACTGTGTGCAAGGTGAAACTCTATCATGGGGATTTTCAGTAGAGAAGTAGTAATATCTGATCTATAGTTTAAAAGATCACTGTGGCTGCTGTGTTGAGATGGGTTCTAGGAGATCATGAGACAAAGAAGAGCGATGACTTAGGAGGCTATTACAATCAAGAGATGATGGTAGCCTGTACCAGAGTGGTGCAATGGAAGCCATGAGAAGTGGGAGGTTTCAGTATATATTCTGAATATGGAGTCAATAGGATTTTCTGATAGATGAGATGTGAGATGTGAAAGAAGAGAGGTGTCAAGGATAACTCCAAGAAGTTTGGGTGTGAGCAGTTAAGATGATGAATACTACAAGCTGAATAACCTTTGTGGGAAATATCGGAAATTCACTTTAGAACATGTGAAGTCCAACAATTCAGTCACACAACCAAATCTGGTAGCAGTTATAAATTGGAAGTCCCAAGAATGACACTACCTTTATAACTCCCTCCACCACACACATCAATTCATCCCAGATTTTGCCAGAAACTTAAGTCGCAGCAAGGTACCAAATAAGAAAGAAAATTTCTATAACAGGCTCATGAATAAAATAATTTTAAGGGGTTATTTTTGGTGCTTTCAAGACAAACATGAGAGAGAGAGCCCAAGGTTTTTATTGAGTGTTACCTCTAGGAAAAGAAAATTTGTAATTATAGCAAATTAGCTGAATCACCTGCACCAGGCTATGACTCAGACAAATCAATGCTGCACAGGTCTCCTGAAGGAGGTTCTCCTTTAGTCAGAGAAAATGACAGTGATTAAGGGCCAGTCCAGGAGGTTGGTATCTAAGGTGAGAGACACTTCTTTTCACAGTTTAACTAACCAGATACTGCTTAATTCCTTTGCTAATTTCAGACTGTTGTGGGTGGGGAATGATTTGGGATGAAGGAAAAGGATTAATATTATGTAGGCAAGTGTTCTGAGGAAAATTTACACAATTTATTTTCAGTCCAGCAGGAACTGAGTATTCAAAAACTTTTCTGACATGCTTGTAGATGACTAATAATTTTGATACATTCATTCATTTAACAGTAAACTTTATTACTGCCTACTGAAAATCACAGGTTTTCTTAGTGATGGGAGTAAAAACATCATAAGACATGACCCTTGCCCTAAAGATCACTGTGAACTTTCCAAGCCTATAAGAAGGCTAGATGTTCCTTTTGATAATCTGAATGGGCACATAATACAATTTGGATTAGGCACAAGACAGCAATTGGCTAAGGAGATATTTGACTAAAGGAACCATTGGAAACTTCTTTTTCATGGTGAGGAATGGAAACTTCTTTTTAGTGTCAGTGAGAGACAGACAACCAAACCATCCTCTCTTCTATCTCCCCTCCCCTCCCCTTCCCATCCCCTCCCCTCCCTACCCTCCCTTCTCTCTTTCTTTCTTTTCTTTCCCTCCCCTCCCCTCCCCTTCCCTTCTCTTCCTTTCCCTGCCTCCTTCCTTTCTTCTTTTATTTTTTTTTTTCTGAAACAGAATCTTGCTTTGTCACCCAGGCTGGAGTGCAGTGGCACAATTGCAGCTCACTGCAACCTCAACCTTCTGGGTTTAAGTGATCCCCCCACCTCAGCCTCTTGAGTAGCTAGGACTATAGGCATGCACCACCACTTCCAGCTATATATATATATATATATTTTTTTTTTTAATAGAGATAGGACTGCCCAGGCTGTTTTCAAACTCCTGGCCTCAAGGGATCCTTTGGCCTTGACTTCCCAAAGTGCTTGGATTACAGGCATGAGTCACTATGCCCAGCCTAAAATATCCATCTTTAATGTTGGCACCAAGTAATCATTTTTACATAGCATTTTTTCTGCATCATAAAATTAAGAACATTAAACTTCTACTTGAGATAAATATATAAAATATATATATACATATATTAGTAATTTAGTGTCATTAGAGCATCACAAATACTATTTGTATTAGTCAGGTCAGGCTAACAATGACATGGTAACAACCCCAAATCTCAGCACATTAATACAGCCAAAGTCTTTTTTCTTTTTTTTTTTTGTGAGACAGACTTTCACTTTTGTTGCCTAGGCTGGGGTGCAATGGCATAATCTCAGCTCATTGCAACCTCCGCTTCCTGGGTTGAAGCGATGGTCCTGCCTTAGCCTCCCAAATAGCTGGGATTACAGGCGCCTGCCACCACACCCAGCTAATTTTTGTATTTTTAGTAGAGACGGAGTTTCACCACGTTGGCCAGTCTGGTCTGGAACTCCTGACCTCAGGTGATCCACCTGCCTCGGCCTCCCAAAGTTTTGGAATTACAGGCATGAGCCACCGCAATCGGCCCAAAGTCAAATTTTTAATTTGTGCTACATATCTAATATGGTGGAGGGCTTTCCTCCATAGAGTCATTCAAAAGACCAAAGTGCTGAAACACTCAACCCCCTCAGAAGATGAGAGACTGGTTCATTAAGTGTGGATTTCTTACTGCTTTAGCCTGAAAGTGACACTTCCCTTCACAGCCCATAGTCCAAAGCAAACCATATCGCCCCTACTAAACCACAAAGTATGGGGAAATACAAGGAATATTTGACAAGCACTTGTCCTTTCTATGCTATCTTTTTGTTTATTTTTAAGGAAACTGAAACACAATAATATGACTATAGGGTCTTAGTGGCCCAAAACATGATTTTTCTTTAAAGTATATAAAGAAATCAATGAAAAACAGTTTTTTAAAAAATGTCTAAGCTCTCAATGAAAGGGAAAAGGGTAAACTTAACTCAGTCAGTAGTGCCTCTACCCAGAAAGAATACAGTATGCATCTTGCATCTCTCAAGAGCCAGAGCAGAATTGGCCACACTGAGCTGGAGCATTTCAAGGGGCCAGCACACAGCAGCCACAGACTTCCCTTAGCTCAGAAAATGGTGAACGTGGCTCAACTGGGTAGGGAGCCACATGTCATTAGACTTGCCATGTGCAAGTCAGTGTTTCTTATCAGGGCCTTTGAGAGTGTATATTACAGGGCATAAGGAGGAAAAACAGAGTTTCCACCATTCTAGGAAGCCAAATTTTGCTACAGAAGATGGTGACAGAGTAGAGTGAGAACCTACTCTATTTTACTAACAATTTGGAAAATAACAGAATCAAAGATAGGGATTGATGATTCACAAACCAGGCTGCTTTTACAATAGCAACCTCACAGGAATTCTAGACTGTTGTTTAGAATATTTCCTTCTCCATTCAAAAAAATGGTGTTTTCAAGTAAGTTCTTTCAAGAAAAGCCCAGCTTCCCCACCACCTACTGTTAACTGCAAAATCTATGAAGAATAAGTTAAAATATAGTATAAAAAGAAACTGAAATTCGAATCCAATGTGATGTTTCCAACATGGTTAAGTTTAAAATCTGGCCATTTTTTAAGAATTTACAATTCAGTGATTTATTTTTAACATTTATTATCTTCCTTTGGGATCAAGAGAAAGCTGTCAAAGAACTGTGGTCTATGTGTGTGTATGTGAGTGTGTGTTGTTTCTGATGACCAGCTGTGTTTAGTCCCTCTTCAAGGTCAAAGGACGGCCCCATTTTCTTCCCATCTGGCATATTTCTTACAAAGAACGCACTGATATAAACACACATATTCCTCTTGTGCACTAAGTCTCATTCCTGGATTGATTATGGGTTAGTCAATGGGTCCTCACATATGATTCAGAAGGAGCTATGCCATGTGGGACCACACATTATCCATTTGTAGAATGAATTCTATGTACTAGACATTATTTATGTGCTGTGTAGGATACAAAATTGGATCAAATACAGACTTGACTCACAAAGTAGCTTCCATCAAATAGTGTATCACTTGCCTATAGTCTGTTTCTGAAGACAGAGAAGGAAAAAAAAGTTATGTTTATATATCACTGATCATGGAAGCTTCCAAAATAAGGAAAACAGCAGAAAACTGTCAGGATAGCATGTAGCAAGAAAAGAGAGAATGGAGGGTGGAAGAAGAAAAAAAATATCTGCTTTGACTCAGATAGCTCACTTCTTTAGAGCCAGGATCCTCCTCCCTCCGCTTCAATTCTGTATCACCATCAACCTACTGAATATTCCAATCTGCATGACCCAGAATGCACCCATTTCAACAGGATTAAACCCCTCTTTCCAAACTGCTTCCTTCCTGCTCATTTCTGTCCGTTTTTTCAGTATTTATCACCAGGCTTGAACCACACAGTTACCTTGTTCTTCCCTTTCTCCCTCAGCCTCCAAATCGATTCACTCTGTCCAATGCTACTGCACACTGTTTCTCACTTTCTAATAACACTGACTCTCTTTCAGTGGAGGCCTCAACATCTCTTACTTAGATGGTTGTCATTGTGGCCTTCTCATTTTTTCTCTGCCACCTCAACACCACCACTTATGATTTTAGCCAACTTTTGGAATTTATTCAGATGATGAAAACTTACTTCTTGCTGAAAACCTTAATATTCAGTATGTAGATGTAGTTACTGAAAGTCCATCTCATAGTTTATATTTTCAAATGCATAAGGAATCTCTGGTTAGAAGATGATGCTTCTATTACTGATTATTTCTTTATCTTAATCTCTTCCACATCTTATAATTGAACCGAATGTGACATTTAAGCCATATTTTCTGTTTACCCCATTGTGCTTTGGAAAGAGACTAAGAGTTATCCAGGAATTCCAAAGTTTTGGTGGTGTTTTTCTATATCTATAAATCAGGTATCTCCCATACTCTGCAACTTCAGTGAGTTTATTTTTCAAATTAATCACTAACCTCAACTAAAACTCGGTCTCAGAATGTGTGATCTATAAAACATTGAATTGCAATGTTTGGCAGAAAAAGATTCTGATAAAATAAAGCAAAAAATAAATTAAATGTAATAGTCACATAAACATCTCTACAAGGGGTCAATTTTTATTGAAATCTAAAACCTGCTATTCTTTTGAAGCAAAATCATAGTTTAGCTGGAGAGGTTGACTGGTTAATGAAAAGTCATTGAAGTCTCTACTGTGGTTTTTATTGCTGTTATTCTGCATCTGTTGTTTAGAAGACACATTTTATAATGGCATACTTGGATATATGTCTAATATATAAATATATAAATATATAAATACTTGGCGATAATGCCTCTAGATCAATAAATGTACAACCTTTTATTAGTATTCCAGTAACAAATAATTGAAGAGCCCAATTCAAGTTTATGTTTGCGTTGTCTATGGAAAGAGCTCAGCAACAGAAATTAACAACATAATTAAGAAGAAAGTGACAATGTCTAGAAAGAACCAATAGCATTTATCAAAATTGGTAAATATAGCTTATAGTCTATAGACAGCTTATAAGGAGGAATATACCACTATTTATCAGCACTTAGCACACTGTCTGCCACAAAGCCTCAGGAAATTTTTGTGGAATTAGTCAAAATTTTTGAGTAACCTATAAATATGGGAAGGATTCCTTCACAAGTAATAAAATCATTTTACCCAATCTTTAAGAAGAAAAAAGCTCATTAAGTTTTTGATGAATTACTGACAGTGTAGTTTATTTTAGTTTGAAAAATAATTTTTACATCTTAAAAATGCACACTTCTCACCAAAGCAAAAATGACATACATTTAATCATTTGCACTTTTAGTTTTTCCACACAGTGGTTCTCCTAAGTGATGCTCAGATCATAATTAGGAGTGGTTAATTATAGAGTTGCTTTTTCATCTCAAGTGTGGTCACATGGTCTTTTCAGCTCAGTTGCCTGTTCTGTTTCTTCTCAGACCAAGTCAAGTCACTTTGCCATTTTTTTTCTTTTTTGGGCTGAGTACTTACTAATTGTGTGTGTATATGTATATACATATGCATATAGCTGTATATGTATATACATATGCGTATATGTATATACACATAACACATATGTGTATGTATATATGCATATGTATGTTTGTGTGTGTGTATATATATATATAGAAATAAATGTGTGTGTTTATGGAAAGAAAAAGAGAAACAGGGTGAAGAGAAGGAGAGAAAGAATCAGAGAACAATTAGGTTTTAATAAGAAAATTGTTTCCCCTTCTAAAATTTCACCAGTCTCAACAAAATTTACTTTTCATGTGTTTCTATCGAACCATATTTATAAATCATGTTTATTCAGGAAAGCACTTTTTGCTCCTACTCTCTCTTCTTATCTCTATGTTACAAAGACAGAAGACATAAGAATCATATCTACATAGTTTTATGGCATGGACATTGTCTGACCTGCCATTTATTTTCAGTGTGAGTATTAACAGGTCTGAAGTTGCTCTTGGCTCTTTTAGGGTTCACTAATGATTTTGTGAACACATAGCTCTCCTCTTAAAAAAGAAAATATCTTTTTAGATCTCAGTGCCTCACACATTGCTTGATGCCCTGGAACATCACCCCAGCCCAGCCATGTAACATTGCGGGTGGTTGGGGGTGGATATTTAGAAGAATAAAAAGAAACCATTGATACATCTATCACATTTCCAGGTTGTCTCAATGAATGCAAAGGCTTGTGCATACACAGAAGACACTTATGAAATAAATAAGAGGCTTATTTATAATTATTATCTTTGTTTCAACAGAAACACTAAGATATCTTTTAGTCACATAAGGCATGATGTCACGAGCATTTTCAACTGTACTGTATCTGAAGTCTAAACTGTGCATTTCTTTCGTGCATGTGAATCAAGAGAAGGCATTCAAAACAGATCACACAGGAAGCATTTTTGTGGGTGGCCTTGGAATTGGGACCAGCCTGATTCACTCATATGCACATGCTAGACCTCAAGGGCCAATGACCAAACAGTGTTCCTGCTGTCCATAGTGGCAGTTCTGCCAGTCAACCCTATCTCCAGCCCACAACTCCATCTATGTCTACCAAGAAGGTGTGGTTAGTGAAAAATCTGGAATCACTGCGGGAGGATGTAGGTTTGTTGAATAGTGGGAAGAGTTACAGAGAGAAAATTATGTTCATAATGAGGATACAGAAAAAGGGGTAAAGATTTGGGTTTGAAGCTATTTAGTCTCCAGGTAATGTTTGAAATGGGAAGGGAACTGTTTAAACTACAGTGTTATGCTCAAATTGTGCTTTGAGGTGTTAATTTGAAGGGCATGTTTCTAAACATATTTTATTTGGTTTATTATTTAATTTAATAAACAAAATAAAAATGATATTCAATTGTATGATAAAAGTCCCTTAAATCAAATATTACAAAGAGAAATCTTAAGACTCACATTATTATATACCTTGCATACAAATAGCCATCCATCCTCAAAAATGAGACCATGAGCCCAATAGTTTTCATGTCTGTTCTTTGAAAAACAAAAGTAAAAATTTATTTCAATCTAAATGAGAAAAAAATCTTATTTGAATCAACAAGAGAGTGTAATTTATCTAGAGTTTGTGAGTTTTATTGATAGCTATAGAAATGGCCACCATCTATGATCCAGGGGACTGGCTGCTATGACTTGCCTCACAAAAGAACTCCGTGGCTAGGGCTCATGACCATCTGAGTTTTGCTGGGCTTACCTGGGCTTCCCAGATGAGAAGCCTTGCTCCTGCAATTCATCACCTCCATCCCACCTCAACTAAGAGGCTACACCGCTGAAATGGTAGAGGGATGGTAAAGAGTGAGGAGGGGTGGTAGCATTTGACTTGGTCTTGGTAGTTTCTCCATGAGATGACGCCTGGACTTTGAGACATTACCTTGGGCCTGTGGGGGAATGGAGTAGAAATGGGGGCAGGGTGGCAAGTTATAACATTGAAAGGAAACATATGCTCTTTCGTTTTGGTCACTTTTCAAGTTTTCTTCCTGTCTGTCTGGTCTGTCTTAGTATTTCCAGGTGCAGACACTGAACAATGTGACTTGCCACCCAGGAGACCCAGCCCACATTAGCCTGTCTCTGTGCCTATGTTTCTGCCCTTTCATCTACCTGAGTAAAAAATATATATTTTATTTTTGAGGAAGCACAATTATTTTTCCCAGACCTGCCCCCAGTCTGATAAGATGCCAAAGAAGGAAAAAAAAACTCCCTGGATGATCACAGACAAAAGGCAAACCCACATCAAGAAAGGGACAGAGTTTGCAGCAACCATGCAAATAAAAATGGTCCCCAAGGAAAAACAGGAGTGTTTCCCTCCTCCTTTGTGGTAGATTCCTATGCTAACAAAAAGGAATTCTCTTTTTTTCTCTACAGCAGGGAAAATGGTTTTCCCTACTAAGGAGGAGATTTTTGGGGGAATGATGTGAAGTGGGAAAAAAAGAAGGATGTGTAAGGAATTAATGCTAAAGTCCAAGAGTGGCTGGCATACTGCATTTTTATTATTTTCCCTCACTCTGAGAAAGTTCTGGTACCTCTGAGTACTCAAGGGAATCACTGCTGAATCAGGTTGGAAAGCACATAGGAAGAGCCTCTTACTTTCAGATGTAGTTGTATTGGTGCCTTATAGTGGATGAACTCCAAACCAACATATAAGATGCTTGGTCTGTGTTACATCATTTAAAGGTGCAAGAAGGTAAGAGAAACTTTTCACAGGTGGCCACTCAGTTGCTACTGAGGTCCCCAAACTGTAATTTTCTAGTCATTGAAGAAGGTCAACTAAGTTGATCACAAAAACTCTGAAAACTTCAAAACTCCCACAGACAAGAACAGACATTTTTTAAAAAATATATATATTATCTTTAAATACTCTTGAACCATTTTAATCATCAGTGGACTTTGACAGGACAGAGCACAGTGGCCTTAACCACACTATATAATAATAGTTGATTCAGAAAAATACCATCTGCCCCACTGCATTCCTTCCCAGGCAGTTGGTGGCTGGAGAGCCAAGTGCTTATGGTCAATGCATAATTTTGTTGGTGTTCTGTTGCCTTACCACCAAATATGCAATAGGGTGATAACACAATACGCTCAAAGATATTGCAAACCTAAGTCAGATAAAATCCCTCTTAGCAATTTACTCCAGATTTTTGAAAGAATGGCTAGATTCCTTACTTCATGACCTCTTGGAGCTTCATCTCATTTCCATATGTAATAACAATGTTATCTCACAGCTGCCTAACATTTTACTAACTTCCCAAACCTTTTTTAATTCTTACAAGAATGCTAAAAAGAAAGCAC
Source organism: Homo sapiens (assembly GCF_000001405.40). Classification (NCBI taxonomy): domain Eukaryota; kingdom Metazoa; phylum Chordata; class Mammalia; order Primates; family Hominidae; genus Homo; species Homo sapiens. The sequence goes on along the minus strand of NC_000015.10, from coordinate 47,429,306 downwards.
CTCATTGTATAAGAGGACTCGGAAAATTTAAGCAACTTATCTGAGGTCACACAGGTAGTAAGCAGCAGAGCCAGGAGTTGGCCAGCCTATAACTTCTAATGATAACTCTGGTGCTCTCTGCATGGTATCGTTATTCCCTCTAGGTACCTGCATCTGGGTGTTGGGCAGGCAACTCACACACCTCTCTTCTCAGGAAGCCTTACACTCACTAGTACTTGCTGTGGTCTTAGTGGGATGCCCTATTTTACTGGAATTTCCTTTCCTCCTGTCCTTTTCCTTCCTTCCTTCCTTCATTCCTTCCTCCCTCCCTCCCTTTCTTCTTTCCTCCCTCCTTCTTTCGGCCCTTCCTTGCTTCTTTCCTCCCTCCCTCTCTTCCTCCTCTTCCCTTCCTTCTTTCCACTTCTTTTCTTTTCTATTTATCCAATTACATAACACATTTGTATTGAGTACCTGAGTATTGACAATACACAAGGTACGTAAATACCAATTGCCAGGGAGACAAAAATCATAAGAAACCCATCTTACCCACTTTTTTTTTTCCTTGACAGAGTCTTACCCAGGCTGGAGTGCAGTGGTGCAATCTCAGCTCACTGCAACCTCCACCTCCCAGGTTCAAGTGACTCTTGTGCCTCAGCCACCTGAGTAGCTGAGATTCCAGGCCGGCACCATCATGGCCAGGTATCTTTTTTATTTTCAGTAGAGACAGGGCTTCCTCCTGTTGGCCATGTTGGTCTTGAACTCTTGACCTCAAGCAATCCACCTACCTTGGCCTCCTAAATCCTAAAGTGCTGGGATTACAGGTGTGACCCACTGCACCTTGCCCCATTTTACCCACTTTTAAGGGTAGATCTGCGCCTAAATACTTTTTTACCTCTCCATCCTTAGAACTTCTTTTGTTCTTGGAACTGCAGTACATGGTTATAATTAAAAATACTCTGGTCTTCTGCAAAGCTGGAGTTGATTGATGTATATTTACACTACGTGTTCATATTAGCCCTACAATGGGCTTGTAAAACCTTTGATCAACATAAACTCATTATTCTTTTCTCTTTATATGTCGTGGTGCTGGGTATATAATATGTGCTAAATAAATTCTCAGTGGTTGATTTATTTATCTTTGCCTCTATTGCAATATGAGCAGGTAGATGGACCATTTTACACCTAAATTTATCTATATATTGTTGTTATTAATAATGTTCAGCTTCTTCTCTCTTTTTTTACATTTTTTAAGCATAGATCTCTTGCATAACATGATGAAACACCTAAATCTTGCACATTTTCTGGTGAGCTATTTCAAAGTAATTTGTCTGAAAGAAATTTATTAGATTATCTTGTTTCGTATACCCCATTCTATTTATCTTTTCCCTAAGAAGAATATACAATTTCTCAGGCTCCTCAGAGAAAGAGAGAGTAAGAGAACTTTGGTAAGGGAGTTTAGGAAATCAAGAAGGGTTCCAATAGGATAAATAAGAATTTCTTCACTACTTCTGGGGCAGAACTCTTAAAGTTAATAACAATAACGATAAGGATAAATACCACAAATGAGAGTGCTTCATGGATTACAAAAGGCTTATAAAAGCACTATCTCTTTTAGACTTTGGATTCAATGACTCACTGTGAGTTAGAGAAGATAACATTATTTCCACTTCACAGCAAGTTTAAATGGTATCCCCAAGGTCACATATTTAGCAAATATTTGTAATGTCACACCCAGTGACCTTTCCCAAGTGTACATTTCTTTTTTGAAATAAATTCATTTAAGATATAAAAGATAGTATTTCTGAGATCAAGATTTTCCAAAGAATTTTCCACTGAATCATAATTCCATGGGCTGTTATAAAATGTGACAGAATGAAAAGGAGTGTAATAAGCTAAAACATGTTAAAATGTAATATTTCTCAGCGCATTTAACCTGCTGCTGTGCATGGTTGCATGCTGTGACTGTACATGAGTGCATAGCATCTCCCAGACCTAGTGGCTGTGGAGTATGCACTATACAGCAGGTTTGTGTGCAGTGTTTCTCAAACTTATGTGACCAAGGGATCACTCTATTGATCAACACCTTCTGCAGTTTGTGTCCTAGAACACACAGGATGGGCAATGCTGATCTCCATCAGTGCCTCCTTTCTCCCCATTAAAGTTGTTCATATTATGGATACTTGCAATGTCATGTCTTTAAATGAAATTAAATGATGCTATCACTGTAAATGAACCTTACTTCAATACAATCACAAAAGAAAATGCAAATACGTCTTATAACACCCTACTGGTGTTTGAAATTGCATTTGGTACCTGACTTATTCATTCCTTTTTACAATAGTTTAACCCATATAAAGAAGCATGTGATTTCTACCATTTAAACTCTATCAGTAAAATGATCATTATGTCTTTTTAACAGAAAATATTCTCTTCAGATTTATGACTTGCATCTGGCAGACAAAAACTGTGTAATTTATACAGTTCATTACCACAATTGTAACAAGAATAAAAATTCACAGCAGCCCTTAGGATATTATAAAACATATTCAAAACTAGTCCTTTCTAGCATTGGGCTTTACTTGGGGGAAAAATATTTGGTATTATATATGTATGTGTGTGAGAGAAAGAGTTTGAGTTTCTATACCCTGTAGGGAGTACGCATCAGGGATGTGCTATTATATGATAATGAAAATGTAAATAAAAGACCAAAATCTATCTTCAAATCTTTCCTTCTGTATTCCTGTGCTTTTAAACTAGCAGCTCTTGGGACAAAAGATTTTACTAGCAATGGTTCTAAGGCCCTATCCTTCCCTATATAAAGACCGCATCCTCACGTACCCCACAATGTCGGACTAGAAGACAGGTGATTCAATTAATCCTAATACTTGCCTGCAGGGTACTGATGATCAAAACTATTCTGTTTTGCTCTGCATCAGAAGCTCTGCAGGTTCTTGTGATAAAACGAGGACCCATTAGACAACAATATCAAATAAAACAGAACAAAATAACAAAACTCTAGCACCAAAGCCATGCATGGTGGTACATGCCTGTAGTACCAGCCACATGAAGCTAAGGCAAGAGTATCGCTTGAACCTAGGCATTCAAAGGTAGCCTGGGCAACATAGTGAGATCTCATCTCTAAAAACATAAATTAAAAAAACTCTTGCACTAAGATCCTAAGTAATACAAAATCCATGTGTATATTTTTGTAGAATTTGGAAACCTATCAAAAATTCACACAAAAGGCTTTCAAGACATGAGACAAATAGAAAAAGTAGCATTTATTAGTATATAGAGCATAACTAAGGAGTGTCTTACAGGCTATTTCCCCTAATTATTACAAAACACCTGCCTATAGCCAATACACACACAAAATCTCCAGCAGAAAATGATTAAAAGTAATTAGAACAGGTGTTTATTAGGCTGGAAAATTAGAAGGGAGACTTTAGATCATAAATGGAAGAGAATAAATTTGTTTCCAGTCCTAAAAGTGTCCCCAGATTCTGTGAAAATTTGAAAATGGAGGAAAAGGTACCTTTACCTCGCTTTACCTCGCTTGAACCTGGGAGGCGGAGGTTGCAGTGAGCTGATATCATGCCACCGCACTCCAGCCCGGGTAACAGAGTGAAACTCTGTCTCAAAAAAAAAAAAAAAAGAAAGTATCTTAAATACCATTTAGGCACAGTGAAACAAATTTCAGTTGCATTTAAGAAGAAGGTGTGGCATATAAAACCACAGCAGTATTATTCCAAGGGGTAAAAAAGCTAAAGCACAGTACAAGGAATTAATGTTCCTTTTGAGGGTGTCCTTGATTAGCCCATTAGCCTTGTAGGCCAACATGGATCAAACATAGGATTCTGTTGGGGGTCAGAAAGCAATACCCCAAAGTATGGTGCTTTGGCTTGCTGAGCACTTAGAACTAAAAATAAATAAAAATAAATAATTAATTAAAAGGTCTTAGAGGCAGCCTCAGAATCAGGGACTTTCTGTCTCAGGTTTCTCTTCTCACTCACCAACTGCAGATAGGGGATCACTCGAAAAGCTCCCCTATCTCGCTGAGGAAACTTTTTCCTCCCCCAAAATAATGTAATTGTCTTGAAACTTCCTCATTAAGAATTTCACTAAATAACCAGGGAAGGATTACCCACCAGAGAAGAGAAAAGACTAAAAGTCATCACCACAATATGACAGACTTTTCAATGATTCCTCTGAGGGAAGCTCCGGGAGATGGCCTGGAAAACTTTATCTGCATAATAAGACAAGTTCACAGTGCAGTTTCACCCCTCACCTTTCCAAAACTGGTTGCCATCACCTCCAGAGCTCAGAGGAACCTTGTCCCAGACCATTTTCTGCTTTTGGGGCTCATTTGACTCCCCTAAAAATCATTTACTACCCTTCAAAATTGCCTGCATCTCCCACCTCCCTCTCCCAGATTAAGAGGCTATGTAAGCCTCAACCAACTGGCCCTTTTGAGTCTCATATTTTGTATGACTCCCATGCACACGTTCACATTAATCAATTTGTATGCTTTTGCTCCTGTTAATCTATTGTCAGTTTATCTCAGAAGACTTGAACCTTCAGAAGTGGAAGGGAAAAATTCCCTTTGCCCCCACAATTCATATATCTTATTCAAACTTATTCTACCTACATCAGTAGGACCTAGCTCTGATTTTTATTTTCAGATTTCTGACGCTCTACCACTTGCTTTGCACCAAGGATATTCATTACATTGTTGGGGGATGAATGGATGAATAAATACATTAAAAAATAACTCTAGGATAGAGACAATGTCTCAGATATTTATTCTGAACTTACTTTCCAAGTTATTACAAACCGATAGGCTCTAATTTGACTGACACTTATGGTAGACAAAATGTTTATTTCATTAAAATCTGTTTTATTTCATCATAACTGATCTATAGAAGCAATTGAAAGCACAATTAATTTTTTCTTTTCAAAACTAATTTTCTTTTTTTTTTCTTATTTCATGAAATGTATGCAATATCTTACGGCTCTGTATATATTCTCAATCCTTCTCTTTAAATTTCCATGTTAGACATCTATTTTCGATTACCAGCAGGAATTAGAGGTATTGGCAAATAGTCACTAGGTAGTCTTCTAATCAGAGGATGTTTCGAGTGCACTTTCCTAGTTAGCATAGCTACTCTCTAAACAAATACACTGAGTAGCATGACAATTTATTAATTCTATACATGCCATTTGCTGCTTCAGATATTTTTCATCTCTAGGCCTTCACTGATTTCCTATTTAAAATTTAATAAAGTTGCAAAATTCCATGACTCACAGAATCATTCTCTGAGCTTTTGTTATATTAGATATAAGCAGAAAACGTGAGTTCTTTGTCTGTCAATTATGGACAAACAAATTATGCCTGGTTGCAATGGTAACTGTCATCTTTAAATGATTTTAGTATTATTTAGTACTTTGAGCAAGAAAAGCACTTGGAAACAGTAAATGCTAAACTCTGGTGGGTTTTAGACAAACCCCACCACCAAGGCACAGACACATACCTGTCCCTGCAAAACAAGACTGTAAAAGAATAAAATTAGAGCTTGCTTACTGGGTCCCTTAAGTATGAGGAAAAATCCATACTCTAACTTGTTTACTGTAGTGGTGAATATTTCATGTACATCAAGACACATTATTGTATATCCAAAACATGAAGTACAATTTTTCACTTGAGGAAAAAAAAAATGATTTCTTTATCCTATGTATTTGTAGTTGCTGTTTTTCTTTAGTATGTCATCTAAAGGTTGAATTGTAGTCTATGTTTCTTTGATGAGAACTAGGAGTTTCATTAGACAAGGTCCCAGGAGGGCTATCAAGTATGTTATTAAATAAGCTTTGACTTAAGAAAGCAAGAAGGCAGATTCAGAACAACTGTAAGCATTCAAATAATTCTAAGAACAAGAAAGGCTATTTACTAGCAATCTTTTATGTGGCTAAGAATGCCTGATAGGGGCTGATGGTGAAGATCATTTATCAATGGAGTAAGTCTGAATTCTAGGCTCCAAGGCAGCTATAGTTTCTCAAATACACTTGTGTGAGTCTCTATTTTTGGTGTGCAAAGCAGGTAGTGCTTGGGTTGTTCTGATTGATCTGAATGTTCTATCACCAAAAGCCAGAGTTAAATGTTCCCTAAGCATAAGAGGTGTGGCCCATCACTTTATAATATATGCATTACAGCACACAGAGAAGTGACTCAGAGTCATTCGGAAGAAACAGGAACTCTGCTTATAACTCTTATTTTAGCAAAAGGCCAAGCCTTGCCTTTCAGTTATATATCTTTGTTAAAGGTTGTTTTAGCCCAAAGGTCTTTTTTTCTCCTCACTCTTACCAATTTCCTTTAGGGTTGGGTTTCTGTTGCAACTGAGTTGTTTTGATGATAATGTTTCCTTTAAGATGATTATTTGTTTAAAGTTCAGGCTAATAAAAATAACATCCCATTAAAAATATTCTGGAGAGCATAAGAACATTTTAGGATGTTAATTGCTCATGTTAACCAGTCATCCGTGAAACATATGCCAAAAATGCTCTGAAAGGTTCCAAAATGCCTCTTGCAGTGATAAATCTTTTACAGGTATGATTATGTGGAAGCAGAAATAAGAAAAAGTACATCCAACATCTGGAGTCAAATGGTTTACTGAAGTAAGATTACAAAATTAAATTTAAATGAACTTAATTGAAAGGGGAGGGGAATCTAATTTAATATGGACATTCATCATGTCCTCATTGAAGTTTCTTCTAGCACCAGAAAAATACAATGAAGTCTGAATACAAAAGTTGGATAAAGCCTCTAATGGAGTGTGAAAAGATGACCAAAGAGACACAGTCAGGCAGAATATATTCTCTTTTTCTTTTTGCCATTTAAATGACATGGAATACCCAACTGTTTTGAAAAGGTAGTATCAATCAAGAAACTGAGCTTGGAAACTTATCTGTTTTAACTGTCTCTACTGTTTGGAGTTTCATTGTACATACTTCATCACTTAAAGATGATGATTACTAGGTTTGGTTTTTAATTCAATGATACCTGACTAAAGACTCCAACAATATGCAGTTATAAGAAAATGGAAGGAAGGAAGGAAGGAAGGAAGGAAGGAAGGAAGGAAGGAAGGAAGGAAGGCAGGCAGGCGGGCGGGCAAAAAATAAGAGTGTTAATTTTAAATTAAATCACCTGACCTTTGGTTTTCATCCTCTAAAGAAAAAAAAATAAACAATGGACCCCCTTAACATTGTGGTTCTTAGTTCTTGCTGAATAGTTTCGGTCTTCCTAGTTCTTAAACATTCTGTGCTCTGTGTGCTAAGGAAGATGTGTGAAGAAATCAAAATTACACACTATGAAGTTACATATCTATAATTACGTGGAGACAATAGAATTTTATTTTATTAAATTGATTATTTATAGATTCTAGAAAAGACAGTCAAATGTTATTTTACTGTTTGTAGTCCTACACACTATGGACATTGCTAGAGGTTAACTTTATGATAACTTCTTACCATCAACTGACACTCAGGTTCCCATCATCTCATCTTTCCCTTCAACCTCATAAATATTTAGTTTTTGTCATACATGTCATTGGCACCTTTACTTCTGATCCCCCCTTATCTAAAAGAGAGTCTCCTAATACCTCCCCATCCCAACCACAAATCTAATCTCATATGGTACACACTCATCAGTCAAGTGGAAAGTAAAGGCAAAAAAATCCTTAAGCAGAAAACTGGAATGAACAGTTGCAGATGCCAGAGAAACAGGAAGCATCAAAAACAAAGCATTAAAATTAATCTATCACCTGAAGCCAAAACCAAGGAGTAGATGATAAACATAAATTATTAGTGCATATTTATTTAGGAACTACTCTTCATAAGTGCTGAGCACTTTCAAATACATGAGGGTAGTTAAACATAGCAACCCTGTGATAAGAAAATAGAGGATAATAGCACTTCACTGATGTCTTCAGCATTGTATAGCTGGTAAGTAGCAAAGCCAGACACCAGTCCCAGTCCTTTCTTGTCATATCCAATGCTCTTACTCTATATGGCACTGCCTCAGAAACTGCAGGTGGTGAGAACCTGAGATTGAGAACCTAAGGGAGAATGAGGAGTATAACAAGGGGACTGAATCTTGTCTTGGAATGTCAATAAAGAAATAACCAATGGTACAGGTGAGGATGAAAAGTGAATAATTTTAACTGTTAAGAAAAGTTCATTTACCTAAATCATGTGTTCTTCACTGACTCGTATCATCTACTTTCAATAAAAAGTCCAAACATATTAGACTTTAAAATCCTTGCAATATCTCTACATTGTAAGATAAGAAGAGAAATAGCAATTTTATGCTTCATGATAACCCCAATGGTACTGATGGTCTATGTCACTAATTGTGATCGTAATTCTATTCTTATCTACTTCATATGTACATTTTTTTGTTCTAGAGAACTGAATAGCTGCCCCTAAGGTCACAAACAGAAAATTACTTTTTGGAGACAGTGGGCCTGAGGCCTTAGATTTCATTACAACTTGCATTTTATTATAGTCCCATAGAATGACTGATCATAGGTAGTGCCTCCAAAAACTATATGAATATTATCATCCTTCCCAAAAAGATGTTGGTTTTAGAATTGTTTTAGATAAAAAGAGGAAAAGTTAACAGTCACTTATGACTCAACAACAGTTCTCACATCTGTTCAGCAAAGGCAGAATATCAGGACAAACAATGGAGAGGGCCACTAGGACTTGCAATGCACATACCTTCACACAGCTCAGAATGCACAAAATAGAAGATGGGCAAAACTATGGGGCAACTAGCATGCACAGAGGGGGAGAAGGCAGTATTTCCAGAGACATTGGAGGCAATGGACATACATTTATTCATTCATTCACAGCATCAAGGAGTAGAATAGGTTAGGAGAGAAAATTAGGGGAGGGGGAAGAAAGGTTTATAAATAGGTTGAGGGGAGAAACAGCAAAGATCACAAAAGAATGCTTTAAATGACGAAAATCAGTTTCACAGTTAGTCTGTATATGACAAGCCCAATAATACAATGTTCTACTGTTGAAGGAAGGCAAAGGTATCCTCTGATTAAAATTGAGCTATTGGGCTCTGTAATGATGAACTCAGAGGGAACCAGCCCATTCAGTGTAAGACCACCAAGCTGAAGGCCACTGTTTGGCTCAACTTAAGAGGGTATCTGTGTGTTCTGAGCACATCACCCTTCTGAAGGATAACAGTCTCCTCAGCAACAGTCAATCACCACCTGACAGCTCTTCATGTTCTTGGAAAGGTCCGTCTCACCCCCAAAACTTGCATATAACTCTCTTCCCTCTCAATGCTCATAGCCTCACCACCACCACCTGCCCTGGACCAGCAGACCAGCTATTATTGCACCATGGCAGATCAGTCACCACATCAGCCCAGCACTTCCAGGTCATCTTTTATCTCCTCTTCTCTAATCCTCATGTGGCTTTGTTCACTACTTGTTCTGATCTTGGCCTCATACTTCCTGAAAGTCTTTCACTGAATCCTCTGGGACTTGAGGTCAATCATCAGTAAATCTGTTTATTCTCTACTTCCTATGGAAACTTCTCTTTCACCTTTTTGCACTAGTTGAAATCTGACTTTCCAGATAACGCCCATTCCACTAAAGCCCTTTCAAGAGATAGCTTTTACTCTCCTAGATCCCTCTTACCAAGGAGCATAAAAGTATAGTAGGTGTCCTCCATGTTCTTCATTACTGTGTCCAGGCCTTTTGTCCTTCTTCCTCAATAAAACTCCAGCTTTCTCTTTCATGGCATCAGGCTATACTCCCCTTCTCTTGTTGGTGCTTCCTCCACCATCCTCCAGTTCATTCTCCCTCCATTCATTGGAGATTTTAGCATATGGCTCATTATCACTTTCTCTAATACTATCCTTATTTAATTTTTGGCCATTTTCATATCCAATGGCATGATCCTTCCAATATCCTGTTTCTCAGTTTCTGGACTACTTTGCTTTTAGAGATTTCATCAGCCATCCTTCTTGAGCCACTCACTTCCACAGTCAAACACTTGACTTTGTGGTGATCAATAACTGCACTCCTTGCAAAAATCTCAATTTTAAATATTCTCTTCTATGATCATGATCTCTTATTTTTCCTGATCACTCCTTCTAACACCCTAACTCCTACAATTCTAAAATCCCACAAGGACCTGAAATTCACTCTCTGTGTCTCTGAGACATAGCTCTCTCATGAAATCCTCTCTTCCCTCTTCTCTCCTTTCCAGCTTAAATTCCATAGAGGATCATTGTAATATTTTCCCAGCTCCTTTTTATCTTGGTGAACTTTCCTGGTGGAATCATAACCCTCCTTAAACTCAATCAGATGATCACTGTATGCTTGCACTTACGCAGTCTAATGTGACTGACATTTGGTAAACAATCAAAAGAGAACTTTCATATCCTGTGACTACCATCTCTTCCCACCTATCCACACCTTTCCTGTTCTTACAGACAAGTTCTTTGTGCTCTTAGTCAAGGTCACCTTCTCCACCTAGGCACAGGACCCTATCCTCTCTTGCTGAAGTAATTGAAGCAGTCTCCTAAGTGGTCTACCTACTTATGCCTTCCCTACCCACCCTGAGTTTCTTCCTACTCTGCTCTGAATGTTCATGTTCCGCCAAAATCCTTATGTTGAAATCCTAACCCTTTAGGTGATGGTATCAAGAGGTGGGGTGTTTGGGAGGTAATTAGGTTATGAGGGTATAGCCCTCAAAAATGAGATTATTGCAATTTTAAAAATCCCAGAGAGCTTTACCGCCTCTCTCACCATGTAAGGACAAACAGAAGGCTCGGCCTATGAACAAGAAAATGGGCCCTCACCAGACACTGAATTTGCTGATGCCTTGATCTTGGACTTCTTAGCCTCCAGAACTGTGAGAAATAAATTTCTGTTGTTTATAAGCCACCCAGTATAGCAGCATGAACAGACTAAGACACTCTCGGCATGGCAGCCAGAGTGATCCTTGTAATGATTCAGACTGAATAGCCTCCCTGCTAATTTTCAAGTATACTACCCATTCTCTTGTCTCAGAGCTTTTGCACTTACTGTTCTCTCTGCCTAGAACAATCTTCCTCAGATTTCTGCCTGGCTTGCTGTCTCACTTCCTTCAAGTCTTTTTCTCAGAAGGTATCTACATAGAAAAGCTTTACCAGGCCACTCCATGTAAAGTTCAGCCCCATATACCATTTCATATCTCCTCTTTTTTCTTTTTGCACACATCTATATATAAAATATATATGGGCATATAAAATATATAAATGCTATATTTTAGATATATTTATCCATGCATCGTTTATCTCCTCCATTGAAAATTAACTTCCTTGAATGCAGACATTTTTATCTGTTGGGTTTACTTCAGTATCCCCAATACACAAAACACTGTCTAGCAATACCTACATGGTGATCGATAATTTGTTCAATGAATGAATTGCAAAAAAAAAAATGGATGCATGAGTGATTAGGAAAAGAAAAAACAAAAAGTGATTAATGTCTTTCACATGGAAAATTAATATTTAGAGATGTCTATTTTTACCATGATATCCTCCATTTATGAAACCAAGATTTCAGGGGATCCAAGGATACAACAGTTGTCATGGTAGTGCCATGACAATATGGCACTACAGCTCATTGAAAAACACACCAAAACAACATTAAGAATTAATACAAATCCTGAACAATTCTAAAATTACTATTTTTAATCGCAGTAATTGTCACTCCTTAAACAATAGATATTTGGTAAATCTTGCCCCTTCAGGCAACCTCTGAAAGTTTTACTTTTGATAACTCTACTTTCTCAGACATTGATATTCTCTCTCTCTCTCTCTGACACACACACACACACACACACACACACATATACACACACACAGTATAAGCAGATAGAGTCTAAAAGGTAAAGTACATAACCATGGGATGGTATGTCAGAGCATATCTTCTTGCCTGATATGAGGATGAAATCATAATATGATTACACAATTTACGTTTCTCATCTCCCCTTTCCCTCTATCTCTAAAACAAATAAATATTAAATATTCAAGCTTTTAAAATGTTTCTGGAATCATGTTTGTGCCTTTTACAACAATATCGTATAATGTATCTTTAGATATTTAATTAAAAATTTTTGCAGGTGGTTGATAAAACACATTATTAAGAACTATAACTCCCCTTTCCCCTCAATTTAGCAGAATCCTTTAGTGATAAAAAAGATTGCCTTTATCAGAGGCTCTCAATCTGTCCCAATTTTTCATAAGTCACTGAGCTCTAACGACATTTTGTCAGATGCAAAACTTGAAAATAAAAGAAGAAAATTTGCTTTTGACTTTATTACACCAAAAATGTCTGAGTGATAGATGGGACCATTGCAGTTATGGCGGTTCTCGGGTTCCTATTGTTAGTCATGGGCTATTTTGATCAGCTGCAAAGTAATAGGGGGTGACTAGAATAGAAAATACTTGCAGTTTTCTGAAGCTTCACAAAACGCTAATAAAAATAGCTGAGATTTTAGAGACCCTACTAGAATCTCTGTCAATTTCCATAATTTTCTGATCCTCTTCCTGGGAAGGGTCCTAAGGAGCTCTCTTTGCTGATTATATCTTACCTCCACACTGGCTTCGGGGAGAAACAGAGGTCAGTGATTGAACAGAGAAATTACCTTTTGAGTTGGAAATGCTAGAAATAATAGACGTAGCCAGACCCGCCAGATTGTGAGTACACTGTTTGACTATTAGTAGTATGATCTGCTATGATGATTTCAAACTAATTTTCAAGCTAATTGAGTCAGTTATAAACACATGGAAATTTGGGTGGAGTATTTTAGGACAACATTTCCCATACTTAACCTTATTCTCATCTTAATTCTCTTTGGTTACTTTCCCAGATTAGTTTCCGAATTTTGTGACCAAGGAAGGTTTAAATTAAGTTCTAACATGAGGACAAAACAGACCATACCCAGGCTTGAAGGAACTATTAGTTACTTTTGTTCTCTTGGGAGAACAAATTGGTAGAAATGAGGGTGGATTTTAATTGTCACAGAAGGTACAAATGATGCTGCCATGTGATTGGAGGTCTTGGGACTGGGGAAGAATATCGTTATCATTAGGGAGGACCATAGTGCACACAAGTAAGTATCTCCACAATGGTGACCTTGGCATGGTGTGCAAACTTTACTCCTAAATAAAAAATAAATGGATGATACTCTTGGTTGGTATTTCATATGTCAGGCAATTTCTTTGACCCACATCCATTATGTTAACGTTCTTCTCTAGCACTCTGGATGAAAATTTGGGCCACTATGTTTAACTTCATCCATTATTCATAGTCCTTGATTGCTTCTAACATTAGTACATGAACTGGGAGCTCTGAAAGATTTTTATGTCATGTGTAATTGTTGGAATTTCCTGTGTATTATTTAAGTTACATTTTCCAACAACTTGGCTTTATTCTTAAAGGATGTGTGATCAACAGTTCTTTGCAAGGGCAAAGATTATGGTATGTTCCAGCAAATTGTGTTTGTTGACCTAAGACATTTCCCCCCACCCCCAACTCATATTGATTGTCTACAACATTTGTAATGAAACAGAGTCAGAGAGTAAACTCAGGGCTATGGGGGTATATTTGTCTTACAGATCAAACACTTAAAGCAGGATTTATGGAAGCGGAGGGCTGTGGGTCAATAGCTAAAAAAAACCTGGATTGTAAACAATCAAAGGACTTTCTGAGGTGTGAAGGAGAGGAGAAAGGAGACGGGAGCGGGTAGAGAGGAGGAGAAGGGGCAGGAAGATACACAGGGTTTGCTGTGGTAGGAAGTCTGCATCTGAAAAGAATTAGAGAAAAGGAGGTCTGAGAAAGACGGCTTTACCACAAGGATCAGTCCCAGAGACCCTTTCTACTCCCCTTACTGACAGGGATTGTATTGTAAACATTTCCTCTATAACCTCCCATACTCTCATTTGGAGTAATTTTAGAGCACTGAAATTTTGGATCAGTGCATTAAGAACACTAAAAATAGATACACACACAATTCAGGGAAAGTTATAATGATTGCATTTTGTTGTTATCATAATTTAATAAGAGCAGTCAAGTGTATTAGAGCTCAGAGCAACTGTAAGCCTTCATTCAATGTAAAAACACAGACCAGATCGATGAAGATGCTTTTTTGACCTAATGTTCAAATCAGACAAGTGCTATTAATAAGGAATCAACTTTCTAGCAATACTAAATTCTGTGTAGTGATTTGAAGTCCCAAAAAGTATTTTTTACTTATTATTTTATCTCCAGCTAAGTCTACAGAGAATAGAGTAAATATTAAACCCCTTTTACAAATTAAAAACTAAGGCCTGCCATTTAAGAGACTATTTAAAATCTTAGAGACAAAAGAAGAAAAATCCTATCCAGCAAAATCAGGTATGGTTTTAGGATTAAGATTGAGGTACATTGGTGTCTACATTAGTGCTTTTCTACTCTGTCACTCTACATGATTATATTATTTCTCAAACAAGTCTATCTGTTCAACAGTGTCCTCATATGCAGAAGTGGAAAAGGATTCTGTATGGTCCTTAGTTCTCTACAGAGACAAGAGGCTCCAAGGCTAGTTCTAAGAAAATCTTCCCACTTTCTAAATGATGCAAGTCAATTTAGCATGGTCTACTGGATTTCTTTTGTAGACTTTCACTTTTGATAACAAAAAGCATAATTTGATATATACAGTTCAGATGAAATGATGACTTCTGTGGTCCAGATGTGAGTTGTAGGCCACTTCCTTGGAGGCTTATAATTTCATTAAGGCCAATCACATGCGTGTTTCTCTTACTTTTTTTTCCTCCTCACATTGCTCAACCTTGGGGATTTTTAAAAGCCCTGTTCAGTTTAACTCAGCCCCTTCTGACATCTAAGATTTAATGACTCTAATTAGGATGTTATCTTAAATTCCATGTATGTATGAGGAAACCACGACTTATGTATAGAAGTTAGGCTTTGGTGGTAGTTCCTAGAAAGCACTTCTAAATCATGAAATAAAACATGAAACTCAAGTGCAAAGTTATTTAATTTTCAAGGGGAATGTAATATTCAGATAAAAGAAACCATAATGATACATTCATTTACTTTTATATGCATAAAAGTGTGAAGTTATATCATCACTTCCAGGTATCAGTTTAGGTAATGCATCTTCCAAGCTATTTTACAATCATTCTTCCATTGTTCCATAAATAGATTTTGAAAATACAAGCTATTAAACTAAAAGTTACTGCAATAATATGACTGAATAAAGCAGCAAGGCAATTTGAGAAGAATATACTAAAAGGACTAAATATGAATGCTGAATTTCCAAAATACATCCTTCAGAAATTCACAGATGTAAGGCCATGGTCAGTATACAAGAATGAGCAAATCAGGCTGTTCAAAGTCACATTTTGCTCAGTGCACCATGGATCTGCTATAAGACCACATGAAAATGGGGACTAAGAAATATATAGAAACTATATTAGTGGCCGAATGCAGTGGCTCACCCCTGTAATCCCAGCACTTTGGGAGACCAAGGCAAGAGGATCACTTGAGGCCAGGAGTTCAAGACCAGCTTGGACAACACAGTGATACCCTATCTCTATAATTTTTTTTTAATTAGGAAGGCATAGTGGTGTTTGCCTGTAGTCCTAGCTACTCAGGAGGCTGAGGTGGGGGGATCCTTTGAGCCTAGGAGTTCAAGGCTGCAGTGAGCTGTAATTGTGCCTCTGCACTCCAGCCTGGCTGACAGAGCAAGCCTCTGTCTCAAAAAAAAGAAAGAAGGAAAGAAAGAAAATATATTAAAATGGTAGCTCTCAGAGAACTGAATGTACCAAATATAGTCTCACTCCATGATGATCTGGCTTAAAGGAAGATGGTAATGGAATGGGTATTATGTTTTTAATTTAACCTATTAAACAAAACGGGGTTCAAAGAATCCACCGAGGCCTAGATGATCTTGTTTGACTGTTTAACCCTATCATGGTGCAATTTCTACTTTATATTGAAAATGTTTCCAGAGATGGTGCTCTCTTTTATTAAGAATGTAAATTTTAATTATTACTTTTTTCAATATTATATTTCGGCCTCAGATTTAAGGGAGGGAGTATATGTGTGTTTGTCCACACATATATGTAAATACACATACACACAGAGGAGTGGGAGACTTCCCTTTTCAAAATGAACTTCCAGTAACACAATTTGCCATCCGTCTGTCAACAGTCACCATTATCACTCTCTTTTTAAGTAATGGCATACAGATGTCTCTGACAGCAGCAAGTGTCCAGTGTGTGGAGGTGCACTGTCATCGGCCTCAGAGAGTCTTCATTTTTACGTAATCTCCTAACTAACTGCAAATGTGGTTGTTTTAGAAACCAAATATCTGGACCCATGTTAAGGGTATGACTGCCCCATGCAGAATTGAAAACAGAGTCATTTTCCCTTTCTTTCTCCCCATTGATCTTAAACTCTGTGTCTCTTTGTGCTGTATAATCATATCTCTTCTGAATACACGTAGTTTCATTGTTCAAAATGGAAACCATTTCCTCCACTTAGTCCAATGATGCAGACACTTAAAAAATCTAATTATTAGTTTCCCTATTTTCACTCGTACCAACAAACACTATGTTCAGTACTTATGGATTATGGATTTCTCTTGTGTTTGCTATGGTTTTGCGAGCAGAGATCTTTACTGATCAAAAAAGATATACCTAAACAACTTCAGTTTCACATCTAATGGAAAAAGGCAGAACCCAGTAATATTTACTGTCCTTCGTTGTTATATATTTAAATCTTACCACTGCAAGCAAATGTGAAATCCTTAAATTGCTGGCCTCAGTGTTCCCATGTCAACTGGCATATGCTCAGGTTGGAGATCCTGCCAAAAGTCAAAGGAAAACATTCATGAAACAGAGCCTGATGGATGATTATTCTAATCCTGTCTGCCCAGCACTGCCGGCAAGCTTGGTTTATAAATGCCTGCTGCTGCTTTAATGATAAGACCTCTTAAACACAGCTGAATGCAGCGCACCAGTGGATTTTCTTTTTTTTTCCTCTCTCTGCCCTAACTATGAGACTGATTATTGATCTCTACCTGGATGTTCCTATTGCAAACAGGCTATTCATGAATACAAGCAGGACAAATAATGGTACACTGCCTAGGGAGTTTTAATAAACTGCAATCAGGACATGGTCTCTGTGGGGGAAAAAAGTAACCAACCCAATTTTAATGAAGTATGTGCTTACGTGACTGCAAAGTCTGTGCACACAGACTTTGGCTGTGGGCCACACATTGGGCCACACATTGGGTAGTTGAGGGCAACTGCTTTTTTCACTGAGTCCCTTGTCACAGTGGACAAGGATAACCTATACTCTTACTCAAGAGAAGTTTCCAAATTCCCTCTATTGACCTTGAGATGAGGCTCTGAGGGCTGGAGTGAATTTATCTTGTTCTGACCACGCTACTGGAATAGAGGGATCTGAACCCGGAAGTGGCCACACAGACACAGAAGAAATGCGAGCCCATGGAAGCACTCAAGAAACCCAAACCTGAAGACAGAGGGGGTGAAAAGCAGCTGAATTAATATCCCTAGGAGTTCTATGAAGCCTCTTTGAAAACCAGAGAAACCTTAGTTTCAGAAATAGGGCAAGGTGTTTTAAAGTTAGAAAATGTCAGACTTTGTCATTCTTAGATAAGTTTTTGTTCTACCGGTATATGAGTGTGTATGTTAGCTTGTTTGATGCTAAGAGGAGATATAAGTTTTATATTTACCATCTGCTAAAGTATTTTTTTGGAATAACACACTTGATATTTCTGTATTTCAATAAAATGAAGCAGAACTATAGGGGTAGTTCTTCAATGGCAGGCATGCATGCAACTGTGAATATTAAAACAAGAACTCAATCCCAGCACTTTGGGAGGCTGAGGCAGGCGGATCACGAGGTCAGGAGATCGAGACCATCCTGGCTAACACAGCGAAACCCCGTCTCTGCTAAAAATACAAAAAATTAGCCGGGCGTGGTGGCAAGCGCCTGTAGTCCCAGCTACTTCAGAGGCTGAGGCAAGAGAATCGCTTGAACCCAGGAAACCGAGGTTGCAGTGAGCCGAGACTGTGCCACTGCACTCCAGCCTGGGCAACAGAGTGAGACTCTGTCAAAACAAAACAAAACAAAACAAAAAACTCAGCTAAGGAATCATCTGGAAAATGAGGACCACCAAGAAGAAAAGCTGATACCCTACACCGTGTCCACCATGGCATGAGTCAGGCCACAGCCACTCATCTCCTTGTATTTAAGTGGAGAGAAAAAATATTTTCTTTGAAAAAATTAAATGGTATGTTTTCCATACCTGTATTATGGTCTGAATCTTGCATTATTTCACCATTTCAAAGACCAAAGAATCATTTAGGGTAGTATTATCATTAGGTCAGTTTTGTTAAAGACTGAAAATATTTGGGCAAGTATTGAGAATGGGTGTTTTCAAATGTGAGTGTGCATAAGAGGTTTTGGAGAGTTTGTAACAACACAGATTCTTTGGCCTTACTTCCTAAAGATTCTGAATCAATAGGTCTGGGCTGGGGTCCAGGGCTATATGCTATATATTTTCAAGAAGAACAGGTCATTTTAATGCACCTACCCCAAAGATCCAATTCAATAACTAATTAGTAGAGGCCTCCTTCAGATTCACTTAATGAGAAAACCTTTTCTGTTTAGCCAGCCCCTTGTATTATCTGACTATGGTCGACAAATGAGGAGCACCGAATTTAGCAGAAGTATTTGTAAGAGGAACAACAGCTATAACATTTAAAAGGGGAACTGGCTTCTTACAAATCAGAAACTGCCATCAATAAAACATGTGAGTAACACTTATTTGGAGGGCAGATATAAACCTAGATTTGTTCCAGTGTGTTTTGATGCTTCTTGCACAAATGAAGCTATTAAGCCAAAGAAGCCAGAGGCACACTTCCCATCACATATAAAAACGTTCTAGCCAGGTGCAGTGGCTCCTGCCTGTAATCCTAGCAACTGGAAGTCCAAGGCAAGCGGATCCCTTGAGCCCAGGAATTCAAGACCAGCTTGGGCAACATGGAGAAACCCCTTCTTTACCAAAAAAAAAAATACAAAAACAATTAGCTGGGCGTGGTGGCACATGCCTGTGGTCCCAGCTACTCAGGAGGCTGAGGTCAGAGGATCACCTGAGCCCAGGAGGTTGAGGCTGCAGTGAGCCAAGCACTCTAGCCTGGACGACAGAGTCAGACCCTGTTTAAAAAAAAAATTTCTTAAATATTTGGTTCTAACACCGACTTTCAGAAATAAAGTGTTGCATAGAGCTTTTAGCCTAAAATCTAAGACCTGCCTCCCCACCCCCCCCACAACCCCGAAAATAGTTTGCAAATTTTATGAATTTACTTGTGATGCATTTGCTCCTCCCATCCCTTCCCCACTCCCAGCATGTCCAGGGCTTGCATCAGATTTTTAAGGTGGACTATGACTCAACAGATTAAGAGCCTTTGGACTGGTGGTCTGAGGATACTGGTCTTAACCTTAGCTTGGCTTCTACTTGGTTTGGTGGCTTTTGACAAATAACTTCACCTCTCTACAACTCAGTTTTCTCATCTATGAAATAAAAAAGCTGAATTAGAAAAATCTGAATATTTTTCCAGCTTCACAATTCTAGGAAGTGCCAATAAAATTGAGAGCAACAGGCTGGAAGGTATCTTGACATTAACATGTCTTTGGACTAATCTCCTTATTTATGGGGGAGGAACTGAAGTCCAGAGAGTTTACCATATTCTGTAGTATGTGGGAGATATCATTATGGTGGAAGATCAAAAATGGAACCCAGAATTTCCAACTCATCCACCAACTCACTCTTCATTCTAATACACAGTTAAGTTTCTAAAGCTCTGTTTCCAGCTCATACTTTCTCATTGGCTGAGGGTGCATTTCAGGCAGGATTTTCTTTTCTTGGCAGAGAGAGGGGTACAATGTGTTCCCTGGGGCTCTCTCCCACATTTCCTCCAGGAGAGAACATATGCCCAGGTCCTCAGAGAATTGTGCTCCCACACTCACAGCTGTACGATAGGCAAGAAAAAGCTGTCTACAAGCTTAAATAAACTATCAGCATTTGCAAAAGTGCTCTGAGGTGTCTTCAGGAAGTGTTCCAGGAGAATTGCTATTCTAAAAAGATCACTAGGTTCTCTTGTCCTGGATTTTACCCCACACTCAGACAATAATACTTGAAGTGCATCAGTGATACTAATCTATTTATCCAAAGTTCAACATTCAGTAAGTACAACTGGCAACAAAACAGACGGAGTCCTTGCACTCATGCAGATGAGTGTCCAGTGGGGAACTATAGCCTCCTGCAAGCTCTGCTGCACTCCTGCCTGTGTGCTTTGGAATGGAGGGAGAAGCACCTACTCCCCAAGACAGAGGCTCATGCTTCCTTCGAGCTGCCCTCTTCTAAATTACAAACATAGTTCTGGGAGAATCTCTATTATCTTAGCATAAATCAGTTTATCCAAATTGCTTTCGTTAAACCTAACAGCATCAGGCTCTGTGTGTCTTTCCTCATTGTGTCAATACCTATTTGCTTATTAACACTTTACTTGTCCAATAATACCTAGATCAGATTCCCCCTTTTTAATCTCTCTGTGCAATTTTATCTCGACATACCTTAGAATATACATAGCAACCTCATTTATTTCTTGGTTATAGCACTGGAAGTGGAAGAATTTTCAGCCTTTACTAGTGTGCAAGCATTATAAGTTATTTAGTTTACCCTTTTTTATAGATAAGGATAGTGTGATATAGAAGGAAGTCAGAGTCATTGTTAATAAATTGTTATAAATCAAAAAGAAGGTAGTGGAAAGTATATTTTTGTTAGTTTTTGTTCTGTGTATGTTTTCATAAGATATTTAAAATATATTACTTAATCTAAGTCTTGAAAACACTACTCAGTAGATACATTATTATGCCCCATTTACAGATGCAGTAAGTCTCAGTGGGGATAAATAACTTAAACCAGGTCAAACAGCTACAAGTTGTAGCTGGCAGAGACGGGGCTCAATCCCAGGCCTGTCTGAGGATGCCAGAACATGCCAAGGTAGTTGTCTTACCCACCACCTCTCTCCACTTCCACACCAGGTCACAAGGATGGGAGGAGAAAACGCTGAAATTTACTGAGAAAGGGGATTTGGACAGCGCAAATGAAAAACCGCAGGTCCTTGATAACTTGGTTAAGAGTCCTATCTACTGCCCTCCTTCTGAGGCCCAACCTCAGACTGCCAGTCTTCACCACGTCCTTTCACATGGAGATTCCCAACACCCCCACCCCACCACCACCACCAAGGTGCAGAAAGGAGGGAGAAGGGGTGAGGGCGCCATCCCCCTGCGAAAGGATGATGCAAACTGACAGCAGCATCTGCAAGCATCTGAGCTTCTGGCTGGTTATCCATCCAATGTGCCTTGACAATCATGCTAAATCTTTAAGTCTCAGAAAAGATAAGAACTCACAGTTGTGGAATGTAAAAACTGCAGGTCTGCACTTTGTGTATACCACTTTTAAAGGGCACCTCCCAATCCTCCTTTCCAAACACTACCCACCTTATACATATATGAGGTATTTGGCAGCTTTTTGCACCAAGAAGGTGGGTAGGAACTGGGCTTGACAGATAAATGCATCAACTTCTCTGCTCCTCAGTAACAATACTACATCTACTTCAAGTCAACATTTCCAAATATTTTTGTAACAACGACAGCCTAAGTACCTCCAAAATAATGATGAAAATCACACATTCTGGTTGTTTGGAATTGTTCACTTTATTAAGTATTTTTGTTTGTTTTTTTTGTTTTTTTTGTTGTTGTTGTTGTTGTTTTGGTTTTTTTTTTTTTTTTTTTGAGATAGAGTCTTGCTCTGTCAGCCAGGCTGGAGTGCAGTGGCACGATCTCAGCTCACTGCAACCTCCTTCTCCCAGGCTCAAGCGATTTTCCTGCCTCAGCCTCCCAAGTAGCTGGGATTACAGGCATCTGCCACCATGCACCATGCCCAGCTAATTTTTGTATTTTCAGTAGAGACATGGTTTCACCATTGGCCAGGCTGGTCTCAAACTCCTGACCTCAGGTAATTTGCCTGCCTCACCTCCCAAAGTCCTGGGATTACAGGCATGAGCCACCCCCCGGCCCGGCCTACAACATTCACTATTTTCACTTAATTTCCACCACAAAAACTACATAAAGTGAATAGGACAGTTTTTTGTTTTTAAATTTACAGTTTGCTTTTTTCTGTTTTTGTTGTTGTTGTTGTTGTTTTTATTTTTGTTTTTGTTTTTTGAGGTATGACTGACAAATAAAAGTAGCACACATATCTAGGGTACACGATGTGATGTTTTGGCATGGACATACATTGTGAAATTATTACCACAATCAAGCTAATTAACATATCCATTATCTATCACCTCACAAGTCACTTCATTTTTTTTTTTTTTTTTGGTGGTGAGAACACTTGAGATCTACTCCCTTAGGAAACTTCGGGTATACAACACATGATTAATAACGATAGTCACCATACCGTACATTAGGTCTCCAGAACTTACTCATCTTATAACTGATGGTTTGTACCCTTTGACCAACATCTCCCCGTTTCCCTACTCTCCAGACCCTGGCAGCCACCCCTTTACTCTCTGTCACTATGAGATTGACTTATTTTTAGAAGTCAGAGTAATTATTAATAAATTATTATAAATCAAAAGGAAGGAAATGGAAAGTGTATTTTTGTTAGCTTTTGTTCTTTGGTATGTTTTTATAAGCTATTTTAAATCTGTTATTTTATCTAATTCTCAGAAAACACTACTCAGTAGAGCTATTATTATGCCCCATTTACAGGTGCAGGAAGTCTCAGTGGGGATAAGTATCTTAAGCCAGGTCAAACAGCTACCAGCAGTCGAACCTTTTCCTCCATTCCAAATTCTTCAGGCAACATTATCCATGTCAGAGTCATCTAGGTCCCTGATTTTGTTGCCCTCGCTATGTTCATATAGACTGAGCTTTGTTGCTTTTTCACTTTCTCCAGTAGCTGCTGATGGTAAAGTTAGCCAACTACATATATGCAAAGTTTTATATGAGAGATAATTTGCACACTCAGTCAAACCTTTTCCTCACTCCTTTCATGGGTTCAGGAAAAGAAAGTTGAAGCCTTGTGCAGAGAATAGAGAACAGAAAGGATATGCTAAAGCAGCTTCCTTTCAAAGAGCAGTTCTCAGGTCTCCTTGCATATGGCCCTCGTGAGTGAAAGTGTGGCAAGTACTTCTGAATCGCTGTAGGGCATGTGGCTCTGCATACATATGCATAATGTCCTTTTCACACTTTGGAGCTACCAGATGCCTGGTTCTGCTGGGAAGAGGTTTGGTAACCCACTTGAAATTACGAGGATTTGTAACTCATTTATGCAAGCTGCAGACCCCTCTAGATGACATCCCCTGCTCTAAAGAATGATTGAGAGAAGCATGTAATAGAGCTGAAAATGACACTGAAATATTAGCAGTGCAGCAGAGTTTATATGAGGCCCCCAGCTAGATGAGGGAATTATACAAGTCAAAAGAAGAGGCACGCCTTCAGGCAACACGAGAAGCAGAAAACAAAGGAAGCAAGAACTGTCTAGGTGTCAAGGACTAATTTTGTTGCTATGGGAAAGACCCTGAGGCACTGATTCATTTTATAGGCTGGTATACAGCCCTGATCCTGGACTCCTCAGGCTAGTAAGTTAGGTGAAGCTCCTCCTCCATTCCCACTTGACCCTTAAAATGACTTAGCCCTCTGAGGTAGTGGAATGGGTTTGGGGGGTAGTGGAGGAGGGTGATGTTTAGGATGGACTCAGACTAGGTCCTGAGCCTGTCTGAGATGAGACTTTGTAACAGGCTGGAATCTGCCTCTCCTGGAACCACTCTGTCTCCAACCAAATCCTTCCCCACCAGCTCTCCAAATTTTGTTCAGAAACACTAAGCTCATGCCACCCCCTCCAATCCCTTACAGTCTCCATCCCTCCTCCCTGCTACTAACACACTCCACTCAGGAGACTAGATGTCTGCTCCTCAGAAGAGAACACAGAGCCCTGAACAGCCCTGTCCTTCTTTTCAGCTCTTGCTACATGGCGCATCTCCTGAAACACTTCCAATATGCCCTGCCTTTGCACTGCTGCTTGCTCCTCCTGGAGTGCCTTTCTCACTTCTCCCCCTAGGGACATTTCCTACTCATTCTTTAAGAAGCAGCTGCCACTTGACCGGCGGTGAGGTGAAGACTTTCTCATGACACCTTGCACACATCTCTACTTGACCACTTAGCACTCTCCACTAGAATTCTATGCTACATATTTTAGCATGTATGAAACTACAGATTTCTGGAGTGCAGGAGCAATGCTTGCAAATGTACCTTTTTATCCTTTACACTGAGCAAAATACCTGGCATATATGAGCCTGATAAATACATGTTGATTGAAAGAAAATGAATGAATTACTCACTAATTTCTCTCCCACACGCTTTTAGCAAAATAGCATGTGAGCTGTTATCATTCTCTGAGACACACTATAGTGATGATACTGGAGAAAAAGAAACAAAAGATCAGAGTACTAGCTGGGCATCTTTCTCTTAAAGCCCATCCCTGAGGGTAACTTCATTTTCCCTATTAATGGCACCCCTCTGATACAATGTTAGGGTCCAATCAGGTCACAGCATTAAAGGTCTTAGAGAGAGGTGGTGGTCTGTGCTACAAAGAGCTCAGGCTTTTCAATCAGATGGTCCTGTGATCGAATCCAGGCATTTCTACCAGCAGCAACTGGAGCTGGAAAAATGTTCAGAATCTAGCTGAATTTCAGGTCTCTCTTTGATAAAATGAGGAGAATACCTACCCTACAGTAGTAAAAACAAAATAAAATTATAACTGCCACGATGATGGCTCATTTTAGGTTCTCAATAAATGGTAACATTTATTTTTTATATCTTCAGCCTTAACCCCTTCCACTTCTTGGTTCCCACAGAGTTTTGTTCTTCCTCTAGAATAGAGGTTCTCCTTGCTAGGGTATTAGAGGGTGATCTCGACAACAGAATAATTTAAGGTGATTTTCCAAATGATATCCCCATATCCCTTTTGAGATACACTTCTGTAGCGTACCATCACTCTTACTGATAGACGCATGTTTTCTTTCTCAGGAGTTATCAGACACAAAGGGAGCTGACAATTACTTCTCTAGAACACACTTTTTAAAGTCTTGCTTTTTATTTTCACAGGCATAATTCTAGCTGGGACCATAAACTTCTCATCCCGAATCTTTTATCAGCTTCCTAGTTGACCTCCCTATTTAAAGGTTATCCTTGTCAGTCCATCCTGTATATAATAGCAAGAATCATCTTGCAAACTCCAGAAAGACAGAGTGAACTTCTGATAAAATGGGCACCTCAGTAGTCACCAAAGGAAGAGCCAGCCCCATCTCCCACACCGGCCGCTCTGCACTGCTTCACCCACTTGTGCCTTTGACTATGTTATTGCTTCTAACTAGAAGGGCCCTTCTTTCCCTAACCTCTCCCCATCCCCATGCAGTTAAAGAATTTCTACACATCATTCAAGACAAACTCGAGTGCAGTTAACTGTCTGCTCCTCTGTGCCACCAATGTACCTAACTCACCTTTGTTTGCGCATTCATCACACTCTGTTGCAAGTTATTAGCTCATGAGTCTTACTTCTGTGTTAGATTGTGAATTCTTTAAAGGAAGAGACTGTGTCTTAATCATTCATGTTTCTCCCCATAAAGTAGATGCTCACTAAATTTTTATTGACCCGCACTAAATTGAACTGAGATGATACCCTGTTCATATTCCATTAAATCATTTACCTTGCTCTACTACCTACTAGGATGTGTGCACTGTTTGCATGTGTGTCTGCATGGCAGTCATTGCTGGGGTCTTCTCCTCACTTTTGCACTTTTTCCGTGGGCCCTTTCTTTTCTAACAGAGATTATGCAAAAAAGAAGAGTTGTGCATTTACTGGTCCATTTTATTTCAAAACCTAGGGAGGCTGGGTAAGCCCTCCAGCCAACACAGGGATTCTGGAAAAAAAAGGCTTTTGTTAAAAGCATCTTGTCACTTCCTACTCATTAAATCCAAACTTCCTCAGGTGGACTGCAAGATAGTACGCCAACTTGACTGAACCTCTACCCAATCTAGCTGTCTGGACTAGCCCAGAATGCATAATTGCTTTTCTTTGTGATTCTGCTGTGAACAGGACAGGATTCTGTTCCTGCATGTTTCCCTCCCTAGTGAGAACAGTGCTGCAGGCTCAGATCCCTCTGGAATATCCATTACTCTATGATGGAGGCTTTGCCTCTTGAGGTCCCAGGAATTGTTGGCTTGTCCTTGATTCAATGTTCATCTATCTATTCATCAAACATTTATTGACGCTTTTCCTTATGTCAAATGCTATGGTAAGTCCTAGGGAAATAAAGATGCATAACCAAAAAAAAAAAAAAAAAAAGTCTGGCTCACAAAGAAGTTACTTAGGATGGGGAGAAGACAGAACATAAACAAATGACAGTATAATAATGCAAATGGAAAACAGATCTATACGTACAATGCTGGAGGGGCCCAGTGGAAACAGATAAAGAGAAGCTGATGTTGTTTTCCACTTATTAGCTGTGCAGAGAACCTGAAAGCGCCCCAACACAGATATCCTCCTCTGGCTGCAAATATCCTTTACGAATTTGAAAATGCTCTTTGAGAAGACTGCTAGCCCTATTACATAAATCACTGTTGTGGTTACGTGAGTGACACTACAAGCCTAAATTTCCCCTCTGAAGAGCCATTGTCCTAATAGAAGATCATTGCTGTCTCATTACAGCATCTTGAACTCTGCTCTCCAGCATATGCAATGCTCTGACTTCAAACAACTACAAGGTACACTATATAACAGAGAAGGAAATATGGATGAGAAATACTCAAGAAGAACCTTCAATCAAAGGCTGCTCCAGCTTTGACTCTAGAACTGTGCTGCCCAGCATATTAAACAGTAGCTATTTAAATTTAAATTTCTTAAAATTAAATAAAATTAAAATCCCAGTTCTGCAGTGGCATCAACTACATTTCAAGAGCTCATTAACACACATGGCTAGTGGCTACCATGCAGTACAGATACTGAACATTTTCATCACCCTAGAACATTCTATTGGACAGTGCTCCTTCAGGAAGTAATCTGAACTATTTATTTACCAGTTTATCTTAAGATTTTGTGAACTGTTTACTTTTAAAAAACCAATTCTGGCTTGGGAGGCAACAATCAAAAGTAAGAGTTAACTATTTTTGAAGGGCTCACAGTCTAGTGGGGAAGACAATATTTTAGAAAGGAAAAAACATTGGACAAATGTGCTGCGGGTGGTATGAACGCACAGACACAAAACAGTCTAGCTTTGACTTAAAAAGTAAGAGAAGACCTCAAAGCAGAGGGGACAGTTGATGCAATTTTTATAGGACGTGTAGCGACTTTCCTAATTTACAAAGTGGAAAGGGCACTAGAAATGGTGAGAACAGCATATGCAGAGTCACTGGGCAGGGAAGAGCTTACTGCACATGGGGAACTGCAAGTCCCTCAGCATTCTTGGGAAACAGTGTAAACTTTTGGGAAGTTGGGTGAGAGCAGGCTGACAAAGTAGCAGACATGGGTATTGGGTGAGCAGGTGGAAGGAAGAAGAGGGGTTACGCATTGTAACACAGTGGTTAGAGAACTGAAGTTTTACAAAACAGGTTTTATGCTTCAAATTATCCACTGCTAGCTTTATTATTGTAGATAATTTTAAAGAGCTCTTTAAATCCCATTTTTTCTCATCTATAAAATGGTATTAGTAGTACTGCCAACATTTTATGATTGTTTTTGGGATTAAAGGAGACAACGTGCTTGTCATAGTGCATGGCACACGTCAAACATTCAAAAATAAAAGTTGGGACCATTTATTCTATAAGAAATGTGGGATTATAAAAAGGTTTGAGGAGTAAAATAAAATGACTGTATTGTACACAGAAGTAAGACGCAAAGGAATTACTAATGTTAATAATAATAATTAAAATAACAGCTAACATTTACAGAGTATTTACTACCTATTGGGCATGATTTCAAGTATTTTAAATAAGCTACTTCATTTAATCTGCTCAGCAACCCTATCAGGTAGGCTACCATTACTAGCTTTCCTTTACAGATGGGAAAACGAAGGTATAAAGAAATTAAATAATTTGTTACACTACTAATAATTGACAGCAGTGGGATTCAAACCCAGACATCTGGCTCTTGAATCTATACCGTTAATTCTCAGGCTGTTCTGTCTCTGTTAGAAGTTCTTTGACAAAAGCCTGCCTGATATTGTATGAATTATTTCACCCCACAGCATGATGTCAGACTCATTTATTTAAGTACAGGTCTTGAAAACAACTTTCTCCTGCCATGAAAGCCAGTAAGCCAGTATGTGTGCTTTAGAAATAGGCCACAGGCCATCTAAATAGAAACAGCTAGTTGTTTGATACACTGAGTATCCTTCGAAGAGTAGGTTCAAAAGACTCCTTGGACAACCAAGACCTGACTACAATTCCAGAGCATTCTCAACCACAGTCAGCCTGTAATAATCTCTCACTTTGTATTAGGTCCTTATAAATGTCAGCTTCCTCTTAAGAAAATGGGAATAATGCCTGCCTCATAGCATTGCAAGGAATGTTAAATAAAAGTGTATAGGAAGGATTTTTTTTTTTTTTTGAGACAGAGTCTCTCTCCGTCTCCCAGGCTGGAGAGCAGTGGCATGATCTCGGCTCACTGCAACCTCTGCCTCCTGGGTTCAATCAATTCTCCTGCCTCAGCCTCCAGAGTAGCTGGGACTACAGGTGCACACCACCACACCGGCTAATTTTTGTATTTTTAGTAGACAAGGGAGTTTGTCCTGTTGGCCAAGCTGGTCTTGAACTCCTGGCCTCAGGTCATCCACCTACCCTGGCCTCCCAAAGTGCTGGGATTACAGGCATAAGCCACCACGCTCAGCCTACAGGAAGGATTTCTACAGTGTGTTCGCTGGGAAGTAGCTTTTGCTGCTCTGATTTTGGTTCTTTTACTTAAAGCACCATCTTCCAATATGAAGTCTCTAGAATTCTGGAAAACATTTCATAGGGCTAACTTGAACTCTTAAATAGCTTAAGGATGGTGAGGAGGGTATCATAAAAATAAAATTATTCAAAACAAACACAACTCAGTGTATGACCTAAACTCTAACTATTCTTATTTAAAGCTTTCTCTGATTTAGGATCCAACAACACTTTGCAGTGTGTTCCTGTGTTTACTCAAATCTGGGACCAGGTGAGCCTGACACATCGATGCTTTCACTGACCTCACTAACCATTTCTTCTCTCAGGGATGTTCTTTCACATGTCTTTTCTTCCGACATTCTGTCCTTTTGTTTGATGTTCATCCTCACACAAGTCCACTTTAATGAGTGAGATAATATAATTATCATCCGAATTTGTTTCTGTCCTTTAGTCCCCAGCTTCTCCTTGCAGAGCCATGGCTAGGACAACCACATGTTCCCCAGCATAAGACACTGGTTAGGGTCAGCCTTGCTGAGGGGCATAAGTTCCTCTCGGCTGACAATGGCAAGTAATAATTGTGGAAGGTCATATTCTTAAGCCACCAAAAGCAAATCCTCTTTTATTGGTCCTCCACATTTGGTAGGATCAGAAATTCAGATCCAAGGCATCAGCCAGGAAGTCAAAGGAATTCAAGTCTAGGAAGTCAGAATTTTGGAAGAGATGGGTTCAGACGGTGGATGTACACTTATCAAGCCCTGAGTGGAGTAAGATTCTGGAGAGATTCAGCAGGATGGTGGCTGGTAAGAGAACTGGAAAGTTTAATGTTGCTTTGGCACTTGATTACAAGCAGATTGTTGGGAGCTGAGCTGTCATGGGAATCTCAGTGGACTAGAAAGCTCACTGTGGGTTTGAGGCCTGCAATTATCAGCTATGTGACCTTGAGCAAATCACTTAACCTCTTTTATTTTCTGTTGTTGTTTTTTATCTCCAAAATGCAGATAATAATGGGAAATAATAAAAACTGAAAGGAGATTTTCTTTTTTAACTGAGGAAATATATAGAAGTTTATATTTTTAGACTGCCTGTGAATTTGTAAACTATTCTCATGTAAAGAATTTACGTGAAAGTGCTGGGCAAGGTGGTGGCTCATAAATCTTGATTAAAACATCTTCAAATCAGTATTTCAGTAATGTATTCTGACGGCCTTTTTTAAGGGACAAAGAGGTTAAGTGTCTTGACCAAGGTTATGCCGCTGGAAGTTCACTCAGGAAGTGTGGCTCCTGAGCCGGTGTTCCTTCCCATTATGGTGCACATCCTCCATGGATGAGGGTCCTTACAGTCACAGTGGCTTATCTGAGTTTGAAAGGCAAAGGCATCAGGTTGGTTTCTGAGAGGGTGATGACAGCTACTCAGAGATCTCACCTGACACCAGGACAAAGGAGTGATTGTGGCACTTTCTGATATCACTTCCTTTCTCCTACTTTTGAGCCTTCACACATGCCTTTTTTCTATGCTTAAATTTATGATATCTTCCCTCTTCCGTGCCAAACCGAATCTCTCCCTTCCTTTAAAATTCTCAGCTGAATCCTCAGGGGCACAGGGAGTGGGAACTGAATTTCATCAGCATTTCCAGGATGTTAAAAAAAATGCCCACAAAACCATCCCCCTCCCAAAACCCTGTTTATTTTATTGGCATAGACACAGACCCTACGACCTGCGGTCCTACCCTGAAGGCTCACCAAAGAAAAGCAGAAGTCCAGAGATGTATAGTATCAAGAGTGAGGCATCTGTGATTTTAGATGGTTTAAAAGGGTATCTTATTTGATAGCAGCCAATAAAGCAGAGACAGAGCCAGATCAGATAAGAAGAAAGAACATCTCCGGCCAGAATTAAACAGGCTATTTTGGGATATGTCAAAAGGAGTAAAGCTAGATTGGAAATGACTGTGAAGGTGATTAAATAGGTGAGAACAAAGAGAACACTTCCTGAGTTCTGGCTAAGAAGGGAAAAATTCTTAATCATTTTTTAATTGTATTTCATAATTAGCCAAGTCACAAATGCTATGGCTTGGATTAAATGATCTTTCTTAAGGCAGAAACTGCTACGGATTTTTGCTAGGGAAAGTGTTGGGGGTTGGGGAATGGAGGGAGTGCTGACACCCTTTCAATTTGTATAGCGGTTTAAGAACCCAGGGTTTATAAGCATATTTGTTTATAAAGCACATTTTGAAAGATACTGTTATTCTATTTTTGCTTTTATTTCCCTTTCCAAAGGAAATGAAAAAACAGCAATGGAAATTTTTCCAGAGGAAAAAAATCTCAACAAACAGTGAAGCAAACAGCCACTGGAAATTGCTTATGAAGCTCCTGGAAATAATGGATATATGACATCATAGTTATGTTACAACATCTTCAATGGCAAGCGGTACAAAGCAAGGAAATGCTGAAGTTTCATCTGAATGAGTTATTCCACACTAAATATTCTTAATTAGTATCACAGAAAGCATGGAAAACAGGTTAATTATTTACAGAAATAAAACAATAAAATCACCTCTAACAAGCATGCATATAGTATATCAATGTACAATTTCTGCTGGAAAAGCAAATCCTCTCCAAATTAGGAGTTCAGAAAGACTCTGAGAGAAAAATAAGACTCTTGAATAACTAGTTGCTTACACCTTTATTCCTTTCTTGAACACTTATTTAGCACCTGTTATATGTAAGATTCTTTGTTCATTGATAGGACTGCAAAAAAAAAGAGTCAAAGGACACTATCTGCCCTCATAAGGCCTGCAATCTAGGGAGAAAAACTCTCCCTTGTCTACATATCTCTATTGACTTCATTTGGTTTATGACTTTAAATAAGCTCTACATGCAGACTAATTTCTGATTGGTATTTCTAGCCTGACCTCTACTATGAGCACAGAACCCACATACTACCTAGGCCTAAGAAGGTCCACAGGTTGTCTACACAGATGTCTAAGAGGGCTTGGCTTTCTAAACTGTATCCAAATCAGAGCCGGCCATTTCCCCCATTCCTTCCTCAGTCCTTCAACCTCTACTATGGTTCAAGCCCATCAGCAGAAATACTTGATGGGGAAGAGAAGGGACTTATAAATAGGCCCAAGAGGACCCCACACTTGTTGTAATGTTCTGTGGTCTTGAAATATCCTTAATAATTTTTTTCTTTGAACTTGTGTTTTGTAAGGGAGGTTTGATGGTACAATGGAGCATGTGTTAGAAAAGGAGACACAGATCAAAGGCCAATCTTGATATTTTAGTACCTTTAATATGCCGGCATTCCCCCCTGCTTTTTAAACAAAAGGCTTTGTATTCTAATTTTGCACTGGGCCCCTGTGAGGATTAATACTAAGTATCAACTTGATTGGACTGAAGGATGTAAAGTATTGATCCTGTGTGTGTCTGTGAGGGTGTTGCCAAAGAAGATTAACATTTGAGTCAGTGGACTGGGAGCTGCAGATCCACCCTCAATCTGGGTGAGCACGGGCTAATCAACTGCCAGTGCAGCTAGGATAAAGGCAGGCAGAGGAATGCGGAAGGACTAGACTGGCTAAGTCTTCTGGCCTCCATCTTTCTCCCATGCTGGATGCTTCCTGCCCTTGAACATCAGACTCCAAGTTCTTCAGCTTTTGGACTGTTTGACTTACACCAGTGATTTGCCAGGGGCTCTTGGGCCTTCAGCCACAGACTGAAGGCTGTACTGTCAGCTTCCCTACTTTTGAGATTTTGGGACACGTACTGGCTTCCTGGCTCCTCAGCTTGCAGACGGCCTATCATGGTACTTCACCTTGTGATCATGTGAGTCAATTCTCCTAATAAACTCCCCTTCATATATATATATATATCTATTCTGTTAAATCTGTCCCTTTAGAGATCCCTGACTAATACAGCCCCTAACTTAGTCAGCTTGAGCAGCCGTAACAAAATACCATAGACTGGGTGGCTTAAGTAACAGACATTTATTTCCTATAGTCCTGGAGACTGGAAGTCCAAGATCAGGTGCCAGCACGGTCGGGTTTTGGTGAGGGCTCTCCTCCTGGCTTGCAGAGGGTTGCCTTCTTGCTCTGTCCTCACATGGGAGACAAAAAAAGCTCTGGTGTTTGCTGGTGTCTCTTCCTCTTCTTATAAAACCATGAATTTCATCATGAAGCTCCACCCTCAAGACATCATCTGATTCTTATTACCTCTCAAAGGCCCCATCTCCTACTAATATCACATTGGGAGTTAATTTGACATATGAATTCTGGAGGGATGCAAACATGCAATCTACAACAGCTCCATATATTGAGTAGCTGATCCTGTATATGAATATTGTACAAATGAGATGTAGGTGAAGTGACCCTTACACTGTGCCTGCCCTCTATGCTAGGTATACGAACCTACTGCATTTCTATGCTCCTTGCTTTCTTCTGTGTGTTTTAAGTTGATTTGAATATCAGCATTTGGTCTTTGTCTTCCAGGACCACTGGTATAGCTTGCCTGGTGGTGGACTTGGAGGATACCATTGCATCAGGGCATTTCTCCACATGATAGCTCCTGCCTGCTGGACAGGTCCTCTCTTGACTATGTGTATTCTCCAGAGAAGCAGGTGATGACACCCAAATGTTTTCTTTTCCTTTCAAAATAATGCGTTATATTTACACCACTCAATAATTAACGAAGGGTCTTTCCAACAATCCATGAAATGATTGAAAAAGAAAAATGATGTACAGTAAATGTCTTAAGCACAGCCTTCTGGTTTGAAAACCAGGGCTTGCTCTGTTCCATAGGATTAGACTATTTCATTTGATTTCTCTATTGACAAAGCCACTGAAGATTTTGCATGTTAAATTTCACAACTTTCCAATGACATTTTAAAACTCTCAGTCCCCAAAAGCAGAAGTGTTTTTGAAATCCCAAGAGTACTCTTTGAAGAAAATCTCTTCCCCCTCACTGTGCTTGTTAGAACAGTGTAGTATAATGTATTTTCCAAAGTACAACTAATTGAAGCACTTTGTCTTTTTTAGTTTTCTGCATTTCAAAATACCTATTGTGTATGCAATCTTATAGATCAGATATACCTTTATGTATTTGGGAATTTCCTCATTTCTCAGTTTTTAAAACTGTCCAGGAAAGCTGCATATATTTGGGGACATGGCATCTCAGAAAAATGTATCTCTAAGACCACAGAGATCACAATGAGGTTTGCTTTGGTATAAAATGACAACAGGGAAGTGAAGAATTACCCTATTCTTCACTTAAAAAAAAAGGCATCATAGGTTGCCACTTCACATAATGTCTTAATATTCTCCCATTTAATTATGTAAATCGTCAAAGAGGACTGCTGTTTATGGTAATTTGCACGTGTGGCGGTCTGCTTCCCAAGGTAAGCTAATTTAAATCAAATTATAACTAAAGGAGATTTACCACTTGTTGATTTAGACAGACAATCATTTATAACTCCAGCAAATGGCTAGTGAAGACTGCAGAATTTCAAAAGTGAGGTGAAACAGTAGTGATCCTGCTGTGAAAGGAATCGGCTGAAATGCTCTGGAGGGATTTAGGATTCCCACTGATGTCAGCAAGAACTGAAAGCAGCCTTTTTTGTGAGGGAAGTGATTAGTGAATACCGTTGACCCTCACTACCTCCACATTCAAGTCTTCCTTTGCACATGAAGTTAAAGGCTGTTCTCCCCAACTAATTCGCCACTCTCTTTTGATACGAATCCAGCACTCTTCAGAATCTGTCTGCATTCTGGTTGCAAAGTTGTACTAAGTATTAAATGTAATTGAGAAAAGACCATTGTAAACTGCTCAAGTGTTTGAATGTCCCCAGCTCTTTTCTTTTTCTTTTCTTTTTTTGTAAACCATTAAAGATAGCCCATTTCAGTTTGAGAAACTAAGCATGTGCAAATTCATTCTTTGTTTTATGGGCACATTTATTACAGAGCAAATGCCCTCTTTAGCTAATGAAACTGGCTATGTGGACTATGATAGACCAAGAAAGCTACCCAAGTCCTGAGGGAGCCTAGTCCTCCTAAATGCAGACAATGTACCCATGACAAGGGCTACAGCTTGGCTTTAGCAACCAGGAGGATGAAGACAGCAAACTGATTAAGAGAGTAGGTATAAGAACCAGGGAGAGTGGGGTCCAAATATCTATCCTGCCTCTCACTTGCTAAAAGACTTTAAGAAATTTGCTCAACCTCTCTGAATCTCAGTGTCCTTATGAAAAGATAGCATTAATTATACCTTCTCCATAAGATTTATATAACATGCCAGTGCGGATAAAGCACAAAGCTTTACATAAATGTTCATCTTCAAAAACAGAAGCTATGAATAACAATGACAACATTGTTAATAATGCAGTGTTATGCATGGAAGTGGACAACTTCTAACATATTTATGAGTAAAGAGTTAAGATAGCCTTTTCCCTTCTGCATGAGAATTTGACCTTCATTTAAATTTCACGCTGGGTTTCCCTGTTAAGGTTGGCTATGCTGCTAACCAGTGTTGTTTATGGTAACACAAATCCCATGATTAACACTGGAAGGCCTATACATAAGCTGTATATATTTGATAGGAAGTCACACTTGGGGTCTTCCTGAGTGTGGTGAATTTGTAACTGCCATGGCCTTTGTGAAGACCCTGGAAATTATGCCTACGTTGCTGTCACCCCAACAGATAATGGCTCTTGTAGGAATGAGGCTTTTAGGCACTTGGCTGATGTGGATCTCATCTCCTTGCACCTGGGCTGTGCTGCACAGAATTCCCACAAAGACTTTCACAGAAAAGAAATACCTCAGGTTGTACTGCTGGCATATTTGGTTTCCCATCAAGGTCCTTAAGTAAGTATGATGTCAAGTATCTCCTAGGGTAATATCGTGAGTCTGCATCTTTAGCTGAGCCCAAGAAAACTCTCTGTAGACATTGCAGAATATTTCAATTTATTTTTTTGATGATCAATGCATATGCTTGAAGGATAAGATTGTGATTATGTTAGAATAATGTAGGTTCTAGATTCCACTGTGAATGCTTATGAAATACCAGAATTTTCCAATGCCCATATATGTTTTCCTACTACCCTGAGAGAGACATTTCTGCCATTGACAATTCTTTGGGACTGGCGAAGCCATTTGTAGAGGCCAACTGAAGACTTCTTGATTAGCAGCAATTCAGAAATGCAGTGTTCTCAATATGCCACATGCAGGTGCCCGAACAGGACTAAATAACATCCTTGCAGGACAGGAGTCTCTCTCTAGAGACATAAGTCGTGGCTATCTGAATGGCCAATGGCAACTGGGGATATCCCTTGTTTTCATTGGAAGCCTTTGTTTTCCTGGTGACAACCTTCCTCAACTGGAGTTTCTGCAGAGAATTAAGCCTGAACTCTCTAGAGCATCTGTATTACATTCTTGCTGTTGCCATAAAAAATTATCACAAAGTTAGTGGCCAAAACCAACAAGATTTATTATCTTCGACTTCTGGAAGTCAGAAGTCAGAATTTTAGCCCAGAAATTTCACAGGGCTAACTCAAGATGTCAGCAGGGCTGTGTTCCCTTTGGAGGTTCTGGGGGATAGAGGGAATTCATTTCCTCACTCTGCAGTTCCTAGAGGCTGCTTGCATTCCCCAGCTTCTGGCAATCTTTCACCTTCCTCCGTCTTCAAAGCCAGCAGCATAGCATACTCACATCTGTCCCTGCCTCTGACCCTGACCCTCCTGTCTCCTTCTTTGATTTATAAAAACACATGTGATTAGACTGAGCTCACCCAGGTAATCCAGGATCATCTCCCTACCTCAGGATCCTCAATTTAATCACATCTTCAAAGTCCCTTCTGCCATATACAGTAACAGATTTATAGTTCCAGAGATTAGGAAGTGAATATCTTTGGCGGGGGGAGGCCATTATTCTGGCATCCTTTGTTTGCAGTAAATTTTTCTTCTGTGCAACTAGAATGGTACTAGTTATGTGCCATCCTCAGAAGAACTGAGAAAACTGTCATTCAGATCGTTTTCTGTGCCCTATGTTTCAGATGAGGAACTTCAGTTGTGAACGAGTGGTTGGTGGAAATGGTGACAACAGCACCTTTAATAAACAGGCAATGAGATTCTTCAGGGACAGTAGTTTTACAGTTTTTTAAAAAACTGGATAGAGAAGGATGGCAAAGGGGGTGGGTGTTGGGAATTAAGTGTGAGCCCAGGGAAGCATATGGTGGTGTTTTTAAGATGCATTTTAGGGAGTAAATATATCTATGAAGAGAGAGATATTGAGGGAACAGAGGTGGGGGAAAGTGTAAATATGAATAGCTGGTGGTTCCAATTCCAATTTTTCTAAAAATGTACCAACTATCAAACTTGTCTTTCTTTCTTTTCAAAAAATCTAGCCTTTATTCTAATGACCCTTGCATACTTCAGTAGAGACTCCCACAAGAAACATTCAGCAAAAAATGCATTTGTGTAGAAATCATACAATAGCTAGTTTCACTCCTCTTACAAAAAAAAAAAAAAATCAATAGTTGTTTCTGTCCCTAAATTTCATCTTGGGCCTCTTTGTGAAATGTGCAGTTCAATTTAGTGTTGATAGGTCATTCCAGTCAGTGTGAGTTTATTGCAATTCAGTAATAATTTCCAGCCAACTGGAAACCGAAGTACTCCAGTTAGACAGAGTCACCTCTCCTCAGTCTGCTTGACATTGTCTTTTAAGCAGTAATAGGAACCATTGTCTGATGGATTGATCCTTGGAACCATCACATAAGCTCCAGCAGGAAGCTGGAAGACTCATTACTATCAGGACTTATTTAGAGCTGAGTGAAGCCTTGGTATAAACTGACCTAGCATTTAGGATGTTTTCCATCCCAAGAAAGAGTTCCACAGTGGTAGACAAGAGGCCTGGCTTTGGCCATAGCTCTGCCAGTATCCAGTGTGTATGGACCAAAGAGCAGCTC
Organism: Homo sapiens; assembly: GCF_000001405.40. NCBI lineage: Eukaryota > Metazoa > Chordata > Mammalia > Primates > Hominidae > Homo > Homo sapiens. The sequence continues at coordinate 47,391,223 of NC_000015.10, read as the reverse complement.
AGAGAGCAGAGGAAAGGAGGCTGATTGTGTGGGTTACTGGTGACTTACTAGGGGGAAGCTTTTATGAACTGCTGTCTGGTAGAGGACCTGGAATATCTCACAACTTAAGAGGAAATATCCTCAAAAGAGAAGGCAGGGCAAAGGGGTTAACTTATTAGACCCTAGTAAAATGAAGAAGCAAGGGCCAAATTCAGGAAGGAAAGCTCATACTGGAGGCAAGAATCTTCTTGGAAATAATGAGAATTGGGCAACTGTAGAATTTCAGCTGCATGTGCACCTTTGCAAACTCTTGACTCTGCTTCTGAGTTGCATCCTCCTGCTTCTCGGTTATTAATTGCAAATAGGAGCCAAAATTGCAAACGATATGAAAAATGGAAGAAAAACTCAGTCTAGTAGGGAAGACAGATTCCAAAGCTAGTAAAAAAATATAACAAACTGATATAAATGCTATGAAGAAACAAGATGCTGAGAGAATCACAGGAGGTTATCACCTACTAATGTCTTCACAAAAGACCTGAGGAATCGATATTTAAGTTAAAATTAGGAAGAACAGCTCTGCAAAGACTTAGAGCTTGATGGAATTACATTTTCAAATGTCTTGAGGTATGAAAGAGCTTGTCCTGTTTGAAGAACTGAAAACAAACAAACAAAAAAACCGGTGAGGCTGGTTCAAGGTGAGCAATTCAAATGGGGGTGGAAAGGCATATGTGGTGGATTACTTTTAGGCAAATATTCACTCCCTCTTTCCTACCCAATTTCATGAAATGAATATACTTGGCCACTTCACTGATGTTGGACCTGGCCATGTGACTTGTTTTGGTTTCATGGTGGCTGAGTACACTTTGCTAACCCTTTAGTTTGGGCTCAGCTATGTCTTTAGTTAAGGGGACTTAAGCAAATATAATAGAAGAAGAGGTTTAAAATGTGCTCACACAGTTGGGCTCACTCTATTGCTCTTGTGTTACTGTGGTGAAAGACCATATACTAGATTGTCCACTGGTAGCAGGACAATGAGGGATGTGTAGCAGACATGGATCCAACATGCAGCTTGGCATCAAGTCCAGCTAAGCCCCACTGAGATCAGCCCCTTCCAACTGATTTCCAGATTCTTAAATAAGATTAAATAATTATCACTTTAAGCCACTGAGTTTTGGGGTAGTTTGTCGGTCAGTATTACTATGGGAATAACTAAGAGAGACAGTATATAAAGATCATCTAAAAGAGCTTGTGAAAAAACAATTGAAGTGTTTTAAGTAGGGAGTGATAGAAAATGAATTATGTTTATTGAAGCTCACTCTGGCTGCTGGGAGAGGGCATTAGGAGAAAATAGTTGGAATAGTCTTTTTGGATAGAAAAGTGGCAAGGAGTAAAATGGAAGTGAATATATTTGAAATAAATCTTGGAGGCAGAACTAATAATACTCACTAATGAGTTACATACACAGAGAGAGGAAAGTGAAGAACTAAAGGGTGACTCCCAAATTTCCAGCCTAAACAACTGGGTGGAGAGTTAAGACACTTCGGGTTTTCTATGTTGCTATTTTTTTCTACAATAATGACTTAAATGGTTATGCAGTCAGTTGACATAGGGTAAGTTACTTAATCATTACTTTATGTTGAAGGTTTGCATTGAAAGTTGATTTGCATCCAGCTTTATCTTTTACCGTAACCTCAATAGTTAACCTCTAAGTACATTAAAGTTTTGTGTATTTTAGATTCTTTTTTAGGGGTGAGTGAGTGGATTCCTAGAAATGGAATAAGTGGGTCAAAGCATTTCAGTGATGTCTTTTTTTTTTCTCCAGAGTTCATTTCTCCTCTAGGCAGAAAGTAGAATGTGAAATGTGGAAGAAATACCTTCACAAAGAACAATGTATTTTGCTTTGGTGAAATGTCAAAGTCTCCTTAAGGTGGCTCCTAATAATAGCAACAGTCAACCTTTATATGATGCTTAATATGTGCCAGACACTATTCTAGGCACTTTATATATGCATTAACTAATGTAGTCTCACAACAGTTCTATAAAGTAGAGACGAATACTATTCCCATTTTACATACGAGAAAACTGAGGGAGAGAAGCTAAGTTGCTTCTAAGAACATGAACAGCTTTATAGAATTCACTGTGTCTGTGGAACAGATGATGCTAAGACATTTGTTTCATGCATTTGTTCACCATAGGTACCTTATTTGGACCCGCAGAAAAAAAACATTACTTACTTTTGCACCAAATAATCCTTATGCTTACTGAAATGGCAGATTTGTATCTGATGAGTTTTGTACCAGATAATCATTGTGTTGCTCCTAAGCAAATGGCAGATTTTTATTGGTAAGATTTTATAACTGATTAAGTTCTACCTCCTAGAAAATCTGGAGCCAAATGTCTAACCCATTTGTGGCAAGTGTCTAAATCTTTATGCCATCATGTTTATCTTCATTCCTGCATCTCCATTATGCCTCCTCCTATCTCCTTTTCTCTTTTACATTTAATTTTAATTTATACAGTGGTGGATTTTATATATCCTTGAAAGCTTCCTGACCGTAAGAGATATAAATAAGTACAGGAGTCTCCCCCTTATTCACAAGAGATATGTTCCAAAACCCCCAGTGGACGCTTGACACCAAAGCCTATATATACTAAGTATACTACGTTTTTTTGATCTGATGGCCAGACAGCTACTAAGTGACTAACAGGTGGGTAGTGCCTGCAGCGTGAATACACTGAACAAAGGGAGGATTCAAGTCCTGGGCAGGATGGAGCTGGGCAGGATGGAGCTGGAAAGCACAGGATTTCATGACACTACCCAGAAGGGCACAAGATTTAAATCTTAGTAATTGTTTATTTCTGAGATTTTCCATTTCATATTTTTGGACTGTGGCCGACTGTAGGTAACTGAAACTGTGGAAAGTGAAACAACAGGTAAAGGAGGGACGACTGCAAACAGACTCAGGGAAGCCAAAAAAATAAAAGAATATCAATATAAAAACAACTCAGGCTGTGTATACAACTTCCCCAGGATTAATTTTATGGGTATATATTCATTGATTGTTTGTTTGCTCTTAACAACCTTCTCTACCACTTTCAATTTTTTAAGGTTGTGCATATTCTATGGATTTGATCAGGAAATGGTGCCTGAAAGAGCTCCCCAGCCCCACTCCTTTCCTACCTATCCCCAGGGAGCCCTAGGACAACTACTAAATAATAAAAATAATAATCCTTAAAATACTAATATAGTTTTTAGACAATAATGGCACTTATTAAGTGCTTACCACTATTCTGAGTATTAGAGCTTAGGCACTATTCTTAGTACTTTATAAAAAATTACTTTATTTAATTCTTACAAAACAACACTATGAGGGTGCTACTCTCATTATGCACAGGTTACAGATGAAGAAACAGGTTTCAGGGAGTTAAGCGACTTCTCCAATGATGCAGAGCTAGTAAGTGGCAGACCTGAATTTTGAACTAGGTTTGTTGAGCGCACAAATCTTTATTGTTAACCACACAATAGTTTCTCATATTCCTGGAATAATGAGATCCCAACTTTATCTAAAATTATTTCTGATTTTTCTTCTTACCTTTGCCTGTCCTGATGTAACTGTTACCTGAACTAATCAGTTAGTCATATAATTAGAAGAAATAAATGAGCATTTACTGAATTTCTCCTTTAGACTAGGTGTGGAACTAGGCACTTTCAACATTATTCATTTAAACCTGACAACAATTTCATGAAGTTGGTATTATTGTTCATATTTTAAACTTGAACATGTTGGGACTCAAAAAGTTTATGGTACTAATACAAGGTCACAAAACTAGTAATGGGCAAATCCAGGGTTGAATCTGAGTTCCTCCAAGTTCATGTTCTGTTTTCTTTCCATTTGTTTCACTAGCAGAGTATAAGCATGACCTTGGGAAAATTACAACTTTAATGCACCTCAACCTTAATATCAGTAAAATGGAATAACAAGGCTTCCCTTAAATTTCCTTGACTGAGTGCTAGAGATGAGCACATATAATTATCAGATAGGGATATGCTTTGGAATTTACTGCCCACTGCCCTTTCTGGGTTACTCTTCACAAAGGATTTTTGGTGTCCTAGAAGGCAACTTACCTCTGGGGATGTGGTCACATCTATAAGCTGACTTTGAGTTATTCTGATAAGGGGAAGCCACTGGGAGCATGATGGAGCCACACGCAGCAGGGCCCGTGCAGTGAAGCACAAGGATGGGCTGCCTCAGTGTGGGCCAACACCCACAATGACAGTGTTTGCAGGGGCAGCGTCGTTGCCACTGCATCCTTCATTGCCATCCCTTACCCCTATTGCATTTGCAAATAAACAAAACACAGATAAATGTTCTTGGCTCTGTGTCTAAGCCCAACTGGCCTGTAGGATGTTTAATTCTGGCTAAAACAACCCATTCTAGCCCCTGTGCTTATTAAATGGCTATAAGAACGTGCCTGGCAGAACTTCTACTAGTGAAAGGGGAAATGACCAAGGCCTCCAGCTATTGCCCTCTGAAACCTGGCACCAGGTGTTCCCAGAGGTCACACTTCCCATAGGTAACTGCCAGCCAATGCCTGAGCAGGTAAAAATACTAAGACAGGTCCATGCCTAGGAGATATGGATTCTGCTAACAGCCAACCTTGGCTCCAGGACTCCCCGATGGCCTTGCGGAACTTTCATTAGACTGCACGCCTATCTAGGACTTTTCCCCTCTCCTTCCCTGAAGCCAGTCTTGGATTAAGGTCTGACATTTCTCCCAGCACCCGCCTCTAACTCCACATTTTTGCTCACAGGCATTCCACTAACTGAATGCTCATACATTTAATGTCATATTGGTGTCTGCTTCGTGAAGACCCTGGGCAAATGTAGCTTATGATGTCTCCTTCTGCTTAGCTTTCTTTTAATTCCACCCTTCAGACCTTCCCCATGGTGCAATAATTGATTCCCCCAAGTCCCTACCCCCAGTTGGAAGCTTTTCCTGTTACCTCTTATCTTCACCACTTTGAGGATATATAAGTCATTTTACCTTAAATTATGGTTATCTGTGTAGATATTTTATCTCTTCTACCAGATGTTGAGCCCCTTGAACCTAATGGCATCAAAACTTATTGATATATTATATCACACTATCCCAGGCATTGTCCTATGGTTTTACATATGTTACACATATATTTAATTCTTGTAAACACTCTGTGAGGTATGCATTATCAAATCTATTTTACAGAGAAGAAAATTAAAGCCCAGAGAAATTAAATGACTTGCCCAATGCTGCACAACTAGTTAGTGTTAAAACTTATTTTGAATTTAGGCTTTTAGACTAAATCCTGTGCTCAAATTATTATTCAACCCCTGTCAAAATTCCTTGCTAACATAATAAGTGCTAGGTAGCTCATCCTATTTCTTATCTTAACTCCTTGGAAGCAGAAGGCTAAATTTTATGCCTGGTTGGAGCAGATGTCCTTGACTTGGGATTCAGTTACAGTTATCATTTCCCAGTTCCAAATTTATTATATAATTCTTGATAATTCTTGTTTTTTTTAAAAAAAATTCTTTATTGCTGTAGTTCTAATGTACATGAGTCTTTTTCTTGGGGGAGTAAGCAGATATAAAAAGCAAGGAAGAACCTCTGGACCTGTACGCTTTGAGTTCAGATGCGTATGAACACACAGATACATTTCTCTGTCAAAGTCAAAGCAGGCTATGAAAAATAATCTCAGGGAAAGCAGAGGCCAGGTGGTGCTTTTCTCTGTTAAAACAAAAAGAAATGAATTTTTACAAATTCACATAGCAATTTGGTTATGGAAATTAAAATGGAATTCGGTACTCTCAGTTCCCAGAGCAAAGACCATGTTGCCTTCACAGTACAATGAAAGAGCATAATGTCTACTATGACTATACCAACATGTATATTCATGTGTCTTGAGACAAGGTATTGTAAATGGAAACCAGGTCTATGAAGCCCCTTACTTGACTTAATGGCACTTATCTGCTCTTGAATTCTTTATTACAATGTTCTGTTTGTAGTGTAAATTGTGTTATTAAGTATTGATGAAAATTCCTAAAACTACCCCTCTATCCAAAAGTTGGATGCAATATTTGCATGAGTTATGAAAACTGTTGTATATAATGAGTCAGAACGCTGCCTTATGAGTTCTATGGTAAAAAAAAAAAAAAAAAAAATTACAGTCCAGCTCCATGAATGTAATTATTCAGTCACCTAGTCTGATTTATCATCTTCATGAGAAACTAAGCCATGAAATATCCTCTGCTAGAAATCAGCCTTCGTTCATTTTGCAAATACACTTGAGAGAAGCAGGAGGAGTGAGAAAAAACAACAAATGATCTGCCAGGACTAGAGGAAACATATTTCTTTTTCTTACAAAAAAAAAAAAAAAAAAAAAAAAAAAAAAACTTTAGTAATCAAATGTTAATTCTGAAATAGATAAATGGGAAAATAACTACACACTCCTCTATATGGTTTTGGCAGTGTGAGCCTTACTCCGGGCTAGAGATGTTTGCTTTCATGCCTCTTATTCAAGAGCAAAAAATAAGGGTGGGGGACACAGAAGGAGGAGCTTCTGGGCATGAGGCGTGTAGGCGTTTGGAGCTCTCCACTCAGACATCCTCATATGCCACAGTTGGTAGCTGATTAGTCCTTTGCAGGCTGCAGGGCCTCTGCTGGCCCCTGCTCACTGCTCATTGCACAGATTAGTGAAAATGAGTCACAGCATGTGCAAGCATGCAGGGCTGATGAAATCCACAGAGGTCAGCTTGCCGAGAAATCCTTTCAAAGGCAAACAGGAACTTCTGACAGATGGAAGAGTGGGAAGCAGATAAAGATGTTTCAGGGAAAAGAGAAAGGTGAAGTGGGGAAAGAACCAAGCTTCTGAGCTCAAAACAACATGAGACTGCCTAGTGAATAGGCGCTAGAAATGCAGCAAATATTTTGAATTTGCCCTTTTTTTCCAAATCTGTTTTAAAGTAGCTCTTATGCACTACTAAACATGCATACAATGTTTGGGCTTTTCTATTCCTTTAATACAACTGTTGTCACTGGGTTGGGAGGACCTCGTGTGAAAGCTGGCAGTTGCCTATTCTGATTTGTGGGAAAACTTAAACCCTGCTACTTTGGTCTTTGTGAAGGTCCCTGGAATTCTTAACATTTAAAAAGTATTTAAAGGCCCAGCCAAAAATTAAACTGGGTATAAGCAATAACGGAGCCCATTGTAAATGAGATCGTGGAAAAACACTCTATGTGTGTGAATCTGTATATATGTGCATGTGCTTTGTGGAAGCAGGAGCTTGAATTTGGGTCATGAGATATACAGAGATGCTTTTGAGAACAATGAACAATTGTTATGAGAAATTGAATGTGTGCTAAAATTTCTCAGCATGCTAGAGACCTGCATCTGGAATCAGACATAGCAGAGTCTGAGTGCCAGTCTTATTCCTTGATATGTCAATCTGGGCCACTAGCTGACCTCTCTAGCTTCAATCTGGGCATTAGCTAACCTCAAAGCTTCAATTTTTATTATCTTACAAAATGGGGTGATTTTAATATTTAACTCAGGGTCCTTATGCCTTATGAGTTAAAACTGGTAAAGCATATAGCTCATTGCCTGACCCATAGAAAACAATCAATAAATTATTATTACTACTACTACTACTGTGTTGTACCAGGCCCCTGGCAGTGCCACATGTGGAAATACCAGAAGCCTGATCTCAAAGTGAAAGAGTATGACCCCTTGAGGAAGGCCAGCACTGGCCGGTTTCAAAATCAACTATGAGCCAGGGCATAGGAGTTAGAGACCAATCATAGTGCTTGTGCCCATCTTCCCTCGTCATGGGAGGCACTATCGTCTCACATCCTCCTGTACTTTCCATATGTGCCATCTGAGTTAATGAATTATCAAGATGAATCAGAAGCTCTGCTAGAAACCTTTGCCCACAACTCTTCCCAGACGAGCTGAGGCATGAAGAAACCAGGATCATACCTCCTCGACCATAGGGAATCACAATCTACTATGTCCTTGGAAATAGAGGATCAGCTTAGAACCACTTAGTTGCATCAAAGCTGTAAGTGCCAGATGGCTGAGATATTGTCCTCATCAGGACAGGCACAAAGGGAAGTTCCCTGGATCATTTTGAGGGACAAAAATTAGGACCAGGTGGTGGCTCATGCCTGTAATCCCAGCACTTTGGGAGGCCAAGGGGGGCGGATTACCTGAGATTAGGGGTTTGAGACCAGCCTGGCCAACATGGTGAAACCTGTCTCTATTAAAATACAAAAATTAGCCTGGTGTGGTGGCAAACACCTGTAATCTCAGCTACTCAGGAGGCTGAGACAGGAGAGTCGCTTGAGCCCGGGAGCCGGAGGTTACAGTGAGCCAAGATCATGCCACTGCACTTCAGCCTGGGCAACAGAACAAGACTCCGTCACTTGTCTTCACCAAATGGTACTACAGGACTAACAAGCAAGAGTTAAGTACAAGCAGAGGGTTGTCCCTCTGATCCCATGCTTTTCTCTTGTTTCAACTAGTAGGCTTCACATTCTGTGAGGACAGAAACCTTGTCTTAGCCATGTCTATATTCTACCTATATTGAGCAGCATTTGTGTGATCTTATACAGTTCTATATATGTTTGCGGACTTGGTTTTTACTTTTAAAGAAATCTCTTTTTGTATAAACACAGCTTTGTGGTCCCTTTTTTTTTCTTTTTGAGACGGAGTCTCGCTCTGTCACCCAGGCTGGAGTGCAGTGGTGCAGTCTCAGCTCACTGCAACCTCCACCTCCTGAGTTCACGTCATTCTGCTGCCTCAGCAGCAGTAGCTGGGACTACAGGCCCCCGCCACCATGCCTGGCTAATTTTTTTTGTATTTTTAGTAGAGACAGGGTTTCACCATGTTAGCCAGGATGGTCTTGATCTCCTGACCTCGTGATCTGCCCGCCTCAGCCTCCCAAAGTGCTGGGATTACAGGTGTGAGCCACCGCACCCAGTAGTGATCCCCTTCTTAAAAGGCTTGACTCATCATGTAATTGTTTATTTGCAAGATAGATAGTTTATATATAATAATACTATTACTGTATTTCTTTTGCCATGTTAATATGGCGACACTTTACAAAAAGCAAGAAATAGTGATTCTTTACCTCTTTGTATCTTTATTTATTTCATCAAATGGTTCCTTGCCAAGAAGAAAAGCAAAATGCAAAATAACCTCAGAACATTTACAGGGTCTTATCCACCTGTGCCCTCCCTAAACCCAATACAGACTCTGACTCAGACTAAATATTCAACATATCTTCACTGAATGAAGAGCAGAGAGGGGCCAAGTAGGACAAAGACCATTTCTAACTATGCACAAGAGGAGTTAGCCCATATGTTCCCAATGACTCCTTAGTCACCCCTCAGAAGGTTTGTTCATGGTGGCTACAAGTTCAATATAAAATGTTACAGTTTAAAACTCATATTTCCTATAACTTTATATTAATATCACGTTACCTTGAATTTACATACAGTTGTATGTTTTCTTCTTTTAGAGTTGGGTCACAACTGTTATTTTACTCATCTTTCCTCTGCTAAAAAATATTTTCATTGATAATAAACTCCAGGATGCCCCTTTGATAGACCATCTTGAAATTTTAAAGAAAGCCCTCAAGTCACTCCTGTTACAGAAGGACCCTCTTCCCATTGATCTTTATTGGAATATCCCCAGGGCCACAGGTGTAGCTAGTGTGTTCCTGGGTCTGCAGCATGAATGAGGTTGGTTTCAGGAACTATGCTATAGGCGTCACTCCAGAGACTGATGTGGGTAAGAAAGATCCCATAGATTGAGGTCATTCGTGGTAACTGTGCAATGGTTATCTGTGATGAGCTCTTGTTCAAAAATAAAAATAGCACCTGTTGGCTGTTTCCAGTAATGAGCCAAAGCCACGAATATGATGCCTCTAATTGGATTGTTCAAATTTCTGGTTGAACCTGTGAATTTGCTTTGAAATGGTTTATTCTGGAGATTGTAAATCTACCACAATCCATTGTAATTTTTGCCATGTAGACATAGTCCAAGTTTTCTGCTGCAGTAATGTTGAACCAGATGTTCAAAGTGTAAAATCTACCAAAGAATTCTGGCCTTCAGCCCTTCAGGCTGGTAGCTTCAGCCTGGCTTAATTCACATTTTTGCATTTCTCTTATGTTTCTGGCCACAAAGATGTTTTTCTTGTTTTTTAATTGCAGCTGTTTTAATTTTCTCTTTTTAGCATTTTATTTATCATCACTAGAGACTGGAGTCATGGGTGAAGTATGATCACCTCCAACTATTTTGACTGGAAGCTCTAGAGTTGCTTTCAACTGACTTTTAAGTCTAGGGTCATCTTTGAGCCTGCCTTCATCATTTTATTACAATAGTTATTTCAATAGATATCTTTATATCAACTGATCTTTACTTAACTGACTTATTATATCACTGAAATCTGAAATACATGTAATGAGACATTCCACATGTTAAGTTCTCTCCTTCAGCAGATTCTCATTAGTAAGCCTGTATACTTCCATGCCCATAAAATGAGTTGTCTACGTTCTAGCAGTCGCTTGTGTATGTTCCTAAATCTGCTTATGTGGCTATTTTATTTACAGCATTTATAAAATTGGATTAAAATAAACTAACGAATTAAATATGAATATGAAAATAAACAGCTGTTTTCATGGAAATTGCATTGATGTGGATTCTTCTGAAGGCATGTCCCTAAAGAACCTGCCAACAAATTCTGTAAAGGTAATGTAACTGCAAACGTTTTGGGGGAAAAATAAAAGCCAGAGTAGAAGATTGTGTCCACATTGCTTAGCAAGTGCCTTAGAGTTCTGATTCTGCTTCCAAGGGACTGAACCTGGAAACTGAGGATAATACATGTGGGTGTGGTTAATGCAAAAGAGTCATTAGAAAGAAGAGAGACTCGAACTCAAAGAAAACATTCTGGCATTATGTTGAAAATTTGTCATCGGGTGTATGTTTATAGGTTTGAAGTTAAAAGAAAATGCTTAAGGGATATGTGCTTTATATTTTGTAATTCCTTTTTTCAGCTCTAGTTTTAATTACCCAATCAAACTATGGCAGATGTAAGAGCTTCTTCTATATTTCTAAATGTGAAACTTACCCAGGCTACAGAATAAAATCTTGGCCGGGCATGGTGGCTCACGCCTGTAATCCCAGCACTTTGGGAGGCCGAGGCAGGCGATTACCTGAGGTCCGGAGTTCAAGACCAGCCTGACCAACATGGAGAAACCCCGTCTCTACTAAAAGTACAAAATTAGCCAGGCGTGGTGGGGCATGCCTGTAGTCCCAGCTACTTGGGAGGCAGAGGCAGAAGAATTGTTTGAATCCAGGAAGTGGAGGTTGCTGTGAGCCGAGATTGCGCCATTGCACTCCAGCCTGGGCAACGAGAGCAAAACTCCATCTCAAAACAAAATTAAATGAAATTAAAATTAAAAAAATAAAATCTTATTTTCTGCTCAGCACTTTACATTTCATGTCTCATGTGAAGACTATTTCTCTCATTAAAAATTCCTCTCCAATGTTCGTTTTTCAAAATCCTATTTAAAGTTCACCTCTTCCAGGAAGACTTCTCTGATTAATCTCATCTGTATTTTTGTTGCCTCTGCCTTATATCCCTTTAGCATACATGGGCTCAATTTGCCTCATCTCAGTTGCTTATTCTTTTTATGTTCTTCCAAGTATTATATGCTTTTCTTATCTGTGAGGTTGGTTGGTCTCCCTAAATAGACTACACATTTTTCTAAGGCAAATACTGCTTCTTCTCTACTTTGAAATTTCCCTTAGTGTTTTGATAGTACCCTTTATAAAGTGAGGTTACTCGATGTATCTTTACTGACCTATTATTTTAGAGATTTAATTGAATGGATTAAATAAATGACTTAATATACACAGATATCTTCCTTCCTTTCAAATCCCAGTTTTGAGGAAGGCATAAGCAGCTCCCTCAAGCACATTATTTCTATCCCAAAAGCTATAAAAATTTGGTCAGAGAAATGTAAACAATTTGAATTAATTTATTAGTGAGATAATATAAAAGACGTCTTAACCAGTTAACCGTGTCAATAAAGGCTTTATAAGTTCAAAAGTTCACAGCTGGTTTGGAAATTATGTTCCAGGTTACGGCAGTTATAGAGGCAGAAAAAATCTTCCAACATAATTCTACCCTTTCTGTCTCTGTTTTAAAACAAAATTTCTGGTTGGAGGAGAAGAGAATTATCTGGGAAAACGAAGTGTATGTCTTCCGAGATCCCTTGCCAACTGACGACAAACTGCTTACCTTGACTGTCAGAGTCAATGTGGTTTCCATAATGTCCAGCTTATGTCTGAAAGCAAGATATAAACTTAGGAACTGGCCCAGAGAGCAGTTTATTTATTAAATTGTGTGATATCAGAACAGAGTTTAATTCTAATAGAGTTCTCTGTCATTTCAAGTAATCCCATTTCACAGATTGCAGAACTGATTAAGTCAAATCTGGATTCATTTAGCAGAATTTTATCTTTCCAAACCATAGCACCTTAGGGTTTGGAGGCAGCACTTGGTGGAAAATAACGTATTTATTCATCTTTATGCAATACTTTGTCCTAGCTGAAATAAGCAAGCTAGTAAGAAGTTTGTCTTTGAAGTGGTCATCAAGTTTGAGGCACAGAGAATACCCAGGGGAATTTTATTCTATTTTATTTTTGAGACAGGGTCTGGTTCCATCACCCAGGCTGGAGTGCAGTGGCGCAATCTCAGCTCACTGCAACCTCTGCCTTCCAGGTTCAAGCAATTCTGCTACCTCAGCCTCCTTAGTAGGTGGGATTACAGGCGCGTGCCACCACGCCTGGCTAATTTTTGTAGTTTCAGTAGAGATGGGGTTTCTCCATGTTAGCTAGGCTGGCCTTGAACTCCTGACCTCAGGTGATCGCCCGCCTCAGCCTTCCAAAGTGCCAGGATTACAAGCGTGAGCCACCGTGCCTGGCCTTTCAATCTTCAACATTGAGAATGTGGGTTTGATTTTTAAATGGAAGCAGAGGGAAAACAACATTTACTTTAAACACACTTCTTTTGGAAGCCACCCTTGCTAAGGACACTGCTTCTATAAAGGAGAGAATCGTGTTTCTATTTCTGTTACCAATCAAGCTGCTTCAAAACTACTTTCACGGTTCAAGTATGGGCTTTTAGGTTTCCTTCCCATGAACAACATTTCCAGGTAATATATTCAATGGAAAGGGACCAGGTGGTATAAACTTTCACCTAAAAACTTTAATATAAACATGGAGGAGTCTCAGAAAACAAATAGGTATCCCAAACACCAGTCTGGACAAATACCACCTTCTGACTAAAAGGAAATGCAGAAGTAGTTTTATGACATGTTCCTACCCTTCTCACCAGCCATAAAAACCTTAATATTCCTCTTAGATTCTTAGGGAAGGGACTAGAGGCCACCTATAAGATTACACTTACTTCCTAGACTCCAGACAAATTTTCCATTTCTATGCCCAGACACTTTCCTGCTTCTGACTCAGCCACTCCTTGCCTCCCTTACTTCAAAATTGACTCCACAGGATGGTAGAACATCTACTGACAACGTCTAATCCTCCCACTTACTGAGTAATGATTTTTTGTTTTTGTTTTGTTTTTCATTTTATGAGGACTTATTTCCCACATATCCTTCACTGCTTCCCTGAAAGGACTCATGGGCTCTGATACGTGTCTCCAGGAAAAAGCTTAACCCCATCCACCCCGATCCCAAGCGTTACCCTCTGTTTCTCATCCCTGTAGCTCAGGAGGTGCTTACAAGCAGCTACAAAAGGTTACTATTTCCATCTCATTGAATTGCTAGGAATTACTGAATTTCCCCATGTGGCCACTTGTACCTATTTTCTGATGTTTCCAAAGATGACAGCCAATCCCTGAAATCATTTCATTCGTTAAGACACAAATTTATTATCACCATGTAAATTATATATTTGATTCAAAATCCATGCTAAATGGAAAAATTAGATTATTACTATCATCCTGCATAGATTTTATTATTAATTTGCTCATTTAAAATTTAATAATTCAAGGTGGGTCAAATAAATTATTTACAATTGTATTCTGCCCTGAGACACAAATCCAGCATATCTTCAGGTATGCAATTACTCATCGTATACAGCTTCTTTAGAAGTCAAGGGGCTGCCTGGCAAGTAATTATAGGTGAATATGGGGCCACTGATCATTAATTATCAGGCATCAGTTTGGGATTAATTTAAGTCAAATAGGTTGTTTAAACTACAGTTACAGTAGAAGAACACTAGATGCCTTAATATCCAAATTGTACTTCTGATGTGATCATGGGAAAAATAAGGGGCTGAACAATTTCTCAGTAACAAATTTACAAAGGGTCAACTGAGGGGTTTGAGGAGATTGGGGGTACTTAACATATTTTACCCCACAAGAAGGCAAATGCCTTTTAAGCACACATTTCTGGCCATCCCTACAGTAACGTGTAACCTAATAAAGAGCCAGTGCTCCCCAGCTTCCCATTGTCTGGGTAGAGTTGTTTATCTTTCTTTAGCAAGCTCTGCAGAAAGAAGAGCAGTTTTCCAAAACTTAGATGAACAGTCTGGGTTTACAAAATAGCATTTTGGTTTTCTCACAGTAGCAATTTTAGGCGACACTAGTGCTCGGCTAGAAAGCTGAACACAAGTTATAAACAACCATTCACATAACCACCGGGTGGACATTATGATGGAGCCAACTTTTATGTTCAACATCTCCATTGTGAAACCAGTTTGGTATCTGGTTTTGTAAAAGCAGAAGTCAGTTTGTGCAGGGGGTGCTGAGGTGGATTTCTTGCTGTGCTCAGCAGCAAGCTGAATTAGTTATATCCAAATGCAGGTTGAGATGAAGAAAGGAAGTTAAAGCAGTACTCCAAAGACAGCTTGGTCAAAGGAAGGGCAGATGGAGACTGGAATGAGAGAACTGCCACAAAGGGGTGCAGATCTGCCAGGGAAGCACTGCCCAACCCTTCGGTGGGCTACCAGAAGTGCTTGTCCCTGGAAATAACTGATCAGGTGTTATAGAGCTGTTTTCTTCTAAAAGAGACTAATACGACTTCAAAGTTTATTTTAATGGTGCATCCTGTTTGAAGACAGTGCTAGCTCCATTTTAAATAATTTGCCTTCTTTACATAGGATACTCCTGTAGCTAATAATATAAACAATTTACAACCACAAGCTGGGAACAGGCAATGTGAGTGGATTCAAACCCATTCTGGGAATGCACTCAGTTTTTCATTTCCTTTTTTCCATATATATGTATCACCAGCATTTAATCTTCTTCATCCTTTTCCAATTAATACAATAGAACATAAATGTATATGTAATGCCTATTGTCCTTTAAATTATTTTCAATGCATAAAAATTCCAACCTACACAATTTATTAGTGGAATAAAACTATATTTGCTATGCACCCATATTAATTTAATTTTTAACAGACTTCTATAAGTAAATCCACTTCTTTTTCTTTGTCTTATAAGAATTAGAATTGTAACTGGGTCAATAGATGAATTTTTTGCTAAAATCCTGGAAAACTGAGTTTGGCTTTTTAAAAAATCTCCTCCAGCTGGGTAGGAAGTGATACCCTCTGTTCGGCAGCCAGTTAACATAACAAGATACATATCAATATTATAATTCAGCAGGCATATTGAAGGAAAAAAAGTAAAACAAGTAGTTTTCTTTGATGTAAATAAGCATACCAGAGGTACATGAGAAAGGAGGAGGAGACTTTGAAAAGAAAATAGAAAAATGGAGGTGGAATGGGAGAGTAAAAGAAGGAAGAGGAATGGGAGAGGGAAAGGGGACATTAGTATGAGGCTCCATAGTTGACAAACAGGCAGCTGAAAAACTTTCTTCCCAAGATCGTAGTTGTTCAACACCAACACCATCCCATAACTTCCTAGACCCTCAGATTTATACTCATGCTGTGCCAGTTTCAACTTGACTGATCTTTTCAGAGCCAGGTAAATTTTGTTTTCAGAGCATCTATACCACCTGGAGATGTCTAATCTCTTAAATGTTAGACTCCCTAGCACGGCTAGTCAGCTTTTCAGACATGTCACAAGGAGCAATACGAACAAAATATAGTTAAGAAATAAGAATGACACAGATTGCAAACACTATATAAGATCAGAGGTGAAAAGTTATGAAGTGCCCTGTGGGAAACAAGAAAAAGAGTAGTAAGTAGCTGGGGCTAACTACTCGTGCCTGCCTCTGCAACAGGTCTACAACAGAGCTGCAGAAACTAGCCTTTCATTTGATCAGGAGGAGTAAAGACATTTTAGCCACCATTTTCTTACCTTTCCCACTCAGCCTCAGTGCCCAGATCTAATAGATGTTTCTATATCTGGTTCCTGGAGATTTAGACGTTAGGAGTAATAAGGCATCTAGCCCTAAAATGGAGACATTTGTATTTTGTCCTTGCTGCTCCTCCTCTTCATTTCTGCACAATAACCCTGGGTCTGAGGACAGATGGTAAAAGGTCTCAGCAATCATATAGAAAACCCTTATCTTAATGCAGTGGGCCTCATATGTAGTGGACACAGCCAAATCAAGCCTTAACATCTATTGACAACTAGCCTTCACAGGGGCTTTCTAGACAGGAGGAAATAGAGAGCTCTGCTTCCAGGGAAGCCAAGGAGGGAGGAAGAGACCTGAGTCCAACAGAATCAAGGAGGCAATGAATTTCACCAGCTGTTACCCACTGCCATTCCTGCTGACTAAACAGCTCCCCCTAACGAATGGAGAAGATTCAGCCCTCACCTTGACAATGAGCTTGGCCACAATTTTCTGCTTGATTCTTATCCCTTTAACAGATGCAAGGAAGGGTAACCAGAGATTTGAGGACTTCTCTTTACCACCCCCTGCAACTCCAATGGGATTTCTTCCATGAGCCAATTTGTGGATTCTCATCCCATTGTTTTCTCTTCCAAATAAATGTTTCAGTTCCTTAGCTTAATACTCTTTCCATTTATTATGGATAATACAGAGAAGTCGTTATTAACATACGTACTTAATATTGATGGTGAATAAGTTGGGAGCTCCAGCGAATGTTATCCTTTTTATTTGCTAGTATTCAGCATTCTTTGCCCTAGTGCATGTCCAAAATACAGTTGCTTTCTGCCAGCTAATCTGGACATCTGCTGTGCTTCAGTGTTTAGCCATTATATGGACAACAAGTTATTTACTGCTGAACAGAGTTTCGCCATGACCCCTGCTCATGGTCATGCCTAAAGGCCCAGTGAAATGAGAGAAACCAATTACTTGCCTTTATCCAACGAAAAGGTTAGCTTTTCCATTTAGATTGTTTGTTCAAAAGCTAGGGAAACTTTTATACTAGAGAAAACACAGGCTTTGGTAACAATTAGAAAACAACAACAACCCTGTATGAAACAGAGCCTGGAATTTGCCAGGAAACATCACCAATAACAATAGTTCAGTAGCTATGTGATAAATTAAATAATAATATTCAGTTACAAGGTTGATAAACACCCAACTTACTCATCACATATGGACGTCTCATAATGTACTATAAAGGTAAATTCAATGTGTATGTGGATGGGTTTATTAGAAAAGTGGGATAGGGGAACACTGTTTTTTCCCTTTCTCACTTTCTCATCCTCTACAAAGGCCCTTTTTGCTCACTCCAGGTCTCCAGCATCCAATGACATTGGGTTCTCCTCCCTCTTAAACAAGAAACTCTCTGAAAAGATGCTGATCATAGTCATGCATAAGAGTTAATATATGTCATTATGTATGTCATATATGGGGTATATTGCATTTTTAGTTATCTATGGCTTCTGTCCAAGTTTCTTTTAAAAATACAAGCATTGAGAAACACGCAAAGGCAGGGTGGAGAGGAGCTCTCCTGTCTACTAAAATCCCACTGCCCATGTGGCAACTATGACAAGCACAAGTGGGGGGCCATATCAACAGCACCTGAGATGGCACCTTAGGACCACCCTGGATATTATGGGCTCCATAGTCACATATCCCTGGTTATTCACCCCTTGATTATTGTCATTGTGCCAGACAATGCAGTGCAAGAAGCAGGTGCTTCACAATAAGATTAGAGGTGGCAATGAAGCTCTCTGAAAGCCAGGCAGAGGAAGTAAAAGCTGAGATAGATTTCATGCCTGTGTGTTCTTGGTAGAATTACTGTTCCGTGATCTAAGTTTGGCATTTGGTGACCTTGTCATCAAAGAGCTGGAAGTTAGGAATTAAAGTTATGTTTCTTGTGACACACAATCTGGATTCTATTTCTTTCCTTAAGCCTGAAAATGACCCTGGGCAGTCCTATGATTATCGACTAGAATTAGCAGTGGAAGATGGTCTAGTGAAAACGTAGCTTGGGTGGCAGTAGGATAACATTTATAAGTATCCTGGAGGGAGTTGCTGGAGTTTTAGGGGCAAAGTTTAATGTGGCTGTTTCTTTCCCTTTTGGAACCTGAGGTTACAAAATAAACAACATTGTGGTTTTATTAAAACACTAAATACATGGTGATTTTCCACTGACATTTACCTAATCATGGGAAAGAGTGTACCAAAGGGGCTCAGAGAGCCCCTGCAGATGTGTGCTTTGTAAGCTGTAGCATCAGCAAACATTTGCAGCAGAGGCAGGAAGGTGAGCTAAATAGGGAGCTCTCAGGTTGTGCGTATTTTGAGGCTAACTAAATATGGAGACAGCTTCTGCTTTCCAACTATTTCATCAGGTCCAGTTCTACCTTTGCAAGTAAAAAGAACAAAGAATGTCCATGTTATTTCATCCATCAGTTTGAGTATGTGAAATTTTAAGATTTCCTGTCAGAGAGTGTCCCAGGCCAGGTATGTCTGATCTCTTCCTTGCCTGAAGATGAGGAGAGGCTTGGGAGTGGTGCCAACCAAATGACCTGGGGTTCCAGGTCTGAATTTGATTCTAGCAGTATATGGCTACTAAGAAGAACTATAAACAGATGAAGCTAGAGGCTGGGTGCCATCTGAAGCAAGAGTTCTAAGGTCAAAACCATTGCAGCCAAAGCTTTCACCAAGTCCAAGCAATCAGTGAAGAGCTGAGGACTGGGGATGAAACTGAAAAAGGTAGAATTGCTACAGGCAAATACACTACATTGTAGTGGTTGGCAGTGCCTGCATGGGGACTGGCAATGTGGGCTTCAACATTGACTTCAACTACTAACACGTTGTGTGACCTTAAACACGTTACTGGACCTGGCTAAGCTTCTATTTCCTCATCTATAAACGGGGAAAGTATAACTGCTGTGTCATTGCATGGTTGTCATCAATGAGAAAATATTTGTAAAGCATTCAGCATAGGCCTGACAAGCAACTAAGCACTCAATAAATATTTTCTATGATGATCATCATCATCAAATGCAAAACAGAGCAAGAAGCAGAAAAAGTGACCTAAAGCATTATCTCTAGATGCTTAAGATGACCAGATTTTTTTTAATGGCTCACAAGTTGTATGGGGATATTCTCATCTCGGAAACATGGCACGCGAGGGTCAACAAGTTGCTCAGTACCACATATGCAGGGACAGAAATAGTGCATATGTGATAGCACTGAAGGGTACCTGAGGCTCCTACACATGAACAGTGTCTTCCTTCTACCCTTCCTGGAGTTTCTGGCATTTGCACCACTTTTAAAAGAGTTTTCTTAAGAAGGTATATCATTTCATTAATTTGGAGTGGAATCTTAATTGGGAGAAGAGAGTGATCAACACATGTAATATTTCATAAGCATGATGGTTAGCAGACACATTAGTTTGATTCATTTGTTTGATTAATCTATCACATAATAGTTCATTTATGTTATTCAACAGAATTTTCTGCCTATGTGTAAGCCATGAAGATAGGAGTTAAACATGTGTCATCCTTACCTGGCAGAAAACTGGACTGTGAGGGCACGTTTGTAATGAATGAGCATTACAATGGACAGCAAAATGTCTCCAAAATGCCATCCTAAGCTAAGAACTTGGTTTAATGAAATACCTGGATACTGGCTTTTCATAAACTGTGGCCCTAAAGGAAAAGTACATGAGAGTCCATATTGATTTGGGGAACTCTAAGCTAATATGATGTTTGGCATTCCTTGTTTCATTTGGCACTGGACTCATTAAAAAGGTCATGCCCAGCATCTAGGAACTGACTGGCGGGACGTCTTACCTTCTGTATCAGAGTCCTTTATAAAGCAACCCTGAACTACATCATTCCCTTTGTTCCTTTCCACATTATCCTCCAGTCTTTCCTCACCATCAAATAAACATAATACATTATTTATTTATTTATTTTGAGATGGAGTCTCGCTCTGTCACCCAGGCTGGAGTGCAGTGGCACGATCTCAGCTCACTGCAACCTCCACCTTAGGGAGTCAAACGATTCTCCTGCTCCTGCCTCAGCTTTATGAGTAGCTGGGACTACTGGCGCGTGCTGCCACACCCATCAAATTTTTTTTTTTTTTTTTTTTTTTTTTTAAGTAGAGACGGCGCTTTACCATGTTGGACAGATTGGTCTCAAACTCCTGACCTCAAGTGATCCACCCACCTTGGCCTCCCAAAATGCTAGGATTACAGGCGTGAGCCACCGCACCCAGCCCATAATATCTTCTTTATATCATTATCACTACCTTTCTTTTTTGTTTTTGAGACAGAGTCTGTCTCTGTCACCCAGGCTGCAGTGCAGTGGCTCGATGTCGGCTCACTGCAACCTCTGCCTCCCACGCTCAAGCCATCCTTTCACCTCAGCCTTCTGAGTAGCTGGGACTATATGCATGAACCATCAAGCCTGGCTAATTTTCATATTTTTAGTAGAGACAAGTTCTTACTTTGTTGCCCAGGCTGGTTTTCAACTCCTGAGCTCAACTGCTCCACTAACCTCGGCCTCTGAAAGTGCTGAAATTACAGGTGTGAACCACAGATCACTACCCTTTAATTTATGAAAATTTCTCCCTACTTTTCTCATCATAAACCTGACAAGCCCTCAGTTTTTCAAGTTATTCTTGAAATCCCAAAAGACTTTAAGTATTGAAGAGTGAAGGACTGAAACCTTGAGAATGACCAGGTTGCCCTTTGCCAGAAGAAACAAGCCAAACTCAGTTGGTTTATGTGTGAGTTCTACCTCTTACTGGCTGTATAATCAGGCTGATTACATAACATATGTGGACCTCTGTTTTTTCATCTGCAAAATGGGGATAATAAGAGCATCTCTTTCACAGAGCTGAGTCAATCCAATGCAATGTGCTTAAAACAGTTGCTGGTATTCAAGCATTTCTGGTTTTCAAGCATTCAATTAGTACAAGCTATTTTCATATTTATTTTGCAGTAGATGCCTCATGAAAAAATGTGACTGCTTACTGCTCATTGTATGTAGATTATCTAGTCAGGATCATGGTATCTCACTATCTGAAGATTTTCTCTATGGCTAGGAACTTCCTTTATTCTTATGTCAATAACGTATACTTTAGCAGGTGCTGGTAATCCAACACAATTCTAATGTACTAACCTTTTATGTATATTGTAACATACATCAGTGATTACTACAATGATCAGTAAAGTTCAAAAATGAATCACATTTCATCCTAATCGGTATCTTATAGTAAAAGGAAAAAAGAAGAATCATTACTTTTGAATTTTAATGGGAGAATTTAAAGTCTTGATAACAGATTGGGATTCAAATTTTCACTCTAAGCCCAACATAGTAGCTGAAACATCAGCAATAATGGAAAGATGTGGGACGACAATTTTCTAAGATTTTTAAAAATATATAAACTATTGTCTTTTTCCCCTTGAAAATTTCAGTAGATTGTGAAAGTGTCAAACAATTCAAAGAAGTTGCTTCAAAACCCTCTGAGCTCTAAGCCAGATGCAACTTTCGACAATGTTTTTACTGAATTATAACACACATACAGAAAAGTGCAGAAATCACAGGCACATCTTTCAATTTATATTCACAAACAGAACAGTCCCATGTCACCAGTTCTAGATTACGACCAGCACTCCAGAAGCCACTTAAATGCCCTTTCATTTCCCTACCCTCTGACAGTAACCACTATCTTGATATCTAACACCAGCAACTGTTTTGCCTGTTTTAACTTTTATACATGGAACCATAGGTAGTTATCTGGCTTATTTTGCTCCACATTATGACACTGGCCCACAATGTGTTTCCTTCAAGTTACTTGTAGATTAAAGTAACAGTGTAGCTCTCCATCCAAGAACCCACAGATTATTAGGGATGTTTGGTGTGATCCTTGAGGTTCTAAAGGGATCAAGAAGCATCTCTAAGGACGACTGCATCTCTCTCCAGGGGAAATCTGAGGAAATGTTCAACGCTAGGAAGTAGAAGAAAGTCAGACACTTTTGATCAGATGACTCTCCAATTCTTGCTGTTACTCTGGTACAGACTTTGAGCTTTCAGTTATGTATTTGTAAAAATGGAAATTGTAGGGTCTGGAAATATAATACAAGGATTAGTATTATTGAACTCCTACTATGTGCCCAAAATGTAGTTCAATAAAGGCTAATTTCGGGCGTAGTGGCGGGCGCCTGTAGTCCCAGCTACTTGGGAGGCTGAGGCAGGAGAATGGCGTGAACCCGGGAGGCGGAGCTTGCAGTGAGCCGAGATCCCGCCACTGCACTCCAGCCTGGGCGACAGAGCGAGACTCCGTCTCAAAAAAAATAAATAAATAAATAAATAAAGGCTAATTTTCTTGCCCTCTGTGAAAAGGCAAAAGATATCCAAAAGAGTGGCCTGGATTGTGTGGAGTGGGTATGTGAGGGAAGTGAAAAAAGGAGCCAGGAAAACCTACTTTGTTGCCTAATGATGGTGTTGGAGAATGAGATTTATGGCATGCTTTTATGGCTATGAGACTCAAGGCTTTCTGACCACCGGCTGATGGAGCTGCCTTCATCTCATCCAGCTGCCTCCCTGAATCACTGCATGGGCAGAGGCTTGGGGCTTGCCAAAGCTGGGGAGCCTGGCACAGCGCTGCTGGTATTTCATGTCTTAGAGATGACTATTGCAATGGCTTCAGTGTTGCATACTGGTAGCTAAATACAAAGATGAAATGCTGAGTGCACCTTTGGAAAGAGATCAGAAAGGCTAATAAAAGGCTTGTTCTTCTACTATTTTATGTTGGACTCAAACATTATGTTCAAGTCACACACCAAATGTTCTTCTGAAAAAAAAAAAAGGAGCATTAAGCCACAGGGGGCCCTTGGTCTCCCAGAAGTGTCCTCATCTTGTCAAAGCTAAACTGGAATTTTTGACTATGAGCCAAGACTTGTCATCAAAAAAGCAGAAAGCATCGCTCCAACATTCTTTAATTAAGATGTTAAAGAGATGCCTATGTTGTCAACTTAAATACAGATTGCAGTATTATTTAATAATGAAGCCAATTGTATTAAACTCTCTCTCTCTTTCTCTCTCTCTGTGTGTGTGTGTGTGTGTGTGTGTGTGTGTGTGTGCGCGCGCGCGCGCGTGTGAGCGTGCGTGTTTAGGGGAAGGGGAGAATACTCATAATGGCAAAATCACAGAATAACAGTTTTCCTTTCCACCATTTCCCTTCAAAATAGCTTAAGGCAACTTTAAGCTATAGTTTAGGAAAAAATAAAATTATAATAAAGCAATGAACAGAAACCAGAAATTAAATGCCCCATAGCTGAGTATACAAGAAGGCAGTAGAACTTTAAAAAATGTGGTTAATTGATGTGAGAAGACAAAATACTTAGGATTTGCTGATTATCTTCTGATTTCAGTGTTGCCAGTACCAAGTAGGTCTCTAAATGACCTGAGGGTTGCTGTCTAGCAAATGCAGACTAGTTATTAATAATCTATTCAGAGTAGGATTATGGAGAAATCTGGACTGTAGGCTTTGTGAAATTTGCAATAATAATAGTAATTTGAAGAAGGGGGGGAAGGAGGACAGTCAGGGAAAGGGAAGAAGCAGAAGCGTAGGAAGATCCACCAACAGTTATTGTGCAATTACTAAGTAGCAGACACTCTGGCAGGTGAATTATAGCAAACACTGTCTCATGTCAAACTCACCCCAACTCTATGAGGCAGATGCTATTATTAATTCCGTTAAAGAGCTGATGAAACAGATGTAAACAGAGGCTAAATAACCTTAAGAGATGAGTCATGCATGCCCATTCTAGAGTCCATGCTCTGAAACACTATTTTGCTGCCACCACAAGCAAGACAGAGCCTTATTGGCTGTCATTTTTCTGACTAGAGCCCACCTGGCTAAGCAGTCAGTACTGAATCCATTTCTTGATAAATTTTCCCTTAGCCTCCAAAGAGTTTAACAAGGATTCTATGTGATCTGGCCCTACCCTACCTTTCTAACTCTATCTTTCCTTACACGCTTTCTTGCCTATACTCACTGTCCCCATTGCTTTTAGCGCTGAGGAATCTCTGCCCTCCATAAGCTGTGCTCTTTATAAACTTACGTCTTTTTACACAAACATTCCTCTTCCTGAAATTCTTCATTCACTCCATGTAATATCAACTCATCCCTCAAGACCAAGGTCTAATGTCATCTCCTCTATGAAGTCTCCCTTGATTCTTTCAAGCAAGTTAATAGTTCTCTTCTCTGTTTCCCAACTGTACTCTATGCATACCTCAAATATAGTCTTAGGGCCTGCAGTGTAATTTTCCTGTCTTTATTTATTTCCCTTTGACACAGAGTACTTTTTAACAGGCAGGGACTATATCCTCATCTCCGAACTCTTACTATGTGTTACTGAACAGATTACCACCTTTGTCCCTGAAGAACAGACATACCCAGAGCTGCCACACGTGGCTTTGCAGGTTCACACTGTACAACTCCAGAAGGTGCCACCCTTAATAATACAATATGAATGGCTCCCCTGAAGTCACAGTGCACTCTCTGTATCCAAACACAACAGCCTGGTATCAACAATAAGATATTTACCAATAGGGACGCATATGATACAAATAGACTAAGAGCTGTGGCACAGGGCATGTACTATGTATAAATAACAGATCAGAGTGACACAATTTTGAATTTGAGTCCGAATCTTTATCATTTGTGATCAGTTTTGTCCCAGTTTGAATAAAACATTGACCCTGTAAAAAAGGAGGTCAGTTCATAACTGACCCAGGTCATCGTCAAACATCTCCTAAATGTAATATGCTCTGGAAAAAAACGTGGTAGGTTCTGTTTCTTTCTTTCTTTCTTTTCTATCTTTCTTTCTTTCTCTTTCTTTCTTTTCTCTCTCTCTCTCTCTCTCTCTCTCTCTCTCTCCTCTCTCTCTCTCTCTTTCTTTCTTTCTTTGAGATGGAGTCTTGCTCTGTTGCCTAGGCTGGAGTGCAGTGGCGTGATCTCGGCTCACTGCAACCTCTGCCTCCCGGGTTCACACAATTCTCCTACCTCAGCCTCCCGAATAGCTGGGATTACAGGCACCTGCCACCATGCCCGGCTAATTTTTCTATTTTTAGTAGAGACAGGGTTTCACCATGTTGGCCAGGCTGGTCTTGAACTCCTGACTTCAGGTGATCCACCCACCTCGGCCTCTCAAAGTGCTGGGATTACAGACGTAAGCCACCATGCCCGGCCCGGATTCTGTTTTTAATACTGTGTCTAACATGGCTCAGGCATCAGCAGACTAGTTTCATCATAAATATATGGAAAATTGACCCAGTCAAGAGATTAGACGCTGATTTAGAAACAAATTTCTATCTGGGAAAGAGATATTCACAGCCCTTCTAATCACCACAGAGGAGTTCTTTGGGCTGCAGTGGGGGTGATCCACCTGCGGGAGTCCCTGGGCACTGTTGTAGGGCAGGGACATGAAGATTATTCACACTTCATCAAGCAAAACTTCAAACCCCAGGAAGAGGCAAAAGTGCATATGCTAAGCAAGGGAGAAAACAATCCAAACTGTGTGCAAAGCATAAATAAAATTGGCTTTCCAGTTTTAACCTTGCCTCGCCAGGCTGTCATCTTAAGGCCTGATGATCAGCAGGTCGTCTCTTTTGCTCAGGTCCATTCCTAATGAAGGTTCTGTCTGTGGGATATCCTCTCGGAGCCTTTTAGGCCCTTCCAGGCCAGCTGAAGGGCTAATGATTGGAAGCTGCTTTTAATTTCCTCCCAACTTCCCTTTTGTTATCTTGCTGCCTGCCATCTCTCAGATGCTTGTACTTGATGGATGCTGTGGAGATAAAGATAAGGGTAATTTCTTGCCTACCATGCTTTTCTTTTGATCTTTTGTGGTTTTATTTTTGCACTTTGGAGTGCAATACTCCTACTGTGCAGCCAGATGTGCCCAGATCCTATTGAGATACAGCTCAGAGCACACAGACCACAGCAAGAGTGTTCTGAGATGGCTGGAATCATTTGTGTCCTGAATCTGGGTTGGGGGATGGGGAGGAGGGTGGCAGTAGGGGGACGAGGGGAGGGGATAGGAAGTACGTGTGAGGCTTAAGATGAGAAAGCATTGGGGGAGGGGCACTGGAAAGAGGCCGTGGAGTGATGGGATGGTTGGCTGCCTCCTCTACTCACAGTGTTAAGCGATGTATTTTAGGGAACTGGATTCTATGTTGCATTCTATGTTGGTTACATAGAAAACAAATCACAGCTACTGTACGAAATTCCACATGTGCAGCGCACAGCTATAAATAATGGTAATTATGCTGCTGCTTCTCCAGCATCTTGCATGTTGACCCTGAGCAGGTCCCTGGAGCTAGCCTATTTGAACTAAAAATTCCCTTTAGACCTTTTCTTCTATGGTCTCTGGCATCTTTCGAGTGACTGATTATGAGACAGTCATGTAGGCCTTGGTCATTTTGAAGCTGCGATAATATAATCCAGCTGAGCTCCTGCTGCTCATGCATTCAGTCACAGGTGGTTCTGACCTGCAGCTTCAAAGGCATGAAAATAGTTCCACAACCTCCTACCAGGACTTCTTAAAGAAGTTTTGTTTCGGAGCAAGTCTAACTGAGTGATGCTAGGATTAATACGATGAACATGCACTGTCTTGCCTGGCTCAGCTGAACCTGACTCTTAACCCAAAAGTCAATGTCTTAATTTAGTCAGCTTCTGATACGGTTTGGCTGTGTGTCCCCACCCAAATCTCATCTCAAATTGTAATCTTCATGTGTCGAGGGAGGGAGGAGACTGGATTATGGGAGTGGTTTCCCCCACACTGTTCTCCTGATAGTGAGGGAGTTCTCAGGAGAGCTGATGGTTTTATAAGCGTCTGGCATTTCCCCTGCTTGCATTTCTCTCTCTCTTGCCACCTTGTAAAGAAGGTGCCTGCTTCCCCTTCGCCTTCCGCCATGATTATAAGTAAGTTTCCTGAGGCCTCCCAAGCCATGCAGAACTGGAAGTTAATTAAACCTCTTTCCTGTATAAATTACCCAGTCTTGGGTATTTCTTTATAGCAGTATGAAACTAAACGAATACAACTTCCTTCCTGTGGTGGCCATGACCTTCACTTTCCTGACTGTATGCTGTCTGTATCACAGATTTTACCTTGCCCTTGTCACTGGCACAATGATGAAATCGCCCCCTGGTCAGCACTTTCATTCCACTTTCTTTTTACAAATATTCTACTTGCTTTGTATTCTAGGTCATGTTTTGTTTTGTTTTTCTGGGAGTTGAGAACAGGGACAGCTTCACTGGCCTGTCACCTGTGCGGAGAAGGGTCCCATGCCCGGTTTAACTCTCTAAAGATTAATATTACCATCTTGAAATTCTTCAAAAGTTCGGAAAAAGCCACCCCACATGTAATTTACCTTAGAAGCTGAACTCAAATTCATAGACC
Source organism: Homo sapiens (assembly GCF_000001405.40). Classification (NCBI taxonomy): domain Eukaryota; kingdom Metazoa; phylum Chordata; class Mammalia; order Primates; family Hominidae; genus Homo; species Homo sapiens. The sequence goes on along the minus strand of NC_000015.10, from coordinate 47,363,369 downwards.
CCGCCACACCTAAGGTCTGCTTTGTGTTAGGCTCATAATAAGTGTTTCATGGTTATTCAATTTTAGGATTGTGTTCTTAACATAGGGGCTTGGAGTCCAGTCTCTGAAGCCAAATAACTTGGTTTTGAATTTCAGAATCCACCACTGACTAACTCTGTGACCCTGGATAGGTTACCTCTTTATGCCTCAGATCTTCATTTGTAAAAGAGAATAATATTATCTATCTCCTAAAGTGTTCATAAGGATAAGCTGAGTTACAGTACAACTTCATAGAACAGTTTCTAGAATATAGTAAGTGAATACTATTAAAATTATTATTATATTATTATTATTATTTGGAGACTTTTTCTTTCTAATTAAACTTGACCAGCTATAAAGGGCAGCAGTGTTGGGAAGGTTTGCTAAAAAAGTCAGACTAGTTTGGAGGCTTCACAATATAGTCATTAGCATGGAAGAGTTTATACTTTTCCCCAACAGCAAATGAGCAGCATGACACTGTTGCCTTTGGAAGCTCACACTCTCTATAATTCGACAAACTCAGCCTCTCAATCTGCCAGTCCTTCAGTAACAAGAAAATGATGGAGTACTGGCAGTGAAGCTCAGAGGCTTGCAGCTGCCTCCTCCCCCTCTTCCTCAGGCCAGCCACTGTGGGGGCTTCATTATGGCTGGCCACAGCCACTGCTCTCCTCTCCAAACCGGTGGTTAGGAGGCTCCAGAGAGGGCACTCTGCTCTCTTCCCACTGATTACTATGATCTCCAAGAAGCTCAGAGACTAGAGTAGATTTCTTTGGGGCTGGCAAGCTCACATAAGAGGCCTGGGGGGAGGTGTAGTCAGCAGGCATCAGTGCCCGTGTGAGATGGGGACACGGAGAGGCCAGAGTTTAAAGTCATCCTGGTCAGGAGCAGAACGGAGAACCCGGGGCACCTCTGCTGGTTAATCTGTGTTAGGCCAGGTTCCAGTATCATGAAAAAAGATTTTCCTGCCTAGGAAACAAGCATCTCCATTCTTGCTATGGAATCAGGAGGCTCTATATTTATACTGCACGCCATTAGCATACTATTTATCCACTCCTTTCCCAGACTAGTATTGCTATTCTCACAGAGCTTCACCAAGGCAGGCGTGAGTTGTTTCCCCATAATGATTTCCACAGGACTATGTAGCCAGCTGGGCCCTGTCCTTCCTTCCCCTTTCTTTGTGTCTCCATCCCATGCATGCCCCCAACCCCCAACTTCTATGAGAGTTGGCTGGTGACATTTCTCCTTGCCAATTAAGGCAGTCTACTCAACTTTCAATAATTTAGAGAAGGTGACCACAGAAATCAATGTTTTGTAATAAACGGAGAACACATTTATGAAGTCTAATTTACTCTAACAAGCTCATTTTTGTTTTAATGTTTTTAAATCTTGGTAATTCTATTAAATTGGAATTCTTCGAAGAGAGTGTTGCAAGGATAATTACACAGTACAGTTTGTTTCTCAGCCCCAGCTTTACAGAGAAATCAGAAATGGTAGAGTAACACAGTGGAGCTGCTGCAACTTTTTACAAATAAAGAGAACAGCAGCCATAATGCTGGAGAGAGTGGAGGGGCGGGGAGAGGCTGAGTGGAGTGAAGGTAGTCTGCAATAGAGGCACAGGGCCCCCACCAGAGCATGTGCGAGGGAGGCAGATTGGGCTCCTCTCATCATCTGTTCCTCAAATGCGCACTGAGCATTGAATAAATGACGGACACTGGGCTAGCACATTGGGACTGCAACAGGGACAGACAGCCCAAGTCCCTGCCCTCACAGAGCTGCTAGTCTAGCTGGGAGGCAGTGAGTAGTTCTTACTTAGATTTGAGCTGAAAGAGGCAGTAAGAGACTTTCTACTCCAACCTTTCCATTTTATAGATGAAGAATAGAAGCCCATGAAGTATAGGACTTGTAGAAATCATTGTCAGCGCTGAAACATATCCAGAACTCCTAATTTCTAGTTTGATGCTATTTTCCCCCTTTTGATGTGACTCAGGGAATAATAAAACTCGTCCAAAATATCTCCATCAGTGGCCTTATGGGTAGTATCCCTTATCAAGGGGATATGTCCATTTTGACTGAATGAAACCATGGCGTTATCAGAGATGACTGTTCAGGGGGCTGTCACAGAAAAAGAGAGGGATTTCTCTCTCCACATAGCTGGACCCCTAAAATGCAGAGTGGTGAGTGTGGAACTGACAGGCTCTGGGCTCCTAGGATGCAAGAAAGGAAGAAGGAAGAGAACACCCAAAGGAGAAGGTGAGGAAGAAAACAGGAAGAAGGGAAGTCCTAGTAGTTACAAACTACCTACTATGTGCTGCTATGCACATATGCTTCCACAACAAATCCTCATGACAAACCTGCAGAGTTCTGCCTGCTTCTGTTCATGGGGCCATTAGCCAAGAGGCAAAGATGGACCCAAATCCAGGTTGGCTGGTTTCAAAGACAGATGTAAACATATGTTTCAAATATCCACTATATCCCTCTGACAAAATTTCCCAGTATATGGTTTCCTGTGATTTAGTGTTTGATAATAGCCTTACATTTTAGTTTACTTTCTTTCATATTCATTTTATTTTTCTGACTGCTTTCTAAATATGATTAGGGATATTTAATTAATCAGTGGAGGTAGTTGGATAAAAATGTTTTTTGAATTGCCATATGAGGAGAATGGACACCTCCTAAATTTTCCTTTGTGTAAATCTGCATGTTCACAGGTTGAGTTTTCCTGAAACAGGACACCCTTGCTCTCTATTAGCCCCTGATCAATTTTCTCACCTTATGCCTGTAGTCTCATGAAGCACTGTCCTTCTACAATAGTGGTATGTTCCACATCTGTGCTATTCAGTATGATAGCCATTAATCACATGTGGTGACTGAGCATTTGAAATGTGGCCAGTGTGACTCAGAAGCTGAATTTTAAATTTTACCTACCTTGTATTAATTTAAGTGTAAAAAGTCACACTGTGGCTAACAGTTAATGCATTGGAGAGCATGGGTCTAAGGGGTTCTGTCAGCATGTTGCTCCCATAGACTTATGCTTATCTGCTATGCAGGCTCAACATTCACTGGGGGGGAACTGAAGAATGATACAAACTTACTCTGATATGAACACACAAATGTCAGAAGCAATCTGGAATAATAGCCTCAGGAACATCCAACATCATTAGTGGACTTAAGGATTCATTAAGTTTTAGAATCCCTTCACTGATGGGCAGGATGCACTTGTCTGATATGGCTAACTGTGTCACATTATTTTACAGGCAGAATGAACATTCTGGAAAATTTATGTCCTTGTGTAGAAGGCTAGAAAAAAAAAAGAAGAAAAAAGAAACTCTCAGCCTGAAGGCCTACGTAAAACACAAAGCACTTCTGAAATCTTTTTGGGGGGCCAAAATCACACCAAGCAATGCCTGTGGAAGTGAATGTAATCAAGTATTGCCCTACCATCTTTCAGCACAACCACATTAGAATCTCCTTTAAAGTTTTTCCCACCTTCCCCAGCTCTAATTGATCCCCTCAAAACTATGCTAAATTTTTAGTATTCCTAGTCACCTTCCGTAAGATTGGAGCTAATTCTGACAAATAATCTCTGAATGAAAAGCCATTCTACCAGAAATACCACATTTCTGGTAGAAATGTTGGGAGCATTTTTTTTCTTTTGCTTTCTCTTTTTTCTACTTTCGTTCTTTCAGTGAACTTAGTAGATATTAATCCCTGGAGAGATTATTTTAGTTGGTATCTGAATTTTAAGGTAACTTTCAGTGCTTGAAATCTATCATAACTATGTCTTCTAATTTCGTAGAATCTTGGTCTCAGAACCTTAAGTTTTTACACGCATTCTGCTTCATTGCTAGAGAGCTGAAGAAAGAGGAATCCCTACTCTGTCGCCCCACACTTTCTATGTCCCAGGCAAATAGCAACAGCTCAGTATATCCTAAGCACTTTTCTAAGAGTTTTACACTTATTAAGTCATTAATCCTCACAACAACCTCTATGAAATTATTATTATGGTTAAGGAAACAAGCACAGAAAGAGTAAAAATTAATTATTTAAGACCAATTATTTAATTAAGACTAGCCAATTCAATAAGTACTAACTGGGTGTCATATGTACACATACACATATGTATAAATATGTACACATGTACATATACAGTCAAATATGTGATATGTATCACTATACACAGAAATATATACACACACAGTGACATATATAAATCACTGTGCTGGGTACTATAAGGCATAGTTCTCACCCTTAAAACATGTCTAGTCCTGTGCGGGAATACCTGCATCTAGATACCTAAGGGCATGACATGATCAACTTCATAAAAGATAGTACAGCAGATCAAGTATGGTCAGGAAGAACTAAAGCTATTCTCAGTATGAGCGTGAAAAGCCTTCTCTTCTGTTCTGTGACTCCCTGGAAGGCCCACAGTTCACAGCAAAGTGGGGACCAAAGGATTGAGGCTCCATTCCCTAGAGATGGACACCCAGAATTCATGTTTAAAAATTGAAAATAATCTCATAAAATAGTTGAATCTTCCTGTGCATGAAACAGCTGTAGCCATGATGCCCAACTCAGGGCCCTGCCTCATTGAGTCCCCCCAGAGCTTTCCGCTGGCACTGATGATGTCCAGATCTCCATGCACACTGGTGCTGACACAGCCCCATTAGCACATTACTACTTCTGTCCCATGAAATAAATCACAGCAAGGTGGTCGCCTATGCATTTCAGAAACCAGGAAAGTGGAACGCATCAAGATGATCCTTTCACCACGACTAAGGATGATTTTGGAGGGTAAAGGAGTAGGAATCATATTTTCTACCATCACAGTTCATTCCTTTACCTCTTCCCCAAAAGACCATGATAAGCTCCCATGCTTAAGAGGATCTTCATTAGGAAGCAATTACAGTCTAAGGCTAAAACTGTAGGCAGTCATTTTATTACTTTAGAAAAATGTTTTGTAAATAAACTTGGGAAGGAGGCACCAAAGTTGCTGTGAAAAGAAGAACAAATTATGAACAAAAAAGGCCAATAAATAAATGGTAGTTATCATGACATCCATAGCGGGTCTTCCATAAGTCATAGTAATCATTCCCTGCAGGAAAGCAGCCACTATCCATCCAGGGACACTAACATCATTTTATTCAAAGACTTGAGGGGGCCACCATTCACATATGGTAGCCACACAATCTTTGGACAAGAAAATGAAGAGTTTGGGGAACAGCATCATCTGCCTTAGGAAAAACTCAGAGCCCTGGTCTAGAATAAACTCTAGGGCTCTGAGAAAATGATTCTCTAAAACTATCAGAAGTCTACGGAAATATGGAGATTTTTTTCAAAGCTATGTTTAAATACATTCGGTAAATCTGAAATATATTAATAAACATTGTTATGTCTTTCTATTAAGAATAATTTTGATAAGAATTCCCCACCAAAATCACCTCCATGTTGGCTGGACAACCCGATGTCATTGCTAAAAGAGTGAAAATGTTTCAGTCTCTGATATTACCAAGTAAACATAATAAATGGCTGTGATGGTTAACACTCAGTGTCAACTTGGTTGGATTGAAGGATGCAAGTATTGATCCTTTGTGTGTCTGTGAGGGTGTTGCCAAAGGAGATTAACATTTGAGTCAGTGGGCTGGGAAAGGCAGACCCACCCTTAATGTGGGTGGGCACAATCTAATCAGCTGCCAGCACGGCTAGAATGTAAGCAGGCAGAAGAATGTGAAAAGAGAGACTGGCCTAGCTCCCCATCCTACACCTTTCTCCCGTGCTGGATGTTTCCTGCCCTCGAACATCAGACTCCAAATTCTTCAGTTTTGGAACTCAGACTGGCTCTCCTTGATCCTCAGCCTGCAGACAACCTATTGTGGGACCATATACATTTAAGCATATTTTAGGCTCCTCCAGACACTGCTTTTACTGGGTGGCTCTCTTTTGTTTTGTTTTGTTTTGGAGTATTTTGCCAATATATAATGCACAGTCCCATTTTATTTATTTATTTTATTTATTTATTTTTTGAGATGGAGTCTTGCTGTCGCCCAGGATGGAATGCAGTGGCCCGATCTTGGCTCACTGCAGGCTCCGCCCCCCAGGTTCATGCCATTCTCCTGCCTCAGCCTCCCGAGTAGCTGGGACTACAGGTGCCCGCCACCTCGCCCGGCTAATTTTTTGTATTTTTAGTAGAGACAGGGTTTCACCATGTTAGCCAGGATGGTCTCGATCTCCTGACCTCGTGATCCGCCCGCCTCCGCCTCCCAAAGTGCTGGGATTACAGACGAGAGCCACCGCATCCAGCCGCACAGCCCCATTTTATGTAAGCATTAATGCATGTTCACAATCCAAATAGAGAGGAATTGAAGATTATCTGCTCATTTGGGGTAGTCAATATCTCTATTCCCCTATATGATCACAAACAATTGAGATTTGGTTCTATTCTCACTTATGCATAAAATAAAATTAAATGGTTTGGGTCTGTTTTATACATGTGTATTGGGCAGAGAGTTCAAGGAGTTGGCTCCTCTAACACATCCTGAGGCCTTTAGGAGAGATGGATGAAATGGTGGATGGACAGGCAGATGGAAGGATAAATGCAGGTGTGGACAGCCTTGACAGAAGAATTTCCTGAAAAACTGATGTCTTACTTATACAGCTGCATTTGAATTGCAATAGGAAACTTTGTTCAGTTGTTCTTTATCCTTCTGTGAAATGAGAGGGATGAAGGCATGGTCCAGCCCTCATATCCTATGACACACACCTTTGTAAGGATTTTTTTTTTTTTTCGCTCTCTCTTCTCTATTTATATAGGTCTGTTTTAAATTCCTCCTCCTCCTCTTCCTCCTCATCTTCCCACAGCACAATCCCTGGTGAACAGATCCTTCAACACTAGACTCAAAATCTTCTGATTTTTCCCAGCTTTAACTGTGCTCTCATTTGTGCCTCCAGGTGTACTGTGGGGCACTTCTCATGTTTTAAAGTGTTCGTGGAATATTTCACATAGTCTCTAGATTGTTGAATTCTGTTCTTTTCTGGAGACAGGAGAGCTCTTGTCTTACTCATTCAGAACTGGGGTAGAAACCTAGTAGTTATTACCATTTGTTGTTCCTTCTGTTTTAAGGATTATCCTCCCTGAGGGATTTAGGCTTATTTTGTCTCTTGCCATCTCTTTTCTTTTCTCCGACTCTCTCAAATGAATATTTAAAAAAGGGTAAGAAGAGGAGAAAAGGAAAATAATATTAAGACAGAAAAAACAAAAGAGGGAAGACTGAGTAAAATGGGAATAACCAAATACCCAAGGGGGCTGCCAATTCCCATGATTCCTCTGAATTTCCCTCTGGGTTAGACTGTCCCTCTTTGGAGCTCTGAAATTCTCAGAGCTCACTATGCCTACCATGGTATGCAGTATAGAATGTCATGTTTAGAAATACTGTAAACAGAGACTTGGAAGAGCAATTTAAAACAACAAAATGTTGCCCTGAAATTGTTTTTGTAATTATAATCTTTGCACTGGGAAAACATGGTCTTCTAATTTACATGCCCTTCTAGTACAAAGGTCTGACACACTCTGAGTTATAATATAAATCATTAGAAAAGGCTGCTAGATTTAAGAGAGCAGTTCTCTAACTCTGCAGTCAAGTGTATTGGGTTCTTTATTTTTTCCTTCCCAAAGTGGCTTAAAAGCTATTTAAGCAGGTTAAGTGTGGTCCTAAGAGAAAAAGCACATGGATAGGAAGGTTACAGGACACAGAAAAAGGAGTTAGAGCAAACCAGATGTTTGTCTCTAGAAAGACTACGATGGTAAAACACATCTGACATGTGTGAAAGTCTCTCTCTTTCTCTTTCTCACACATACACACACGCAGTCTTTACTCTGCCAATCCTCAAATCTAAATTATTTTTCCCACTTCTGATCTTTGATTTCTGAATGTCTTTCTTAGGCACCATCATTATAAATAAAACATGAAGCTTTTCATTTGTATCTAGAAACAGAAGAAAAATAATAGCTACAATAAGAAATTTTAGAGGAGGTAAAGTTATCATCTGCATGTACTATTTTCTTTATAATTTAATTTTTGTTTCAACATTTTAGTTTCTTAGTCCTCTTATCTGTATTTAACTGATAGAGAATTCTGTTTTTGGAATCATTCATTCATTACCCCTTTCCTTCTGCCCCAACTTCTGTCTCCAGCTCCCTTAGCCTCTCCCTCTTTTCTCTACCACTTGAACATCAAGTTAGACCTCTGACGCAAATAATTTCAGAACACAGAACTAGGGTACACAATTTAGAGTTTGGTGCCCCAGATGGAAAAACTAAAGCACTGCCATCTTTAATTCCGTGTTTAAGTACTCCTTTCTGGCCTCTTAGATCTTGTCCTAAGTTGATTTCAAATACTACATAACACATCTGATGAATTCATGGAACAATTTCACAAATTTTTGAGTGATTTTGTCCCGTAGGGCTGAAGACACACATTTAAGGCAGCTTAAGGCTGTTAAGTAAACTCGTTTTGTCACCTTTTTTTCCTGCCGGTGAGCTGCCAGCAATGGAGAGACAGTGTGGATTGCAAGGCCTGTTGTAGACCATGCAAGTCGGCTTGGTGCAGACTGGCAGGAAGCTACATTTGCCAGAACTACCATGAGCCTGTATCACTGTGGGCACCATTCAGCTGATGCACACTAACCCCTCCTCATTGAAGGGAGATACTTTTGGAAAACTTTCAGAAATATGTGTGTATATATGTACATATGTGTATATATACATATATATGTGTGTGTATATATATATGTACACATACACACACTCCTTTCATATATGTGTGTATATATATATAAATAATATCCATATATATATATAACTTAGTTCTTTTTCTGTGGAATTCTTAAGTCACCTCTACTTAAAAACTGTCTCTTGTTCCATATATATAGGTATATGTATATGCTCTCTCATTCCATATATATATATTCCATATATATATATATAAGCTTTCACATTCCATATATAAGCTCTTTCATTCCATATATATGCATGTGTGTATATATATATATATAAGCTCTCTCTCATTCCATATATATATATAATTCTTGTCATCTCCACTTATAAGCTCTAATTCCATATATATGTATGTGTGTATATATATATATATATATATATAGAGAGAGAGAGAGAGAGAGAGAGGCTTTCTCATTCCATATATATAAGCTCTTTCATTCCATATATATATACACACTCTCTCATTCCATATATATATGTATACATATACACTCTCATTCTATACATATATATATGTAGAGAGAGAGAGAGAATGAGAGAGCTTATAAGTGGGGATGACTTAAGAATTCCACAGAAAAGAACTAAATAATATTTTGAGTTCTGTTTTTTTAGGAAACATATCTTTCAAAATCTTGAAACTCATCTTAAGATATATTCTTCATAATTGCCTGCACATCTCGTCTCTAAGTCAATGCTTTCAATAAAAAAGGAAAAGATTCTGCATGTAACAGTCTTTAAAACCTTACCCAGTGTTTTATACAAATGATACAAATTCAGCTTCACTGTTGCCTTTAGGAAAAGGACAGTGCATTCATTCTTTCTAGATAAATGTTTACTCACTACCATTTTTAGGCATTGCCCCAGGAGCTGTGGTGGACTCAAAGATAAGATTAATATATTCCCCAGGCTCCAGCAGTTTATCTTCAAGCTGGGAAGATCAGATATTAAAATTTAAAATATTATGATAAGGGTTACAAGGAGATGTAACATGGTATTAAAGTTTAGAGGATGAGGAGGTCAATTCGTCTGGATGAAATCATAGAATTCTTCAGGAAGAAGGTAACGTATGACCTTAGTTGACACATTCCCAATGGAACGGCATGTGGAAAGGTATCCAGGTAGAAAGCAAGGAATGTGCAACTCTTTGTTAGAAGCATACGGTATAGGGAAAAGTGTAAGAAAAATCATGTTCTACCATGAATGCCAGGAAAAATAATTTGATTTTTATTTCATTGGCTCTAGGCAGCCCTTGAATTTGCTCTCATTATGAATTGGGGAGGGCACGAGTGGGTGGTCTTCTAAATAGAATGCAGTTCTAAAGAAATCTAAGGCCTCCATTACAAAGACAAAACACGTAACTCTTTAGGAAATGTCAGTGTAATTCACCATCATAAAACTCAGGATCTTTTGTGAGGCCCTTGGGGTAGCCTATAAAGGTTAATCCTTAAGATTTCTTTATGAATAGAATTTGAATGAGATTCAAATTTACATACATACATACACACACACACACACAAAATAAACTACCATTTGAAAATGAAAACAAATCAAAACCCTAATAGTACCTCTTACGACATCTGTGTACAGTTAAATAAACATTTGTATAGAGGATCACATGTTAGATATTAAGGTCCCAGTATCCAAACTGTGCACATTCAACAACCGTTTCATGAAATTCTATCAGCCTTGTTGTATCTACATGATGTTAACTGCATAGGCAGGAAGCAAGGAGATAAACCCTCTTGGGTGACTGAGTCTATTAGCATAATATATCCAATACTGGGAGTATACTTAATGTTCAAAAAGTCTTGCAGTATATACTATTCAATTCGACCCTCAAAACTACCATTAAAAACTGTCAATCAACTAAAGCCTTCACCCCTATCTCTTTTTATCTCATGAACTGGAGGTGGCTAAAAGAATTCTAACTAGCTCTCTTTAGCATCCAATGTACAATTGAGGATGGAGTTAGAATAATTACGATAATTGATCCAGAATAGAAAGTTCTTCATCCATTCAAGGTCAGCTCCTCATGGGTCTACCTGCTGCCTCATTAGCCCGAACTACATCCATCCTTCTGATGGGGCATTTCCTCTCTGAATCAGTCTCAGGCCATGAAGGAGGAAATAACAGTGTGTATTCAAGGCTGCTACTCTCTTGAGTTTCCAAGGCAGGGTAGTAAAGATAAGACAGCTTGTTAAAGATAAAAAAGGTTATTCGTCTCTAGATAAGACATCTTATCTTCAACACCTTCTCCTACTTTAATATTGAGTCTTTGTCAATTCAATGACAAACATCTTGATGGAAATCAGTCCATTATTCAACTGTTTGGTACACTATAAATGTAAAGAAATATAATAAAAATAAAAAGATAAAAAGATAATGTTATTCACTTTGTGTTCATTACTAAAATATCATTTTTAGTAGTCATTGTTTCACTAATATTAATTTTTCTTTTATTCAAACACAATTTCTTTACTTTCAGTGGGAAACAGATTTCCAGTTTCCACATTTATGTGCAATATACGATGACTGTGAAAGTTTAAAGGCATTTACTCCTTCAGCAAGAGGACAGTTCTTATTTATTTTCAGATCTACTGGATAACAGATTTTAAAATCCTCTTTTAATTTTATTCTCTTAGAACACATCATTTCTTTTGGTCAAAGCTATATTTTCCATTTTATTTGGATGACAGTTAAACATAGTACTTTCCTCTCAAGAAATCTTCCATATCAGAGCTATAAAAGAATATATGAAAGGTTCTAAATTTTCAGTTGTTCACCAGATAGTTCTGAAACACCCTTACTTTTGTGTGAGGCACTGATTTGAGTCATGGTTAGAACACCAGGAAGACTCAAACATAAATTTAGCCCTCAAGGAACAAGTACAGTAATTCAGGTCATAGGTAATTACACAACCAAGTGGCAAGTGGCAAGTGATATGGTAAAGGAGGTGCAGGTTTGAGGGACAGTCTAGCCTATTTGTTAGGAAGAAGGTCTAAAACTAGCCACCTGACCTTGGATAATTGTTATGCCCTCTCTAAGGATTACCTCTTAGCTGAATCAGGAATAACAATAGCACCTACCTTATGGGGTTGTTCTGCAGATTAAATGAGATAATATACATGAGGGAATTTTCATATTAAAGAACACAGATTTAATATTTATCATCACTATTGTTAAAATAGAAACAAAAGCATCACAAAATGAGACGATGCACTAAACTGCTTATTATAGTGCTAGATTAACCTTTAGAACTCAATTAATAGTTTACAATAAGTAGTGGTAAAAACAGTAATTCACACCTTTATCTATCCAGAGATAGGGAAGATGATCATGGCATACTTACAGAATTCTTCAAAGAATTTTGACATTTGAATTGACCCTTTAAGGATAGATATGATATAAACACATAGAAATGAGGAGAAAGAACATTTTCTTTAGGAAGAAGGCGATATGCAGAGAAACAGAGACAAGAAAACATTGGGTATTCATGAGAGATAAGAGGCTGCTTAGCTTGACAGCTGGGCAGGGTATTTAATGAAGAGTCAGGCTGAACTGCTAATATCAATCCAACAAAAATGTCTGACCTTGATTCTGACCCTGACTGTAGCCAATATAGAACACTTCAGGAGTTTGGCAATGAAAGTTATCATACAAGCAAACCAGCATGTCATACATATGATATAGTTCCACCTCTGAACAGGCACAGAAAACCTTACAAACAGACTGGCCTCATGAGTTAAGATAAAGAAGCCACTCATAATACTGTTTTCCTTAACAGTCGTACTTTCACTAACGTTCAAACAATTTGAACCCACAACATCTGTCTTAAGCTCAATAGCTAAAGCCAAAACAGCTACAGTTCTTTTAAAAATACTAGTTATCCAATCATTTTAATAAAATACAAATGAAGCTTTACCATTTTTAATAATAAAGATGAGAACAAGCTTTTGCATTGGAAACATCTGGATTTTTGTCTCCTCCGCACGAAAACAAACATCAAAATCGTGTTTAAGTGGAAAGCCCAGGTATATGGAGACAGCTGGTAGAAAGGGACAGAGAAATGACTGAAGCGTCTGTGGTTTGCTGCTGTCATTTGAAACAATGCATGTTTCAATGCATGTGAAACAATGCATGTGAAAATAAGCCCCTGCTAACAGAATACCTTGAGTATCCAATTTCAAAGATATTCAAGTATTTGACCCCATGTTCAAGTTACTGTTTGAAATTAAACTTTCTAACATTTATTTTTATATGCTGTATGCAGGGTATGAGGCTGATGTATGCAAGCCCCTATTATTTGCTTAGTTTCTGGCCTAGTGACTGCCCTGGTTAAGGAGTTCAGAGCAGGTTTGACAACAATAAAGGACTATTTTGATAGTGTACTAATCTAAGAGCAGTTAAATTATTAGAAACTTGATTTGAAATTAGTAGAAATTTGATTTGTGATTAAGGGACATGACCCGGTTATAATGAAAACACTTATGGGACCACATACATATATGTGCACACACAAAAATTTTTCCAGTGATGTTTAACAAATGAAATACTCTTGTATTATGCTGATTTCTGAAATGAGTCAACTGTTCTGAAGCTGACAAAAGGTCATTCTCCAACAAGAGACCCCATTTAGTTAATTTCCTGTTGTTGTGTTGTTGCTGTTGTTGTTGTACACTACACAGTAATGGCATGAGAACTTCCAAGGTTATTTCATCTTCCATGGATGAGGAGTTTATCTCCATGTAGTAATAACCAAGATTAAGTCAGTATTTTATTCTTGAATATATTCTACCACATTAGCATTGAGACCAAATTTCAATTTACTCCAGGCAGTTACCAAAATCTGTTTTTCTATTAGGCTTTATCTCTAGATCCATATTTTTTTATAATGATCTCAATTCCACTTTCTTTTCCGCATCTTTTGGTAATAGCAATCTCTGCTTAAATGCAGTTAAAATTCATTGTAGCACCTTATTTATACTACAGCCCCACACAATACTGGCTATGAAAATAGCATTCACATTTTAAAACAATCAGACAAAGGCCCTTCAAGCAGCAGAACTACTGGGAACCACTGGGTAATATTTATCTGTCTTTATATCTAATACATCTTGGCATACTGAATTGGTGGTGGGGCCCACATCTGCGAATGTCTCTTCTCTGGGCTTAACCAGATGCACCAACATGCCCTGTAGAGTCATGAAGGACGAACAAATAAACAAAAGTGCCTCTGCCTCACAGAGATGTTATCCTGCACCTGCAAAATCTCAAGGAGCATTCTCTGATGATGAAATAAAATCAAATCCACAAAAAGTGCCTTCAGCTTTACAGAACAAAGCTGTTATCAATATTCCTGGCTGTATTGCTCCTAATGAACATGATTCCCTTCTGCATGGGAGAAGCAGGCTTAGATAAATGACTATGGCTGAACCACTCTGTGTTTATACTGTGTAGAAAAAAAAAAAAGGTAAGCCTCATCTAGGTCTGCTCTGGAAGAGGTGGGGAGAATGAAGCATGGTAGATGATGCCCATGGATGCCCTGGTCCCTTGCTCCAGCCCTCCTATCCCGTATCCTTGAAGAGCAGATCAACAGGGTAGCTGCAGCAACTGCTTGGCTAAGAACAAGGGCAGCCACAGAAGGGATCTAATTTCTGTAATCATGTTGTTTCCTCTACCACAAATGCCTCTTCCATCCTCTACAGGACAACTCTCATCAGGATGCTACCTAAATATTCACTCCTCTTAAAAGCTCTCCGTGAGTCCTCCCATAGAATTCATCACTGTTGATCTGGTCTGGCATAGCAGGAAAAAATCTCTCTCTCTCTCTCTCTCTCTCTCTCTCTCTCTCTCTGTGTGTGTGGTGTGTGTGTGTGTGTGTGTGTGTGTGTGTGTGTGTGTGTGTGTGATGTACTCTTGAGTCAAGGTGGCCTGGTTTCATGAAATCACATATGTACTGGCTTCACAGTTGAAGTTCTCTTGTACACCTTCAAATTCCTGTTGCCTGGCTCACAGTAATACAGATTAAGTAGAATTTTCCACTTGTGGTATCATGTGGGTGCTCAAGAAATTTTGGACTTTGGAGTATTCTGGATTTAAAATTTTTGGATTAGGCATGCTCAACCTATAGTAGCAACAGTAATAAAAATAGCCGACATATGCAGTACTTATGTGTGTATGGTTCTGTTCTGAGAGTTTTATATATTAAGTCATTAAATCCTTATACCATCCCTATGATGAAGTACTAATGTCTC
This sequence comes from Homo sapiens, assembly GCF_000001405.40. Classification (NCBI taxonomy): domain Eukaryota; kingdom Metazoa; phylum Chordata; class Mammalia; order Primates; family Hominidae; genus Homo; species Homo sapiens. The sequence continues at coordinate 47,348,327 of NC_000015.10, read as the reverse complement.
CATTTTACAGATGAGGAAGGAGAGGAAGAGAGATGTTAGGTAACTTTTCCAGGGTCATACTGCTAGTAACTGACATTAGCTCTATTTAAACCCAAGCATTCTGGTTGGCTCTAGAGCTCATGAAGCACAATCAGTATTTGTTAAATGAAGTAAAGGAAGAGCAAATTAACAAATTCTCTGTAAGGAATGAGGCAAATATTTCAGCCTTATACCTAAATATATGTGTTAGGTGTATCACTTAGGATGCAGTTTGAAATTATTCTGACTGGAAAAATTATTATTGAGCTACATCAAATGAACAAGATTTTAATGGAAGAAAAACAGGGCAAAGAGTGGAGACTTCCAGGAAACAGTATGGAAGCATTTATGCAACAAGATGGAAGGGACTCAGAAACTCTCCTGTCCCAAATAATGACCCCATAGAACCACAGATTTTACTGTGTATTATAGAAATGCCACTGAATTTCTTAATACCACACCAAGTTAATTCACACTAAATTATTATTAATCATAATTTTCTGGGTGTAGTAGCTCCCATTTCTTTCAGAGAGATCCAGTGAATCTGGGACCACTTGTTTTCCAATGACAGATTTGGTGAAAGGGAAAAGGCATTATGAAGGAAATGACAGGACATAGAAAAGATTCCATATCTCATATCTAGCTTCTAAGATACACCATGCATTCATCCTTTCAAGAGAGGAGCAGATTTTTACTAGGAAAAACAAAAAACAAAAAACAAAAAACAGAGAATAAAGCACTATTACTTTGAACACTTTTATTACCCGTGGGTTTTTATATATCTCTAGTTAGTTCCAGCTTTCTAGTGCCTGCACTGTGATTATGGATGCCCAGCAGGTCATTAAAACAAGTGCTGCAGTCTGAAATGACTAGAAATTTTGATCAATAGTCTCAATTGTTATTTGGAGGGACATGGCTATGTTCTTTCAGAAGAGCCTACTCTAATTTTCAACACTGGCTGCAAATAGGTGTCCATTTGTTGGAAGTATCAAGTATGTGAGGTTTGGATTTTAATTTAGATTTTAATTTTTACCATCACTCTAAAGCTGTCCCTGATATTCTAAGGTAATTTGGTTTACCTTAGACTATGTTAAGAAAAACTCTTTTGGTGTGGTAGCTCATGCCTGTAATCCCAGCACTTTGGGAGGCTGAGGCGGGCGGATCTCCTGAGGTCAGGAATTCAAGACCAGCCTGGCCAACATGGTGAAACCCCATTTCTACAAAAATACAAAAATTATCTAGACATGATGGCGGGTGCCTGTAATCGCAGCTACTTGGGAGGTTGAGGTGCAAGAATCGCTTGAACCCGGGAGGGGGAAGTTGCAGTGAGCTGAGATGGCATCATTGCACTCCAGCCTGGGTGACAGAGAGACTCCATCTCAAAAAAAAAGAAGAAAAAGAAAAAATAAAAAGAAATATACTTCAGTGGAATCACAAAACCCATAGTAGGATTGCAAGTTGTCATCAATTATACAGTCATCAGTTCTCTGCCAGAGTTAGGGAGAGCTCTGACAGTATTAACTTCTTTTTTTAATGCTGTAAGAAAAAAATATATAAAAATTTACTTAAGATAGAAACCTGGGACCATTCTTAGATGAAAAGATGTGCTTTTAAAACTCTTTTTATAAAAATAGAGAAAGAGATAAGCAATTCTTTTCTTCGGCTCTTACTATGTCACCATAGAATTTCACTATAATCATTCTGTTTCTAAATTTGAATTGGCTTTATGTGAATTTTATTTAAAGTCATGTAACTCTTCTCCCATTACCTTGTGCTATCATCTGGTAATTGAACTTCCAGTCATCTCAGCCCTCTACAACACAGCTACAGCCCGGAGACAAAAGGACAGTCATGGAAAAAGTTTTAGGGATTAAATTTAAGCTTCTTGTTTTCCACATGTGGCCCAGAGATGATATTAAGTGACCTTCTTAGACACATGGAACAAATGGAGACAAAACTCCGGTACTGCCAAGCCAAAAACCCTTGGTCTCCTGACACTATTCCATGGCCTTCCAAGCCTCCATTTTCCCTTTGAAAGGAAAAACCTTGAGCTACATGAAAAACTGGTCTCATGGAGTCCTAACACTTACTAGGAGACATTAACGTAACCCATGAGTTTGTCAATCCAAACTCACCTATGTAATAAGGTTAGCAAAACCAGAATTTTTAAACTAAGTCTTTGTGTTACTCTTCCTTTGGGAAACTCTAAATCTGACATAGGTAGCAACAGGGTTCCTGATGGTAATGCACAAGATGACTTTTAGTGATATGGGTACAAACATTTCATAACAGTTATATATTTAATATTTTAATAGCTGTTTTAGGTATAATTGACATAATAAAATGGCCATATTTAAAAGGTATAGCCTAATAAATTTAGGCATATGTGTATACACCTATGAAACCATCACCATAATCGAGATGAGAACATACATATTGATCACTCCCAAATGTTTCCTTGTACCACCCCCACACTTGTCCATCCTCAGGTAACCACTGATTTGTTTTCTATCACAACAGATAAATTTCCTTAGATATGTTTGTGAAATATAATCATGCAATACAGATTCTTTTTGCTGTGGCTTCTTTAACTCAGCTTTATTATTTTATCAATTAGTTCCTTTATGGGTCATGCTTTTGGTATCATATCTGAGAAATCTTTGCTTAACTCAAGGAGACAAACGTTTTCTCTTACATTTTCTTCTTGAAGTTTTATAGTTTTAGGTTTTATATTTAGGTCTCTGATCCAATATTGAGTTAATTTCTTGTGTATGCTATGAGGTATAAATCAAAATTTTTTTTTGCATGTGGCTAGGCATTTATTCCAGCACCATTTGTTGAAAAAAACTGTACTTTCTTTGTTAAATTGTATTTACTCTTGTGTTGGAAATCAAGTGTCCATACATGAGCAGATCTACTTCTGCACGTTCTATTCTGTTCCATTGATCTTTTTACTCCAATACCACAGTTTTGATTACTGCAGCTTTATAATAAGCCTTACAATCTGTTAGTGTTGGTCCCTTATGTTTATCTTTTTCAAAACCATTTTATCATTTTAGATCATTTTTTATTTCCATATGGATTTTAGAATCAGTTTGTCAATTTCTACAAAAAAGTCTACTGAAATTTGACTTGGAATTGTGTTGACCGTACAGATTAATATGGATAAATTGATATCTTAATAAATAGTCTTCCAACCCATAAATACAGTATATTTACCTATTTATTTAGGTCTTCTTTAATTTCCTTTAGCAATATTTTGTAGTTTTTATCAGCCAACTGAAATCTAGTTTTCAGGGTTTAAATTATGCATACTTGTTTCAGCTTTATTCCGAAGTGCACATTTTTTATGTTATTTTAAATGGCTTTAACTTTTTATATCAATTTCCAAATAGTCATTGCTAGTATACAAAAACGTAATTGGACTTTTGTATATTGATATTTTATTATATAACTTTGCTAAACTCACTTCTTCATTCAAGGAGCTTTTTCCACTAGATTTTCTACATAGATATTTATGTTGTCTGCAAACAAAAGAGTTTTACTTCTTTTCCTTCCAAGATGACCTTTTCTTCTTGCCATATTTTGCTAGTTGGAACATCCAGTACAACATTGCACTGACCAATACTTAACTGAATTCTCAAAAGAGATCCTCTGCAGATCTCTAGTGTTCTCTTCCATGTGGCTTTCTCTTTTCAAGACTTCTGTCCTGAGAACTTCAGCCACCTTGGTCTTCTCAGACTCTCAGTTTCATATCCTCAACACAGGGAGCATACCATGATCTTCCTTGGTCTCCCTCCCTGCATAGTGGCCTGGAAACTCTCCAAAGAGTAAGCCGGAGCACCCATAGGCCCTACCTTGTTTTTCCCCACCCCTCAGGAATCACTGTCCTTCACTACTTGACATACAGTATCTTGAGAACCATTATTACATATATTTTATCCATTGTTATTTGATTGTTTCACACAGGAGTGTAAATCTATTCCTTTTTACTTTATCTTGGCCAGAAGCAGAAGTCCTCAGATATTTATTTAAATGTGCACTAAAATATAAATGGCAGCTATACTGATAACACAGTAGTGATAAGATTTCCTTTTAAAATAATTTTAAGTAAAAAAAATCCAAGTGAGGAATCGCCACACCGACTTCCACAATGGTTGAACTAGTTTACAGTCCCACCAACAGTGTAAAAGTGTTCCTATTTCTCCACATCCTCTCCAGCACCTATTGTTTCCTGACTTTTTAATGATCGCCATTCTAACTGGTGTGAGATGGTATCTCATTGTGGTTTTGATTTGCATTTCTCTGATGGCCAGTGATGATGTGCATTTTTTCATGTGTTTTTCAGCTGCATAAATTTCTTTTGAGGAGTGTCTGTTCATACCCTTTGCCCATTTTTTGATGGGGTTGTTTTTTTCTTGTAAATTTGTTTGAGTTCATTGTAGATTCTGGATATTAGCCCTTTGTCAGATGAGTAGGTTGCAAAAATTTTCTCCCATATAACTAGAAATACCATTTGACCCAGCCATCCCATTACTGGGTATATACCCAAAGGATTATAAATCATGCTGCTATAAAGACACACACACACGTATGTTTATTGCGGCACTATTCACAATAGCAAAGACTTGGAACCAACCCAAATATCCCACAATGATAGACTGGATTAAGAAAATGTGGCACATATACACCATGGAATACTAGGCAGCCATAAAAAATGATGAGTTCATGTCCTTTGTAGGGACATGGATGAAGCTGGAAACCATCATTCTCAGCAAACTATCGCAAGGACAAAAAACCAAACACTGCATGTTCTCACTCATAGATGGGAATTGAACAATGAGAACACATGGACACAGGAAGGGGAACATCACACACTGGGGACTGTTGTGGGGTGGGGGGAGTGGGGAGGGATAGCATTAGGAGATATACCTAACGCTAAATGACGAGTTAATGGGTGCAGCACACCAACATGGCACATATATACATATGTAACAAACCTGCACATGGTGCATATGTACCCTAAAACTTAAAGTATAATAATAATAATAATAATAATAAAAATCCAACTAATCCATCGTTTTTTTAAAAAAGAATTGTGTATAATAACGGAGATTAAATGGATGTGGCAAAAAAACTGAAGACTTTTCAGTGAAATCTCTAAATTTGGGGAGCCCTATAATAGGGATTAAAGTATAGATAGATGAGGGCTTACATTAAAAGGAAATCAACAGGGAAGATACAGGTAACTCTAAGCAAAGAAGCAAACATATTAGATGTCTTAAAAGTAATTTGAGGGCTGGGCGCAGTGGCTCATGCCTGTAATCCCAGCACTTTGGGAAGTTGAGGCGGGCAAATCACATGAGGTGAGGAGTCGGAGATCAGCTTGGCCAACATGGTGAAACCCTGCCTTTACTAAAAATACAAAAAAATTAGCTGGGTGTGGTGGCATGTGCCTGTAATCCCAGCTACCCAGGAGGCTGAGGCAGGAGAATCACTTGAACCTGGGAGGCAGATGTTGCAATGAGCTGAGATTGTGCCACTGCACTCCAGCCTGGGTGACAGAGGGAGACACTGTCTTAAAAAAATAAAAAAATAGTAATTTGAGCGATTTAGTGTAGGGTCAATGACGCAAGCACCCAGCAAAAGTTATTTTAGTAATCACTGCACTAAGATAACTGTTGCTCATAATAATTTTAGATTTTAAAAAAGGTTAAACTATGTTCAGAATACTATGCTAAAGTGAGTAATGGTAGTACATTTTTAAAACAATAACCATTTGAAACACTTTAACAATAAACACTTGTTAAAATTTCCTGCTTAAGGAGGTAAGACAGATTTGCAGAACTTATTCACTCAGAACATCTTAATAGTGTTTCTTGAAAACTACAGAACAAGATGTTATTGCCCATTACTTCTTAGCTGATTAGCAGTTGTTACAAAGAATAACTTCAGACAAATTTAATAGAGCTTATTTGAGCAAAGAACAACTCATGAATCTAGTGGCACTCACAATCAGAGGAATTCAGACTGCCCTGCTGCAGTGCAGGCAACGAACTTTTAGGCGGAAAGAAGACAAAGGAGATGGATGTGATTGGTTTAGAGAGAAAAGACTAGTTAGAGATTAGTTGTTGGTTTCCACTAGTTGGGTCTCTAGTTTCCTTGTACTGTTTATATTAGTCTCCAGTCTGCTAACACAGGAACCTAAAGCACTGGGCTGTATCAGGCTAAAGGCCTTCCTTTTGGATTTTATTGAAAACAAACAAACAAACAAACAAAAAAGAAAAAAAGGAAAAAAAAAAACACAGGGTAAAGGATGTGCTAGGGAAGACATGGAATGATTTCACTGAATTTAAAGGCCCAGAGTTGGAGTAGCTCAAAAGTGTCTGGCACTGTGGTGATCTCTCAGATCTGCAGGTGAAAGGAGGGAAAGGGGTGGGAGGCAAACTAAAAATGAGCTCACTATTGGGGAAACTGACCTTCCCAGAAGGCACAAGGAATATCACAAGTCTGAAAGCAGTGCCCTCTGAAGCCCTATAGCTATAGAGTTTACTCTGAGTAATTTTTTCTGGAATAACAAGTGCCTCATTGAAACTGTGTATGAGAATCACGACAGACAGATTCTTTCAATCCTACAGAGCTATATTTATTTATAATTTTATAGTTAAAAAAAGTACTCAGTCACATCTCAACTTTAATACTCAGAAAAATTTAGAGACAGAGAATTATAATTATCCCTATATTATAGATGGGAAGGTTCTGGGAGAATACAATCTGTCCACAATCATACAATTGCTCAGTGGCAAGATGGAAGTGAAAACAGACCTTTGTCTTCTAAGCAAGTGTTACTTCCAACATACAGAAATTAGATGGGGTCTCATTTTTAACTCTATGTTTGTTTTATTTTGTCTGTTTGTTTTTTGAGACAGTCTTGCTCTGTCACCCAGGCTGGAGTGCAGTGGCGCAATCTCAGCTCACTGCAACCTCTACCTCCCGGGTTCAAGCAATTCTCCTGCCTCAGCCTCCTGAGTAGCTGGGATTACAGGCGCCCACCACCACACCTGCTTAATTTTTGTATTTTTAGTAGAGATGGGGTTTCACCATGTTGGCCAGGCTGGTCTCAAACTCCTGACCTTAAGTGATCTGCCCACCTTGGCCTCCCAAGGTGCTGGGATTACAGGCCACCACGCCCAGCCCCTAACTCTATTTTTGATCCTTTGGTATTGTTAAAAAACATAACCTGAATCCACTGACTGACATGAGAGGTCTCTAAATCTAAAATAATTTCATATATATGAACCTTCTTTTCTGTGTGAAGGGTTCAAGGCATTAAGATTCAGAGTGGGTTAAAAATTCTACTTATTCTAGATAGTTTTGGAATGATCACTTAAGCTGCAGTTATAAATATCTCAGCACTTAACACTCCCAACAGTTCCTCCCATTCTAATGGCACCAGGAGATATTGAGAATTTCATCAGGAAACACCAGGACCTCAGAAAGGACAGAGTGAGGGTGGTATTTCTCTATCTATTCGAATCAGTACTTTCCTACTCCTTACTTTTCTTTTGCTTAGGACAGTTTATTTTAAGCCTGGGGCTGTGATGCCACATCATCATTTCACTCCCCAATCTCACGTAGGCATGATGTGTTCATCAGCCAGCTGAAATCCACTCCTGGGATTCAGCTGATGGCTTCTAGATCAGACCCTTGGAAAAAGTTAATATTTTCTAGAAAGAATGATTTTTTTTAACTATGAATGTAAAATCATAGATATATATTCTTTTCTCCTGACAGCAGGAGCTGACTACTTTGATGAAAAGGGAAACAGACTGTAGATAACGATCCATGATTAACTGGAAAGGCTGGAGGGTTCCCTGTTCTCCTCAGAGATGGTTGCAGCAGTTAGCATTCCAACTGCACATTCTTCCAAGCACATTTCTCTTTGACACTTTTTTTTTTTTTAAGTTAGCACTTGAGTAAATTATTTTGCCTGGTTCACAGGCAATGCTTGTTCTGAAGAATGGTTTACATGGCTCACTCTCCATTCTCCTCAATTTCCAGACAACATCTCCAATAAAGGCCTAACACTCATCAGCTGGCTCCCACTCAGCTCTGAGACTGCATTATCTTCTCTGCCTACTCTGCTCCATCCACGCAGCCCTGCTCTTCTTCAAAACTGCCAAGCATGCCTCTACCTCATGGCCTTTGCTCCTAATGTCCCCTCTGCTTAGAATGTTTTCCCTGCAGATAACCACTTGGTTAGCTTCTTCATTTATTTAGGTTTTTTCTCAAAGGTCACGTGATTAAACAGTACTCTCTAAAAATCAGTGACCTTCCAATTCCCCACACTCTCTGTCTCCCTTATCCCATTGAATTTTTCTTTTTTTGTTGTTTTCTTCCTCTCTCTTTCTCTTTTTCTTTCTCTCTCTCTTTCCTTCTTTCTTTCTGTTTTTGGAGACAGGGTCTCACTCTGTCGCCCAAGTTGGAGTTCATTGGCATGATAGCTCACTACAACCTCCACCTCCTAGGTTCAAATGATTCTCCCACCTCAGCCTCTCCAGCAGCTGGGACTACAGGCATGTGACACCACACCCGGCTAATTTTTGTATTTTTAATGAAGACGGGGTTTCATCATGTTGCCCATTCTGGTCTCTAATTCCTGGGCTGGACTGCCTTGCCTCCCAAAGTGCTGGGATTACAGGCTTGAGCCATTGCACCCGGCCCAATTTTTCTTTATAGCATTTTCAACATCTGGCATAGTATATGTGTCAGGAAAAACTCTTTCAAACCATGTTTCTTCTCTGCTCTCACACCACAACAACGATCATCAACACAGAAGAATACTGCTGTGACCAGATGTGCAGAGGCTTCCCCTCTACACCAAGTGGGTATCTTCGAATTCAATTCCAACACTACCTGGAGATGGTGTCACATCCCATGGGTTGAAGGCCAAGAGGTCCCCAAGACCCCTCCCCACCAGATACCAGTCACAAGTCTGGGCCCCTGGAACTTCTGAGTAACTGGCTTCAAGCTGGGCTTCCCATGACCCCATTAGCTGGAGCAGCTCAAAGAACTTAAGGAAACACTTACATTTAGTGGATTATTATAAAGGATACAGATGAAGAGATGTGTAGGGTGAGGTATGGGGGAAGCAGCATGGAGCTACCATGCTCTCTCTGGGTGTGCCGCCTTCCAGGAACCTCCACGTGTTCAGCTATCCAGCAGCTCTCCAAACCCAGTCCTCTTGAGTTTTTATGAAGGCTGCATTACATAGGCATGATTGAAAACCATGTAGCAATGTGATTGGACAAAAAGTACATGATCTAAACCCAGCAAAGTCTGTCTGTTCAGATTTTTCTTGTCCTTTCTATGTAGCATTCCTTCCTCTATGGTATGGTGCAGGAATGTCTCTGAGATAAGGGTATTTTAGCCTACAATCAGATTAGAATCCTGCCTTGGACAGATGAAAGGACGACAGGAGAAGGTCACAGAGAGAGATTCTATTCCTAAGGCCTAAAGTGCCCCAGAAACAGTGGATTAAAAACCAATATATCTATCATAACATCACAGGCTGCCCCTTGGTTTTTGAACATGGATCCCCTACATCAAAAGAATATACAACTCAAAAGATGCTGCCACATTACTAGAACCTCATTCAGTCATTAATAACTAGTCCAGTCCATTATATTGTATTAATGTCTCCCAGGGTGAGGCTACTCAGGTTTGCAGGCCTACCTTCAATCTTTCTTTTTTAACTTTCCCATAATTTTTTTCTAATTTAATTTTTAAAATTTTTGTGGGTACATAGTAGGTGTATACATTTATGAGGTACATGAGATGTTTTGATACAGGCATGTAATGTGAAATAAGCACATCCTGGAGAATGGAGTATCCATCCCCTCAAGCATTTATCCCCTTCAATCTTGGCAGCATCCAAAAACAGAAGTGGTCTCAGCAAACATATAACTTCACTCTTTCAGGTATTTGGAATACTTGAGTTAAGAGACAAGTATACCAAACAGTGGTCTGAACCTCTTTCAAGGTGTTAATATTGGGTTTCCTAAATTAATAACCCATTTATTCATCTCTTTACTCTCAGCTACTAGTTCTCCTTCTCTCCGTTAACACCCAAACTTTTTCCCCTTTGGAAGGGACATTTTAATTGCTACTGTGTCAGTCTAGATTGTAGGCAACACCGCTACTCTAGCAAGTGCCTTCTCCTCAGTCCATTTCCATTCAGATAGCGTAAGGTTACAAAAGTGCAGAACTAGTGAGCTATTTTTGCCTGCAGGCAATATAGCTGCATTCACTCTTAGTCTCAGTTTTTCTAGATGGGGTAAAGGCAAAACCGACCTCCATCAGGTCCTTAGGAGTTCTGGGGGAAGGAAAAAATTGTTGAGGTGATTTGGGGAATAAAGAAAAATATATATAGTCATTATATCATTATACTCCTCCCTTGGCAAGCACTGCATAGTCTTAGCAGCATCCTCCCCAGTCTCTTTCCCCAGATCAACCATAAAGACAGAGAAAAATCTAGTGGGACACTCCTTGAGTCCTCCCCACGCTGAGTGTGAGCACACTCATGAAGGCATGTAAGCCAGCCTTCATGCTTTCATCTCTCCCTGTTTCAGACAACTGACGCTTCCATTGCTTGTTTACTTCTCTATCAAACTATTACTCTAAGGAGCATATCTCTCTGCCCATTGTTGGAAATTATGGGTGGTATGGTGTTTTCTTTGGTCTGAAGAAATGATGATCGGCCATCCAAATCCATGCAATATATTCTGTTTTTTTTAAATAGCCCTCTGAGCATTTTCATCTTCCATTGGGTAAGCAAAGCCCACTTCAGAGAAAGTGCCTATTCCTGTCAAGACCCATTTGTAGCCCTCAGGGTTATCAGCATCAGTTTTTCCTTGCCAGCTATAATCAGGGCCTTTCCACCAGGGAATCTGCCCCATGGCCATCAACGTTCTCTTTTTTGCTGATAAACAAAACCGTTTTTATTGGCATTTTGTGCCTGAGGGTGCAAGAGTAACATGTCTAGATTCAACCCATCTCTGCACTGCTGCAATACTCCCATATCCCATATCCACTGATTTCATGGACCCAGGTGATTGCCTTAAGAGAGCACATGGGGATATCTGCTTGCTGATTCCAGTCACTTTCCAAAACTGGACTAGGGTTCTTCTTATGGGCATTTACTTGCTCTACCTTGATGCACCCCTCAAACTTCCTTTAAATAGGCCAGATTTCCATCACCCTGTTGCCTGAGTGTATGGCCAGGCCATTGGTCACTGCCCTTGAGTCAGTAAAAACCCAAACACAGGGACTTCCACCACTGTTAAACTCTTCCATTACTGTTAGGAAAACAGGATGCAGTCCAACCCACTGAGCTGATCTGTTTTTACCTACTTTGGACAAAGTAGCAGCCTTCCAAGCAGGATGTTGTCCATTCACTTTGAAACTGCTGTCAGTAAACCAAGCAGCTCCAGTGGAGAGATGGTCATGGTGCACTGTCCAAATGTCTATAGAATTCAACAGCACCCCACACTGTTTCAGAGTCAGTTCTAGGGGTAAAGAGTCTCCTTGCCTGTAAATATCTCCTCCTTCCATCCTCCAGGTAGCACACTCCTGTATAAACCATTTCCATTGTATTACAAAACACTTCTGGACACTGCCGTCCCTATTAGAGCATTTCTCTGCTATCACCCAAAGCATCGTGGGTATTTCAAGTTTCAGTGTCCTTCGATCATAGGGGTAGCTTCAGTTAATGTCCAATAACAAGGTAGTAAATGCACCTCTAGTGAAAATTCTCCAGTCCAAAGTCCCAGTAGTTGTTGCTGGGAGGTGCTCACAGGCTTTTGCCATGAGCCCCAGTAACAGCTCCACAGATAATTATCAAGTGGAGAATTTGTCCCTACCAGCACTCCAGCTTCTACTCTGCACTATGTGGACTTGGGCAATCTTCCCGAGATTCCCAGTTAGCATATCCAATTGCCTGAAGGACAGGTTTACAGGCCTTCTGTTTTACAGTGTTAGGTAGGGGAAACATCCCCCAATCAGTTACCATGTCCATTCCCACGACACAATCAGGTAAAAGAGACACAACCACTTCACACAAACCATGCTGAAATATACCAACTTCATAATCACATAAACCTTTACATTTTTCTGTTCCAGTTCCAGGAACTTCTCTTTCTTGTGCAAAAAGCTTTAGGTGCCCAGCCAGGGGTTGAGCCGAAGGACACTAGCCCTTTTGCCAATCTGTATTTTGATTAATATGCCTCAGGCAATGTCAGATCAGATTTCTCTTTGTAATCTCTGCCTTCTGACTTTTTAAGTTTCTCCATACTGGAGGGAATATGGCAAACTGGTTCAAGGCCCTTTTATGCTGGGGGAACATCACAGGCTCCATCCGGTCCACTTGACCTTCCACAGTGTTGTAGTAAGAGCTCCGTCTTAACCCCATCAATTTCCATTTTATTCATGCCATTTCTTACTAACCAGTTAAATATTTCTACCCTGCTTGGATGAGTCCTATGACTCTCCCCTTTTTCTCTTCCTATTTTATTTTTAATCCCTTTACTGTCCTTAGTATCAGTGAGACCCATATGTGGAAGTTGAGACCACAAATCAGGTAAGGCTTCTTGAACTGTTGTTCATTTCTGCAGGAATAACATCGTGTGGGGCACCCATGTAGAAGGCACTTCCTTAATCACAGAATTTACCATAATCTGGGTAACAGACATATTCAGGGGGCAAATATCCTAGTCATCATAAGGCCAGTCCAACATGGCTTGCATAGGAAGCATATCAGCTGCTTCATCTGAGGTGCTCCACTTGGCATTTATAGGGAGAGTTGGGCAGTCCCTCCTCTCACTGTAAACTGACTTTACAGTGGCTTTTATTCAGTTCACTACACTGGCTGCTTCCTTGGGAACAAACTCTTTTGTATCTGGATCATATATATCCATCTGTGATTGTTCACAGATGTGGATTCTGCATCAACCCAAACATGTTCTTCTCTGCAGCATTTAAAACCAAAGACATTGCTCTTAAATTAGTTACTCTCACAGTCTATTTTAAAACAGGTTCCTCAGGGAGTTTATGATACCCATCCACAAAACGAGATAATTCCTTTACACTATACCCTCTAGTTTCAATAGTTTCTTGGTTTTGCCCTTCCCCCATACTGACTAACTTCTTGGTGACCAAAAAAAAGGTCTTTGAGGTACTTTCTGTTGCCTTGACATAATTTTCGCCTTTGTGGGTAGATTTCAGGCTAGAGGCCTGAGCTCAGAGAGACACACATCTGACCTTAGTACAGCCTCAAGGCCTGACTCGGAAGTCTCTTTTACTTTCATTTTACCTATTACAGATAGCAATAACCAAGGGATAGTGTATTTAGCATGGTTCTTATTATTTTGAATTCTCTTGCATATCCAATAAGGCAATTCCTTAAGAATTGAGACTACCATCATCCCTTAATTCCACTGGTAACTTTTACCTTTAGTAATGGAATGGAGTGTAACTACAGTTTTGTACCATGGGTGACCAGGTAGCCACCCAGCAATTAAATTCCTCATCCTCCATTCTTTCATCCTTTTTCTTTCCAAACCACATGTTTCTGTGGGCCAGGGCCCTTCTAGCAAATCCCACTTTTGACACCAATTGTGTAGGAAAAACTCAAACCATGTTTCTCCTGTGTTCTCACAACAAAATAACAGTAATCAACACAGAAGACTTCTGTGACCAAATGTGTGGAGGATTTTCCCAAATACTAAGCAGTAGACAATAGCCAGGTGTCCTTGAATTCAATCTGACACTATCTACCTGGAGACAGTGTCAGATCCCATGGGTTGAGGGCTCAGTCCTTAAGACTGTTCTCCCTCCTCCCAGACACTAGTCATAAGTCTGGGCCCCAGAAATTCTGACTGACAGGCTTTAAATGGGGGTTCCCATAAACCCCACTTTGGGTTTGATTAATTTGCTGGAGTGGCTCACAGAACTCAGGGAAACACATTTAGTGGTTTAATATAAAGGATTTTACAAAGGATACAGATGAAGAGATGTGTAGGGCAATCTATGTGGGAAGGGGCGTGGAGTTTCCATGCCCTCCCTGGGTGCACCACCCTCCAGGAACCTCCACATGTTCAGCTATCTGGAAGCTCTGCAAATCCAGTACTCTCGTCATTTTATGGAGAATTTATTACACAGGCAAATTGACAACCACGTAGAAATGTGATAAAATAAAAAGTGCATGATTTAACCCAACAAGACCTAACTGTTCAGATCTTTCTTGGCCTCTCTGGTTAGCATTCCTTCCTCTAGAGTATGCAGCAGAAATATCTCTGGAATGAGGGTTTTTTGACCCACAATCAGATTAGATTGCCTTCGGCAGGTGAAAGGAGGACAGGAAAAGGTCAGAGAGAGATTATGTTTCCCGCATACCACAACATTATAACAAGGACTACGGGAGTTGTAAGCCAGGAACTGTGGATGAAAATCAATATACCTATCATAACACCTCAGCACACATGGATATGTTTACTTATTTATTGTTTGCCTTCCCCCAGTTAAAATGTAATGTCCATGATATTAAGGGTTTTGTCTGTTTTGTTTCCTGATGGTCTCCAGCAACTAGAATAGTGCCTGGCAAGAGGAGGTACTAAATCAATCTTTGCTGACTGACTGAGTGAATGATGTATGCCATCAAATTCACTTCCCAATATCCCATTACATGTTGATACCTGCCATCAAATTCTAGGTGGTACTTCTGGGTCTGGGACTAATGACATTATTGTCATCTAGATACTCAAATAAGCCCTTACAAAATGGACAGTGGGGTGTTTTGTATGGCCTTTTGATCTGAACTACACAGCTATGTTCACTAAAGGGGAACTATGTTAGCATGCCTCAACTTACATCATTTATGGTCCATACAATTTTTCTTCAAGTTTTTAACCCATTTTTCTTTAGGTTTTGATCAATTATTCTATTTTACATTATGATATACACTTCACAACAATGTGCACTATTACAAACAACAAATATTCACTCATTAAATTGTAATCTGTTAATCATGACTTATCTAGCCAGAATAAGCACTGTAGATTTGAACAGAGGTCATTTTAAATCGTGAAATTTAAGAGTCATAAAGAATAATCAAAGGTGGCCAAACTCACTCTTTCACCTCGCTCACAAATTCCTCCCAGTAAAAACAATACACAACGATGAAAGTGACAGCTTCCATGTAACAAGTTCTTATCTTACTATTATCTAATTATCTTAGGTTACAATAAGTTCTTGTTTGATTCTGTTGAGCTGTGACTTTCTCTGTTTTTTGTCTTTCCAGCTCCATAGATGGGCACTAGTTGTTGGGGGTGGTAACACTAGATAAATGACTGTCTACTTGCGCCTGTGGCTGAATGGTGCCTATGTTTAGGGCACTATATTGTGCACATATGCAGATCTGTTCTGTGATTCAGGACCCTCCCATTTAGGGTCTTAATCTGCCATCACAATCCTTTATTCAAAAAGCATGATTATCTTGTGAACAGCCCTAAAGGCTAATCTGGCAGATAAGGCTCTTAAGATCACGGCCAGGCATGCCTCTCTCACCCATATCACTCCTTAAGAAAAAATGATCCCACAGCCACAGCTAGATTCCAGAGTGAAGTGTTGTTTTTGATTTAAAGCTTAAGTGGACTTAGAAAATCATCTTGAGTTACATCCCAAAGTGGGGAAACACAGCTTGCATGGTAAAAGAAAAACTGTCATCTCCCCCGTTTTGTGCCACCTAGGGACATGTTCCCAAGTTCCTTCTGGTTATGTATAACCAGAGCAACAACACCAACAGACAATTAGGTGAAAACCTTGAACTTAAAGATAAGCTGTCAGGGACAGGAACCCTTTCTTTCACGGACTCACTGTTCAGACTCAACATTTCAGCAGCCTGCCTTGGCCGACATGTGCAAGGCTAGAGTGGAAACCTGAGTATTTCTTCAATTGTGCAAGCATTTTCTGATCTCCACTCAAGGTCACATAAATATGCACAAACCAATTCAAGCTCAGTTATTATGTAAACAAGCGGGCAGTGTTTGTTGGCACTGCCGCATGCTGTAGTGCTATTAGTTAAGGAAAAGTAGAATTACCAAAGATGTCTTGTTAGGTGCATTAATGCCATTTACGCTCATTCTTCAGATAAGTAAACTAATTAGAAACAGACTCAGCACTTCTCATTCCAAACCCTAACACATTGGAAGAATAATAATAAAGAGACAAAGAGAGGTGAGTTTTGTGCCAAACTTGTACATGGTTTTAGGAAACAGGCAGGACTGTTTTACTGAGCTCTTCATTCCAAGACCATGTAAATGACTCAGCCATCACTCCATTAGGTTTCTGCTGATGCAATACGAGAACTGTAAACACACTAAGTAACTACAAACATAGGTTATTGGCTGTTTGCATGTTTTTCTATGCTGTCTCTTCTCATAATGGCAAGGGACAGAAATGTTTACCACAGATCTATTTTTGGCTTCTGTTTATATTTACCCCTCAGTCTTTTTATTTGCAAACTGTATTTGCATTAAAGAAATTTTTGACAATGTAGAAAAGTATAAAGAGGATAATAAAAACCACTTGTAATTACACCATCCAAAGATACTGTTATTTTGTTTTGTTGCATTTCTTTAAATAATTCTGTCTCCACACCCACATGTTTATGCATATGTCTATGCTTTGTTTGAAAAAATGATATAACACTGTATATATTTTATAGGCACATAACACTATACATGTTTTTCCCAAGATATACTGTTAACATTTCCCTATATAATTAAGACTAAAAATATATTTATTGCATCCCATTCTATCATATGAATATACAATATTTACTTAAGTAAGCTGTTCATAATTTATTAGTTTCTGATTTTTCACTATTCTAAATAATGCTGAATCTACTTCCATATATATCTTTGCATATATATCTATTATTTCCTTAAAGCCTGCCCTTTTGAGGCACACACACACAAATATATGATCGTTGATCAGGGCAATGTTCATAGGTGTTAACTCAAGAAAATTTAACCAAATAATATGGGCTGCCCAAGGTTTGGACTATTGAGGTAACATTTATCCAGATTTTCCTATGGTGACCCTTTTTCACTGTGGCCTGAGATGTGGTAGAGTATACTGTGAAATTAAATGCAAGTAGAATTTGCCAGTGAGATTCGTGACAGAATCAGAAATTAAACTCATGTCCTGTACTACTGTGACCTTGATGCTTTTGTCACAGCTAAAGACTGAAATAGGGCAACACAAACAAGACTGTGTCAAATGGAGGAGGAGACTCACTTCCAGCATAGTGTCTCATCCTTTCATATCCATAAGCAGGTATGCATTCTTGATGAACATTACCTCTGTAGGTGTCCATACCTCATGTCCTATAAGCAGCGACTCTCACACTCTTGTCTACCTGGAACTTTACAACATACTCATCAAAGCCCACTTGAAAGTCATTTCCTCAGAGAAGCCGTCCCTGATCTTTCCAAAAAATCATGGCTACCTCTGAGATCCCACAACATTCTTTCTTGAGAATTCATTGCTTGCGTGTGGAGTTCACTCTCAAACAATACTTCTGGAAAACAGGGACTATGTCTTACTTACCTTTGTGAGTCCACGGATTCTGATATATAGTAGGGACTCAATAAATGTTGGCTGAATTAATGAGTGGTGATTGGGATATTAACACCATGAACTATGGCTCCCTCACCTCTGCACGCCCTGACAAGCTCCTCAGCCAAGTTTAGAACATGGAAAATATGGAAGCAGAGATGCCCTTTTAGTGCCTGCCTCCTCAGCCATGATAGCCTCTCCCATCCATCAGTGACTCATCACTATCACCACTGTTCACCAACTCCATAGAAGGTCTGACCTATTTAATGATCCCTTCTAGGAGATAGTGCATGTCTGTGAATGCCTTACCCAAGGCAGAAAGAAAACAGAGGGCTTGGTTACCTATGGGTCACCTCCATCATGTCTACACACTTAGAAATACATACATACAGAGATGACACCCATTTCTGTATTCACATGCAAACATATACATGCTCAGTCCTAGGCAAGACCAAGAGAGAAAAAAAGAAGAGCAAAATGGGAAAAGCAGAATATAAAATGAAAAGCCTAACAAGAGACTGTGCATGTTTTATGTGAGAGATGGATCCCCAGGTGGGAGAGAGAGGAGGTAAATATACGATCAGTAAAGGTGCCATTATAAATATAGATGCTCATTATAAATAGAGGCAGTACAGCATGAGCAGTTTAGCACGGTTTTAATCTGTCACCTTACCAAGTGTGCAGCCTGGAGGCAGGAAGCTGATCACAAAGGCGGTGTGCAGTTCTTAGATAGCATCTTTATCAGCCAGTTGAGGAGATGATGACTATGTTAATGAGGCAACAGTAGAAAGATATGACTATCAAGTTCTGTTTCTCAAACTTTAGTGTGCAGGAAAGATCTTGTTAAAAAACACAGATAGTTCCAACCCTAAATATATTTGGTAAGTCTGTGGTAGAGGCTAAGAAACAACATTTTTAGCATCCACCCAACTGGAATCTGAGGCAGGTCTGAAGACCATTCCTAAAAGAAACACTGCTGCAAAGGGAGGGAAAAGAGATACAGAGGCAGGGAAGGAAAACGCAAGAACTAAATTATCTAAAGGCAGCCAACAATGCATACTTTGTTATATTGCAATTATTAAAGTAAATCCCAATGATTTACTCTACTTAAGCTAAAATATTCTGACATTAGTATTACTTTGTTGGCTTGAGGTAATGAGGCCAGAACCTTATACGCCTGTTTAGTTTCTCATCTATTTCTATCTCTAAATATCTGTCTATTATAGTCAGTACATACAGGATCACCACAAGAACCATGCTGCCTTTGTTACAGGTTCATGCTATGAGCTGTGCAGCTTATTAGTGAACAGGTTAAGAAAATGAGAAGAAGGTGGTTTCTCCATTTGTTTAAACACTCCTTCCACAGAGCTTTCCCTGACCCCTCAGCTCTTTCTGCTGCACAAGCATCCTGCAGTTCCTTTCCTTGGTGTTTGTAGTACTTGAAATAAATTACTCTCACTCTGCCTTGCTCACCACTGGGCAAGCTCCATAAGTACAGAATATCATCTGTCTTGTTCAGCTGCGTATGGCCAGCACCAAGAACCATGTCAGGCACATTTTAAGTTCTCAAACATTTTTGCCCAAAGAATGAATAAGCTTTATCTTCATTGATTAAAATCTACACCAAGGTAATCTGGCTAAAACGAGACTCATAAAATAAGAAGCTTAAAGTTTATTATAGTGATGAATGAACTATGTCTTGATTGATGAAAGTCTACTCCAATGATATGACTCAATGGAGAATAATTAACTGAGAAGATACTGAAGATTAAAATGAAAAGAAAGATATAAGACTGTTTTCCCCAACAGTGGACTCCATCACCATCTCTCTTTGGTGGGCCATTTCTTTCCTTCCTCCTTTTCGTGAGTCACAGAAGCAAGCTGGTGAGAGCTTGCTTGGATGAAGAGGCTACTGGGCTCAGGGGTTCACTAGAGCTTATTGTGGTAGGAGACAGAAGTTGGCCAGCTGCATCAGGTGGACCACCTCTATGGGCAGGACCTGAGCTGGAAGCCTGGTCAGAGGAACTGCAGGCTGAGCTTTGGTCACCTACCTGAAAGAATACCAGGAAATGCTGTGATGAGGATCTAGAGCAAATGCTGCCCCTTCATCTACAGCAGTTGAGGTATTTGGAATTGCACCTTTATGCCTTCAAGCTCCATCAGGACCTTGATCTGTACTAAAGAAAGCTTTGTCTTTTCTGTAATGTCTAGTTAACTGCCCAACAGCATAATTATTTCTCCTGGGTGGGAAAATCAGGATTTTCAGGAACAGGTTCCAAGCTTAAGTGTTTTGAAAAAGCTTCCCTAAATATCCTAATAGATTCCCTTGGTAAAGAGTTTAGAATTCACGTCAACTTGGCATCAAAGAAGAGCCCACATACCCTTGCTAGCTACATGATTATCCTAAGAAATATTATGTTTCCTGCCTTCTTTACTTCATCTAAGGTATTTTGAATAGAAATTTAAAATTGGTTTTTGTCTTTGTGCCTGAATTACCAGATTTTAACAATTTGTTCTGCAGCTTTCTTTCCATCTGTGAGCCAAGATCAACACTCTGGAGGAGAATATATTTCAAAGCTAGCACATCTGGATTCAAATTTGTATTCTCTTATTCACTTGCAGTAGATCCATGAACAAAAATGTTAGCCTCATTTTCCGTATTTATAAAATGGAGATAATGATAACAAACATAATAGGTATAACGCTGAGATAGTTAAATGAAAAAAACTATTAATAGTACCTTGATCCTGGCATTTAGTAGGCATTCAATAAATATTACTTCCCCTGACCACCACCACCCTTTCTCTTGGAAAAGGTCTTAGCTTGCCTGCAAAGCACTCCTGAGTGTCTAAACATGGACAGTTTTGCAGTCCTTCCCCCATAGAGAGAAGCACCACTACCAACGGTATTTCCCAGTCCAACACAGCATGCCATGTTTTCCTTAATGAGGAAAGGAGTTCTCAGCTAAGTGAGATGTTCTTTGTTGTGGCTTGCATACCATCTAATATTTACCTTGTTTTTATATTTTCTACTTATAAGTCCCAAGTCAAAAGACAAAAAGCACTATCTGAAGAAGGCTTGTATGGTAAATACAAAGATAAGCTTCCTACTAACATACCTTTAAAATATTTGAACATAGAAATATAAAGTAATTTTACCACAACCTTCAATTCAAACATATAGGTGCCTGCTCACATTGAAATGTGACTAAGGGAACAGGTTGTCCCACAACTGTGGATTTTAATAAAAAAAGTTAGAAAATATGAGGGTATGGCAATTAATGAAATGAAAAGAACTACTATTTATATTATGCTTATCAATGCTTGGCACTAAGCCACTGACTGGTTTACATTTATTATCTGATTTAATTCTTATAATAAATCTATGAGTTAGAAGTGGTTATCAGCATTTTACAAGTGAAGAAACTTCAGAAAAAAAACAGGCTAAATAACTTAAACCAAGGTCACCTACCTAGTAAGCGAGAAGCCAGGATGCTGGCCCAGTTCCAGGGGATGCCAAGGCCTGAGCAGGGTATCCACACAGTAGTATCTGCCTTCCAAAGGCATCATTAATATAATCAATACCTGATCATCCAAGATGCACAGTCTCACCTGTCTCTGGGCTGACTTCTACTGTCCAGGAATGAATTGGCATAAAACTCTGGCTAATGAGGACAGTCTCCTAGAAATGGCACTTCCAGATGTCCACAGTATAGGTCCAGAATCTGAGCTATGTATTTAGAATTTTCCAGGGAGTCACCAGTGACCTACTAACTGTAGTCATGTGAGTAACCAGGCTTGTGTGGCTTTGGTGGGGAGGGGAGCAAACAGAATCTGGCATGGGAGAATTTCTTTCTCCGCTGACAAATGACAAATCCCACTTACTTCAACATACACATACTTCTAAGGAAGTCACTGACTTGCCTTCAACAAGCGGTGCTTAACAGCCAAGATGTTACAAACTTGATTTCCACATTCTGAGCTTTAGCTTGGCACTTTCAAAATTCCCCATCAGAGCTATTTTCAAGGTTCGCACGGCAACATTGCTTGTAAACAACTCAGCACTTACTAACAAAAATGTAAATGTAAACCAGGCTACAACCTAATAAGCAAATTTTGAGAATGGAGGAAGAGAAAGATGTGCTTCACATTTGACCTGTTTGCAATTCTGATCTTCACACACCAAGTGAATGCCTTAGAAAAGCAACACCTTTTGAACAAGAATGTGCATATCAAATGCTTTCAACAGGGCAAGCCAAATGGAATAAAATGATCTCTTTTTCTTTCTGGTTGAGGGTAGTGTGACTGCTGCACTTGTTAAAAGCACAGTCATTATTGCCATAAGTAAAATAAAATAGCATTTATTATAACATTTCTGTAACTCCTTACATTTGTTCTGATTTGAGATTTTAAGCATGATTGTGAAAGAATTGAGTTCCAGTTATTTTCATGGCCAGCAGCAAAGAAATTAGTGAAAATTGCATTAGAGAATCCGTCTCGGTAATGGTTTAACATGTAGTTTTTCCCCTCCAATGCAGTACAGCTTAGGGAGGTTTTCACTGGGAAGAGTGGACAGCAGCTTTGATTCGGACCCCTAATGTTCAAAGTAATTTAGTAGCAGGCACTTTTCTGAAATTTCCTACAAATCCAAATCCAATTAACTATGCAGGCTCTAATAACTAGTTACATGAGTTTTCTTCTGTTTGTTTTTGTTTTTTTCCTGGTACCTGGGCAACCGCTTGAGGTAACAAATTTATATCTCTTATGAGCATTTAAATTTTATTTTTTAACTCCAGAAGTTGCCCTGAAAATAACAATCAGAAAGGCAAATGAAATATCAATATGTAAATTGGTCTCTTCACTAATGACTTAGCAACTGGAGGTAAAGAGGATATGCAAGGAGGAAAACAGTATGGTAAATGGAGAGACTGAGCATTTAGACCCAACAACCACGGAAGAGAGCAGGGACAATAAGGAATGTATTGGTGGCCAAGGGAACAACATAAAGGAGATTTAAATGGGAAAGAGGGTTTAAGGTTGTTTTTACTTTTAGAGATGAGGCCTTGGAAGGTAATACACTTTAAAGGGCATTTCTGTCACAGTTCATTACAATATGTGAAAGGAAATAATACTGACAGAGCTTGGATCTAAAACGCTTCACCCTGCCGGGCGCGGTGGCTCACGCCTGTAATCCCACCACTTTGGGAGGCCAAGGCGGGCGATCACCTGAGGTCAGGAGTTTGAGACCAGCCTGGCCAACATGACCAAACCTCGTCTCTACTAAAAATACAAAATTAGCCGGGCCTGGTGGTGGGCGCCTGTAGTCCAGTTTACTCGGAAGGCTGAGGCAGGAGAATCACTTGAACCCGGGAGGTGGAGGTTGCAGTGAGCCGAGATGGCGCCACTGCACTCCAGCCTGGGCAACAAGAGCGAGACTCTGTCTTAAAAAACAAAAAACAAAAAACAAAAAAAAAACGCTTCACCCTGTGCTCTTATTTTGAAAGGGTCAAGCAATAGTTAAGGTCAATGGATAATTAAATATTGCCTACTCTATACAAAAACAACTGATTGAATAAGTTGGGGGAAGTGCCACAAGATACTTTCATCAAAGGATTGTCTGCAATAGCAAATATAAGAGCCAAAATCAAATACCAATATATACATGGTTTTAAATAAATTAATGAACCTCATTACAATGAGATAACAGCCTTTAAAAAATGAGGTTAAACTATATTTACTGGCATGTAAGGATGTTCACAATATAGTCCTAAGTGAAATAAGCAGAATACAGAACAGTGTATCTTACACTCATTATATCTATATATACCTAGATATATATAAACACATACACATGTATAATAGCGTACATTACTATATATATACACACGTATGTGCACACATTCATATGCATATATATAAAGTATATATGTAGATAGTATAAATAGCATATATTTAAATATAATAGTTTATATATATACATATATATGTACAGACACATATATATGTGTATATCTTTTTCTCATATACCAGTTGGCTTCCCTGTATTTGCGTAAGAGAATAAATAATCATTGTTAAATAAATTGTTGCTCCTACCGATCTTAGAACTTACCAATAACATTTTCCCTATGGAGTGCTGTTAATTATGAAGTGTTGAAGTCCGCAGTTTTTAAGATCTGATTCTAAGTCTTTTTTATTTAGTGTTTATATTTGAAACCGATATGCTTTTCTGACATGGCATCTTAAAAGATATATACCTCAAAATTAGGTAAATACAGGTCAAGCCATTTTTGCTGGAAGAATGAAAAATGAAGACACTGAACTACAATTTTTATATATTTGTAGGTCCATAGTTGTAAAAAAGAAATATATAGGTAAATAGGTATAACAAAATATTAATATGGTTATATCTGGATTGTGAAAATTTGTGTGAACTTGTGTTATATATTGATGTATTGACTGCATTTGTTTGGTCTTTAGATTTGTTTCTTTTGGTCCTCTAGTCTATGTACTCAACAAAAAGAAGAAAACCAAACTACAGTAAACCAAGCAAAACACCTGTAACATTAGATGTGAGCTTTCTTCTTAGGTGCCATGGTATCAAAAATATCTGGAAAACTCCAGTTTTATCATTGGATTTTTTTTTTTTTTTGCCACTTGTATATGTCAATTGTGTCCCAAACAAATTTACTGTCTTTCTTTTCTTTCCTCATGCCTATTCCTTTTGACAATGACATTAGTTAACTCAGAAAGCAGTTTGACTCTTCAGATAATAAAATGGAGAGGTGATAATTTTAGTAGATATAAAATAGAAACAGGTTAATTATTTTCATTTCTTCTTTTTCTTTTCGTATTAACTTCTAAGACTCCAGTCAGTCTTTAAAGCATAAATATGTGCCACGTCTCTTTATCACAGTGACAGGAGACAGACAAATTCCTAGGTAGACAAGGACAGATCCCTGGTGAAACTCCGCCTTCAAGCCAAGGATAGTTTAAAGCCTGAAAATCAAGCTGCCAGTTTCAGATAGAATCCATGACCAGAGTGAGAACTTCCATCCCCATCTTATCCACTTTCTCTCTCGACTGGTTCCTTCTGAATGATGCCTTTTAACCAGTCAAATGGTGCTTTTTCCCAAGCCCACCCATAGACCAAACAGCATGCACTTCCCCATTCTAAGCCCATAAAAAACCCTGGACTCAGCCTTACAGATGGCTTCCTATTTTTGAGTCTTTTCTTGATGCTGAGAGCTTTCTTTCTGTCACTTAATAAAATTCTACTCTGCCTTACTCATTCTCCGGTGTTCACGTACCCTAGACCTCTTGATAGCAGGATAAGAACCTGGAACATGCTAAAATGCAGGAGCGAAAGAGCTGTAGCTCTCCTGCTCGCCGAGCTGTGGGTGGTGGGAGTCAAAGGGCTGTAACACTCCTTCCTACTACCTGGACAACAGGAGAGAAGAAGCCGCTGGGCACCACTCCCTCCTACTCCCCAAACTACGGGAGCTAAAAAGCCACAACACTTACATAGACAATATGAAAAGATGAGAGATATATATTTATCAGCTATAATAGTCTAGTAAATGATATGAGTTGATAAATATGAATTTATAAACAAGACAGGTAGATGGATAGGTAGGTGGGTAGGTAGATACATAGATGGACAAAGACTAAGAGACTAAAATGAGCAGGTTTAAAAAATTTATGCGGTAACAAATTTTGCAAATACATCAACTTTTAATTAGACTTTTCCCTTGGAATCTAGGTATACATAGAAATATGTTCTCTTAGGGAAGGAAAACACAAAAATAATTGCCATCCGAGGGAAATACAAAATCACCATTTGGGAAATATCACAGTTGCTGGCAACATCCACCAATTAACACTAAAATCACTTCAAATTTTTGAGGAGAAATAGGATGTTAACATTAACTGAAAGTATCTCCCCCAAGATATTTATCAATGAGAAATAGAAAAATAGGCCCTTCACAGTGGAGAAACCCAGAAGACATTATCTTAACCAAGTGATCAAGGTTAATGTCACCAGTAACAATACATATGTATAGCCATCATGTATCCCCGATATGATTCGCTGAGAAGACTGCAACATTACTTCTGTGGTATCCCTCACCAAAAGTGTATAACATCAATCTAATGATGAGAAAGTACCTGAAAAACCTAAATTGATAGATATTGTACAAAATATCTGGCAAGAACTCATTAAAGGTATCAAGATCATAAAAGACATGGAAGAAATAGGAACTGTCACAAATTATTGGGACAGACTAAAGAAACAACAGTATAAGATCCTGGATCAGATTCTAGAATTGAAAAATGACATTAGGCAAAAAAAAAAAAAAATAACTAGTGAACGCTAATAAGATATGAAGTTTCGTTAATAGTATTTTTCCAAAGTTAATTTCCTAGTATTAGGGGAAAATGAGTGAAGAGTATATTTAGTGAAATCTCTGTACTATTTTTGCAACTTTCCAATAAGCATAACATTATTTTAAAATAAAGCTTTTTAAAATGGGGGAAAATTGCCATCCGCCTGCCTTCTGGGTTGGAGTCTTATTCAATAGATGTCAAAGGAGCTTTCAAGTCTTCAAATACAGTTTTCTATTTTATCTAAGCATAGACTTACCCTAAATATCAACAAAATGGCTAAAAGAGACTTTTCACAATCAAAAGTGCTAAATTGATAAACTGATAGTGCCCCCCACTGTTTTTAATGATGTCCTCCAATCAGGAAGGGGCTTTCCAGCTCTCTGGGGAGTAGCAGAGTAGGAGAAAGATTGTTTTATTAAGCATTTAAAAAATAGCCCAATAGAACAGGACTGAAATGGTAGGTAGCCACTCTCTGTAACTATCATCATAATAAAAATAACCAGTAGCTAAAGAAGTTTTAGACATGTAAATATGTGGTGATTAATATAAGTAACATGAAACAACTATACATGCTTATATCTCCTTATACTGAAAGGTAAAAATAAGTTTTTCCTCATAAAGAACTAACACTTCTTCAAATGTATATTATCTGTACTATGGGATCATTTCTTATGTGGAATATAAAAAATGTACATATTCTTCTAATTAAAATGATGACAAAAAACGTAACTTACATATCATTTCTTCATGGAAATTAAAAAAATTATAACAGACATTGACCTCTTATTTTTGACTCTGAGATTGTGGTTAATGTCCACATTTTTTCACTCTGTAGACAAACAATAAATATTGATAAAGGATGGCCAATGAAATACGTGTATTCATTATCTATATCTAAAGTGTCCAAATAAAATATTTCATATTAGTCACTGTGTTCCTTTCTGGGGAAGATCCAAAGTCTGCAACTTGGATAATACTCAGTTCTGTCGCACATGATTTAGTGAAAGGCAGAGACCACACAGACGGGAATCCCTTGACTGTACCAGATACTCTTTACCAGGAAGATGGGCTTCCCTTGGTTGAACCAAGTGGATGAAACCAGGGATGTACATATATATATTTCATATTAATTTTTATCTGGTTAATACTGCATGAGTAATAAAGAGATAGAGCCCTGTTATGAAGTAGCTTACATAGAGGGAAAAAATATTTCTAAAGTAATCACAGTGTATATAAGTATCAAGCTACATAGTGAGGTCAATAAGCCAATCAGCAGCACAGTGAACACCCAGGTATTGAATCACTGCTATCCAGGTAACAGGCAGTGCTTGATGATAGAAATACAAAGGTGAACACTTACTCTCTCTACTCTCAAGGAATACATAAATCTAAGGTGGGGGGCGGGCTGGAGAGTTAGGAAAGGAATACAAGCAATACAGGTGGTAAAGTGCTAAAACAAAATAGGAGACACTTGATTTCTTCCTGCATGGAAGAGGGAGACTCTGGAGAGGAGGTAATGTTTAAGCCTAATGGATAAAGTGAAATTATTTTCAAAAGGACAGGAGAAAGGGCATTGCAGGCCTAAAGAATGGCATGCATTAAGTTAGTAAAGCATGAAAGAGGTAAGGTATGAGGAGTTACAAAACATGTGGACATCTGTAGTATATGGTGCATAGGGAGAAGGGGGCAGAAGTTACAGCTGGAAAAGCTAACAGGACCAGGGCAAGATGATCTTTCTAACATGTTGGGGAGCTAAAGCTTTAAAAACAGGTAATGTGGAATCACTGCATATAAAGTGAAATTGGGTGACACAAATTTTGTTGCTGCACTGATAAAATAAGGAACAGGGACAATAGGCAAAACAAAATCAGAACACTATTATATCTTAATGACAGACTCTTTACAATAGAGAGAGAATCTGAACACTGATTCTAAGGTCTCTAGCCAGGGGTACCAAGAGGATGGTGCTGTAGTGAGGAATGCAGAGAAGAAGCTCATGAGGTCTCCTTGGATATGATAAGCTGAAGAAGACTGTTGAGCATCCCTACAGAGATATCCACTGAGCAGTCAGAGACAGGCAACAGAAAGGCAGAGGGAATAAAAAGTTTGAGGGCTTTGGTTTCTGGTGTAAGGAGCTTGAAAGATACCACTCTGTCCTAACAACAAAGAAAGAGGTGAACATATGTTTTTAAAGATCCTCAAGAGAGAGGAGGGCACAGGACAAAGCACTGACTTCAAGACAGGAGACACAAATAGGTGAATACAGGGAGTTGTGACTTAGAGACTCACAGGTGGAAAGTGCCCTGGGAACCAGTGACAAGTAGGAAACCCAAACTGTAATTGATGAATTGCCAAAAGCTCAGTGTGGACAATTTTGAAAGTTAAAAACTCCAGGGAACTTGTCATAGGCACAGGTGGGGAACAATATTGTGAGATTTACCTGCATGAGCTCAACCAGGTTTCTATAGTAAATATTAAAAAATAATCCCCTCATGCTTCAAGCAGGAAGACGAGAAAGGGAACCATTTTGAAATACACCAGAGCACTCTGTTCTTCTTAATAAGGTGTGCCCACAGGAGAAACGAATTAACCCGAAGCTAACCTGCTGGGGTTTTATCAGAGCCTACCTGAAATGGGGGGAGGGAAATATCCAACACCGGCACACTCTGGCTATTCCACCCCATCCTGTTTTTTTCTCCCTGGGGTGGGGGGAGAAAAACAAAACCTGAGAAATACTTGTGCAGTTCACAGTCTAGAGACCAATGTATTCATTAAAGATTGAGACCTACTTATAGGACTATAGAGTCCTCCACCCACATCTTACCACCAATAAAAGCCTACTTACAGCTGTCCATTTACCAAGTCCAAAATGTCCAGCTATCAAGAAAATATTACAAGGAATACAAAATGGCAAAAAACACAACATGAAGAGGCAGAGCAAACACAAGAATGGGATACAGCAGAAATGTTTGAATTATAAGACTGGGAATTTAAAACAACTATGATTAATATGCTAAGGGCTTCAATGAATAAAGTAGACAACATTCAAGAACTTACAATCAATGTAAGCAGAGAGATGGAAATCTTAAGAAAGAACCAAAATGAAACTCCTTCTAGGGGCTTACTAGTAGGCTGGACATGGCTGACGAAACAATCTTTGAGCTTGAGGATATGTTGACAGAAACTTGAAAAACTGAAAAGCAAAGAGAAATAAAACTGAAAAAAAAGAAAAGAAAAGAAAACTGTATCAAAGAACTGTGGGACACAATGAGATACCATCTCACACCAGTTAGAATGGCAATCATTAAAATGTCAGGAAACAACAGGTGCTGGAGAGGATGTGGAGAAATAGGAACACTTTTACACTGTTGGTGGGACTGTAAACTAGTTCAACCATTGTGGAAGTCAGTGTGGCGATTCCTCAGGGATCTAGAACTAGAAATACCATTTGACCCAGCCATCCCATTACTGGGTATATACCCAAAGGACTATAAATCATGCTGCTATAAAGACACATGCACATGTATGTTTATTGCGGCATTATTCACAATAGCAAAGACTTGGAACCAACCCAAATGTCCAACAATGATAGACTGGATTAAGAAAATGTGGCACATATACACCATGGAATACTATGCAGCCATAAAAAATGATGAGTTCATGTCCTTTGTAGGGACATAAATGAAATTGGAAATCATCATTCTCAGTAAACTATCGCAAGAACAAAAAACCAAACATCGCATATTCTCACTTATAGGTGGGAATTGAACAATGAGAACACATGGACACACGAAGGGGAACATCACACTCTGGGGACTGTTGTGGGGTGGGGGGAGGGGGGAGGGATAGCACTGGGAGATATACCTAATGCTAGATGACGAGTTAGTGGGTACAGCACACCAGCATGGCACATGTATACATATGTAACTAACCTGCACATTGTGCACATGTACCCTAAAACTTAAAGTATAATAATAATAAATTTTAAAAAAAAGAAAAATTTAAAAAAAAAGTTTAAAGTGGGAAAAAATATTCGCAACTTCTATAAAAGGTAAAAATTCAGTATCCAAAATTTATGCCTACCTCATTTAAATTAATTCAAAAAATAAAATATAAGCCTAGTATGTGGGTCAGGGGAAGGGGCCAACTGTCAAGATGTTTTGAAGGCCAATCGGGAAGTAAATATTAAAATAAAGATGTGCATAATTTCTAAAAAAAAAAAAAAAAAGAACTGTGGGACAAATGTAATAAGAGTAACATAAGCAGAAAGTGGGAATGCCAAAGGGGAAGAAAAAAACAAAAGAACAGAAGAAATATGTGACAAAAATAAGGATGAGAATTTCTCCAATTAATGACAAACTCAAAATTATAGATCCCAAAAGCTCGGAGAAAAGCAAACAACATAAGTGCCTAAAACACTACACCTGGGCAGATACATTTCAAACTACAGAAAAACAAAGATAAAGAAAAAATTTTGAAAGTAGCCAGAGAGAAAAAACACCTTACCCTTAAAGTAACAAAGATAAGAATCATATCTGACTTCTCAGAAACCATGCGAGCAATACGAGAATGGAAGGAAATATTTACAGTATTGAGTTGGGAGTGGGGGACTAACCACCTTAGAATTCTGTACCCTGCAAAATTATTCTTCAAAAGTGTAAGAGAAATAAAAACTTAAACAAAAATGGATGGAACTTTTTCCCAGTAGACCTGCCTTGTAAGAAATGCTAAAAGTTCTTCAGAGTAAAACAAAATGATATAGATTGAAAATGTGAATCTACATAAAGAAAGGAAGACCACTAGAGAAGG
Organism: Homo sapiens; assembly: GCF_000001405.40. Classification (NCBI taxonomy): domain Eukaryota; kingdom Metazoa; phylum Chordata; class Mammalia; order Primates; family Hominidae; genus Homo; species Homo sapiens. Next base: position 47,317,443 of record NC_000015.10, on the reverse strand, counting down.
ATAAGTGAAAGTAGAATTAAAAACATTATTTTTCTTATTCTTAATTGATCTAACAGGCAACAGAAAACAAAACAAAATGCTAGTTCTTTGAAAAGATCAGTAAAAAAGACAAGCTTCCAGCCAGACAAACTGGAAAAGAAAATAGAGGGAGAGAGACATCATAAATTACTATATCAAAAATGAAAGAGGGGCCATAACTCCAGTCCCAAAGACATTAAAAGAATAATAAAGGAATACTATGAACAACTTCATGCCCACAAATTTGGTAACTTAGATAAAATGGGCCAGTTCTTTGAAAGACACAATTCGCCAAAACTTGCACAAGAAAAAATAGACAATCATACAGGCCTATATCTATAAAGAAATTGATTAACTAATAACCTTGCAAAACAGAAAGCACCCAGCCCAGACAGATTCACTAGTGAATTCTACCAAGTGTTTAAGAAAGAATTCATACCAATTCTCTGCAATCTCTTTCAAAACTTAGAGCAGAGGGTCTACTTCCTAAACATGTTATATGAGGCCAGCATTATCCTTTGTCCCCAAACCGAAGATGTTACAAGAAAAGAAAAATACAGACTAATATCTCTTATAAACATGAATGCAAAAACTTCAACAAAATATTAACAAATAGAATCCAACAATGTATAAAAACCAACCACAACCAAGTGAGATTTATCCTAACTATGCAAGGTTGGTCCAATTTCAACATCTGAAAATCAATCAATGTGACCTACACATCACCAAGCTAAAAAAGAAATCAATGACCATATCAGCAGATAGAGAAAAAAAAATTGGCAACATCCAATAACCATTTATGATAAAAAAAAAAAAAACCTCTCAATAAACCTGGAATAGAGAACTTCCTCAACTTGATAATGAAAATCTACAAAACCCCCCCCAAAAAAATCCTACAGCTAACATCATACTTAATTGTGAGAAACTTAAAGCCTTCCCACTAAGATGAGGAACAAGGCAAGATGTCCCCTCTCACTACTGCTTTTAAACACTATACTGGAAGTAGTAGCTCAGGCAATAAGATAAGAAAAGGAGGCCAGTTGCAGTGGCTCAAGCATGTAATCCCAGCACTTTGGGAGGCCGAGGCAGGTGGATCACCTGAGGTCAGGAGTTCGAGACCAGCCTGGCCAACATGGTGAAACCCTGTCTCCAATAAAAATATACAATTAGCTAGGCGTGGTGGCGGGTGCCTGTAATCCCAGCTACTCAGGAGGCTGAGGCAGGAGAATTGCTTGAACCCAGGAGGTGGAGGTTGCAGTGAGCAGAGATCACACTACTGCACTCCAGCCTGGGTGACAGAACAAGATTCTGTCTCAAAAAAAAGGAAATAAATGGCATACTGATTGGGAAGCAAGAAATAAAACTGTCCTTGTTTACAGATGCCATGATCATATATGTAGAAAATCCAAAAGAGTAGACACACACACAAAAAAAAACCCTCTCGAAACTAATAAGCTATCATACTAAGGATACAGGAAGGTTTCAGGAGACAGGCTAATATACAAAAGTCGATTATTCTCCTATATATCAGCAATGAATGTGAAATTTAAAATTAAAAATGCAATACTATTTAAATGAGCACCCTCCAAAATGAAATACCTAGGTAAAAATCTAACAAAATATATACAAGATCTATAAGAGTAAAACTAAAAACTCTCATACTAAGTCAAAAAAGAACTAAATGAATAGAGAAATATTCAAGGACAGAAAGACTCAGTATTATCAAGATGTCAGTTATTCCCAACTTGATCTACAGATTAAACACAAACCCAATAAAAATCCCTTCAAGTTATTTTGTAGATGTTGACAAACTAATTATAAAGTTTATATGGAGAGGCAAAAGACCCAGAATAAACAACATAATATTGAAGGAAAAGAACAAAATTGGAGGACTTACACCGACCAACTTCTAGACTTACTGTAAAAAGATACAATCATGAAGACAGTGTGGTATTGGTGAAAGAACAGACAAATAGATTAATGGAAGAGGATAGAGAGTCCAGAAATAGACCCCCGTAAATGTAGTCAGCTGGTCTTTGACAAAAGAGCAAAGGCAATACAGTGGAGCAAAGATAGTCTGTTCAACAAACGGTGCTGAAACAACTGGACATCCACATGCAAAATAAATGAATCTAGACACAAATCTTACACCTTTTACAAGAATTAACTCAAAATGCAAAATGTAAAAAATGCAAACATAATCTGCATATAAAATGTAAAATTATAAAACTCCTAGAAAATAACACTTAAGAAAACCTAGGGCCGGGCGCGGTGGCTCACGCTTGTAATCCCAGCACTTTGGGAGGCCGAGGCAGGCGGATCACGAGGTCAGGAGATCGAGACCATCCTGGCTAACACGGTGAAACCCCGTCTCTACTAAAAATACAAAAAAATTAGCCGGGCGTGATGGCGGGCGCCTGTAGTCCCAGCTACTCGGGAGGCTGAGGCAGGAGAATGGTGTGAACCCGGGAGGCGGAGCTTGCAGTGAGCCGAGATTGCGCCACTGCACTCTCGCCTGGGCCACAGAGCGAGACTCCGTCTCAAAAAAAAAAAAAAAAAAAAAAAAAAAAAAAAAAGAAAACCTAGATGATTTGGGTTTGATGATGACTGTTTAGATACAACACCAAAGGCAGGATCCATGAGATAATAATTGATAATTGGCACTTCATTAAAATTAAAAATGTCTGCTCTATGAAAGTCCATGTCCAGAGACTGCAAAGACAAGCCACAGGCTGGAAGAAAATATTTGCAAAAGAAGTATCTGATTAAAAACTGTTACCCTGTTACCCAAAATATACAAAGAATTCTTTTTTTTTTTTTTTTTTTTTGAGATGGAGTCTCGCTCTGTCGCCCAGGCTGGAGTGCAGTGGCGGGATCTCGGCTCACTGCAAGCTCCGCCTCCCGGGTTCACGCCATTCTCCTGCCTCAGCCTCCCAAGTAGCTGGGACTACAGGCGCCCGCCACTACGCCCGGCTAATTTTTTGTATTTTTAGTAGAGACGGGGTTTCACCGTTTTAGCCAGGATGGTCTCGATCTCCTGACCTCGTGATCCGCCCGCCTCGGCCTCCCAAAGTGCTGGGATTACAGGCGTGAGCCACCGCGCCCGGTCTACAAAGAATTCTTAACACTAATAGGAAAACATGCAACTCAATTAAAAAATGGCCCAAAGATCTTAGCAGACAACTCACCAAAGAAGACATATAGCTAGCAAATAATCATATGAAAAGAAGTTCCACATCATATGTCATCAGATAAAGGAAAATTAAGATTATATAACACTACACACCTATTAGAATGACCAAAATCTGGAACACTAAAAACACCAAACACTGAAAAGCATATGGAGCAGCAGAAACTGTCATTCATTGCTAGTGGAAATAAAAAATGTACAGCCACTTTGAAAGACAGTTTGACAGTTTCTTACCAAACCAAATATATTCTTACTATACAAACCAGCAATCACATTTCTTGCTATTTACCCAAAAGAGCTGAAAACTTAAGTCTACACATAAACCTGAACAAGGATGTTTATAGTATCTTTATTCATAAACGCCAGAATTTGGGCCTGGCATGGTGGCTTGCACCTATAATCCCAGCATTTTGAGAGGCCAAGGCAGGAAGATTGCTTGAAGCCAAGAGTTTGAGAGCAGCCTGCACAACACAGCAGCACTGTCTCACTATACTCAGCTAGTTTTTAGCTGAGTATGGTGGTGTTCGCCTTTAGTATCAGCTACACGGAAGGCTGAGGTGGGAGGACTGCTTGAGCCCAGGAATTTGATGTTACAATGAGCTATGATGGTGTCACTGCACTCCAGCCTAGGCAACAGAGAGAGACACTGGCTTTAAATAAACAAATAAACAAACAAACATAATTGCTAAAACTTGGAAGCAACCAAGATATCCTTCAATAGGTAAATGGATACATAAACTATAGTATATCCAAATAATAGAATAATATTCAGCACTAAAAAATAGCTATCAAGCTATGAAAATACATGGAGGAAGCTTAAATGCATATTACTAAATGAAAGAAGCCAATGTGAAAAGGTTACATACCGTATGATTCTTACTATATGACATTTGGAAAAGGCAAAACTATGGAGACAGTAAAAAGATCAGTGGTCACCATCAGGTAAAGGTGGAGAGAAGGATAAAAAGGCAAAGCACAGAAGATTTTTAGGGCAATGAAAATACCCTGTATGACACTATAAATAAATGCCCATATACATTTCTCCAAACCCACAGAATGTACGGTAGCACAGAGAAACCTAACATAAACTATGAAGTTTGGGCAATTATGATGTGTCAATGAAGATTCATCAGCTGAAACAAACATACCATTCTTGTGGAGATGTTGACAATGGGGGAGGCTATGCATGTGTGGGGCTGGGGGTACATGGGAAATCTCTGTATTTCCTACCAATTTTGCTGTGAACCTAAAACTGCTCTAAAAAATAAAGTCTATAAAAAGGGGAAAATATTTGGCCTAAAATGGTCTAAAGTTCTGCTGTCCAATCCCATGTGGCAACTGAGTACTTGAAATGTGACTAATCTGAATTGAGATGTGCTATAAGTATATAAATATACCTTATAAAAAAAGTCTTTGGATTTATAAACAAAAGTAAAATATCACACTAATAATTTTTATACTGAGTATACATTTAAATAATACACTAGATATACTGGGTTATATAAAAATATTGTTTAAATTATGTTCTCCTGTTTTAATTTATCTTTTTAATATAGATATTAGAGAAGTTAAAATTGCACACGTAATGACCTATGCAGCTTGTGTTGTGTTTCTGTTGGATAGCGCTGATCTAAAGACTCCACCCTTAACATTGTGGCAAGGTTAAGAATGTAAAGAGGGGAAGCAAGCACAGTCCAGGCACATGTCTGGAGGTTCTTCAGGGATTAACACAAGAAACTGAGAAGGCAGAATCCATAAAGACATGACTAATTATCATTTTGACAGATCATGGCGAGGAAAACAGCCCGACTGGAGCAGATGTGCATAAAGATAAACATGTAAAAAGAAAGGAATTCAATTATAGAGAATAAGGAAAGATTATGCTCAATCATATATGCAGTGGAATACACAGAGCAACTAGGAAGGGCAGTATCAGAGTGAGAACACTGTTTTAGGAAGAACTGTAAGTTCACATGATGGAGACAGGAAGAGACTAAACACAAAAAGACAGAAGGAGCTATCGCTGTCATCCAGCAGCAAAATGAAGTGTTTTAGGTGAGGACAATGGTAATGGGGAAAAAAAAAAAAACCCTAGAAAGACGCCTAAGCAAAAATGAATACTGTCAATTGCAACTGCAATTTAAACCTTAGCCCATCACTGGGGTGGTCAGGCCAACATCACAGTCAGAGCTGAGGCACCAGAGAAGTGAAGCCATACCTTGCCTCTGCCCTAGCTAATACCAGTAAGGTGCTATACTGGATAAAAACTGCTGAAGATGGCAAACTGGAAAGTCTCCTTACACAGAGCTTCAGGAAATGGCAAGGTCACTGAAGATAGCTCCATAATTAAGACCAATTGCCAGGAACTGCCTCCCGTGGCTTTTAGCTGCTACAGACATTTGGTTTGCCTCATGTAGACACAGGATAAAACTCACCGAAAGAGATTTCCCATAGGCAAGGACGAAATATGAACAGCCTAGGGTACTCCTTGACTTTTGTTGTTAACTGCTGTGTGGAAGAAAAAGCTATATATAGATTTTTTTTTCATTCCTGCTTCTGTAATTTTAATGAGACCCAAAGTTAAAGTAAAAAGATTTTCAAATCTAAAATTTTCAAATGCAAAAGATAACTTTTAATTTGTGAAAGAAATGGAAATACACCCTTTACTTCAGGGTAAATATCACTCTGCTAATCTACAAAATGACCTGATTCTGGAACTGAATATATCAAAATATATGTAAAAAAAATCCACATAACCCCTCTGGCGGGCATTACATTCAATGTCCTCCCATGATCCCCTGTTGGCTCCAAAGTAGATTATATTCAAGAATCAAGAGGTGAAAACACTTGACAAATAAGGGTATTAAAATGACTGCTGTGTCTCTGAGATAGCAATTACATTAATAACTCCTGAATCCTTAAAAGAAAACCTGATGTGAGCTCTCACAAAGGGTCTCAATTTGAGTGTATGGGCAACCGAATCCTACTCTACCTATGTAAACTTTTATGGAAGAGAGCATATAATGCATCCTTCTTGCTGCCTAAATAAACATATCAAGTAACTGCATGTGTAGAAAGATGCAACAAAAGTCAGTCTCCTTGGGTTGATCTGTCTCACGTTCTGTTGATAAAATATCTTGAACAGGCAGTAGGAGGACAATGAGGCTTTAATGATCGAGCTTTGATTGAAATTCCAAATTGAAGTAATATCAGGCTTAGTTTGGAATTTTACCTACCAAGTATGAATTGTGTTGTACTTTTGTTCAGTTTTGGCCAAGAATTTAGGCAGTATATAATTGATCCTAATCAAACAAGAAATCCTGTGTTAAGCTATGACCATAAATCTTGCATGAATTTGTTAAGAAACGGCACAACGAAGGAACTAGAACTTACATGTCTACTTTTTGCAGATAATACTCAGATATTTCTTTCCTTCTGTTTTACCTGAGTACTCCCATAGACTATGATATAGTGTAACATTTGGAAAGAGCTGTATATGGCTGTAGTTTTCTCATAGATAATATATAGAAAATACTCCTTCCTTCATATGACTGTTGTGAGAATTAAGCGAGACAAAAATTTCTAGTACCCAGATATCCATAACAATAACACTATCACTATATAAAAGGTACTTAAGTTTAAGTTAAAAAAAACATGAACTATATTTGAATATATTGACAGCATTAATTTTGTCCCCATGAAATTTCTTCAGGACTTTATAAACTCCTCCAAAGTAGCCTACAAGTTGAATAAACCATGGGAACAAATGTGAAAAGAGCAATTGGCTCATTGCAAATAAGTAATGACTATTTAAAATAAGTCATATCTACTCTACAAACACAAACAATAGCTTAAAACAACCTGGACTAGAAATCTAACATCTTTCCCATTATTAGCACCACAGCTCCTGCCCCATCCCACAGCCTCTGAAATTGGCTGCTTTTATCTTTCAGTTCATTATATGATGGGGCATATGGTTTCTAAACCCAAGCTGAGCTTACAGCCCTTTCATCGCTAAGTGTTGGGCATGTAGTTTTGTTGGTGCTGAGTAAACACTTACCACATGAAAAAGATGCAATTCATCTATCTTTTCCACCTGCCACAAACCTGAAAAGACTTGTTCACAAGAATCTTTCTCACACCACACAGAACCAGAAATTTAGAATTTATAGTGAGAAAGCTGAAAATGAGTGAGAAGATGAACCATGTTCCCTTTTCTTGTACAGTCAGTCAAGGCCATCTTCTGAGAAGTATGGCCCTACTTTCTCCTCAAGAATGATATCCAGACAGTCCCCAACTTAACAATGGTTCAACTTAGGGTTTCTTTACTTTACCATGGTGTGAAAGCAGTACACATTCTGTAGAAAGCATACTTTGAGTACTCATCCAACCATTGTTTTCCCATTCAGTACAGTAGTCAATAAATTACATGAGATATTCAACGCTTTATTATAAAATAGACTTTGTGTTAGATGAGTTTGCCCGCTGTAGGCTAATATAAGTGTTCTGAGCATGCTTAAGGTAGGCTAGGTTAAGCTAAGATGTACAGTATGTCAGGTGTACAGTAGTTCCCCTTACACAAGGGCAATATGTTCATATGTTCCAAGACCCCTAGTAGATAGACAAAACCATGGATAGTAAAACATCCTAAATACACTGTGTCTTTTCCATGTTAAATTGAGAGTTTTCACCTTTTCCCATAAAGGAAGCACTTTATGGCTTCTCTTCGGCATTTCCAAATTTCCAGTATCACTACTCTTGTGCATTGGGACCATTATTAAGTAAAATGAGGGTTACTTGAACACAATCACTGTGATACCCCAACAGTTGATCAGATATTCCAGATGATGGCTAAGTGACTAAGGCAATGTCCACAGCAAGGATACAATGGACAAAAGGAAGATTCACATCCCAGGTGGGACAGAACAGGATGGAGGACAGCATGAGATTTCATCACGCTACTCAGAATAGTGTGAAATTTTAAACATTAATTGTTTATTTCTGGAATTTCCATTTAATATTTCCAAATGGTGATTGACATGGGGAAACTGAAACTGTGAAAAGCAAAACCACTGATGGGGGGGACTACTGTATTAAATGTATTTTCAACTTATTTTAAATGTACAGTGGGTTCATTGGGATATACTCCTATTGTAAGCCAAGGAATATCTGCACTTTCTAATTATAAGCACATCTCTAAAAATAAATGTCAATCTTACAGTAATGGAGGCGCAACTTAAGTGTTCACCTTGGAAGATGTTAAGAGACTTGGCAGCTGTGTGTTTTAACTTTGTTTACTCCATATGATGCCAAATCAATAACTGACAGAAAAGAAAATAAAAATGTTCAAATGGGTTAGTTGTAGAACTTTTAAGTAACTAGAGTAGCTTCACTTATTTGATTTTAGCTACTGTCCAAAATAGTTCCAACCTAAGAGAGATGAGTTAGCACTCATGTAATTTCTCCCATGAACCCTCCTTCTAAAGTTACAGGTGAAATGGGCAACATTTTTATTTCAACTTTCTGTCAGTGATCATTATAGTTCTTTTACAGAGATGCATGAAGAGCTCAACACAACTCTTCACGGCATTGTCAACCTTGTTCTGTAAGAGCATTGGGCCATTTTTCCAAAGGTTTCTCTGAGAAACTCTTCTGCCAAAGAGCCTTTGGACCTATCTGTGTCTTACGGGATTCGTTCTGAAGATTTCAAGGGGATTTTCTTGGCTTACTTAAGAAGGTTCTACTCAAATCTTCACTTATTTTAGAGATTATAGGTAAAGTATAATACTTTAATACTCCAAAGATAAGGAAGGGTAATGCCTTAATGTTTATTGAATGTTTACTATATACCTGAAGTTATGCCAGATGCAGTATATATTATTCTCATTTAACTTCTAGATGGCCCATTCCCATTTGGCATATAAGGAAACTGAGGCCTGGAAAGAAGGGTAATTTATCCAACAACATACAATGGCCATGTGGCAACTATGTGGCAGAGCTGGAATTTGAACAGAGGGTCTTTTCACCTATGTAGAATATGTACACCAGAGAAAAAAGGCTACAGTTGGGCCACTACTTAAATATTGGAAGACTGTTCTTTTAAATACTAGAAGATGCTTCCTTTTTTATAAAATATACCCTGAAATGTACAGACTTAGTGTCAAGTGACTTACCTCTCAACTATCTGTAAAAAAAAAAAAAATAGCCAGGCCAAATTCTGAAATTTTTGCAGGCAACAAACATGTAAAAAATCACCAGAATTTCTCTGTGCATCATAAGATTCTTGATTAAATTGGTAAACAAAATACACTCTGATCAAACAAGTATGTCATGGCATACAGATCTCTTTTATGTAATTCTCGTAAATATCTTTGAGAATACGGTTTTAAGTAATGAAGCATAATTACTATAATTGCTATTCTGCAAGTAACAGTCAGTCATTGTATTTCATTTGCAAGGAAACTAAAAGACATTTAGAAAATGAAGGGAAGATATAGACGAAAACCATTAAAATTGCTCTCTTTTCCTCATTGTATCCCCCTTTAACCAACTTCAGCTGATATCAGACAGTAGCCTAGAATGAACACTGCTCCTAGTGATGGTCACTGAATTCCCCACTTTATGTTCTGAAATCTGGCCATTACCAAAGGTAATGAGATGTACTAAGCTCAAAGATTAGTACATCTGTGAGCTTCCTGCAGAAATTAGGTAAAAATCATCTGTTAATTGGGCTGAGAAAATTCATATTTTTCCTTAGGCCTGAAAAAAGAAGGACCTGTCAAGACAAAGAAAAATCTGAGAATTACCACCAATTTCATCACCACTCATCCTTCAAGTGTGTTTCCATTTTTAATCTTTTTCCAGGTTCCCTGTCATTTGATGGTTTTTCAGCTCCTAGCAAAAAAGTGACGAGACTAATTCTAAGAGGTTTGGTTTGCCCAAATGATATCATAAATTTGCAGTTAATAAACTCTTTAATATGAATGTGCAGTAACAACAAGGAATTTGTTAATAGTAACAGATAACATTTTATTGACTGTTCTCTATGTGTAAAGCATTATTCTAAGTGATTAACAGAAAATTGATTATCTCATTAATCCTCACAACAGCCCAATAAGATAAATGCTATTATTATCCCCATTAAACAGATGAGGAAATGATGCACAGAGAATTTAAATTACTACCTTAGGTGAAACCAGGATTCAAACACAGGCATTTGGGTTGTGTATGTAAAAACTATAATGTTATGCTTGTGTACTTAAATACTAAAATACACTGCCACTAGCAAAGTGGCATACGCACATATATAAGCTGCTTTGTCAAAAAACATCATTTTTCAAAATGAAGATACACATACCTATATTGAGTTGAAGAGTTGCATATCTTCTAAAAATTATACTAAGAAGGATATGTATATAATTTGTTAGAAATGAAAATGTTAGTGATACCTCTACTTGGTAAGATTATGATTGACCTCATTGTTTATTTGTATCAATATATGGTTTTATTTTACTTTATTTTGAGACAGAGTCTCACTATGTGGCCCAAGATGGAGTGCAGTGGCACGATCTTGGCTCACTGCAAACTCCACTGCCCAGGTTCAAGTGATTCTCCTGCCTCAGCCTCCTGAGTAGCTGGGATTACAGGCATGTGCCACCACACCTGTTTGTACTTTTAGTAGAGACAGGGTTTTGCCATGTTGGCCAGGCTGGTCTTGAACTGCTGACCTCAGGTGATCTGCCCGCCTCAGCCTCTCAAAGTGCTGGGATTACAGGCATAAGCCACCATGCCTGGCCATCAACTTATGTTTACTTGCTTTTAACTGTATTTTCTATTTATTTTCACAATGAATACATATTAATTCTGTAATTAAAACATTATAAAAGAGGAAAGAAAAAAATTCCTTGCAAAGCCCCTTAATACCAGAGCCAGCTAGAAGATGAGTTACCATTGGGCCAGGCGCGGTGGCTCATACCTGTAATCCCAGCAATTTGGGAGGCCGAGGTGGGCAGATCACAAGGTCAAGACATCGAGACCATCCTGGCCAACATGGTGAAACTCCATCTCTACTAAAAAATACAAAAAAATTAGTTGGGCATGGTGGTGTGTGCCTGTAGTCCCAGCTACTGGGGAGGCTGAGACAGGAGAATCACTTGAACCCAGGAGGCAGAGATTGCAGTGAGCCAAAATCGTGCCACTGCACTCTAGCCTGGCAACGGAGCAAGACTCCATCTCAAAAAGAAAAAAAGAAAAAAAAAAGATGAGTTACCAATAAACCTCTTATTATTTATTGTGATACAAAGTAGGAAAGAAGGCCAATAGCAGGTGCTAGCACTGAGAATGTAAAATCTGTGAAGGCCTGGATCAAAGGAGGCTCTGGCCAATATGAGAAGATCTACTTTGTGGGTGAAGAACTTATCTTGGCTGCCTTGCTGGCATCTCAACCTTCACAGAAGTATCCTGGCCTGTGGTCCAAAAGCCAGAACTGCCATGTGGTCAGAAAAGGTCAGAACATGCAATGATTTTTCACTGTATGACAGCACAATTGGCAAGATAGGGACATTCTTCATTAACATGTGCTTCAGAAGAAAAAAATACTACCTTAAACTAATTCTACTTAATTGACTGTAGTATAAAAATGCAAAAATTTAGATGAGACAAAACAAGCAGCTCTGAGTTATAGCATTCTACAATAGAAAACAGCCTTATTTTTAGTGAACACAGTCTGGTAACCAAGGAAAGGAATGCTCTTCTTGCTCTCTTTTTCCAGATGGTGCTAATTCTAGGGCAATGGCCATAAGGGATCATGGCTTTTTTCACAAAGGAGCTTTGGTTCAGCTCAGGAGATGGAGCTAAATAGTCAATGCCACATTGCTCTATAGATATTCCTAATCATTTCGTGATCACCAGGTCATCCCATGGGCCACACTCAGTAACATGACAATGCCACACCACTCCATCTACTCACCAGTCACCAACCCAAGGAGAGTAATTATAGTGGAAGAGAGTCACACTATATTCTAAGTCAGTTGGCCAAATTTTAAAAGACATAATAATCACCTGGAAACCTTGTTTAAAAGTGTAGATTCTCTGGGCCCTACTCTTAGATAATTTGATTTAGTTGATCTGGAGAGAGGCCCGTGAACTTACGTTTTTAATAAGAAACCCAGATGATTATTTCTAATCTTTACAGAAGACATAAATGAAAAACAGGTGCTAATATAACAACACTCAGCATATACTTTTGTTTCCCTAATAAATTCTCATCTAAGTATGAATAGAGATGGTCAGGGTGAGTCTTTCAGCTTTGCTTCATTAATAATTCAGGAGGACTGAATATTGTTGTTGAATATATTTGAGTGATTGCAAACTTGGCAGGTCTTGTAGGCAAATTTCCTCCCATTTCACATAATCAGTCCACTGTTAGTCACCACAGCAGCCTATGTGAGGTGGTAGCTCAGATAAGAATCTTGTTCATAATTTCAACTCAATGCAATTTAGGAAAAAAATATACATCAATCCTCAGAACAAGAGACTTTCTAGCAATTTGAGTTTTACAAGTAATGGGTATATAAGAAATATTAACTTGTGTAGCAACAGTTTAAATGAAATTTGGAATATTTTGGATCATCTTGGGACATTCCTAATACGGACAAGACCTGGAGTAGTTTTACCAATACTAAAGTGCTTGTGGTCATTTTTATTTCTTTGTGTCTGTTTTCTGACTCCTTTTTATGAAAGAATAGGTGCCTTTACACTAAGAGAATTTTTTTTTTTTTTTTTTTTTTTTTTTTTTTTTTTTAGTTAGAAGGCTCAGGCTGGAGTGCAGTGGCATGATCTCAGCTCACTGCATCCTCCGCCTCCCAGGTTTAAGCAATTCTTCTGCCTCAGACTCCTGAGTAGCTTGGGTTACAGGGACCCGCCACCATGCCAGGCTAATTTTTTTGTATTTTCAGTAGAGATAGGGTTTCACTATGTTGGCCAGGCTGGTCTTGAACTCCCACCTTGGCCTCCCAAAGTGCTGGGATTACAGGTGTGAGCCACTGTGCCCGGCTAAGAAACTTTTATACACAGAATTACCAGAGGTGCTACTTATAGTATAACTAAGATAACATGACAACCCCTTTCTGGAGAAAAAATGTATGCATAATGGTATAAAACTCATGCTAAAACACTCTAACTAATCTGAATCCCTAAGATGGTGTATTTAAATGTAACACCCTCCACATTTGATCAGCCTTGTAACCTATGTAGTTATCCGTGTGTTCTGACTAGACAGTGATGAAGGGGTGAGAGGCAGATCTGGGAGAGGGTGGGAAACTTATTTTGTCATCAGGAGAGGCAGCAAAATCTAATCTGAGCTCTCAGGCATAAGCACAGTTCAGAGCCTCATTATTTGGCCTTCCTAGAACTGACTGGCCTTTCCTGGAACTGAAGAAATAGTGCCATGATCAACACTGAGTATAAACTTATATACTGGTGTCATCATTCGTGGAAGGTTTACACTTCACCAACACTCCCTCCAAGTCTAACAATTCTTTATTCACTCAATAAATATAGAATGAATTTCCACTAAATGCCAGACACTGCTGGAAATACCTCAGCAAACCAAACAGATGAAAATCCTGCCCATATAAAACATATATTTTAATGGGAGGACAGAAGTAGCCAAGAAAATTAATGTCAGACATTTACTACATCCAATGGTGATCCACAGAGGAAGGCAAAACAAGAAACGGTGCATGATTTTAAATAGGTTGATGAGGAGGAGCCCCACTACGAAGGTGATGTTTAGGCAAAGACTTGAAGAAGTGAGGAAGTAAACCATGTAAAAGTCATGGGAAAGAACATTCCAGAAACTGGAACAGTAAATGCAGAGATCATGAGAAACCTTTAGAAATGTAGCATCCAAGTCGTTGCCATACAGGCACCAACACCTACCTCGAAAGTGAAACCTATGCATAATATCAGATTGTTTTGTCAAGAAATGTGCTTTCAATATTTCCACAAGTTCACCAGTTGTCTTAGACTTTTGGGGAACAAGGCGGTGATGAAGGTCTGTTTCTACGTATCTTTAGACATCTTGTTAGGCATACTTTTGCTCCTGTTCTCCCTTATTCTAAAAGAAAAGGCTATTTCTCACATGTATCTGGAGAAGTAAGACAAATTAAATCAGAATCTTCAGTCTGCCCTGAAACAACCAGCATAGGCCCAAGTCCAGCTCAGTTAGCAGAGTGGTGTGTCCTCGCCATGAATTCTTCTGGTAAATTACACTGCCTATTCTTGGTTAGTGTACTACCTACCTTTCTGTGGCTGCTATAATAAATTACCATGTATCAGTGGCTTAAAACACCAATGTAGTCTCTTACAGCTCTGTAGTTCAGAAGTATAACATGGGTCTCTCCAAGCTAAAATCAAGCTCCATTGACAGGGCCACATTACTTTCTGTAGGATCCATTTTCTTGCTTTTTCCTGCTTCCAGAGGCTACCCCCATCCCTTTGTTCATTGCCTTCTTCCTTCATCTTCAAATCTGTCGAAGACAAGTTGAATCCTTCTCCTACTGTATCTCTCTAGCGTTGCTTCTGTAATCACATCCCCTTCTCTCACTGGTGACTCTCTTCCCTTTCCCTTCTCTGCTGGTAAAAATCCTTAAAATTACATGGACCCACCCACTCATCCAGAATATCCTCCAAATCCCTACTTAATCACATCTGCAAAGTCCCTCATTCCATGTAGGGCAACATATTTATAGGTTCTGTGGATTAAGATGTGGACATATTTTGGGAACATTATTCTGCTTCCCACAGTTAGTATGCTTTTCTCTTGTTTTTTGCTTTTCTTTTTTCATTTTTCAGGATCTGATCTAAATTGTATAAGAAAAGTTTGCATTAGTCACTGCAAAACTTGCAAGAGACAGAAAAGGGCTTACATATGGACAATTATTAGAATAAAAACTATTTTCTAGGATAATATAACCCTAAAAGGGCAGCAAACGACTATAGGATCTTAAAAAGAACGAAATAGTGGAAGAATTAAGTCAATCACAGCACCTAGGACACATTCTCATAATGTGTAAATTGGAGCAAATTAACTAACCACTCTGAGCCTCAGTTTCTTTAACCTTTCAGGGATTTTACAAGAATTAAGGGGATAAACTGTATGCAGTAGGGGCTAACATGGGGCTGGTGCATATTCAGCATTTACTTGGTTGTTACTGTTGTTGCTGTTTTTGTGATTGTCAACTTTTTTCTTTCACTTGCTTTCTACTTCCTCTAGTCTCTGAATAAAAGCCTAGATTTTAAAATATTTTCTACACAGGTTAGTCTTATATATTGCATTTGACCCAAATAAATATTGCTGCTTTTCTCTCCTTCAGAGTTTGGGGGACTCTTGAACTCGCCATGCAAATTAAATCCACCCAAAGGCCAAATCAGTATGCTGTGGCACAAACCCTGGAGCTATTTTTAAGAGAATTGCCCTATGGTCACTGCCCGTCTCGTTTCCTCCCTCTCACAGCTGTTGCTAAGAGGGAAAATCACCTGGCAGAGAGTGGCAGCAGCAGCTGTCAGTGCAGAGAAAGGCTGTGGCCCAGCAGCCAGAGCTCCTGCTTCCTGCTAAAGGCAGCAATGAGCTTAGATCAGGTGAGCAGCAACACTCAAAATCAGGCTTCCCCCAGGGCAGCTGGACATCTGCCTAGGGACCTTCAGGGCCACCTGCCTCTTCACAAACAGCCAAGGTGGAGGGAAGAGCAGTAGCTACCTGTTGTCGCTTCTGCTCCATTTCTGATGAGCCTCAAGTCCATCTCTTATCCTGGTGTTAAGCCCCAGATGCCCCAACACTAGAGATTCTGTATGTCTAGTTTCTGACAGTAGATAGTCTGGATGGCATAGACTGAGGAGCCTCTGCTCCCTCTAGCATTTCCTGATGCATGTTCACTCTTGAGGGGAATGGAGATCTAGCTGTCACTATTTACACTATTTGCCTTTCTGACCTTTGCTGACTTGAATCATGGAGCCACTGAATGTTCAATTTGTGTCTTAGAAATCGCTGACTCCAACCACCTAAAAACGGGAAATGAAGGCCTAGAAAGAGACAGCAATTTTGCCAAAGACAAGAACTCGAACTCCATTTTGTCTAGCTCCCAATAACTTTTCTTTTCATGCAGCCCCAGCCACATTCTATACCCACAGTCTATGCTGCCTGTCCTTGTATCTCAAGATATAATTTTTCCATGGAGGAAGCAAGTGAGTAGCATGTCATTTCCAGAATTTAGTATTAAAATTATTTTCTTGCAGGCAATAAGATGCAGTAGTCCTCTGCAGGTGGTTTAGGGCAATGGCAAGGATGGTCAGAGACAATACCATATTTAAGATGCAGCATCATGGACTGAGCTTGGTGGCTACATGACATACAACAGCTGTGTTGGCCTAAGCCTAGCCTTTGGGGACTGCACAGAAGGCAGATGGGTGGCAGAAGGAAAAGTTGCTGAGTGACCAGGGGAAATGCAAGTCCACATGTTCCCTGAGCCTCTTTAAAAATGGATCCACAATTTCCATGTTCCCAAACAATCACCTATTACTGATTAATAAATTAAAACCTATGAGTACCAGAATGGGAGCCTCAAAGGAAATCCTTTAAAATGTCAAATCTGTCTGTTCTGTTAAAAAAAGCACCTAGCTATATAAGTAGAAAAAGGATTGTAGGACATAAGCTTGTGTATAGCTTAATGGCAGGGACACGTTTTATTCACGTTTTTATTTTTTCTACTATTTATGATCGTGCCTCCCCCAACACTGCCCACCCCCCCAGGACTCAACACTATGCAGTACACATAACAGGCACTCAATACGTGTTTTAACTTGACTGCATTCTTTTATACTGACCTAAAATGGGTAAAACTCTCCATTTCCCTTTTTCATAAGTTTTCAAGTGGCCCAGGTTCACTTGGCACTACAGACAATACAAGAGCAATCAGCCAAGAATGAAATGCCCTGAAGACTGGAAAAGCAGACATTAAAACCACTTGCTGCAGAAAGCCCTCAGCGTGAGGAGGAGGAAAGCACAGCAGCTGAGCTGCGGAGGGCACCCACCAGGCAGGACAAAGCTGCTCCCAGTGATCTGACGATCCTATTATTCTCCAAGTTTGCTCAGATTAATCAGACTCTCCAAATATTCTGAGGCTCCCTAACACCCAACTAATAGCTACATCAAGGATAAATTTATGCTAATCTGTTAATGTATACGCCCCACAGTCATTAGCTGAGGAGACTGGCTCCTCTGTACAATTGCTAGGGTTTCTTAAGATAACTAATGGACATGTTTTTAATAATTCTCCACACTAATTCTGTATTGTTTTTAGTGCTCACACATATGTGCCTGCAATTTTTCATCAAGTACCTACAGGATCTTATTAAGTACTTACAAGTACTTCATCAAGTACCTACAGGATCTATAGTTGCAAGATGGCTTCTGGTAGACAGTAGCTTCTAAGGGAAAAACAGCTTTTTGATGGATGTAGGTTACTCAAGTGTATTTAATAGATTCCACCCAGGGTAGTTTGTCATCAAGAATAACAATACACATATTCTGATTTATGTCAGCCTCATTAACTATTTCCTTACCAGTCCATATTTTGAAGTAGCTCCATGTATGCTGAATTTACTTTTAAAATGTTCATCTTCATTTAACTGAAAGCCCTCCTGCAGTCCCTGCTGAAACAACTGTTGTTTATTGGCCGAGCAGATCAGCTTTACTTTCCCTGCCAAAGGTAAATACCCAAAAGGAATCCAAAATTACACTGAATGAAAATTTGGATGAGCACCATTTTTGTTTTAATTTAGATAAAAACAGTCTTCGAAGGTTATGTGCTGTGAGGCAAATTTGGCTTATAAAGTAGGTCGGAGGTTCCTAAATGACTGAAATTATTCCAAGCAAACTGAGTTTTGTCCCAAACTGGTTAGTTTGTGTGGACCAACACAGGAAATTGAAAGGATTAGTTGGAAAGCAATGGTGTGTCTTGTCGGTTTGGTCTCTAAGGACCAGCTGATTCATTTATGATTCATTTGCATGTCACTGTGGCTAGACTAACCCATATGTTCACCTGATGCCCACCCACCCAGCAGTCACCTTGACATCTGCCATCCCAGCCTTCCCGCTGCACCTTCTGCTTACATCCTTGTCTCTTCTCCGGACTTCTTTGCTTCCTTACCTATTCCATGGCCTTGGACAAGCCACAGTCTTACTGATACTCAGTTTTACTATTAAAATGGGGATAATGGAGAATACCTTTAGGGATGCCCTAAAGAATAAATGAGACAATTTAGGTAAAGCAGCACAATGTCTAAAGCAAGGTAAAGACTCAATTAATATAAGTTAATATTATTATCTTCATTATCCTCTTCACAAATTGGCAAAAAGTAAGGAGAAAAGTAGTAGCAACATGCTGGAGAAGCTGGGCCCAGAGCTGGGTCAGAAGAGTTGGTTATTGCAGAAGGAGCTAAGGAAGCCCTTGCAATAGGAGGAGAGACAAGAGACCGAGGCTTAATACACAACCGTAAACTGGCACTCTCACCACCCCTGCAGCCTGCTGGAGGGCAGATGTGAAAACAGAGTTGATGGAGCATTGCACAGACGTAATGGGTCATTTTACCACTGGGCGAATAAGAACACAATGACTTCTATGAAAGGCTTGGGGTGAATGTTCTATCCAGTGGACACAATTCAGTCATTAAGTCACACTGCTGGGAACTCTATATGCCATTTTATTCCATATCAAACAGTTGTTTCCTGTAGGTAGACTCATGCTGCAAGCTGTCCTAAATGTTTTTGGTATTTTTGACTTCCCCCTTATTGATGTTTAGAATATAGGTGTGTATGCTCAATGAGAAAAGAAAAAAAAAAAAGACAACAAACCTGTTTTGTCTATATTGAGCTGAGCTTAGGAAGTTACAAGTCGGTCACTGACAACCACACCTGGGAGCTCCACAGGGCTAGGAGATGGCAGGGCAGGTACAGTCCTATTCCCAGTGCGAGCTCCGCCCTAACCCAGGAGGGCTTCTGGTCACATCTCCATGAGTTTCTTCTCACCACATCATTCCCATTACTTACCAATACTGCCTTAGTCATTAACTGTTCCCTTTTAAAGTGATCCTGTTAGAGTATAAATCAGATCATGTCATTTTACTTACGTTACACTTTAGAGTAAAATCCGAAACTCTTACTGCAGGCTATAAGGATCAGAATGTTCTGGTCCTTCCTCACATCTCCAAACTCATCCACAACTCCTCTATCCCTCATTTCAGCCCCACAATGATTTACCTTCTGTCCTTGAAACATGCCAACCTCCTTCTTTTCTCATTTGTGTTGGCTTTCCTCTCTGCATGAAACTATCACCCCATTGCCCCATCCCCGGCTCCTTGTATTCACCTTAAATGACCCCTTCATAGAGCAGCTCCCTTGATCACACAAAGGAACCCTTAGCTAACACTCTTAGTAACTCTACCTCATCAGTATTTTAGTCAGCCTTAGAGTGTTTATCACAATGGACACTCATTTTGTGTATTTATTTCCTTATTTTGTAATAACCGTAGTTATTTGCGGAGAGAAACCTATAAGTCCCTGCTGTGGCCACAGCACCTGGGCCAGTGTCTGGAATTGAGTAAACATGAATTAAGTATTCAACGAATGAGTAAATAAATGCTTCCTTCAAGGTTTTCCATTTTAGGCAAAACATCATGTCGTTTGATAATTATGCTCATGATCTCTTTATGAACATTTTTGTGGGGGGAGAAATAGTATCACACAGATCACAGTGAGAGGAAAAAAGTAACGGGTTATATGAAAAGGCTAGACAAACTGACGAGTGCTAAATCACCTGCTAACAGTGGCTTAAGTGAGAGTTTCTGAAATCCTGTGCAAGAAACTAAACTGAGGACTAACAGACATTTGTAGTCGAAACATCTGTTTTATAAAGCAATTGAGAAATCATAAAAATGTTTTATGCCTTTAGGGCCTAAATATTCCAAGACAAATATATATTTTAAAATATATTATTTATTCCTTTTCAAAGAATCTGACTCGGCATTCCACTATACATCAACTGATGGTAATCTATTCACCAAACTGGCTTGCAATGGGGAATTCTGGCTGCGGTTTGTGTGCCCTTGAATAAGACAAAATATCCTCTCTCTGATGATTCATTTTGCAAGTGGAAAGAAATTCTCAAAATGGGCTTGAGAACTGTTTTGCGGGGGGAAGAAAGGGCTGTGTTATAATTACAGCCATTTTATTTTCCTTTTTACAGACCGAAATGTAAAGATGATGTTTAGAATTCCATTTGCTTCTCTCCTTTTCCACCCAGCCACGTGCCTACCAACTCCCCTTACTGAACAGTGAGCTTTAAAGAGATGCAGGTGTTGAAACATATTCATATGGAAAATGTTCCTCAAACATGGCCCTAAATTATATTTGGTAACCAATTGTGTGAATATTTATGGCAGAGTTTGCTCATCCACTAAAGGAAAGAGTATTTTTCTATTACAAGCTTCACATCTTGATAAAACGCTCACCAGATTATATCCCATCTTTCTGAAGGAATCCCCAGTTAAAACAGTGTATCTGGTTCTTCACTTTTATGTTGTTATAAAATATGTTCAGGCATATAAACTGTTTTTCAGTTAACATTCCCCCTTGCTTTATTTTCTGTTTCACCTACACAGGCTTCAATGAATAAGAAAATGTATAAATGTCAGCTGGTTATCTGGACAGGCTCAGTTGCACACACAGCCATGGGTTTTTGTGACTGTTTAATTTTCAGCATGCCACACTTATGTTGTATTGATTTTTCATAATGTCATAAAGCAAATATCTATTGCAAAGGGGGCAAGATGGTGGCAACTGCTATTTCTAAAAGCAGGCATGCTGTGATGAAGTTAGGCCTATTACTATATCCACACATTCACCATTCTCCATTCATCTCTCCAAAACCCATCATCAGATTATTCCTGTCTGTAGCTGTTGTGACCTCCTACATTGGATAGCAAGTATTCCTACACATAAACAACCAGGTAAAGAAAATGGGGTTGGGTTGGAAGGTAGAGGAAAGGAGCTCAATTTGAAATGCAAGTCTTTAACTAAACTAGAAACTTGATACATGACTTATATTCTGATTACATCAGAAAACTGACACTTGGGCCCTTTGAGGCCAAGGGAGATTCTGTGAATGTACCCAAGAAAAAGCACCACCAAATTTCTGGCTCTGGGAGCTGGCAGAAGAGCAATAGGCTAGTCATGGAGGCAGCACTGGGCACCTGAATCACAGAATGTTTCAGAGGTGGAGCTAAAAATGGAACCTACTTGTGACAGGTGAGTTTGAAAGGCTAAGAAAAATCTCTTAGCTAAATTCAGGAGAAACAAGCTCTTCTGGCATTTGGTTTGGCTCCCAACTAAATGGCTTTTAACTGTGGGGCCAACTATATGTCAAAGCAAATTTTAAACGTAACTCTGATTATGTTTGTATCTCATTTTAACTCTGTGCTTAATTCTAACATTGAAGTTTTCACATTACCATAAGAGAACATTCTGTATCTTTCTTTTTAAATACAATTCCCAAATCATTGCTTTAAAGATCTCCACTTCCCTGCCATAGGGGCTTTCTTTCCTCCTTCACACACAGTGGTTATTTCTCTGGATAGGTCTTGCTATCTCTTTAGGAGAGTAATCTAAAGATCTACTCACAGTTCTTTCAGAAGTTTGGTCCTATAAACTCACAGTAAAATTAGGCCTTGAAAAGGACCAAACTTCTCATGCTAACCCACTGTTAATTTAGAGAGAGGAAAAGAAGAGTTGAAGGAGAGTGTCTCCATTTTTCAAACTGTGGAATCCTGGCTCCCGCTGAAGTTGGAAAAATAAGATTAATAACTTATGTTTATCTAATCTGTAATTTTCAAAAATAACTTCTAATACATGAGCTCACTTGATGCTCTTAAACCTGCAAAGATACAACAAAGACTAAAAAATATAAACAAATATCTTCCATATAAGATACATAAGTATGTGTATTTACCTTTGTTTTACAGCTGACAAATGTGCTGCAGATAATAAACACAGGCCTTTCAGCTAGTGAAAAGTGAGCAACGGGGACTTCAAACCTGATGCCCCCTCTTGCCGGCCTATTGTCTTTCTGCTTCTCTTGGCTCTCCCTACTCTGTTAAAGCCTAGGGCTAAGCTAAGGCTAAAAGGGTATTAATGATTCCTTTCAGAGGCAGCTAGGACAAAGGAAATATTGCACAAGAGAACTAAATGCTTCAGATTTTGTTCCAGACTGAGCAGAGAAAAAGAGAATGAACACTTTCAAATATTAAGATTGTTGCTTCTCATCTCCATCTTTGTCAATTGTTGGCCAATAGCTGAAAAGAATAAACATTTAAACAACGTATACATTTCACCTTATAGGTAGCCTTTCAATTATAGGTAGGGGAAAAATGAAGGTCTCTGCAAAGTACAGAAGGAGAATCCTGCAGGAAGGGACCCAGAGGCATGCTATCAAGAGTGCACTGGAATGTTTTGTTTTGTGTTCTGTGCAAGACAGAATCATTTCATTATTTACAAGAGTTATTCTTTTCCTACCTCAGGAGGAAGTCAGAAAATGAGAACACGGAAACGCTTTTTGTAACATTTTAAATTTTATTTCTTAGGTTTGAGAAAGAGATTAAAGGCTGGGCACCGTGGCTCAGACCTGTAATCCCAATACTTTGGGAGGCCAAGGTGGGCAAAGCACAAGGTCAGGAATTTGAGATCAGCCTGGCCAACATGTTGAAATCCTGTCTCTGCTAAAAATACAAAAATTAGCCGGGCATGGTGGCACGCACCTGTAATCCCAGCTACCTGGGAAACTGAGGCAGGAGAATCGCTTGAACCTGGGAGGTAGAGGTTGCAGTGAGCTGAGATTGCACCACTGCACTGGGCGACAGAGAAAGACTCCAAGAAAAAAAAAAGAGAGAGAGAGATTTAAATAAACTAGCATTGTCACAAAGTAGGAATAAAAGAGATTCCCACAGTCTTTTTTTTTGTTTTTCCTTCGGAACTGTAAGGTTCTTAACTTCTCCAATAGTGCACGGCTCTGAAAAGTACTTTTAGAAAGCAGTTCCAACATTTCTTTTCAGGCAGTTCTTAAGAATGTTGGAATGTGAACAACAACAAAAAAAAGTTGCTTCAACCACAGCCTGCACTCTGCATTTGGCCGGCAAGCACTGCTGACGTTGCAGAATAAATACCAATGACACCACAAGCAACTTGAAAAAATTTTTTGGACTGACAAAGCTCACATTATGCAACACTTAATTGAGTATATTTCTTCACATAGAGAGAAACAGCACAGTGGTCACAGGGTAAAATCCAGTGAATTGAATATACTGGGCATTTTAATTGCAGAAAATTGTGCATTCCTGCCATCATTGTTTATAATAACTACATACACGTGCTGCATTAAACCAGTTCTGAGTTTAAGACCTAAATGAACCAGACTCAGACACACAGACTGCTTTCCTACTCCCTACTGCCATCATAGACTAAACAAGTATCAGTCATGAATAAAACATCAAGGTGAAATATAAATATACACATCGCCCTTCTCAAAAGTATCATGGCAAAGGCCCTTACACATAATAAAACTGCTTGGTGCATCTCTTATGGGAAGACACAGAGTACAGACAGCTGTGCTAGTCCTGGACTCAAGAGTCCAGCCTTTATTAACCCAAAGCTTAGGGCACTAAGCCACCTCTCGACACCAAGGAAGAGTGGTGAATTTAGGCTAATCTCACCAAAAATGCAACAACGCACAATTGTAAAGGCAGACAGCCCAGTAAGGAACTGCCAGGATGCTTAAGGAATTAAAGAATAAGACCAAGAAACCTCAGTCAAGATTTAGAACTAGGGAAACAGTGAAAAGCTACACTGGAGCAGGATGCTCTCTCCAGTGGAAGCAAGATACACCCAGAGCCCAGTGTGATGAGGCACACTGCTGGAGGAGGATGAGAGCTTCATGCAAGGAAGAACCAGGTGGGCCGCAAGGCATCTCCTCTGCCTCTCCCACCAACATGCTCAAATTCGGCTTTGAACCTCTGGAAAATAAAAATCAACCACCAGAGTCCCAAATTAGACATTTTTCCAAGAATTGAGTCATTCTACTCCAATATTGGATTCAGTAATCTCAGAAAAAGATGCAAGAAATCAATTTCCTGATAAAAACAAAATATCTCATCAAGAGCACTCTTGGGAAACAGACTGCACAGCCAGGCGAACAAGTCAGAGAGCAAAGGATGCAAAGACTGCCAAGCAGCATGAAATGAAGAGCAAATATTTGAACTGGTATACCCATTTCCTTAGGAAATGTGGTTGCAATGAAAAAGTGATCAAAACAAATGATAAATATTTTCTCCATCTAAGTCATTGCTCACCCTGTACACAGTACCCAGGCCCTGGGATGGATGACACCAGTCTTCATGGACTACACAATATACGCTGTGATTTGCTACTCAAAGGGTGCAAGGCTAACGTTTGCCCTTATCACGTTTATTTGTCTGTGTATCCCTTACATGGAAATCCAAGACCTCCTTGGCCCTGCCATGTGTGCACCAAGCTAGCTCCCAGTTCAGATCTCAGGACCCGGCTCATCAAATCCATGGTTAACAAGCTTTCTTGAAGGTTCTAAATGCAATCATTGTTTTAAAAACTCATCTGTTTGAAATAAAAAAAAAGAAAGCATTGCCAGGAACTGCTTAAAGGAAAACAAAAAACTCATTTGATTTTTTTTAAAACTTTGCCCATCAGCTGCCAAGTAAACTTATTAAGTCTTCGTTTTATAAGGAATCATGAAACACATCCAAAAGCAATTTTATATAGCCAGTAGGTACTAACCAAACACACTGCCATTCACATTTACAGGTTTCTTTTTTTCTGCATCCCACTGTAAACCTCTCAAAAATGAAAGTATCACATCTTTTTATACTCTTTTAGTTTCTATCACAGTTCTCTGAACACAGTGGTCTTTCAAAGTTCATGGTGGCCTTTCAATCAATATTCAATGTTCAATGTTTCAAGCACAGAAACAGTGCATATTCTATTCACACATTTATTTGCTTTTCTGTTTTCTAAAAATAACATGACTTATTCATTTTAATGTGTTCTTCCTACATTGGAGAAAAGAGATTTCCTGAGAAGCAAAGAGCAGAAATTCTGCATATGTGCATATACATGAGATTTCTCTTACAAACATATCAACAGGTGGAGCATGTTAACTTGATTTCACGCGAGAACAGAGGCCAAACTTTGCTTACTGTTGTACACTCTGACTTGAGAGAGAGAGACAGAGACAGAGAAATAAAGAACAGCTAAAGACAGATATAGATTAGATAGACATAACCAAACACAACAAAAGGTCTATCACAGTGTTATGGTATTATCAAAACATTATGATGATAAAAATAACTTTCTGTAATAATGTTGAAGATATGAGTGCTAGAAGGAGGTTCAGAGAGAAAAATCAAAGCATTATAGATAATAGTGGGACAACACAGTGGCATATGTAGGGCAGAGTAGAGAAATATCTGGGAGTGAAGTTGGTACCAGTTTAAAAGGACATGGTCCCATTCCCTAGAATTCCCATAGAAAACTGAGACAAATGCTTCAAATCAAGGCAGCTGGTTAGGAAGGGAAGAGAGTAAAAGACACACAACAACATGGGCTTCCTAAAGGCTCCAGTCATCATTTTCAGTCAGATCCTAGATGCCATCTGCAGGTGAGAGTCCAGTGCTGGAGTTCTAGGGCTGCATCCTCAGGTCCCCATTTTCCTGAGACAGTTTTCTGAACGTGAGGGAGGGAGGTAGAGAAATTCAGATAACAGACTTACAACCTCAGGCATCAGCCAAGTTTCTTCTCCAGTTACAACATGTGAACACAAAGGCAATTCATGTTTAGTAATCTTATATTGAAAAGGAGACCTTTTTGCCCTTATAGCACTGAGGAACTCCAAATAGGATCATTCAAATTTTCATAGCCCTTCCAACAGTTTCCATCTTAGACTTCGGGCTTTTTTTCTCCATTAATTTGCCTGCCATTAAGTATCCAAGTTGGATATGAGGAATATTATGCTGTGGATATTTCTTCTATTACTCTGAATGAAGACCTGAAACGTAATGGAATAGCCTAGCTATACATCACTGAAAGACTGTATTTGCCAGAACAGAAATTCATTACAAGAGACGGTATCACATAAATGGTTCTGTATAAGAGGGCTATTTCCATGTCTTTGTAGAGGAACCTGAATTATACAACTCTGTTATCTGGCTACAAATTTCTTAAATAACCTCATGCAATAAATGTTTTACTTACTCTATGCACCCATGCGAATGGTTAAGTTTTTGTTTTTCCGGTCCCACATATTGGCTGTATGTATTGGAGAGAAGACTAACAAAGTGTTCATTCACGAGACTGCGGTCATTTTTATTGCCTCATCTTGATGTCTCAGTTACTGTTCAAATAAGTGATATGACACTAGTGTAGCAGAAAGGATGTCACTCTAAATTTGAATATATGTGTGTGTGTGTGTATATATATATATAATTAAATTGATGTTATATATTTGTAGTAATTAATATAAATCATTTCCGGTGATATACATATATATAAATGATTTATATGTATTTAAAGTTTGGATTTTAAAATGATTCAATGATTATTATTTTATTAAAAAACATGTCTGTTTCTTTCAGCTCTGTCATTCTTCTACTTACACAGAACTGAACAATTCTTCATCTCCCAGTTTCTCAATCTCTCTCTTCCTCTCTCATTTCAGTTTAATTCCCATGGAAGTGTTGGAAGTAATTGCCCTCTGAGAATGTGAGACTGGATGCTAAATGAAACATTCTTACTTTAGTTTCAGGAAAAAAAAATGTTGCATTATTTTCAAATCTGGGTTTAGTAACTGATTTGCCAAAGGTGGCATAATGACTCCAGTGGGATTTGGAATTTTAGCTTTCGTTGAAAGCTTCACAGCGATCCCTTCAATTTCTCTTATGTATAGGCCTTAAACCAGAGATGTGAATGTATCCTTGTATTTCTTAGATGAAAAATAATTCTGTCCCATAGGCAGTATGCTGCGGAAGTATTGCAGAGGCTTTAAAGAGAAAGACATTTTTTTCCTCAAGATCACCTGGAAGTTTTTCTTTACTTTTAAGATTACTGAACCACTCTTCTTTTTTACATTCACCCAGTGCATCTGAAAGGAGCCCAGCAATTATTTCAGTCCTCCCAGGATGAAGTTACAGTGGCGCACTCCCCACCCCTCAAGCATCAGCCTGCCGCCAGCAACACTCCCAGGACTGTCATGGTTGCAGATGGTGATCTAGAATGCATAAGGCTGGGGCTGAGTGCTCACATTCCATTTCCTCTCTGATCTTTAGTGTCTGCTCATAATGCCCTAAGATTTTCCCACCTCTGTGATTTTTTTCTTTCTGCCTCTCTACAATATTAGTATTTTCTGTAATATCTGGCCCCCTGCTTTGTGCTAGGGAAGTTTCTGCAGGATTGAACACACTCCATTGTTTAATCCACTTCTATAGAAACAACACAGCCATCCCAGAGGAAAGCTGCCATTTCACAACCACTCTTGCTTTCCCTGAAGCCTCACTTTTTGCCTTTCACTCAAAATCAAATCCCCTGGGCTCTTTGTTGCTACACTGTTTCAGAAGAAAAATTAGATTACCTTAAGATTATAAATACTGAAAAACAAATATGCTGAACTGAATTTAGCTCACCTTTTCTTTTTTTTTTTTTTTTTTTTTTTGAGATGGAGTTTTGCTCTGTCACCCAGGCTGGAGTGCAGTGGCACGATCTTGGCCCACTGAAACCTCCGCCTCCTAGGTTCGAGCGATTCTCCTGCTTTGGCCTCCTGAGTAGCTGGGATTACAGGTGCAGGCCACCACACCCGGCTAATTTTTGTATATTTAGTAGAGACAGGGTTTCACCATGTTGGTTAGGCTGGTCTCGAATTCCTGACCTTGTGATTCACCTGCCTCGGCCTTCCAAAGTGCTGGGATTACAGGCGTGTTAGCTCACCTTTTCAATGTTCATTTTGCAATAATCAGTTGGTGCCTTAAAATAAATCCTCTCTGACATTTGAGTCTCATTTAATCTTCACCTTGGTTGAAGCTTCTGGGCCTCAATCTCTCTCCACCCTCCCGCCCTTCAACTCTGGGTTGCCCAGCAACCTCAAACAGCTGGTTGCCCAAACAGGAAAAGTAAATGGGATTAACTCTGGAGGAAACTAATTGAAGGAAGCATTAGTATGCTCCCAATCAGAATTATTTCAATACTAGTTGATTAAGTTGTGCTCGGCTGTCCTAAGTAAGAGTGTGGGCTGTGGAGTGTACAGGTGGAAGGACGGTCACAGACATGAAGATGGAATATTCACAGCAGTGGTGACAGCAGCTACTACAGCCATAAAAGTAACTGACCTCTGCTTGCAAAAGTGCACAAAATCATATTACAAGTCTTTTGCCCACTACTCCTCTCATTCATGTATTCATGCATGAATTCATGCATTCATTCACTAACTCACTCACTTAACCATTCAGTATTTATTGAATGGCAAAAGGCCATTATAGAAATTCTGTGGAGGGATAACCAGACTTTGGTTTCAATTCTAGCTCCACTATTTACTAGCACTGTGATACTGAGATACATTTCTTAAACTTTCCAAGTCTTAATTTCAACATTGGTAAAATCAAATTACCAATATCTACCTTAAAGAGATATTGTGAGGATTAAGTAAAACGGAGCAAGCAAAACAACTACTATAGTCACTGCCCAGGTTAGATCTTCAGTTAGTCACCTTTCCCCTCCACCACAGGGCACTGGAATGTGAGAGAAATGTTGACGGTGCATTAACTAGTTTGGGACATGGGGCCATATTTCAAGCAGCAAGCCAAGATAGAAATGGAATCTCAGCAGTAGAAATTGAGAGGAATGGACAGACATGAGACTTGTTAATATAGTCTGAATTGATGTCCCCACCCAAATCTCCTGTTGAAATGTAAAAGTGTTTGGATCACGGGGGCAGATCCCTCATAAATGGCTTGGGCCATACCCTTGGTGATAAACTGAACTCTCCCTCTGACTTCACAAAAGATCTGATCATTTTAAAGTGTGTGCCCCCACCCCGCTGCACTCTCTCTCTCTGTCTCTCTCTTTTGCTCCTGCTTTTGTCATGTGAAAAACCATCTCCCCCTTTGTCTTCCACCATTATGATAAGCTTCCTGAGGCCTCCTTGGAAGCCAAGGAGATGCCGGCACCATGCTTCCTGTAAAGCATGCAGAGCCATGAGCCAATTAAACCTCTTTTCTTTATATTACCCAGTCTCAGGCACTTCTTCATAGCAATGCAAGAATGGCCTAACCAATGGTTTTCCAGAAAAAATGAACAGAATGAAGTGAATGTGAATAAGTGGAAATTGTCAAAGTGCCCCTGATTTTTTAAGCTTAGATGATCTCAGAGAATGCTGGTGTCATTGAAAAATTAGCAACGAAGGAAGGGAAGTTACTTTGTGGATGTGGAACAATTTAGGTGTAAGTATAGGGATCAGAGCTGATTCTGAGGTATAACAATGAAGACCATCACTTTGACTTCCATTTGCCTTTTTCTACTCTGCTATGGAACCCAGCTACCTAGAACAATGGAGACAGCAGGGGCAGGTGAAGAAACAGGTGGAGTCAGCTGGAGTTATTAGAATCTAGGGCGCTCAAATGAGCTAGGACTCTGACATTCAAAGATTTAGCATTGGTTTTATAAATGCTTTTTAAGGATTCTTTTCCTTCAAAGACTATATGTATTTTTAAGTATGAGCTAGGTTATGCTGCAGTAACTAATCAGCCACTACATACCATTGCCTTAGCCTAACAAAGGCTTATTTCTTGCTCTTACTACATGTCCAGTGCAGGTTGGGGAGCTCTTCCGTACACAGGAACTCAATGATGCAACTGATAAGGACTCTACCATCTCTTAAATGCACCATCTGGGACACAGATCTTTTATTCTTCCCACATCAGGAGAGACAGACATATGAGTTTTCATTGCCTAAGTCCTAAAATTACACGTTTCCCTAGAGCTTGTTTATCAGACCTAACTCACATGGCCCTGCTCATTACACAGAGTCTGAGAGCTACATTCTTCCATGTGCTTGGAAGAGGGGGAGAAATGTATGTCAGAGAACACTAGAAATGTCTTCCACTAGACACCTTGATGGGTTGAATAGCTCCATTTTTGAAACAGGTGGCTTAAATCTCTTTAATGTCACATTGGTTCATGCAGAAGATAGGGTATCAGCCACTTTAATGGTTAGGACAGTGAATATAAGGGAGGGGGTTTAGATGACAAAAAAGATAGCTGGCCCATTGAGAGCTAGAGGATATTCCCTAAGAAACCAGAAGTTTTCAAAGTGAGAGATTAGAACCTCTAGAGACCTCCAAGACCATTTCAGGTCACTCATGAAGTCTTCCCTTTTCCAAATGCCTATCTATGGGAGGCCAAATTTTATGTACTTCACATAACACAACATATTGCAGTAGATTAAAATGAAGAGGAAGATATTAGA
Source organism: Homo sapiens (assembly GCF_000001405.40). Lineage (NCBI taxonomy): Eukaryota > Metazoa > Chordata > Mammalia > Primates > Hominidae > Homo > Homo sapiens. The sequence goes on along the minus strand of NC_000015.10, from coordinate 47,286,588 downwards.
ATCTAGCTGTCTTCTATTAAATCAAATATTAATATGAAAGAAATTTGCAAAAAAAATTGTAAAACAATGCCACTCTTCACATGGAATATTTTTCTTTCGGAAAATAGCTACTTTTCACAATAATACATTACATATGTTTATATTAATGTGTTTATTATTGTTTTAAATGAATCAATACATATTTTATAATCTGAAATTTGACATCTAATATAGTATTGATAGAACTCCTGTAAACATAATTTTTAAGAGTGTAAAGGTGTACTGAGACCAAAAGTTTGAGAACTTTCCAGACCAGTTCAAGTCAGCCATATAGCCCTAAGACCCTCTGCACACTGGGCAAGTTCATTCTGGGAAATGGGGCTTCAGAATCTCTGTAGACTGGAAGAATCTACTCAGAGTTTAGGTTCCCATTTCTCTGTAGGTCAGACAAGTGGTTTCAGAGACCAAGGAGATAAGGGACCATGAAGGCTAGACAGGTCCAACCCAGAGTCCTAAAGTTCAGACACGTCCTCTTAAGAACCTGCATTCTGAATAAGGCATAGAGTCAACACATGGGATGGAATGATTAAGCTGGCGCATAAGCCTAGCTTGGTTGTTCTTAGTTAATTATCACTCATAAAAGTTATCAGAGAACCTTTGCTTTTAAAAAAAATCTTCCAATATCCAATAAAATGTTAGTAATAAGTTAGTAAGTTAGTAAAAGTAATGTTTGTTAAAGTAAAAGTTAACAAGAAGAGTATAACCTGAAGTATGAAGTTAGGATAGAAATGAGACTAGAGAAAAGGGTGGGAACCTGTGCAATGATTTTCTCATTTGCAAACTTAGGGATGCTTGAAGGACTTCTACAAGTGAGTCAAGGCATTTCTGGAGTGGCCACCTGGCAATTTCATTCCTCACAGTAAGTGACGTTTTTTGCAGTTCTTCTCGTTGTCTACCCTTCAGGAATGTCTTCGTTCAGTTCATCCACTTTTCATCTGAATTATTCAAAAAAATGCAATAGCAGACTGGATGCAGATGATAAACAACAGGGGTTTCAGGAGATCTGCACAGTTTCAGGGTCTGTCCCTGTAGTAGGGTCACTTATTACTTTCTCCTTCCCTTTTTTTTTTCAAACATCTATATTCTTCAAATTGTTTTCTTGTAGAAAGAAAAAAACAAACAAACTGTGAACTCCTCTCCAATAAAGTAAGAAACAAGGTTTGTTACCCATTTTCTTTTTCTTTTCAACCAAAGACAGAGGCCATCTTTGTGATCTGTCCTTGCTGGAGATTATATATTTCCTCTACTCTGAATCAGCCACTAGAAAGGTTAAAAAAAAGAGAAAGACAGAGAGACAGAGAGAGAGAGAGACAGAGTGGGGGAAAGGCAGAAAATAGGAATGTTTAAACTACACAGAATAAATAAATAATTCAGCAATATTAACCTCTCAACTACCTGCAAAGCATTCTCTGTAGCTCAAATGGTGAGCCAGCCTTGTGAGAGAAATGGTGTTTATCATTTATTTAATACACATGGCTGCAGTCTTGGGAAGAAAAGTTTAAAAGTAATGTCAACAGGCAAAGGATCACACTAGGAGTCATGGAGCTCACCTTGCGTTTCTCCCTGAGGCAGAGCTGACGTGAATTCATTCAGGGCCATTCTATTATTCATGCAAGGAACTGTCTATCACAAATGCAATATGAAAAGGAGATGCGCCCCATGTGAGGCATGAAATATCATCTCTAATAACTGGCAGTTTAATTTCAAGATTTCGGGTCTGCTCATTTAAAAGTACCTGAAGCAAAGTTCTAAAGCACAGAATGATAAAGGAAATCACGGTTGTTATACTTTAAGAAACCTTGTCCCATTTCTGCTAGAAAATATAAGAAATTGAGTTAAAAAGAAGATATGGAAAACAATGCAAAACCGACAATAGAATGCCATGGCAGACAGTGCCTCAGAACTTTTCATAATTCTGTAGCACATTCACTAGGACATAGTTTTTGTAATTATCTTAGAAAACTGGTCTTATTCTTTTCCAATTCTAGGGCAACTGAGAAGAGAATTCAGAAAATTTATAGTGGAATCTCAAATTTACAGTACAACCTAGATCATGCAGCACAATCATTTACTAATAGACTCATAGTACAACGGACTTAAAAACCTAGAAAGGACCTTGGGAATCAACCATCATAATAAACTTATGTTAGTGGTTAAGAAACGGGGGCCCAGTGACATATGACCACAACTGCAGATTCAGTGTAACCCAGTGTTCTTTCTATTACACTTTGTGACTTTTTAAATTTCTCTTTTAAAAATTATATGATGTGAGTGATAACAAGTGTTTAACTGTCACCATATAAACAATAGGTTCAAGCACATCTTCTGGCAGATGTTCAAACATCTTCACATCTATGATACTATGTGATCTATTTGAGATATGCCTCTTGCTTACAGAGCTTTTTTAAAAAAGGATTCCTGTCTGAACCTTCCTGAATTGGATGTGTTGTGCGTAAGGGAGACACTTTTGGTGGCAAAGGCTAGTTTTGTGGGATTCCTAGGATCTCGGCTCTTCAAGTGAACCAAAAGCAGTGGGTAGAGGTGATGACAGAAAAAGGAAGCCAAAGCCCACTAAACCAAGAAAGGGAGTTAAAGTAGAAGGTCAAATAGAAATGGAGGTTATACACCCAGGACTTCCTATCCGAGTAAGGTATGGGCAACAGCGGCAGCAGATGTGATCAGGACCCTGTCTGTGCAACAGCCTGCAGCTCCTGCTGTCTGTGAATGGTTTGCCTGTGCCAGCTGTGGCAAGGGTGAGTAGGTGGGCTATGATTAAACACAGGGTTGAGACAGGCTCACACATATAAGAAGTGTTAAGCTGGTGTGCTTGCTGTGTTTCTGGTGTAGCCTCAAATTGTCTCCAGCTGGACATTTCTCTTAGCATGGTGGGAAAGTAGAGGCAACAACCCGAGCCTCAGCCCACCCACTACTGATGAGGCCTGGCTCTCTTTCTGAAGTCGAAAAGTCTCAAGTGTTCCTCAGGCCACTTCGGGTAGAATGTGAAAGCTGCCAACGTAAGAGATTTGTAGGAAAAGAAAATGAGAGTTTGGAAAGAAAAGTGGCAGGAATTGAGTGAGAGGAGACAGATGTAAGCTGTAAGTAAACACCAAAACCTCCAACGGAAAGTCAAAGTACAATTCAACCAATTAATCAGTATGTGCCTAGAGTTCGCAATGCCAAACAGCTTGTGGTGTCACAGCCTCCATGAGTGTTTAAATTTAATGATTCAGGATAGGGCATGTGCTCGAGTGAAAAAACATATACACACACATGTACGCATATACTTTTCCTTCTGCTGATTGTGCCTGGTGTGTCTGCCAAACAACCACATTCTAGGTCCTGCCACTTTGGGGTTTAGAGGGCTTAGGAATTTAAAAAAGAGGAAAATGAGGGTGGGGTGGAATATGGGACACCACTGTGTCTCAAATGACAGAAAGGAAACCACTGTGAAGGGCTTTCCAACAGTCTGGCCTTTGAGAAACCAGGACTAAAAGTTTCTCTGGACTCTAGAAATGCTAGCCCCTGTTAAGCTCAACATCAGGAAATCATAGTGAAAAAACAGGGAAGATAGGAGAGTGAGGACATGAAGGAGCTTGGCTGGCAGGAGAGAGGGGGCACAGCAGTCAGAGAAGTGGCATGAGAATGTTGGGAAATAGGTCACATAAAAAGCATACTTTGCTGCCCAACAGTGCTGGTAAGCGTCTACCTAGAAAAGGGAAAAGATGGTTTGAGCCTTGGGGCTGATGTCAGGAACAATGACAAAGGAAAGACACAGACAAGGCATCATAGCATCATCTACATTAAAAGTAGCCAGAAAAGCTTCCAGTATAGTGCCCCACACTAACTGACCCTCAAATGTGCTATCACCTTCTGTTCTGTACAATTTCCTTGAGTGGCTTTGAAATAAAATAGTCTACACTGTTCACAGACATTTTAAAAATACTAAAAAACTGAATATATGCATACTCTCGCAGGCATATATCCAACAGAAATGTGTCCACTCATTTACCAAAATACACTTATAAGAGTGTTTGTAGCAACAGTACTCACGATAGTAGGCACCTAAAAATTACCAACATGTTCATCAACAGTAGAATAAATAACTTGTGTTAAAATATAATAGGATACTGTGAGTATTTATTCTCCCTGCTGTATAGTATTCTATTGTGAAAATCAGGATTAATATCACAAGCCTAATGTTGAGCAAAAGAAGCCGACACAAAGAGCACATACTGCATAAATCCGTTTACACAAAATTCAAAAACAGATGAAAAGCATCTATGCTACTAGAAGTCATTAAAGTGGTTATTGTTGGTGGGGATAGGGTAGGGATCATGACAAAGTGGAGTTGATAATGATCCTAACAATAATTTTTATGTCAAAATTAGCAAATGTCCTGTTTTCAGTGAGTACCTATACATGTATATGCACACATGAATTCTTTGTGTTTAGAGAGTAGGATACTAAGCACATTATTATCACATAATTTACAGTAATAAGGACAATTATTACTCTTCCATGCCAGGCAGTATAGTATTGTAATGGAGGAAGGATAGGGTATAGTGTAAAACTAAGCTGAATTAATTGATTCAGCTACTTGCTAGTTCTATAATTAGGGTAAACCTATATATGCTTTAATATCCTTATTTGTAAAATTGGGATAAAAATATCTATATTTAGATGTATCGTGGAAATATAAAGAAATGAAAAATAATAAGAATGGGCATATCTCAAAAATGCTGTGGGTTTGGTTCCAGAATGTTACAACAAAGCAAAGATTGCAGTAAATTCACATGAATATTTTGGTTTTCCATCGAAAATAAAATTTATGTTAACATTATACTGTGCTCTATTAGATGCACAGACATTATATCAAAAAAATAGTACCAGCTGCTGCAAAATCATGCCAAAATGTAAAGACCATTGAGACTAGGAAGAAACTGCATCAACTAACGAGCAAAATAACCAGCTAACATCATAACGACAGGATCAAATTCACACATAACAATATTAACTTTAAATGTAAATGGACTAAATGCTCCAATTAAAAGACACAGACTGGCAAATTGGATAAAGAGTCAAGACCCATCAGTGTGCTGTATTCAGGAAACCCATCTCACGTACAGAGACACACATAGGCTCAAAATAAAAGGATGGAGGAAGATCTACCAAGCAAATGGAAAACAAAAAAAGGCAGGGGTTGCAATCCAAGTCTCTGATAAAACAGACTTTAAACCAACAAAGATCAAAAGAGACAAAGAAGGCCATTACATAATGGTAAAGGGATCAATTCAACAAGAAGAGATAACTATCCTAAATATATATGCACCCAATACAGGAGCACCAAGATTCATAAAGCAAGTCCTGAGTGACCTACAAAGAGACTTAGACTCTCACACATTAGTAATGGGAGACTTTAACACCCCACTGTCAACATTAGACAGATCAACAAGACAGAAAGTCAACAAGGATACCCAGGAATTGAACTCAGCTCTGCACCAAGAAGACCTAATAGACATCTACAGAACTCTCCACCCCAAATCAACAGAATATACATTTTTTTCAGCACCACACCACACCTATTCCAAAATTGACCACATATTTGGAAGTAAAGCTCTCCTCAGCAAATGTAAAGGAACAGAAATTATAACACACTATCTCTCAGACCACAGTGCAATCAAACTAGAACTCAGGATTAAGAATCTCACTCAAAACCGCTCAACTACATGGAAACTGAACAACCTGCTCCTGAATGACAACTGGGTACATAATGAAATGAAGGCAGAAATAAAGATGTTCTTTGAAACCAACGAGAACAAAGACACAATATACCAGAATCTCTGGGACGCATTGAAAGCAGTGTGTAGAGGGAAATTTGTAGCACTAAATGTCCACAAGAGAAAGCAGGAAAGATCCAAAATTGACACCCTAACATCATAATTAAAAGAACTAGAAAAGTAAGAGCAAACACATTCAAAAGCTAGCAGAAGGCAAGAAATAACTAAAATCAGAGCAGAACTGAAGGAAATAGAGACACAAAAAACCCTTCAAAAAATTAATGAATCCAGGAGCTGGTTTTTTGAAAGGATCAACAAAATTGATAAACCACTAGCAACACTAATAAAGAAAAAAAGAGAGAAGAATCAAATAGACACAACAAAAAATGATAAAGAGGATATCACCACCGATCCCACAGAAATACAAACTACCATCAGAGAATACTACAAACACCTCTACGCAAATAAACTAGAAAATCTAGAAGAAATGGATAAATTCCTCTACACATACACTCTCCCAAGACTAAGCCAGGAAGAAGTTGAATCTCTGAATAGACCAATAACAGGATCTGAAATTGTGGCAATAATCAATAGCTTACCAACCAAGAAGAGTCCAGGACCAGATGGATTTACAGCCAAATTCTACCAGAGGTACAAGGAGGAACTGGTACCATTCCTTCTGAAACTATTCCAATCAATAGAAAAAGAGGGAATCCTCCCTAACTCATTTTATGAGGCCAGCATCATCCTGATACCAAAGCTGGGCAGAGACACAACCAAAAAAGAGAATTTTAGACCAATATCCTTGATGAACATTGATGCAAAAATCCTCAATAAAATACTGGCAAACCGAATCCAGTAGCACATCAAAAAGCTTATCCACCATGATCAAGTGGTCTTCATCCCTGGGATGCAAGGCTGGTTCAATATATGCAAATCAATAAATGTAATCCAGCATATAAACAGAACCAAAGACAAAAAACACATGATTATCTCAATAGATGCAGAAAAGGCCTTTGACAAAATTCAACAACCCTTCATGCTAAAAACTCTCAATAAATTAGGTATTGATGGGACGTCTCTCAAAATAATAAGAGCTACCTATGACAAACCCACAGCCAATATCATAGTGAATGGACAAAAACTGAAAGCATTCCCTTTGAAAACTGGCACAAGACAGGGATGCCCTCTCTCACCACTCCTATTCAACATAGTGTTGGAAGTTCTGGCCAGGGCAATTAGGCAGGAGAAGGAAATAAAGGGTATTCAATTAGGAAAAGAGGAAATCAAATTGTCCCTGTTTGCAGACGACATGATTGTATATCTAGAAAACCCCATTGTCTCAGCCCAAAATCTCCTTAAGCTGATAAGCAACTTCAGCAAAGTCTCAGGATACAAAATCAATGTACAAAAATCACAAGCATTCTCATACACCAATAACAGACAAACAGAGAGCCAAATCATGAGTGAACTCCCATTCACAATTGCTTCAAAGAGAATAAAATACCTAGGAATCCAACTTACAAGGGATGTGAAGGACCTCTTCAAGGAGAACTACAAACCACTGCTCAAGGAAATAAAAGAGGATACAAACAAATGGAAGAACATTCCATGCTCATGGGTAGGAAGAATCAATATCGTGAAAATGGCCATACTGCCCAAGGTAATTAAAGAGCGCGCATCGCCAAGTCAATCCTGAGCCAAAAGAACAAAGCTGGAGGCATCACACTACCTGACTTCAAACTATACTACAAGGCTACAGTAACCAAAACAGCATGGTACTGGTGCCAAAACAGAGATAGAGATCAATGGAACAGAACAGAGCCCTCAGAAATAACGCCGCATATCTACAACTATCTGATCTCTGACAAACCTGAGAAAAACAAGCAATGGGGAAAGGATTCCCTATTTAATAAATGGTGCTGGGAAAACTGGCTAGCCATATGTAGAAAGCTGAAACTGGATCCCTTCCTTACACCTTATACAAAAATCAATTCAAGATGGATTAAAGACTTAAACGTTAGACCTAAAACCATAAAAACCCTAGAAGAAAACCTAGGCATTACCATTCAGGACATAGGCATGGGCAAGGACTTCATGTCTAAAACACCAAAAGCAATGGTAACAAAAGCCAAAATTGACAAATGGGATCTAATTAAACTAAAGAGCCTCTGCACAGCAAAAGAAACTACCATCAGATTGAACAGGCAACCTACAAAATGGGAGAAAATTTTCGCAACCTACTCATCTGACAAAGGGCTAATATCCAGAATCCACAAATAACTCAAACAAATTTACAAGAAAAAAACAAACAACCCCATCAAAAAGTGGGCAAAGGACATCAACAGACACTTCTCAAAAGAAGACATTTATGCAGCCAAAAAACACATGAAAAGATGCTCACCATCACTGGCCATCAGAGAAATGCAAATCAAAACCACAATGAGATACCATCTCACACCAGTTAGAATGGCAATCATTAAAATGTCAGGAAACAACAGGTGCTGGAGAGGATGTGGAGAAACAGGAACACTTTTACACTGTTGGTGGGACTGTAAACTAGTTCAACCACTGTGGAAGTCAGTGTGGCAATTCCTCAGGGATCTAGAACTAGAAATACCATTTGACCCAGCCATCCCATTACTGGGTATATACCCAAAGGACTATAAATCATGCTGCTATAAAGACACATGCACACGTATGTTTATTGTGGCATTATTCACAATAGCAAAGACTTGGAACCAACCCAAATGTCCAACAATGATAGACTGGATTAAGAAAATGTGGTACATATACACCATGGAATACTAGGCAGCCATAAAAAATGATGAGTTCATGTCCTTTGTAGGGACATGGATGAAATTGGAAATCATCATTCTCAGTAAACTATCGCAAGAACAAAAAACCAAACACCTCATATTCTCACTCATAGGTGGGAATTGAACAATGAGAACACATGGACACAGGAAGGGGAACATCACACTCTGGGGACTGTTGTGGGGTGTGGGGAGGGGGGAGGAATAGCATTGGGAGATATACCTAATGCTAGATGACGAGTTAGTAGGTGCAGCGCACCAGCATGGCACATGTATACATATGTAACTAACCTGTACATTGTGCACATGTACCCTAAAACTTAAAGTATAATAATAATAATAAATAATAATAATAATAATAATAATAATAATAATATACATACCTTAATTTAAAAATGCTTTATTTCTAAAAATGCTAATGGCCATCTGAGTCTGCACTGAGTCACAGTCTTTCTGCTGGCAGATGGTCTTCCCTCTCTGTTGATGGTTTGCCTCTCTGTTGATGATCAGGGTGATGATTTGCTAAAGGCCAGGGTGGCTGTGCCAATTTCTTGAAATAAGACAACAATGAAGTTTGCTGCATGGATTGACTCTCACTTTCATGAAAGATTTCTATGTAGCATGTGATGTAATTTGATAGCATTCTACCCACAGTATGACTTCTTTCAAAATTGGAGTCAATCTTCTGAAATCTGCCACTGCTTTGTTAACTGTATTTGCATAATAGTCTAGATCTTTTGTTGTCATTTCAACAATGTTCATAACATCTTCACCAGGAGTAGAGTCCATCTCAAGAAATCACTTTCTTTGCTCACCCATAAGAAGCAACTCCTCATCCATTAACGTTATATCATGAAATTGCAGCAATTCAGTCTCAGCTTCAGGCTTCATGTCTATTAATAATTCTAGTTCTATTGCTATATCCACCACATCTACAGTTATTTCCTCCACTGAAGTATTAACCCCTCAAGGTCATCCATGAGAGTTGGAATCAATTTCATTGAAACATCTGTTGATGTCGGTAACTTGACCTCCTCCCATGAATCATGAATGCTCTTTATGCCATTTATAATGGTGAATCCTTACCCGAAGGTTTTCATTTTACTTTGCCCAGATCCTTCATAGGAATAACTGTCTAAGGCAGCTATATCCTTACAAAATTATTTACTAAAGAATAACGCTTATAAGTTGAAATTACTCCTTGATCCATGGGCCACAGAATGAATGTTTTGTTAGCAGGCATGAAAACATTAACCTCCTTGTACATTTCCATCTGAGCTCTTGGGTGACTAGGAGCATTGTCAATGAACAGTAATATTTTGAAGTGAATCTTTTTTTCTGAGCAGTAGGTCTTCACAATAGTCTTAAAATATTCGCTAAAACCATGCAGTAAACAGATGTAGTGTCATCCACGGTTTATTTTTCCATTTATAGAGCACAAACAGAGCAGAGTTAGCATAATTCTTAAAGACTCCTAGGATTTTTTGGAATGGCAAATGAGCATTGGCTTCAACTTAAAGTCAGCAGCTGCATCAGTCCCTAACAAGAGAGTTGGGCTGTCCTTCAAAGCTTTGAATCCAGACTTGAACTTCTCCTCTCTAGCTATGAAAATCCAACATGACATCTTCTTCCAATACAAAGCCATTTCAGCTGCATTGAAAATCTGTTGTTTAGAGTAGCCACCCTCTTCCATGATCTTAGCCAGATCTTCTGGATAACCTGCTGATGTTTCTCCATGGGCATTTGCTGCTTCACTTTGACATTTTATGTTATGGAGACCTTTTATGTTATGTTACAGAGGTTCTTTAATACTCATGAGCCAACCTGTGCTAGCTTCAAACTTTTCTTCTTAGCTTCTTCACCTCTCTCAGCCTTCATAGAATCAAAGAGATTCATGGTCTTGCTCTGGATTTGATTCTGGTTCAAGGGAATGCTGTGGCTGGTTTGAACTTCTATCTAGACCACTGAAACTTTCTGAATATCAGCAGTAAAAATGTTTCGCTTTCATATCATTCATGTGTTCAATGGAGTAGAACTTTTAATTTTCTTCAAGAATTTTTCCTTTGCTTTCGACACTTGATTAACTGGTACAAGAGGCCTTGCTTTCGGCCTGTCTTGGCTTCTGATAGGACTTACTTACTCAGCTTAATCACTTCTAACTTTCGATGTAAAGTGAGAGATACATGACTTTTCCTATCACTTGAATACTTAGAGGCCAATGTAGGGTTACTAATTGGCCTAAATTCAAAATTGTTTTGTCTCAGGGAATAGGGAGGCCCAAGGAGAGAGAGAAGGGAGAATAGCAGGTTGGTGGAGCAGTCAGACCACACACAAATTTTATCAATTAGTTTGCCACCTAATATGGGCACAGGTTATGATGCCCCAAAGCAATTACAATAGTAACATCAAAGATCACTGATTACAGATCACCAAAACAAATATAATAATAATGAAAAAGAATAAAACATTGTGACAATTACCAAAAATGTGACACACAGATATGAAGTGAGCACATGTTGGAAAAATTGCACTGATAAACTTGTTCAACACAGAGTTGCCCTCAATTTGTAAAAAATGCAACATCTGCAAAGTGCAATAAAGTGAGTGCAGTAAGATAAGGTATCCTTATACTAACAGTGACTGCTAGTAATGTTAATTTTATTCTTTTTCCTTTCTCAGCACATATGTATTCTATATTTGTGTGGTGATTATAACTGTATTTTGTATTTTTCAAGGTGATTGCATCTCTTGCTCACAGAAAATGCAGGCAATCATGAAGCTAAATATGACACCCTATTTCCAAATACAAAATCTGTTAGTGTTGTTTCTTCCCACTGGACCACCACTGCCATCATTTCCAGGGTTGGATATCAATGATTCTGTTAACAGTTCCTTTGTCTATTTTCCTACTCTCAGTCAACTGCATCCAGCATATGTAATCTTCTTCATTTTCATCCATTCTCACCTTCCCCAGTAAATCTAAACTGCAGCTTCAGTGCAGGTGGGTAGAACACATCCATAGGTTCGTTTGTAGAACCTGCCCTCTAGCAGAAATTAGGTGGAGTTCAGGTAATGATTCCTTATCTTCATAGACAAATTCACCTGCTGAAAGAGTGGACCATCAAACTTCCTGATTGATATGAATGGTCCAGGAGGCTGAGATGAACAGTCCCTGGAGAGGGAGGTGTGATAGAACATCAGGGAACTCAGTTACACAAAGCTGGAGAGGCAGAGGCAGAAGAGGTGAGGCAGAGAGTGAAGGCAACATCTAAGATACTTTCCCTTACTGCAACACTTTACATACAACTTCTGAAAACCTCATAGAAGTTTCATTCCCTAATTTCTCCTCTGTTTTCTTTTCACACAGTCTACTTCCTTTCCCTAATTCTCTGATTCCTTTTCAACTTTTCTTAGCTTTTATTTCGATTTCTCTATCATTCCAGATTTTTACTATGTATTTATTGAGCTCACAAACAGAGCTTGTGCCCTGGAGGAACAGCATGAGAAATTAAATACATTGTATTCAATTTATTTTTAAGTTAATATTACAGCAAGTGAACCAAAATTTCATTTCTTTATATACTGGTTAATGAACTTACATTTTGGCAGACATGAAAGCTTCTTTCAGGGCTTTTCCCTCCTCTTCTTTTCAAGGCTTTTTAAAAAGTAGCTTTACAGGCAAGTTTCAGTAGGGGGGTGAGGATGGAAGTTTGATACTACAAACCTTCCCTTTTCTCTCAAATCTCAAGCTTCCCTTCTTTTGCTGAGCATCTTAAACAAGCAGGCGGATGTTTTTCCTCTTTTATTTTTTAATTGCGTATGTTGATGTGCAAGACAACATTTTCAATGAGATGCAAACGGAGTTGCCCACACAGCAATAATGGGGGCTTTGTGGGCTGCTCAGCATGTGCTGTGTTTCTCTGAAGCCTTTAGGTCCATACCCCCAAGCTCTACAAAGAGGTCAGTACATTTCAGTTTCTGTCTCTCCCATACCAAAGAGATGTTCTGACTGTGAGAAAAAAACAGCAGGTAGAATAGTCACTGGCAGAAGTTTCTCTTACTCCCCACTATGCCTATCACTTATTTTCCACTGACAGTCAATTATTACATTTTAAATAAAGTTGTACTTTATGAAGATTTAATGAAATACTGCCATGATATGGTAAGCCAGTGCCAACTGAAAGAGCTGCTTCACTCAAAGAATTCTGCTATTCAATTAGCTTTCCCTGTTAATACATCATGATAGCAACTCTGATTAGGAAACATAACATTCACTAATTTACACCTGAATGACACAGAAAAGGTTGCTAAGTGGTTTGGAATTATAGCAGGCTTATTATTTGATGTGGGGACTAACATATTTTCCGGCTAAGGATAGAATTCTGGCTAAAGACTGCAAAAAATGAACAAATAGAAATTACCTATGTTGATTTGGTGTTATTTTCAAGGCCAACTGATCATTTAAGTGAGGATTTTTGCCTTTCATATAGCTATTAGCACTATCAAAAGCTTTTATTCAACAGGGACAGCAGAGACTATTGATTTCTATCCTTTCTCAGGTCCTCTTAACACAAGTTTTAAGTACCCAAACCCAGGTAGTCTCTATTAAAATTAATGTTGTTGGGGAAGAGTAGAGATGTTGTTGTCTGGGCAACTGGCTTGGGCACTGTAAGTACAAAAGACTTCTGTGGTGCTTTTTTTTTTTAAGGCAAGACAAAAGAAGGCTCCCACTTCAGAAGGGATATCTCACTCTTGGGGCATCAACATTAGAAATAAAAGGCAAAACTAAGAGCACATCTTGCCTTAGAATTCCCTAAAAGATCCACAACAAATGGTGTAGCCACAAAGTAGTGAAACAAACAATAGCACAAATAGAATAAACTTACAGGGTTCCCAACCTTACAGGCGAGTAAAGAAGGTCATGTCCTAGGAGGCTCTGGAAACTTAGGAAATTGAGGGGATCTTGGGAAGAAATTCCTGCAAACTTACAGGTATTACAGGTGAAATTAGATGACAAATCTTTGGCTTGTCCTCCTATCCTTAAGAGGCTTTTAAAAGTCCAATCTGAAATTCCTCACAAAAATTTCCAGCAAAGCAAATTTAAGGTCTGCCTGGTAAATCACCATTCTTGAGAGCTTGTTTGGAGGTTCTAGCAGGGGAGCACAGCTACTTGTATACTCTCTATTGGTCTTCCTCTATTGGGGATGTTCGTCCTCCTCCACCCAATGCACAGCTTTGGGAGGGATGCACATGGAGCAATGAGGGAAGAAGGGAACAGCCGCCTAGCCAGCCAGATCAGCCGAATCAACTCTGGCAATCAATGAGGTGACAGATGTCGCAGCCAGATCACCCTCACATCTGTAAATTACCATTCTTGTTGCATCTATGTAAATAATCAAGCCAAATGTAATGTGATAAGCCTTATTCTGTGATCAAGAATGATTTTTCTTTGAGATTACTTTTGATCAAAAGCAGGGTGACTGTAGAGAAGTGTTGTACTACAATGCAAAACTATGAACCATCTATATATAGCACACTCTTCTGAGTGATCAGAATCTGCCTTGTTCAATGTCTTTGTGCTATTTTGCAACCCTTTAAATTGCAGGTAAGAGATACATAGGCAAACTCCATCTTTTTGAGTAGAGATTTAATTGACTTCTCCCCTACTATGGGAAAAATATAGTTTTAGTACTTAGTAGTAAGTTGCCTTGGATTCTGTTACTTGTAAAACTTAAAAGTCCTTACCAAATTTTCATTTATTCCAGTTTTCTACAGTATCTGGCAACATGTCTCCAAACTAACTTTTCCATTTTTCTCTCTCCTTTCTAGCTCATCATCAGACACCTAAAATCCAACTGCCAGATCTCTAACTTGGCTCTAAGCAGCTTTGTGTTTGGCCCTTTTACTTGGGATCTGAAGAAGGCTTGTGAGCTGAATTCTGGAAACTTGATGTAAGCCTTGAAAAGACTCACCACAACAGAAGATGATGGATGATCCAAAATACATCCTGGAAAGAAAGTCTAGTGAAATGCTTGGGTCATACAAACCCCTACATAAGAATGTGAACTTTACCAAATGCATCAATATTCCAGCTTGAAAGCAAGAGCAGTGCTGTGTAATGAAAATATTTTCCTCCACTGACCTCTTGGAATCCACTGGACTGATAACCACCAGTCTCACTCCTGGTTCTTTAATACAACCTTTTATATTAATATTTTCTCTTTTTCAGTTCTGCCATACCTTTTTAAAACATGCCTGATTTGGGGGGCTCTAAAACAACTGACCTTTGCCACCAATTCTCAAAAGATGACTTTAACTGATTATACAGGAAGAGCACCAACAAGAGTTGTTTCTGAGACTATTTCTCAGACCCTTCTTTGCCACACTCAGGATGTTTATTATCTTCTCTGAGCTGTACAGCAACAAATAATATTCTTCTTAAACAAAAGTGTGGACTGATAATGTTGAACTTTACCTGAGCCCTATGTTCCCAAAACACAGAGATGGTTAAGAATCCCCCAACACACACACACACTTTTATTTACCTAGACACAGCTAACTGCCAGTGACCACCCTTCCCTTGCATATTCCCAGGTAAGACCCAGCCCTGTCCTTCCGCACGGCTCTCATAAGACTTGTGGATGACCTCCTTGTTTACCTACCTCTGTAAAACCCTAGACCCACTTCCTTTTCTTTGAAATGTTTCTCATTAATTAATGTTTTCCCTATTGTAACAGCCTAAATAAAATCATCTGCTTAATCTTCCACTGCATTTTTTGTCTTTCACAATAGAGTTTGGATTACATGGAGGTGTATGGAGTTGTCAAAAAACCATGAAATAATACAATTCCGGTTTGTGTATTTCATTAAATATAGACTTTACCACAAAAGACAAAATGAGGACTGTAAATAAGCAATGAACCATACATAGTTAATGCTTTGTACACTTAGCTGTTTGGAGTGAGGTATTAGATGTCTGTAACTTACTTTGTTATATCTATATTTTTTTTTTGAGATGAAGTCTTGCTCTGTTGCCCGGGTTCAAGCAATTCTCCTGCCTCAGCCTCCTGAGTAGCTGGGATTACAGGCACCCGCCACCACATCCAGCTTTTTTTTTGTATTTTTAGTAGAGGTGGGGTTTCACCATGTTGGCCAGGCTGGTCTTGAACTCCCGACCTCAGGCAATCTGCCTGCCTTGGCCTCCCAAAGTGCTAGGATTACGGGTGTGAACCACCGCGTTCGGCCTGTAATATATATTTTTTAAAACGATGGGTTGATCCATTCATAGATGAATTGCTAAATAGTTTGTGATAAAGCAAATATAGTAAAAGACTAATTACAGAGTCTACATGGTTAGTTTCTTAGTGTTCACATCAAAGTTAATGGCAAAATATTAAATTTTTTTCCGCTAAGATTGAGAAGAAGGCAAGGATATCTTCTGTCACGTCATCATTCTATTCACATTTTTACTAGAGGCCACTGCCATAGGAAAAAAAAAGAAGGAAAAGGCATAAAGATTGAGATTTAAAGAAAACTATTTTAATTGTCAGATGGTATGATTATCTATGTAGAAAATCCTGAAGAATTTATAAAGCAATTACTAGCAATAGTGTACTTGGCCAGGTTATAGGATAGAAGGTCAATATATGAATATTAAATATAATTTTATATACTATCATAATTAGAAAATAAAATTCTTAAAATAGCATTTACATGGCATTGACAAAATCAAATACATATATACATATACATACAAATATAACATATAATAAAATATAACTATAATAAATATATTTATAACATATTTTATTATATACAAATATATATTATTTAATAAACATGTTAAATAAAATGTAACAAACATAAAACTACAATAAATACAATGAAAGATGTTTGAACTCCGTAATCTAGAAACTATGAAACGTATCTGAGAGAACTAAAGATCTAAATAAATTTATCTGACTCAGTATTATTATGATGTTAATTCTCCTCAAACTGACTTGTAGTTGCAACTAAATTTCAAGTGACCTCAGACTTATGATGGCAAAAATAAAAAAAAGATACATTAAAATGTATATATGAGCTAATTCATATTGTGAAAAACTTTGGAGATGTTTAAAGACAACAAAGATAGCTTTTACTTGGAAGGATTTATCTAATCTGCTGATATTATAACATGCAATTAAAGCAATGAATTACCTTATTAGAAAGAACATGGAATGAATGAAGTATCTCGTGTCATCTATTTCCATATGTCTTGTCAGTGACCTCAGATACATTACTAAACATTTACTCATTAGAAATGCAGCTGATAAACCCTGCTAACCCCAGAAAAACTTTACCAAAAGCTAAAAACAATTTAATTTATAAAATATCAAACAGATATAATTAAAAATAGAAGTGGGATTAAAGATAAAAGTAAAAATAGCCTCTTGAATTAATGTACAGTAAGATAAAACAGTGTAACTTATTGTATATTGATATATTAATTTTATGTGTAATAAAATTTGCTTTGCTTTTAAAAAATCAGTATGTTTAGCTGCTTTACCTTACATTGAGCTATATTTTTTAACTATAATTCTTTTTTTTTTAATGAGCTACATTGTTATTTAAATTCTAAATAAGAATTGTTGGTGCTTGGATAGAGCTCATCTGGTGCACTGAAAATAGGATTAATATAAACACTCCTAAATATGTAAGTAGCCCTTTCTGAAAGACAGATTATTTTTACATATTTGCTACAGAGCATACACAGGCATACATTATTTATAAATTGGAAAACAGGCCTACATTTCTTGAGTAAACTAACATTTAAAAAAATAAAGCATACATAAAAACATAATATAGAAAACTTCTCAGAATCATATATAAAATGGCTGGGATTTAAAGCAATTCTGACTAGAGTCTAGAGCTTACTACTCAATGTATGCCCCAAATGTCAACTGTTTTTGCTGAAAATACTAACACAAATTTAGTTTGTGTGAATAGCCATGTAACATCTAGATTAATAGTAAAACTAAGCAAGGCCTCTCTAACCAAGCCCCTATTAAAGTAAAGGGAAAAAAAGCAAAAATTCATCAGCAATAAAAGGGTAGGGTGGTAAGCAATCTTGAGACATAATTACTCAAAGCGGAAAATTCAGTTATGAAATGGCTTAAAATTACTCCTGGCCCCAACATCAACCCACAAAATTAGTATTAAGAAAAGAAAGTCCACAAATCCTAAGAATTGTTCACTAAAGGAGAAGCAGGTCCAAGTTGCATGGGCAGTCATGGGATAAGGAAAGGAACAATATGTAAGAGAGAAAGCTAGTAGCATTCCAAGGAGATGGGCGTAAGTGCTGGCCATTTCCAAGGACAACATACACAGAGGTGGGATGCATCCTTGGCTGGTGAGGTCAGACATTTAATGGAATCTCAAAAGAAAGATCTGAACCCACTACTACCATTTACAGCTAACTTTCCCTCCTTGCTTACCACCTCTGCCCTCCTAACACTCACTTGCAGATTACAGAATAAACAGAAAGCAATATCCCTTGTTGGGTGTGCACAAAGGAGGGTAGAATGGAAGGGACAGATGACAAAACTGAAGAAATTAAGAAAATGAATGAAATAATAAAAAGGACAAAAAGAAGTGATTTACATAATATTAGCAGTAAATGGAAGGTCTAGGTCAGTAGTTCTCACACTTTGCTGCATTTTAGAATAATTCTCATGCCTAGGCCATATCTCAGTGCAATTAAGTGAGAATCTCAGGCATTAGTACTCTTTAAACTCCCTTATGTTATTTCAATGTGCAATAAAGTTTCAGCAGTGCCTTTCAAACATTAATGTGCATAAAGATCACCTGGGGACCTCGTTAAACTGCCGTTTCTGTTTCAGTAGGTCTTGGGTGGGGTCTTTGATTCTGTATTCCTAATAAGCTTCCAGATAACACCAGTATATCTGGTTTGAAGACTGCACTATGGGTAGCAAGGGCCTAGACAGAACTGATGATGAAAACTTGAGAAAAATACAAAGAGAAAAGCATACAAATGATGCAGTTATGTTTCTTTAATAGAAAAAAAGCAAACAAAAAAAGATAAGTAACGTAAAATCAAAAGCAGTCAAATAATCCACCTGTAAAGAAAATCCAATCTAAGAACAGCAGAATCTGGAAAAGTGCTATGTGCTCTAGAACTTAATAAGAATTTGAATGGAGTAAAACATCAGTTCAAAAAGAAGATGATAAAACAACAGATAAAAAGATGAAAAGGGAGAATGCCAAGCTAAGGAGAAAAGATGGAGAACCAAAATACAGTCAGATATCTAAAATTCTTTTAACAACAAAAACCAGATTAGAATTGTGAAATAAGTTAAGTCAAAAAATAGATACAAAGAATACAGATAATTCAATCTGGATAACTGGTATCTAAAAATTAAAGAATCCCATAAGTAGATCAGAAAATACATTCAGAGACATATGGGAAATGTACTCTTAAGTGAAGAAAAAATAAATACATATGTAGCTTGAAAAGACATAACATAGACCAGGATGCAAAACAGTCAAAGTTAATATATATCCTTAATAAGTTACTTAATTTTGAGGATAAAGAAAAAAAGGTACAGGAAAAAAACATAAAGTTACTTCCAAGTAGAAAGAGAAAAAAAAAGAGACTTCCCCAAAACAGCCTTTAATGACAAGGACAATGGAAACAGATCTACAAAGTTTTAAATAAAACAAAAGTATATATCAAGAATATTTTAAGTGTCTAATCTCATTCAAGTGCAAAAGTACTATGTAGATATTCTTGATCATTAAGAAACTCAGAGAATGTTCAAGAATTCTTCTTGAAAGAAACAAATGATTCAGTGACGATATGCCAGCAACCAAGGCGTAAAGCAAAATGAAGAACTCAGAAATAAAGAAAGCCCCGGTAGAATTACTGGAGATGTTTCTGCTTTGGCATGACACAGAGAGGAGCTCCATAAACCAGCTTCCCAGTGAAACAGATGAAAATTGTTTTAAAACATTTAAAGTCTCTAGAAATAGTCCTAAGTGCATAGAGAAAATGAGAAAACATTTATTCAAAAATCTACTAAAATTGACAGGACAACAAAAATCTACGGTATTTGAACAAGAATCTTCTCCTTCCATTTCCCTTTCCAGCTCAGCATGGTAGAAATTCCAATCCAGACAGTGCATGTCTAAGAACATAGGCTCCCACATCCCTCAGCTCCTAGATGGTTATCTTCCTGGGAGGGGCAGAATATCAGTATTTCTTATCCTGGACCATCTACTTGTTGCTCA
The DNA here is from genome assembly GCF_000001405.40 of Homo sapiens. NCBI lineage: Eukaryota > Metazoa > Chordata > Mammalia > Primates > Hominidae > Homo > Homo sapiens. Next base: position 47,266,667 of record NC_000015.10, on the reverse strand, counting down.
GGCTAAGCCCTGGGCAAATGTGGATGAGAAATAGGGGTTCCCTTCTTCTGCCCAGCCTCTATTTGTGGGATGGAAGGTCTGTCTTAAGCATGGTGTTGCTGAGAATACTGGGGCCCCAACTGCCCTCATTACGGCTTATAAGGCAGTGGTTCCATGTTGGAAAAGGCAAACCAAAAAAGACTTAAGGCTTTTGCCCACTCCATCCCACCAAGTATTCAGTTCCAAAAACAAAGTTGTCACTTAGAGAAAAGAACTTCAGGAAAGCTCTGTCTCCACCAACAGTTCTAGAGCCTTGGCAAAATCTAGAGATTTTGCCCGAGAGGAAGAGCAGTCCTAAAACAGACAGTTACTAATTTCTTTTCAAAGGAGCAGACTTTGTTTGCAACAGGGTGTGCAGAAGTTCAAGTCTAAGGGGCTCTGGAAAAAAAAAGTGTAGTCAAAAAGACAACTGGCAAAAAAAGACAATTGGCAGTAAATTAGGAGATTCATTGGAGAGATAGGCAAAACTGTGGAGCAGATTGTCAGAATGGGGAAAAGTGACAACAGGGAAGAGCCCTGCTGGGATCAGATCCAGTCTCAAAAACTGACCTCAAGAATTATTCCCCCAAAAGAGACTACATTTGATTACATCAGTTTGCTAAGAACCTTATGCCTTAGGACATTTCCAGACAATAGAAGAATCAGCCAGCAAGTAGTGGAGCTTCAAGACTAAGCGTGTTTAAGAAAAGAAACAGCGACAGAGAGGCCTGATAAAACCACTGTCATCCCAACGTGACTATGGTTACAACAAAGGTTGCACTCTCTGAGGAGCAAGAGCAGAGGATTAACACTGTGGGATACAGATGTCACTAAAATAATCCAGCCAGTCTCTAAATAAGTAAACAAGCACCTAAAAAATAGCAATCCCCACAGTGGGGGAAATCGGTACCCCAAATGGCTATAATTTATTATCTAAAATGTCTAGTTTCCAACAAAAAAAAATTGAGAGGCATGCAAAGAAACTGGAAACTATAATTTATACATTGAAAAGAAAAAAATACTAAGAAAAATAAGTTAACAAAAACTTCCCATGAGAGTAAACAGATGTTAGATTTAACAGAGAAGATTTTAAAGTAGCCATTGTAAGTATGTCCAAAGAACTAAAGGAAACCATAATTAAAGTAAAACAAAAAAGGTATGAGGACAATTTCACACCAAATGGAGAATATTAATAAAGAAATATAAATTATTTTTAAAAATCACATTGGCCTTCTATAATTGCAAAGTACCATAACTGAAATATAAATTAGATAACTTAAATAAAATGGATACAATCATAGACACAAACTCCCAAAACTGACTCAAGAGAAATAATATGAATAAACTATAATGAATGAAGAGATTTATTATCAATAAAAAAACCACCCAGAAATAAAAGTTGAGGCCTAGATGGCTTCCCCATTTTATTGTAGTAATACACAATATTTAAAGAAGAATTAATACCAGTTATTTACAAAATCTTCCAAAAAATAGGAGAGAAGAGAACACATCCCAGCTAACTCCTTTAGGCCTGTGTCACTCTGATACCAAATTCAGACAAAGACATCACAAGAAAAGGAAACTACAGACCAGTATCTCTTATGCACGTGGATATAAAATCCTCAAGAAGATTCTAGCAAACTGAATCCAGGAACATATTAAAGAATTGTGTATCATGATCAAATGAGATTTATCCCATGAATTCAAAGCTGTGTTAACTCCCAAAAATCAGTTAAAGCAATACATCACACTAAATCCATAGAGAAAAATTTTTTAAAGATTATCTCAAAAATCACAGAAAAAGTATTTAACAAAATCCAATACTTTTTCATGACATACTTTTTCAAAAATACATAACAAACTAGGAATAGAAGAGAACTTCTTCAACTTGATAAAGAACATTAATGAAAAACCCACAGGTAGCATCATATTTAATGGTGAAAGACTAGATGCTTTCACTCTAAAAAAAGAAAGAAACCAAAGGTATCCACTCTTGCTATTTCTATTTAATAGTGTACTGGAAGTTCTAGCCAGGGAAACACAACAAGAATGGTTATGATAAAACATGCACACATACACATATATACAATGACAATTGTTGAAGAGGATATAAAGAGAGAGAATTCTCGTACCTTGCTGATGGGAATGTAAGATGGTACAACTGTTTTGAAAATTATTCTGTCACTTCTGCAATGATTAAACATGAAGTTAGCATATAACCCAGCAATTCAATTACCAAGGTATATGCTCAAGAGAAATTAAAATACAAGTCCCCCAAAAACCTTGCACAATATTTAAAAAAAAAAAACCTTTTAAATTCAGGGGTAAATGACCAGGTTTATTACATAAGTAAACTTGTGTCATGGGGTTTGTTGTACAGAGTATTTCATCACCCAGATATTAAGCCTAGGATCCATTAATTATTTTCCCTGATCTTCTCCCTCCTGCAACCCTTTCAATAGGACCCAGTGTGTGTTGTTGCCCTCTATGTGTCCATGTGTCCTCATCATTTAGCTCCCACTTTAAGTGAGAACACGCAGTATTTGCTTTTTTGTTTCTGTGTTAGGTTGTTAAGGATAATGGTCTCCAGCTTCATCCATGTTGCTGCAAAGGACATGACCTTGTTCTTTTTTATGGCCACATAGTATTCTATATTGTGGTTGTATGACATATTCTTTATCCAATTTGTCATTGATGGGCATTAAGGTTGATTCCATGTCTTTGCTATTGTGAATAGTGTTGCAATGAATAGATGCATTCATGTATCTTTGTAACAGAATGATTTATATTCCTTTGGGTATATACCTAGTAATGGATCCCATCAACCTTAATGCCCATCAATGACAAATTGGATAAAGAATATGTCATGCATCTACAATACAGAATACTATGTGGCCATAAAAATGAACACGGTCATGTCCTTTGCAGCAACATGGATGGAGCTGGAGACCATTGTGGAAGATAGTCAACCATTAAGTCTTCGGGGAATCGCCACACTATCTTCCTCAATGGTTGACTATCTTCCGCAATGGTTGAACTAATTTACACTCTCACCAGCAGTGTATACGTGCTCCTTTTTCTCCACAACCTTGCCAGAATCTATTATTTTTTTACTTTTTAATAATAGTCATTCTGACTGGTATAAGATGGTGTCTCATTGTGGTTTTGATTTGCATTTCTCTGATGAATCAGTAATGAGCCTTTTTTCCAGATGATTGTTGGCCTCATGTATACCTTCTTTCAAAAAGTGTCTTTTCATGTCCGTTGCCCACTTATTTATGGGATTGTGTTTTTTATTCTTGTAAATTTGTTTAAATTCCTTATAGATGCAGGATATTAGACCTTTGTCAGATGCATAGTTTGCAAACATTTCCTCCCATTCTGTAGGTTGTCCGCTTACACTGTTGATAGTTTCTTTTGCTGTGCAGAGGCTGTTTAGTTTAATTAGAATCCATTTGTTAATTTTTCTTTTTGTTGCAACTGCTTTTGGCATCTTCATCATAAAATCTTTGCCAATCCCTATGTCCTGAATGGTATTGCCTAGGTTATCTTCCAGGGTTTTTATAGTTTTGGGTTTTACATTTATCTTTAATCCACCTGGAGTTGATTTTTGTATATGATGTAAAAAAGGGGGTCCAGTTTTAATCTTCTGCATACAGCTAGCTAGATATCCCAGCACCATTTATTGAATAGGGAATCCTTTCCCTATTGCTTATTTTTCTCAGGTTATTCAAAGATCAGATAGTTGTAGGTGTATGACCTTATTTCTGAGTTCTCTATTTTCTTCCATTTGTCTATGTGTCTGTTTTTGTACCCATACCATGCTGTTTTGATTACTGTAGCTCTGTAGCATAGTTTGAAGTCAGGTAGGGTGGTGCCTCCAGCTTTGTTCTTTTTGCTTAGGATTGTCTTGGCTATTAGGGCTCTTCTGTGGTTCCATGTGAATTTTAAAATAGTTTTCTCCAGTTCTGTGAAGAATGCCAATGGTAGTTTGATATGGTTTGGCCCTGTGTCTGCATACAAATCTCATCTTAAGTTGTAGTAATCCCCATGTGTCAAGAGTGGGACTAGGTGGAGATAACTGAATCATGAGGGCCATTTCCCCCATGCTATTCTTGTGATTATGAGTGAGTTCTCATGTGATCTGATGGTTTTATAAGAGGCTTCCCCCTTTGCTCAGCCCTCATTCTCTCTCCTGCTTCCCTGTGAAGATATGCCTTCAACCATGATTGCAAATTTCCTGAGGCCTCCCCAGCCATATGGAACCGTGAGCCAATTAAACCTCTTTTCTTTATAAATTGCTCAATCTCGAGTATTTCTTCATAGCAGTGTGAGAACAGACTAATAGATAGTTTAATAGGCATAACATTGAACCTATAAATTGCTTTGGGCAGTACGGCCATTTTAACAATATTGATTCTTCCTATGCATGGGCATGAAATATTTTTCCATTTGTTTGTGTCATCTCTGATTTCTTTGAGCAGTGGTTTGTCGTTCTCCTCGTAGAGATTTTTTTTACCTCCCTAGTTAGCTGTATTCCTAGATATTTCATTCTTTTTGTGGCAATTGTGAATGGGAGTTCATATCTGATTTGGTTCTCAGCTTGACTGTTTTTTGTGTATAGGAATGTTAGTGATTTTTGTACACTGATGCTGTATAAGATTGTTTATAGTATCATTATTCATAGTCACAAGAGGGTGAAAACAACTCAAATGTACACCACCTGATAAATAGAAAAACAATAGGCAAAATATGGTATATTCATATAATGAAAAATTATTCAGCCATAAAAAGGAATGAAATACTGATGCATACAACAACATGAATTAACCTCAAAAACTTTATGCTAAGTGAAAGCAGATAGTCAGAAAACACACTATTATATTATTCTATTTACATGAAATGTAAAAAATAGGCACATCCATAGAAACAGAAAGGAATTCATTAGTTTCTTAGAACTGGGGAGGAGGAAATAAGGAGGTCAATAGGTGATAGCTAAAGGGTATAGGTTTCCTTTAGGAGGTGATGAAAATGTTTTAAAATCAACTGTGGTTATGGTTGGACATATTTGTCAATACACTTAAAATTATTAAATTATACACTTTAAATGGGTGATGTATATATCAACGAAGCCATTAAAAAGCAAAATCAAATAAAACAGAGCTGAGACCAAATGCATTTAAATACTAAAAATTCTACATACCTCAGAAAATTATAGTTTCTAAAGAAAAGGAAAATAATGCACTTTTTAAAAGAAAGCCTGGCTTTTGAAAAGGAAATCAGAAGCACAAACCAAGAGGAAAGCAAATGAAATAATTTTTAGTAATATTCACCTAACCTGGCAGGTCGGGTTACAGGTGCTACCAATACAATAGAGAGCAAAACAGATGTGGTTCCTTCTATCTTGGTTTTTAATAAAATGGGGAGCACTAGACAATAAATAATCAAACACATGAGTGAACAAACAAGGCAAAACTCGGTTAGTAAAATAAGCCACACAGCCAATTAAAAATAGCACTAGCTGGACTTCTGGCATAGACTTATTTCTCCCTGTTCCTCATTGCTGTGTACAATTATAAACCCTGGAAATAATATCCAGAGGCCTCCAAAGGATAACTCTAAAAAATGATAAGAAGGTAAATTGTTTGGGACAGCAGAAATAAAGGAACGGCAAAGCAATACGGTACCTTAGGTCCCTCCTCCCAACAGAAAAAGCCTACCCACCCTCAGTATTTTCTGATGCGAAACTGCAACAAAAGGTAGCCAGTTAGGCTTACTGTCCCTCTGATAACACCAGATGAGACTGGCACCACTAGCAAGAGGGATCAATCAGGAGTCTTGCTACTGATAAGTGTCCAAGGAAAGCACTATTTTTCCCTCCCAGGTTTTAAATTCCCCCATTCCATCCCTCCCCTCCAAGAAATACCAGGACAATCACCAACACAAGCAAGACAGACGTTTCCACAAGTGGCTCAGCATGGTAGCCTCTTTTGCCCCATGGGCCTGAGATCCCTCCAACCTGTACAGAGACATCACAATGACTGAATGAATGACACAGGCAGAAAAATCCTATCACATCACAGAAATCTCTTCGAGACTTCTTTTCCCCTCCAGAAGACACTGGGATTGCTGGTGGGGAAAGAACTTCTACCACCTCAGGCAGTACTAGCATGGATCAGTGGGGTCCACAGTACACCAACTAAACCAAGAGGGCCTAAATAATATCACAAAGACCATGAAAATTAAGGTATGACTGGAACCAAAACCCACAAAATAGGCCAGAACCTGCATGTTAAACCTATACAAGATGACTACTTGCTAAAATAAAAATTTAAATAAGATGCAGAGCTTTCTAACATAATAGACAAAATGTCCATGATGCAACAGAAAATTACCCCATACCAAGAATCAGAAAATTCCAACTTGAATGAGAAAAGGCAAGCACTGACACAGCACCAAGATGAGATGAATCAGAAGTTGAAATTATCTGAGATGGATTTTGAAGGTATAATATTTTTAAAAAATCAATTATAAACTCTCTTGAAACAAATATAAAGTAGAAAATATCAGCAAAGAAATATAAATTTTATAAAAAGAACCAAATAGAAATTATAGAACTGGAAATACAATAACCAAAATGGAAAAAAAAAAACATGCTAAATGGGCTCAATACAATAGAGATGACAGGAGAGAATCAATGAACTTGAGGACAGATCAATATAATTTACTCAGTTTACCCCATCTGAACAACAAAGAGAAAATAATCTATTTAAAAACAAAAAAGAAAAAAAAATCACAGCCTTTGGGACCTATGGGACAATGACAAAAAATCCAACACTCATATCATCAATGTCTACGAAAAGGAGAATCAGAATGGAGTTGAAAGAATATTTGCACATATTGCAGCTGAAAACTTCCCAAATTTGGGTAAAAAACCCAATGTACAGATTCAAGACTCTGGTAATGCCAAATAAGATAAATCCAGAGAAATGCATACCAAGAAATATCATCATTAAACTTCTGAAAACTCTAAGACAAAGAACAAATTTTGAAAGCAGCCACAGAGAAATGACACACTACCTATTGGGGGAAAACCATTTGAATGACAGTTGGATTTCTCATCAGAAACCAGAGAGGCCAGAAGAAAGTGGCACCACATTTTTCAAGTGCTGGAAAAAAAAAAAAGAACTCTCAACTATAAATTTTATATCTGGTAAAATTATCCTTCAGAAATGTAAAGGAAACAATGACCTCCTCAGACATTAAAGAAGTGTAAAAAAATCTGTCAATTTGTCATGAGCAGACATATCCTTAAAGACTCGCTAAAATAACTTCTTTAAACAAAAAGGTAATCATAAATAAAGGTATCTTGCAGCATTGGGAAGGAAGAATGAACAATGGGAAGAGCAGAAGTATGGGTACATCCAATAGACTATCCTTCTTTCATTATTTTTTGTAAATCAGATTTGATGACTGAAATAAAGGTTATAACTTCATCTGACACGCAACAAAATGATATTTAAAACTGAGAAAGATATAAGGACGTAAACCAAAGAAAGCTTCCCACATTTCACTTTAAGTGGTAAAATGTTCATATGCATAGAGTAAATCACATATATATACTGTAATACCCAGGGGGCTACCCCTACAAAAACTCTACAAAAATATACACTCAAAAACATTAAATAAATAAAGATGAAATTCTTAAAAAGTGTTAAGTAATACACAGAAGGCAAGAAAGAAAAACAGAGGAAGAATGAAAGGAAACAAGCAGAAAACAAATAATAAAATGTTGTCAAAAATATAAAAATATATATTAGTCAGGAGTCCCCAGAGAAACAGAGCCAAGTGTTATGTATATGATAATAAATATGTATGATATTTATTATGGAAATTGGATCACACAATTACGGAGCAGAGAAGCCCCACCATCTGTTGTCTGCAAGCTGGAAGGCAAGGAAAACTTGGTGGCACAGTTCAGTCTGAGTCCAAAGGCCTGAGAACTGGAGAGGGGGTCAGACGGGGTAGGGCACGTGATAATACTACTATAAGTCTTAGAGACCAAAGTACTGAGATCCAGGAGATCTGATAACTGAGGGCATGAAAAGATGGCTGTCCCAGCTCAAGGAGGTAGACATAATTCACTCTTCCTCCACCTTTTTGTTCTATTTGGGTCCTGAGCAGATTGGATGATGCCTGTACACATGACAAGTATTATCTTTATCTTCTTTACTCAGTCTGCTGATTCAAATGCTAGCCTTTTCTGGAAACATCCTCACAAACATACCCAGAAATAATGTTTTAACCACCTGTCTGGGCATCTCTTAATTCAGTCAAATTGACACATAAAAACTAATCATCAAAATATATTCGGTTCTAACATATTAATAATTATCTTAAATGTGTGGTCTAAGCACACCCATCAAAAAAAGATTGGCACTGCAGATTTAAATAAATTGCATAACTATATGCTGCTAACAAAGAAAGCTCTGATATTTAAAATTTCCCACCCTAAGTGAAGCATGGAAAGCTTACTTCAAATCAAAAATAAAAAGATGGCAAAAGATATATAAACATTAATCAAAAATGCTCAAGTGGCTGTATTAATATCCAATAAAGTAGGCTACAGAGGAAAGAAATTTATTAGAGATAAGTATAATGATAAAATGATTAATCAATAAAAATACAATGATTCTAAATGTGTATACACTAAAAAACATAACCTCAAAATACATTAAGCATAAACTGATCAGCTGAAAGGAGAAACAGACAAATCTACAATTATAGTTGGGAACATTAACACTCTTCTTCAGCAGAAAAATCAGATGATCTGAAGAACACAATCAAACAACAGAATCTAGTTGACATATATAGAACAATCCACTTCCAAACTGCAGAGTACCCAGGATTTTTTTTTTTCAAGTTCTCATGTAACATTTACCAAGATAGACCCATATCCTATCCTAAAAAAACACATTTCACAAATTTAACAGAATTGAAATCATACAAATTGTGTTCCCCAGCCTTAATGGAATCAAACTAGAAACCAATGACAGAAAGACAACAGGAAAACCTCTAAACAACACACTTCTAAATAATCTATAGTTCAAAGAAAAAGTCTATTAAATACACATATTACTGAGTTCAAATGAAAATAGAACATATCAAAATATGTGATATGTATCTTAAGCAGTGCTGAGAGGGAAACTGGTAACACAAAAGGCTTATACTAGAAATGAGGAAAGTTTCAAATCAATAATTGAAGTTCCTACCTAAAGAAAAAGAAAAGAATTGGTCGGGTGCAGTGGCTCACGCCTGTAATCCCAGAACTTTGGGGGGCCAAGGCGGGTGGATCACGAAGTCAGGAGATGGAGACCATACTAGCTAACATGGTGAAACCCTGTCTCTACTAAAAATACAAAAAATTAGCTGGGCGTGGTGGCAGGCACCTGTAGTCCCAGCTACTTGGGAGGCTGAGGCAGGAGAATGGCATGAACCCGGGAGGCAGAGTTTGCAGTGAGCTGAGATTGTGGCACTGCACTCCAGCCTGGGCAACAGAGCGAGACTCTGTCTCAAAAAAAAAAAAAAAGAATTCTGTTCTCCTCACTGTTATTCTACCTAATACTGAAAGGTCAAGACAGTATAACAACGTAAGAAATATAAATAAAATCATATTGATTGGAAAGACAATTATGTTGTTCTGATTTGCAAATGACATGATGGAATACATAGAAACTTCAAATAAATATATACACAATATTTTAGCATTTTTTATTTTATTTTTATTTTTTGGGACAGAATCTCACTTTGTCACCCAGGCTGGAGTGCAATGGCACAATCTCAGCTCACTGCAACCTCCACCTCCCGGGTTCAAGTGATTCTCCTGCCTCAGCCTCCTGAGTAGCTGGGATTATAGGCGTGCACCACCAAGCCCGGCTAATTTTTGTATTTTTAGTACAGACAGGGTTTCACCATGTTGGTCAGGCTGGTCTCGAACTCCTGACTTCATGATCTGCCCGCCTCGGCCTCCCGAAGTGCTGAGATTACAGGTGTGAGCCACCACACCTGGCCTAGAATTATTAAGTGCTTTCAGTAAGGTCACAAAATACAAGATCAGCACATCAATCAACACAATTTCTATATCTAAAAATGTGCACATGGAAACTGTAATTTTTGAAAAATTGTAACTGCTCCAAAGAATATATAGTACATAAGTATACACTTAACAAAACTGTTATGCGACCTGTATGCAGAAAATTACAAAATGATAATGAAAGAAAGAGAACATGAATAAACTGAAAGGCATACCATATTCATGGATTGGAAAGCTCAACATAGTATGTCCATACTCCCTAAGTTGATCTACAGGTTTAACGCAACTTCTATCAAAATCTCAGTACATTTTTGAAATTTTTTTTCTTTTATTAAGAGACAAGGTTATTTTAAAATTTATATGGTAAGACCCCAGCCCTAAAATAGCTAAAACAATTTTGACAGAGAGGAATAATATGAAAAGAATAACTCTACCCAATATTAAGGCTTGTTATATAGCTACAGTAATCAAGACATTATGTTGTTAGTAGAGAAACAGACACATAGATTAATGGAACAGACTAAGAAACTCAGAAATAGACCTACACAAAAAATGCTCCACTCATATTTTAGAGTGGTGAAAAAGCAATTCAAGAGAGCAAAGATAGCCTTTTCAATAAATGGCTGCTGGAGCAACTGGATATCCATTGGTAACAGGTTCATTTTGAACCTCAATCAAAACCTCAAACTTTACAGAAAAATTAACTTGAAATAGATTACAGACATGTATGTAAAACAAAATTATAACACTTTTAGAGATAAGCACAATATAAACTTTGAGATTTAGGGCTATTCAAAGCATTTTTATACTTTACACTTAATGAATAATCCATAAAGAGAAAAAGTGATACAATTAAAAACTATTTTGATAAATTTTTAATAATCTTTTTCTCTGTGAAAAATCACACTGAGAGGATAAAAAGACAAACTACAGACTGGAAGAAAATAATTACAACACACATATATGATGACTAATATCAAAATATATAAAGAAATCTCCTATATCAAAAAAGTAGAAAGGTCTCTAATAACCTAATGTTACGTCTCAAGGAACTGGAAAAACACGAACAAGCTAAATCCAAAATTAGTACAAGGAGAAAAATAGCAAAGATCAAAGCAAAAATAAACAAAATAGAGATTAAAAAAATAAAGATCAATGAAACAGAGTTTTTCTTTTAAAAAAATAAGTAAAATTGACACATCTTTTAGCTACACTAAGAAAAAAAGAGAGAAGACTCAAATTTACAAAATTAAAGGTGAAAAAGGAAACATTAAAACTGACACCACAGTAATACAACGATCACAAGAGACTATTATGAACAACTGTATACCAACAAATTGGAAAATCTAGAAAAAACTGGTAAGTTCCTTGGCACATACAACCTACCAAGATTGAATCATAAAGAAATTAAAAACTTGAATAGAGCAATAACAAGTGACAAGATTGAAGCAGTTATCAAGATTCTCCCATCAAATAGAAGCCAAGAACCTGATGGTACATATCTACTGAGTTCTACCAAACATTTAAAGAAGAACTAATACAAATTCTTCTTAAGCTTTTCCAAAGAGATCAAGAAGAGGGAATACTTCAAAACTCATTCTACAAGGCTAGCATTACACTGGTACCAAAACTAGACAAGGACACACACACACACACACACACACACACACACACACACACAAAACCACAGGTCAATATCCCTGATGAACACAGACATAAAAACCCTCAACAAAATACTAGCAAATCAAATCCAACAGCACATTAAAAAGATTATTCACCATAGCCAAGTGGGATTCATCCCAGAGATGCAAAGATGATTCAAAATGGGCAAATCAGTAAACATGATACATCACATTCACAGAATCAAAGCAAAAACCATAAGATCACTTCAATAGATGCAGAAAAAGCATTCAATGAAATTCAACATCTTTCACTATAAAAACACTCAACAAATTAGGTACAGAGGGAACATACACCTCAACACAATAAAGTTCACATATGACAAACACACAACTAATATCAAAAGCTTTTAGCTTTTCCCTTTAGATCTAGAACAAGATGAGGATGTCCATTCTTACCACTTTCATTCAACATAGTACTGGAAGTACCAGCCGGAGCAACTAGGCAAGAGGAAGAAATAAAGGGCATCCAAATGGGAAAGGAGAAAGTAAAACTGTTCCTGTTTTAAGACAACACAATCATTTATATATATATATATATATATACACACACACACATATATATACATATATATACACATCTATATATACACACTCATATATGTGTGTGTATATATATATATAATCTCAAAGACTTCACCAAAAACTATTATAACTAATAAATGAATTCAAGAAAGTGGCAGAATACAAAATCAACACACACAAATCAGTAGCATTTCTAAACACCAATAATGAAATAGCCTAAAAAGAAATAAAAGTAATTCCAATAGCTACAAAAAAAAACACCTAGCAATAAATTTAACCACGGAGGTGAAAGATCTCTACAATGAAGACTATTAAACACTGAAGGAAGAAATTGAAGAGGACATAAGGAGATAGAAAGATTCTCAATGCTCAATGATTGAAAGAATTAATATCATTAAAATGTCCATACTACCCAAAGTGATGTACAGATCCAGTGCAATTGCTGTCAAAGTATCAACGACGTTCTTTACAGATATGGGAAAAACACTCCTAAAATTTGTATGGAAGCACAAAAGACCTCGGATAGCCAAAGCAATCTTGAACAAAAGAAAAAAGCTGTAGGAATCACATTACTTGACTTCAGAATATACTAGAAAGCAACAGTAACCCAAACAGCATAGTACTGGCACAAAAAATCAGACACATAGACCAATGGGATAGAATAGAGAACTCAGAAACAAATCCACAGCCAAATTATTTTTCACAATGGTGCCAAGAACATATGTTGGGGAAAAGACAGTCTTTTCAATAAATGGTGCTGGGAAAACTGGATATCCATATGCAGAGGTAGGAAACTAGACCCTTATTTCTTACCTTATACAAAAATCAACTCAAAATCAATTACATATTTAAATGTAAGACTTGAAACTATAAAACTACTGAAAGAAAACACTTGGGAAACGCTTCATGGCATTTCCTTGGGTGAGTATTGTTTTGAATAGAACCACAAAAGCACAGGCAATAAAAGCAAAAATAGACAAATGGGATTACATCAAAGCAAAAAGCTTCTGCATAGCAAAGGAAACAATAAACAAAGCAAAGAGACAACCTGCAAAATGGGAGAAAATATTTGCAAACTATGCATCTGACAGAGTTTAACATGCAGCATGTATAACGACCTCAAAAAGCTCAATAGCAAAATCACTGATCGCTAGGTAAATAATCATTAGGTAAATCACTAATCATTAGGTAAATACAAATACAAATCACTAATCATTAGGTAAATACAAATCAAAACAGTGAAATATCACCTCACCCCAGTTAGAATGGGTATTATCATAAAGTCAGGGAATAATGGATGCTGGTGAGAATGTGGAGAAAGAGGAATCCTTGACTGTTGGTGTGGGAATGTAGATTAATACAGCCATTATGGAAAACAGTATGGAGATTCCTAAAAAAAAAATTAAAAATAGAACTACTATATGACCCAGTAATTCTGCTACTGCATATATATCCAAAGGATCTGAAATCAGTGTGTCAGAAAGATACCTGCATTCCCATATTTATTGCAGCACTTTTCACAACACCAAGAGATGAAATCAACAAGTGTCCATGAATGAATGAATGGATAAAGAAAATGTGGCATATATACACAATGGAATACTATTCAGCTATAAAAGGGTGTGAAATCCTGTCATTTGTGATAACATGGATAAACCCAGAGGACATAATGTTAAGTGAAATAAGTCAGACACAGAAAGACCAAAATTGTATGATCTCACATACATATGGAATCTAGGAAAGTTGATCTTATGTAACTACAGAGTAGAGTGGTGGTTACTAAAGGCTGTGGAGGGGTGGAGAGGGGAGTAAAGGAGGTAAGTTAATGGGTACAAAGTAACAGTTAGATAGGAAGAGTAAGTTCTAATGTTTTATTACATAGTAGGGGGAGTACAGCTCATAACAGTGTGTTGTGTATTTTAGGATAGTTAGAAAAGTAAATCATGAAAGTTATCACCACAAAGAGATGATAAAGGTCTGAGGTGATGGACACGCTAACTGCCCTGATTTGCTTACTTTACAATGTCCACATGTATTGAAACATCATACTATATAGCATAAACATATACAATTATTATGTGAATTATAAGCAAAATTAAAATTAAAATGAAGAAATCGCAACACTCAATAATAATTTTTTTAAATCCAATTAGCACGCCTGTAATCCCAGCACTTTGGGAGGCCGAGGCGGGCGGATCACGAGGTCAGGAGATCGAGACCATCCTGGCTAACACGGTGAAACCCCGTCTCTACTAAAAAAATACAAAAAATTAGCCGGGCGTGGTAGCGGGCGCCTGTAGTCCCAGCTACTCGGGAGGCTGAGGCAGGGGAATGGCGTGAACCCGGGAGGCGGAGCTTGCAGTGAGCCGAGATCGCGCCACTGCACTCCAGCCTGGGCGACAGAGCGAGACTCCGTCTCAAAAAAAAAAAAAAAAAAAAAAAAAATCCAATTAGAAAGTGGATAAAATACATGAACAGATACTTACTGAAGAGGACATACAAATGGCAAATATTAATAAACACATGAACAGAGGTTCAATATCTTTAATAATCAGGGAAATGCAAATTTAAACCAAAATAAAATATAACTACCTACCTATCAGAATAGCTATAATAACAAATATAGAAGAAAATAAGTAGACATTGCTGAGATATATTTTATAGGTACAGTTGTTGCTATTTTCTTTGTATTTATTTGGATGACTTGAACTTTTATAATGTGTTATTCAAAAGATCACAGTCATTAATTTGAAAATAAAAATAAATAACAAAATAAGCAATAATTCTACTATACTAACCGAGTCAGAGATCTTGAGTCCCTTATACATGATTTAGGATGGCAATTGGAAATGGTAGCACATCCAGAAGAGAACAGCCAATATGACATGTTTGAGGAAACCTAAATTAAAGTATTTGGGAACAAGGATCACAGTCATCTTTAAATTATTTAAGGGCTTTCATATAGAAGTTAGAGTAGATATTATACGCCATGCTCTAGAAACAAGATTCATGAGTAGAACTTACATGGCGACAGATACAGATTTCCTGATGACGAATCTGCCTCACAAAGGATGAGTTCAAGCAGAGGCAAGAAAACCTTCATGTTAGGAATATCATAGAAAGGATGCCTACAATTCAGAAGGAGGCTAGAATTGTGAATTGCTATAGTCTATCTTACAGAAATCTGTTTTTCATAAAGGAAAGGCTTCTGACTACTTTTATTTGCAATTTTTCTTGTATTGGGGGTTTCTGGCACCTTTTGACCTATCCTTTTCTATCTGCTACCTCTGGGAGCTGCTCTCTCAAAGACAGATCTTAGGTAGCTTTGATCTGATACTTCAAGATGGAAAATAAAAAGCAAATGTGAAGCAAGGTGCCAAAACCTTTTAATGCATTAATTATTTAAAATCGTATCTTTCTACATTATAAACCAGATAAAGGATTCGCTGCATGTCATCCTTCCACCTTTTTGAAAATGTAACTGGAAAATTTCTAAGGTGAAAACATGGCAACTATTCATGCTAGAGTTTCCACAACTGTGTCAAATAGCACTTGGCATGTGACAGAAGAGAGCCATACGCAGTGACCTTTGTCCCCTCTGGTCCTCAGCTCTCAATCTGGGGTGGCTCATTCCACTTTCTACGGCACATCTTTCAGTCACAGCAGAAACTGTTTACTCCTTTCACTTCTTAAAGATAACATTCAGTTAAACTGAGGGCTAGTGATAGCAATTGCTATTTAAAGGAGCTGTCACTCATTTTATACAATTTCCAAATGTTTGAAAAATTACGTAAAGAAAGTTTTTAAACAAATATACATAATAGAGCCATTCCTCCACAATAGCAATCAAAGGTGTTTTCTTTCAGGATTTGCTAAAGGTTCTTTCCTTCTTTCTTTCTTTCTTTCTTTCTTCAGGATTTGCTAAAGGTTCTTTCCTTCTTTCTCTCTTTCTTTCTCTTTCTCTTTTTCTCTTTCTCTCTCCCTCCCTCTCTCCCTCTCCCTCTCTTTCTCTCTCTCTCTCTCTTTTAATGCTCTAAGTTTAGACATCCCAGAGAGTTAGGTTGCTCCATGGCACAGTATGTCGTGTCTTGTTCTGTGCTACTTCTGTGACTTGTATCCATTTCCGTTAATAGATATATCATAGTGGATGTTCCTTTAGTTACAAAATATAGACAATCATTCCTGTGTTTCAGGATTTTTGCGAAGGTTAGAAAACCTGCCAGTAAAAATCTGACAAAGTGATTAGTTTTATTTTGTAGAAATGATCCTTGTAGACCACAAGCTCCTCTAGAACAGGATCCATGACCTGGTCACTTGTAATGAATATAAATCTGTTTCATAACTCTGAGGTAGATGAAATACCACCTTATTTTGTGTTTTAAATTCAAATTAAATCTTCTTCCAAATCCTTACTAGGTGCCTGCCGAGACTGTCACTGACCCAGAATTGTTTGATAGTCCCAAGATGTTAGACTGTCTGGAAATGTGGGAAGTGGTCTCTGTTTTTACTCCTTTGAGCTTGTAGCTGAGAGGCTTATTAACCAAATTCAAACAGTCCTAGAAAAGGCAAGAACCCTTCTGCTCACAGAATATTTTTCCCCATGCTTCCTTTTGCTAAGGACCTTTATTCATCATGTTTCTCAAGATTAGCCACCACCTATTCTATGCTGCCTCTTCCCACATCCTTTCTCTGGTTCCTTCACCTTCTGGGAAATAGATTCAGCACACTTAGGCTCCTAGTCCACAGCCTACCCCTGTGCTTCCTTGAATCACAAGTATTTGAACCTTTTCTTAGAACATAAGAAACCCTAGAACCCAGGACATTCCCATCTCCCTTAACTTCTTGGAGCATGGGGGGTGGGTAGAGAGTAGGGGGGTGGTTGATGAGGAACCCACAGAAAAAAAAAAACATGATTTTGTTTTCAGGTTATCCCACCATTCATTTTTGCATCCCCAGGGCCTAACACGGAGCCCTGCAGAGACTAGGCACTCATGAATATTTAATAAGAGTGCAAATGAACTATAAGTAATACAGGTGAACTGTCATGATGCATGCCAACTATAAGGTCCTAGAGCACAGCTAGTCCACTGGTTTTGTTTGTTTATTTGTTTGTTTGTTTGTTTTTGAGACGGAGTCTCACTCCCTCGCCCAGGCTGGAGTGCAGTTGCATGATCTTGGCTCACTGCAATCTCTGCCTCCTGTGCTCAGGCGATTCTCCTGCCTCAGCCACCCGAGTAGCTGGGATTACAGGCATGCACCATCATGGCCGGCTAATGTTTGTATTTTTAGTAGAGATGGGGTTTCATCATGTTGGTCAGGTTGGTCTTTAACCCCTGACCTCAGGTGATCCACCCGCCTCAGCCTCCCAAAGTGCTAGGATTACAGGTGTGAGCCACCGTGCCTGGCCTAGTCCACTGTTAACTGAAGCTTCAGAACTTGGTAATTGTTATTAAGCGTCCATGTGATAAAGCTGCTCAACTTTGGTAATGCCACTGAGGTTCCCCAGTTCTAAAGCCAAAGCCAGCCAAAATGCTCCAAGAGAAGTGATAGGATGCCCAGAATTTAGAGGCCACTGTTATCTCTTACTCAACTCTAACTATTAGGGAGTCAGGCACATGAATGGTTGTCATGTCTGACATTCTACATTGTAAATCAGTGGAATAATATAATAAAACTCTAAGTATCTGAGAGCTAAGTTTCCCAAAAAACTGCAGAAGACTCCCAATGTCATTAAAATTTTAATCATTTAGAATTAATATCTCTCTAGAATATATTAGGTATATCTCTGTTGTCTTAGGCAAATCATAGCAAACATAATTTAACCGTTCTGTGTAATTTAATGTAATCATTACAAATATTCATTATTCCAGTCCATATAAACAGTGGTGCCTTCTGGGCACTTTGGGGTAAATTGGGCTTTCTGTAGGACGGGGAATGACCATGAATGCTGGGTTTTCCCTAATCCCACAGGCATCTGTCTTTCATTACTTTTGAGTGTTTTCTTCACGTTAATGTTTTTCTCATTTGTTTCCTGATAATGAGATACAATGCTTTGTTGGATAATAGCTGTTGTCTTTCCTGAATAGTTTTTAATTTTTTTGCTTCTAAGTTGATAAAGCTTAGAATATGGGGAACCTAGCTTCTTTTTTGATTTAAGAATAAGTAAGAATGAATTGTCTCTGATTTTCATTGGGCTGATATTTTGACAACTATTTTTGGGTTCCACTGGGTTCATGGCTATGTTTAGGTAATGATGCTTCAGTTGGCTGACTACCATGTATTTATAAGGTACTTTGAATTTTTTGGAGTAATGTCATTACTGTGAACCACTTCCTTCTCATATTAATTCTGTCATTATTTTAAATGTTTTATAGATTTGAACCTGAGGTTAGGAGGTCTACATCCCCATAGTCAATGGAGGGGATTAAAAATCCTTCCCTTGCCTTTTGACCCTCAAGTCTGACACAGTTCCCAGCTCACTACCCTTTGCAAACATTCTGGGTTATTAAAAACTAGTTGACCCCACACGGTCTGATAATCTCACAAATGGTAAAGTGACTGATGGAATTTTTAGAGTTAGACTATTTCTTCTCACATATTTAGAATCAAATATGACACACACACATGCACAAAGACTAGAAGTTTGGGAACTGGAAGAAATTAAGCACTGTCAAATGAGACAAAGAAAAAAAGCCAGTATTCATGGATTTATAGAAGACAGATAGATAGATAAGAAAACAAATAGGAGTATGTTTATCAGTGACGACTATTATAGTTCCACTGTCAGCTGAAGTGAATATTCAATACTATTCCTAAGTAATTCATGTAAAATCATATTTTCTTAAACTTAATGACACTCTGTAGGCTCCTATACATTTTTATGAGCATGATTGCCATTTAATGGATGACAGTTTTTTTTTTCACTTTTGCTATATAGGAGGAACAATATATGCAAATTTCATATGTTCATTCCAGCATTTTTTGCTTTCTTTTTCTAGATTGTCAGAATGTTTTCTCCCTTCTGACAACCTAAACCCTAATCGTGCTTCAGGATTCAGATGAATTTAAATAACCTGCATGAAATACCTTCCATGATTCCCACAGAACTTTCTCGTCTCCCTTTTCTCCTCATTCCTCCAATACCTCAGGCCTCAATCTCTTATTAGTCGTTTCAGGTCTAACAGCCCTTGACCTAGTTAGATGATACACACTTCTCAGACTAAAGACTGGATCTTATATTTCTAGTGTAGTTTTTCTACTTGCAGTTAGCAAAGGTCTAGTTATATAACAGGTGGTCAAGTAACAACTGAATAAATATGAAAGTCAATAGATTGATAACATTAAAATTAACCAAGTTCAACCTATTTGTGCATTTTAGAGATGAGAAATAGATGTCAAATTGCCTTTGTGCTGGCTATTCGTCATTTGGCCGCCACACACCCAGACCCGTTTTCTCCCTCTCTGTCCTGCTATGTGCCTCACGAGGAAATCCCCTCACGAGGAGACTGCAATAGTAGGCAGAATAATGGCCCACAAAAGATGTCCATGCCCTGATTCTCAGAATGGCAAAAGCAACTTTGCAGATGTGATTAGAGTTAAGGACATTGAGTTAGGGAGATTATTCTAGATTATCTGGGTGGACCCAAGGTACTTACATGCAATCTTAAAAGTAGAGAACGTCTCCCAGCTGTGGTCAGAGAAAGAGACGCAATGATGGGAGAAGGGTCAGAGGACTCAACTCTATTGCATTGCTGGCTACGAAGATGGAGGAAAGGGCCATGTGTCAAGGAATGTAAGTAGTTTCCGGAAGCTGGAAAAGCAAGGAAATGGATTCTCCCCTGGAATCATCAGAAAGGAATGCAACCCTGTTGGACACCTTGGCTATGACTATGTTGAACTTCTAGTCTACAAAGATATAAGATAATGGGTGGATTTCTTCCCTGATCCCTCCCTCCTTCAGCCCTGTACCGTAGGCTGTACTTGTGTCCCTCATGCTTTAGCTCCCACTGGCTGAATCTTCCTCCTTCATGCACCCAGCTCCAACTAGGCTCTAATAATCCTATGTTTTCTCTCTTTACCCCTTCACTCTCAGAGACACCCATGGCTCCCCACTAATTGCTTGTTTCTGGAAGCATCTCTATCCCTTGATTATCCACTTAATGCAGCCAACACCTCTGCTAGTAGTCACTCACTATACATTTTTTATTTTAAGTCTGGGGTAAATTTGTTCCCTGCTAGGACCCAGACTAGGGCAGCCTTGTTTCTTTAAAGCATTATGAAAGGTTGCTAAAAGTTCATGTATACTTGAGAGAGGAGCATATATCCGAAAGACAGGGGAAAGGTCGTGAGAAACCATCTGACCCCTGAAAGAAGCTTCAGAGTCTTATGACTTTTCCATTCCCACGAAGCATGTTTATGATTTTTTTAATTCTGTGATGTCCCTGTGTCCTTATCCTCTCCACTCACACCATTCCACTACTGCTATCTATACACAAATTTTTTTTCTTGATGGATATTTACTCTCTGTGTTTGCAATTTCTTATGCTTAGAATCCTCTCACCTTTTTGTATTTAATGTTCAGGATACAAACAGATCTCTGAAAACAAGAGGATCAAAATTTCAGAATAAGCATCACAAAGATCACCAATTTGTCCACACCAAACTATACTCCATGCTTAGCATGCAGAAAATTGGCAGGTTCATGAAAGAGATTGTGAATAATAAAATGGATACATAACAGTAGAACATCTTCCTTACTAGTACAGATATCCAGATGCTCTAGATCATTCTGTGCTGTAGCCAGAAGCTGACATTCACAAACAGCTATATTCTGGCCCCATCTGAGAGTTCTGACTTGCTTCTCAGACAACACCTATTTCTTCCTCACTGTGCCCACAGATCAGAGAACACAAGAATGGATGGTGTTGAGGGACCATCTCCTCCAGTGCCTTCACTTCATAACTGAGGACAGTAAAGTCCATCAGGATGGCTACTATTAAAAAGGCTATGGAGAAAAGGGAACACTTATACACTGCTGGAGGGATTGTAAATTAGCTCAGCCACTGTAGAAAGCAGTTTGAAGATTTCTCAAAGAACTTAAGACATAACTACCATTTGACCCAGAAACCCAATTATTGAGTATATACCAAAAGAAAAATAAATTACTCCACAAAAAAGACACATGCACTTGTATATTCATTGCAGTACTATACACATTCACAAAAACATGGAATCAACCTAGGTGCCCATCAATGTTGGATTGGATAAAGAAAATGTGGTAAGTATATACCATGGAATACCACACAGCCATGAAAAAAAAAAACAAAATCATGTCCTTTGCAGCAGCATGGATAGAGCTGGAGGCTATTATCCTAAGCGAATTATTGCAGAAACAGAAAACCAAATATTGCATGTTCTCTTTTATAAGTGGGAGCTAAACATTGGGTACTCATGGACATAAAGATGGCAACAACAGATACTGGAACTACCGCGAGGGGGATGACGGGAGTGGGCAGAGGGTTGAAAAATTAACTGTTGAGTACTATTCTCACTATCTGGTGATAGAATCATTTGTATCCTCATTCTCAGCATCATGCAATATACCCATGTATCAAACATGCACATATACCCCCTGAATCTAAAATAAAAGTTGAAGTTATTAAAAATAAAATGCTGTGGCAGGTAGGCAGGCAGGTTCAGTGCCTAAAGGCTTGGATGACAGAGTCAGGTCCCTTGGGCATTTAAACATGACGCCATCACTTAACTGTACAAACCTGGACAAGTAACTTTACTTCTCTGTGCCTAAGTTTTCACACATCTGTATAATGAGAGTAATAATACTATTTATCACAACATTGTTCTGAGGATTAAATGAGATCATATCTGTAAGTTGCTTTATAACACATGCTTATAATCAAGAAATGGGCTGAGGATATTAGAATGAAAACTAAGCTTATCCATTTTGATGCATGACTAATCCTTAGTAACCCTGAAGAAAAGATATTCTTCTTCGCAGATGATGAAACAGAGACTCATAGAGTTTAACCAATTTGGCCTAAGTCACAAAGTTCTTGCTCAATGGAAAAGATTCAAATCCAGATCTACCTGATTCTAAAGTCCATGCCACTCATACTCCCCCATGCTGTGACCTTTTTATTCTGAGCACAAAGTTCCTCAGCTCTTCTTATGGCCCTTCCCAATGTTTGGTAAGTGCCTCCAAGGTTCATTTTCCTTTGGTTACTGTTGACTCTCCTCTCTCCTTCATTCAAATATGCTGTCTAAACTAGCATAACCACATACTCTCCAACCTTTTCTCTGCCTTATTTTTATTTATACCACTTATCACTACCTGATATCATATTATATATTTAGTTTATTTTCCACCTTCTCCACTGAGATTGTAAACTCCATGCAAGGACTGTTGTCAAATTTTGTCCATTGCTATATCCATAGCATGTAGAATGCAGCCTAGAACATGGTAGGTGCTCAACAATCATTTTCATGAAAAATAAATGAATGAGCGGATTAATGAAATTCTGTCCTTCTACAAGTACTGGACAAGTGCACTCAACAAGAACACTCAACATATCTATTGCTTTCTTTTCCCAAGAAAGCACCAGTTGCTAGAGCTTAAAACTCACACACCAGAGATCTCCACTTCATTATGCTCTGCCATTTAAAATCATTTTCCATATCAAGGCATTGTACACAGAGCAGTAAAAACACTTTCTGCCACTTTTTCTTATTTCCTGGTATGTCTTAAATCCTAATTATTATTGTCTGTTTTACATTGAACAAAACAATACTGACTTGAATTTGCCTAATGAAAACTTCCATTATCTTCCTACCACGTAACTATTCAAGTTAAAATCAATACTCCCCAAAGGGCTGGGTTCCGATTAAATCATTACAAGCCTTTTTTTTTTTCAATTTCTGCATGGTATTATGAAAAACATAGTCAAATTGCCCCAATTCTTGCCTCCTGGGCTCTTAAAATCTGACACAGATAATGATGATGTAAGAAGTTATATTGGGACACAAATAACCAGTTCATGGGTTGATGCTATGAGATGCAAGGAGATTTTGAGAGTGAAGTCTGGGTATGCGCAACAGTGAACTTTCCTAGTCTAGGTTTTACTGTTTGCTATTTCTTCTACTTCGAATCCTCTTCCACCTTTTGTACTAAAATTGTATTTCTCACTGGTTGGCTTCTCAAATTCCAAAACCACTCAGGTTTGGAGATTCCAATTTCTCAGGCAGCCCACAAAGCAAAAGTGCTCAGTATAGCCTTGTGAATATATATAAGTGATTGTGTGTGTTTCCAGGATGCTGAACATATACACGGTGAAGTTTCAAGAATGTAATATAGAGCTAGTACATCCTCAAACAACCTATGATCAACAGCTTTAGTAATAGACCACAGCTGTTTAATAATAGGGGTTAACCTCAGTTCTCTAAGAAATGTTTACATAGTAGGTATACATCTATACTATGCATAGTACATTCACCTAGTTATGTACTAAAATGTAATGTATTCTCTTGTTAATGAGAGTCACCTCTACTTGTTTAAAATTTCCAGATTTTGTATAATGATCAGGGGTTGCTTTTATAATCGGAAATAATATTATTTAAAAAGAAATATATTTCCAATCCTGCATATAGTTGACCGTAAGGATACCAATAACATTTTCTCCTTCAACCCCCTGAGCAAACTGTCATTAGTTTGTAGTTTAATGCAATATCTGTTTTTTGCAGATTTAACAAAACTTCAAGCCTGACCCCCAAGTTTTCATACATATGCATATGCCCTATGGCTCCTTCTTCATCACATACCAACCCTAAGTCATTAGCATGAAGTTTTACTTGATTGAGCCTGACCCAGGTCTACAAAGTATTATGCAGAACACAAAGGAACAACTGGGAGGAAAATTCAGAATAAGCAGCTCAGCTTTGAGGATCCTGTGGCTGTTCTGCATTTAAAACCTTGGTAAAGCAACTACTGACAGTAATTTCAGATAATCAGGCAAAAATGGGTTGATACCTCAAAATAGCCAAGTGCATGTTTTTAAAAAAATATTAAAAGTAATAGTGATTTTTGCCATTACTTTTAACGGCAAAAACCGCAATTACTTTTGTACCAACTAATAGTAATCCCTTGTAAATATGAAGTACCTAATCTGATATAGCCCCTGATTCAGGGCATTATATAGATTATCTGTTATAGTCAGAACACTGTAAAAAAGAAATTATCTTTATTCCATGTTAAAGGTGGGTTTCAAATTCCAGAGTGATCGAGTGACTTATCCAAGGCCACACAAGTTCTAAATAGCAAAACTGGAATTCATACCCGTGACTGCCTTACTCCAGACTCAGGTTCCTTCCTTTACACAAAGCTTGTACAGATTGGGTAATCCTGACTCTGCCAGGAAACTCAAAGGACAAGGGCCAGAAATACAGGGAGGGAAATTCATGTGTTACACAGAATTTTCTATGCAACCTGCCCCTACATTCAGCTAGGTAAGTTCTTTTAGATTCAGGAACCTACTGGGGAAATGTGTAATCAGGCAGAACTAGAAAGTCCACAGGAGCCAGACACATATTTGGCAAGCAGTGTTTTGTTTCACAGGTTGATTTTTAAGAGGTTTTTTTTTTTTTCCATCGTTTTCTTCTTCCCTCCTTCCCTGACTTCCTATCTCTCTTTCTCCTCTCCCTGTTGGTTTGACAATCTAAGTTAAGCTCCACTCTGGGTCATGTATGCATTATTTCTCTTCAATGTACTTGGCCTTAGAATGTATTTGGAACCAGAATGCATGGAAATCAGCTAGGGGAGAGAAAGGGGAGGAGGAGATATAGAGAACAAACCCTACTGTGGCTCCAGGCAAACAAAATCAAGCTCCAGAATTAAAAAACAAAACCAAAAATGAAACAACAACAACAACAAAAACATGTCGCATTCTGTACCACATAGGTGGTGACCACTTACATACAGGTCTGCAAATGCGAACAGCTGTATCTTGCCTTCTTTTGATTTCGGTCGTTTCTTTTGTGAAATTCAAGGATGGACTCTGATTCCCAAGCCCCAAGTTTAACACTCCGTGGTTCTTACAGTGTCTCCTAGAGTTAAATGCGAATGGAATATTGAATAGTAAGTGGGAAAATACACTCCAATAGAGTCATTTAACTCTAGAAATATTTTATAAATACACATTTTGGGTTACACATTGTTTTATTTAAGTCTAGATAATAGTGCCATTTGCATTCTAATCTCAGCTCGGTCCCTTCCTTGCTAGGAGATAGATGAAGCTCTCATTCTTTTTGGTGTTTTAATTTCCTCAGTGGTTAAGCAAGGATGACACATCTAACCTGCATTTCAGAATGTATGGATAGACACTATAGCAAAACCTTTTAGAATGTTTTGGCTTAAAAGACTTCTCTCTGAACCATATTTATGTTTTAATATACTATTTTCCCCAAACAGTCATCAGTAGGATTTACAAAGAAAACATATTCATATAATGGGATTAATTTCTCTAGATCCTTGGATGATCTCAAAATGTTTGGCCTTGACTAATCAATGAATTTGAATTTTTGGCAAATACCAATCATTATGTACATGATTCAAATATTTGCCCTTTTCTGCATAGTCAAGGCAATCTAATTTTAACTAATTGTAAGAAAATAAATGTTAATATTCAACAGCATTAGAGTACTGTTTTGTTGCACTAAAATTCCTCTAATGACATAAGATATCAAGATGCAAAAATTCCATGGAGATCCCAATGCACGATGTACAAAATCATAGAGACTAAATGCTGAAGTTGGAAATGATCTTAAAAAGGAAATCTAGTGAAAAGGCTTGACTTCATAGATGAAGAAAGGAGGAGATTAAAATTTCCTAAGCAACCAGAGGTATTGTATTAAGTGCTTTACTGCACCAGTGTATTCAATCTTCATCATAGCTCCATTATAGTTCCTTCATTTTACCTAAAAATAATCTGAAAGCCAGGGAAGTAAAATAATTTACCCTTTCTCAGTGATATGATTATGATCAAACTCCAGATTCTGTATCAGAGGTCCTCATTCAGAGATCAAGCCAAAAACCTATAAGTCTACTTGAGCCTAAATTCTATATTCAGTAGTAAAATGCCAACAAGCTGACCAACAAATTTTTCTTTCTGAGAGAAACAATTCATGGTAGAAAGCTGGTACACGGACAACTGGGGAATGGTAAGACCACTTGTGTGCCTCTCTTTTAGGATGACCAATTACCATATGTATAGAACAGGCTTTTATCAACTACTGAGATCCAAATAGATAATAATCATGTTATACAAATAAAAGCTCAAATTTATTGAATATTTATGATATATCAAGGATTTCTAAAATGTCATTTTATACCTTCACATAACTTTTAAAGATAAATATTACCACCCCATTTACAGATGATGTAACTGAAGCTTAGTTGGGTAGATAACAACAACAATACAAATTACTTGTATAGAATTTACAATGAGACAGGAACTAAGTCCTTGATCACATACTACTCGTGTGTTACACATACAACTTCTGTAATCATCACAGCAACCCTGTAAGGCAAGTATTAGTATTATACCCATCTACCATACGTGAAACTGATATACAGAGAGCTCTACAATCACACAATGCAATGGTAACAGAGCCAGCCAGGCTCTTACACACTGCTCTACACTCAGTATGATGGAGACAGCCAGTGGACACAGAAGGATTTGAACCTAAGACGTGAACTCCGAAGCCCATATTCTTTCCAGATCTTCATGTTTCTCAATCCTGTCTGCTCTTTAGAATAATATGGGAAGCATTTGGGAAGTAGGATTTCTATTAAAGCAGTTGTCCCCAACATTTTTGGCACCAGGGACTGGTTTCGTAGAAGACAATTTTTCCACAGACCATGAAAAAATTGTGGGATTGGGGGATGGTTTTGGAATTATTCAAGTGCATTACATTTACTGTGCACTTTATTTCTGTTTTTATAACATTGTAATATATAATGAAATAATTATAAACTTACCATAATGTAGAATAAGTGGGAGCTCTGAGCTTGTTTTCCTGCAACTACACGGTCCCATCTGGGGGTGACAGGAGACAGTGACAGATCATCAGGCATTAGATTGTCATAAGGAGCCCAGAACCTTGATTCCTTGCATGCGCAGTTCACAATAGGGTTCATGCTCCTATGAGACTCCAATGCCACATCTGATCTGACAGGAGGCAGAGCTCAGGCAGTAATGTGAGCAATGGGGAGTGGCTATAAATACAGATGAACCTTCACTAGCTCCTTGACCTCTGCTCACCTCCTGCTATGTGGCCAGGTACCTGGTCTGTGGCCCAGTAACAGCCCATGGCCTGTGGCTTGCAGATCGCTGTACTGAAGAATGTGATCATTTTCTCAAGTATGCAAACTGAAGGAGGTTTCAGTTGAGTGGCATATTTATTCCTAAGTGTCAATGAATCCTAAAAGAGGAGAGGAGCACCTTCCCTGTTGCTTGAAATGGAAGTTCTCATCTTGATTCTTCAGATGACTTGTCGGCCACTCTGAGGCAGGCTCTAGACCCATTTCCACTGGTCCCAGCCTAAGCATAGCTGCCAGCAAACTCAGGCCAGAAAATCTACATGGGTTCTGCAAAAATGCCTTTGTGACCTAGATTTTTTTTTTGTCTAAACGTCCTTTAACTTTTCACTTTGACAATCACGTATTGAATTTCAACTATGGGCAAAATACTGTGCTAGGCACTCTTGGGAACACAGATTCCTTGGCCCCAAGGAAAGCACAATCTATTGGAGAAAATACAAATATTGGCAGCTAAATATAATTCGTATTATAGTACCAAGGAGCCCTTTTGGCTTTGTATCTAAGTTTAAGTTTCTGCTATATGTGAGAAAATTAGAATGGGTTCAGGTATACTCTGGGGGGTGAGGGGTCAAATCAAAGGACATAAAGGTGAAATATGGGGCCTTACAATGTGTTTCACTTTCATAAATGAGTTTAGGCAACTCTGTGTGCTTTTAGTGTGCCCTGGATAATTAGGTAGATCATTATTGTTGTTGTTGCTATTTTATTCTCCAAT
The DNA here is from genome assembly GCF_000001405.40 of Homo sapiens. Lineage (NCBI taxonomy): Eukaryota > Metazoa > Chordata > Mammalia > Primates > Hominidae > Homo > Homo sapiens. Next base: position 47,238,249 of record NC_000015.10, on the reverse strand, counting down.
GACGAGTTTACAGCGTATTCTCTTCAGTGGTTTGTGTCCCTGAAAGCAAAATAAACTCAACATTTTCTTCCTGCAACCTCTCATGAATATTAATGATGTCTTTATTTACTGTTTGGCAAAATATGACAAAAATAAAAATGCACTACAGCAAAAAAGAACATGTATATACCAAAAATATCTAGCTACTGTCAGAATACTTGTGTCATCATCATTATCAATAAATGCGCACTTGACAAGGATGCTCCATACACTGTACCATCCCACAATTCCCTGTAACCGCTGACCTTTCTTAAAGAGTGCTGCTAGTTCTTTGGTTGCTACTTGTTGAACTCCCATTAATTTTAAAGTTGTACAGTTTTGTTGTGCTTAAGTCAGAAACATGGAGTTCAGTGACAATGGGCCAAAGAGATTTGTAAGAGCAGTCTTCCAGAAACAGACCTCCAGGGCCTCAGAATCTTCCCTCAAAGATTTTTGTGCTCAGAGGCTCAAATATATAAAACAAACAATTAAAACGGTCATAGTTAAAAGGGGGTGTAGAGTCCTACCTATACAGACCTACTCTCAAACCCTAGAGCAGCCCAAAGCAACTTCACAGAGCCCTTTGAATTCTACACATCACACTTGCAAAGCCACTGATCCAATCCATTTAATAGAGGAGGACCCAGACTACCAAGCCAATTCAAGCAGCTAAGGCCACCGAGTTAGAGGCAGCGTTGAAAATAACACTCATATCCCTTCGGTCATAGTGCATTGCTCATTGTACACTACTTCTTGCCTCTCTACATAGTGCAATTTGAGAGAACAATAAGTGAAAAAAATTACTAGAAACGTTTATCATGACAGTCTCATTTCCAACGTGGCAAAATAGAACTCCTCTAGGGTTTGCCAGACAATCCTAAAATCACAGTGTGATCATTTAAGTGGAATAACTATTGCATATTGAACCAATAAAGTAAAATGGTGAGCCTCAAGATGTCTTACCCATGTTCTTAGACCTGTAATAGAACTTATTAAATTCCTTGTATGGAATTCCATTAGCTCTGGCAGTCCAAAATAAGTATGACCACAGTGAGAACTTGACCAGGATTTTGTATAGCACAGCTAGACTTATTTCTAGTTCAACCTTATTCCTATTGGTGTGCTAATTCTACCCAATGCCATTGAATAACTCTAATAAAACTTGTTCAAGAACACAAAAATTCTAAAAGTCGGTGATAATCTTGTTGTGTATGTGTCCATTTGATTCAATAGAACACAAGCATTATCCAGCAGGAGGATGTAATGTCATTGTCTCTTGCTTGCAACCTAGGCCTAAACAAATCCCTTCAGAAATTATACAAAAATTAAGCTTCAGAGAGCCTTAGAGGCTATACATAGAATTAGTGATTTGAACTATATCTTGAATCCCAGTCCCGTGCTATTTGCCCAAGTTGCTTCATAATCTATGTCCTTCCCCTTCCTAAAGGAAATGTTAGCTGATATCCAAGATAGGCAAATAATTCCTCAGCTTTTTCTTATTCCCTTTTATAGAAAGTGATTGACCTTAGCCTAACTACATCTATAGTGGATGCACTCAATCAATTATTCTTTCTGATAACCTCTAGCAACAGCAGGATTCATCTGAAGACAGGCAGAATTATTTACTCATAATTTTGTTCATCCTTTATGTTAGAAGGTTAATAAAAACCCCTCTTCCACAGTATGGTAGGGAGAAAAATAAACTGATAATATACATTCCCATTGTTACCATTTTAAAACTGCTGTATAAATTTAGCATTTGTTTTTTAATTGCATTATTACTGATATTGGTTACATAAAATGCTATGAGTCATAATATTAAATACTTAGAATTCTATTATATTGACTCTGGAAAAATATGGCAACATGGGGGTGGAGAGAACCCCACATGAATCCTCTTTCTTCTGGCCAGACTAAACATGCCCAGTGGGTGTGATCCATTTATCAAGCTATCCAGGAAAGGGGAGATCTTGTTCTTCGATAATCAATTCCCAGATGTTACAGAAAATGGCAGATTAAAAGACTCTAAGAACATGATTCTCCCTGAAAATAATTTAAAAATCTGGCCAAAACTATTGGAATCAACCTTTTCAGAACTCTGGAATCTAACCAAAGATTGATGCAATCCAGATAACATTTTTAACACAAGCATGCAAACTAAAAACTGGCTAACTCTCTGTAAGAAGCATGAATTTGTGTTTTGATTTACCCTAGTCCTATCCCTTGCTACCCAGCTCAACAGCAGTCTTGAAAATAACAGTCATCATTCCAAGTACCAATATCTGAGGGAGCAGAATGTAACAAAGTAACAAAGAATTCTTATGTAGTAATGATTCCCTGGAAGATCCACTCAAAAGGCCAGTATTTATCCAACCTGACTGGGAAATTACCTAGTGCTAAAGCTGTTACCCCATGGAACACTGTCAAAAGCAATTTACAAGCATAAATCCTAAGCAAAAAGAACAAATCTGGAGGTATCACATTACCTGACTTCAAATTATACTACAAAGTTATAGTAACCAAAACAGCATGGTACTGACATAAAGGTGGATACATAGATCAATGGAACAGAATAGAGAGCTCAGAAATAAAAACAAATACTTACAACCAACTGATCTTCAACAAAGCATAGGAAAACATAAATCGAAGAAAGAATACCCAATTCAATAAACAATGCTGGGAAAATTGAATAGCCACATGTAGAAGAATGAAACTGATCTCTAACTACCTATAAAAATCAACTGAAAATGGATCAAAGACTTTAAGACCCAAAAGCATAAACATTTTAGAATAAAACCTAGGGAAAACACTTCTGGACACTGGCCTAGGCAAAGAGTTTATTACTAAGACCCCAAAAGCAAATGCAACATAATAAAAAAATTGATGGGACCTAATTAAACTAAAAAGCTACATAATAAAAAAAATCATCAGAGTAAACAGACAACTCACAAAATGGAAGAAAATATTTGCAAATTATGTATCTGACAAAGGACTGTTATCCAGAATCCACAAGAAACTCAAACAAGTCAGCAAGAAAAAAACAAATAATCCCATAAAAAGTGGGAAAATTACATGAATAGACATTTCTCAAAAGATATATAAATGGCTAACAAACATGAGAAAAATGTATAACATCACTAATCAGGGAAATGCAATTTAAACCACAATGAGATACCATCTTATCCCAATCAGAATGGCCATTATTAAAAAGTCAAAAAACAGTAGATGTTGGGTGGATGTGGTGAAAAGGGAACACTTATACACTGCTGGTGGGAATGTAAATTAATCTGATCTCTATGGGAAACAGTTTGGAGTTTTCTCAAAGAACTAAAAGTAGATCTGTCATTCAATTCAGCAATCCCACTACTGGGTATCTACCCAAAGGAAAATAAATCATTATATCAAAAATGCACCTGCACATGAATGTTTATGGCAGCACAATTCACAATTGCAAAGATATGGAGCCAACCTAAGTGCCCATCAACTGATGAGTGGATAAAGAAAATGTGATAATATATACACCATGGAATACTAATCAGCCACAAAAAGAAGGAACTAATGTCTTTTGCAACAACTTGGATGGAGCTGGAGGCCATTATTCCAAGTGAAGTAATTCAGGAATGAACAATCAAATGCCATATGTTCTCACTTACAAGTGGGAGCTAAGCTATGGGTATGCAAAGTCATACAGAGTGGTATAACAAGACATTGGAGACTCAGGAAGGGGAAGGGTGAAAGAGGACTGAGGAATAAAAAGATTACACATTGAGTACAATGTACCCTGCTCAAGCAGCAAGTATACTAAAATCTCAAGCTTCAACACTATACAGTTCATCCATGTAACCAAAAACCATTTGTATCCCAAAAGCTACTGAAATAATACATATTAAAATAATATATATTTTTATATATGTATGTATAACATTTACAAGCATAAATGCATTAGTCTCTGCCTTAGACTTTACATCCTGGTTTCACAGAGCCTAGAGGTCTGCCAGAGGTGATTGCTTTGGGTCTTCTTAGGTCTTTCCTGAGCTTGTGAACAGCCCTGGGACTGCATTTGACTGCTGAGATCCCAGAAATATGTCAGACATTTTCAAAACCCTTATTCCCAAAACATCTCATTCCCAGCCCTTCCTCCCAAGAGTTTTGGTTGGTATATTGTTTGTCCCAACTGTTATCCATTTTCTCAGGCAGCAGACATTAGAATAGGCCTGGAAACTTTCCCTGCAAGATCAGGGACACAGCAAGAATGTCCTCTCTCACCATGTGTATTCAACATTGTATTGGAGTTCCTAGCTAATGCAATAAGACAAGAAAAGGAAATAAAAGACATGCAGTTTGAAAAAGAAGAGGTAAAACTACCTGTCTGTGAATGATTTGATCTTATATATATAGACAATCCCCAAAATGCCACAAAGTTGTTAGAGCTAATAAATAAATAAATTCAATAAAGTTGTAGGATACAAAATCGACATACAAAATCAGCTACTTTTCTACAAGCTAACAACAAACTATGTGAAAAGAAAATTAAGAAAACGATCCCATTTACAATAGTATCAAAAAGAATAAAATACCCAGGAACAAACTTAAGTAATGAAGTAAAAGATTTAAATACTGAAAATTACAAAAAAAGTTGTAGAAATAAATTAATGGAAAGACATCCCATATTCATACATTGGAAGACTCAATATCATTAAGATGGCCTCACTCTCCAAATTGACAGATACAATGCAATCGTTACTGAAATGCTAATTGCTGTTTTGCGTAAATTGGCAAGCTAATTCTAAAATTCATATGAAAATTCAAAAATCCCAAATAGCCAAAATGATCTTGAAAAGAAAGAATAAGTTTAAAGGACTTACATTTCTTGATTTCAAAACTTATTGCGAAAGTACAGTGATCAAAATACTGTGATATAGGCATAAAAGCAGACATAGAGATCAGTGGAATAGAGCCCAGAAGTAAACTCATGCCTATGATCAACTGATTCTCAATGAAATATGTCAAGACCACTTAATTGAGAAAGAATAGTCTTTTCAACAAATGGTGCTGGAACAACTGGATATTCACATGCAAAACTTTGAATTTGGACCCCAGACTCAAGCATATATAAAAATTAACTCAAAATTGATTAATTACCTAAATGCAAAAGCTGAGAGCATAATAAAATTCTTAGAAGGAAATTCAGGTATAAATATTTATGACATTAGATCAAGCAATGGTTTCTTAAATATGACACCAAACATACAATCAGCAAACAAAAACATTACCAAGTTTAACTTCATAGTAATTAATTTGTGTGTATGTGTGTGTGTGTATCCAAGAACACTATGAAAGTAAATAGACAACCCACATAAGGGAAGAAAATATCTGCACTTCATATATCTGATGATGGTCTAGGACCCAAAATATATAAATAGCCCTTACAGCTCAACAATAATCACACTAAAAACCTTATTTAAAAACGTGCAAAGAGTTTGAACAGTCATTTTTTCAAACAAAGTATATGAATGGAAAATAAGCACATGAAAAGATGTTCAATCTTCAAGCCAGCAATAGTGTGAAAAAAATAAATTTTAAAAAATGCTCAACATTACTATTCATTAGAGAAATGCCAATTAAAGCCATAATGAAATACCATTTTATACCCACTAGCTTGGCTGTAATAAAATACACACACACACACACACACACACACACACCCTCCCCCCATAGAATAACAAGAGCTAGAAAGGATATGGAGAAATTCCAGGCCTCACACCTTGCTGATGGGAATGTTAACTGCTACGGCTACAGTAGAAAACACTTTTGACAGTTCCTCAAAACTTTCAACATGGAGTTACCATATGACCCAGCAATTCCACTCCCAGGTATATAAAAACCAAGATAACCATTCACACAAAAAAATTCACCACAAATGTTTATTACAGCACTATTCATTGTTGCCAAAAGGTGGAAACAACCTAAATGTTTATTGACTGATGAATGAACAATATGTAGTATATCCTTACAGTGGAATATGATGCAGTCATACGAGAGACTGAAGTATTGATCATACTGCAACATGGAAAAACCTTCAAAACACTATGTTAATTGAAAGTAGCCAGACACAAAAGGCCACATATTCTATGATTCAATTTAAATAAAATCTCCAAAAAAGGAAACTCTGGAGAGACACTAAGTAGATCAGTGGTTTACAGGGGCTGAAAGTAGAATGAAATTGGGATTGATTACTCACAGGTATGGGAGTTATTTGGGGGTGATGGAAATGTTCTGGAATTAGACAGTGGTGATGTTTGCACAATATTTTGAATGTACTAAAAGCCACTGAATTATTCATACTTTAAAATTCTTAAAATGATAAATTTTATGTTATGTGAATTTTATGTTAAAAAAAGAATCAATTTTCAAAGGGAGTTTATAATTTCTGTTTAGCCTATGGATTACCCTCAGACAGATTTTTTAGAAACAATGAAAGCAGGGTAAGAATTAGAAAATATTTCTTCTCCTAATTGCCATCTCCTGAAGGGATAAACTGCTGGGGCACAGTTTTATGTAATAAGAAATAGAAGAATTGTCCTATGCAAGAAACAAAAGTAATTATGAATTAGATATACAGAATCTTAGTAAATGGCCAATTCTGGAAAGTATAAGCAACAAATTTCATTTCCTCAAATATGTGTGTGTATTTAAAAGCATCCCTGCCTGGAAAGAGTGGGAGTAATGGCGATGAAAAGTGGATTTTAGTGAAGGTAATGCATACATCAAATGGGGCGTGCTCTTTGGATAACGACCTGCAAGAATAGCAAGTAATAGCAGAGATCTGAAAGATTAAGAAAGAGGAATGGATGGAGACAACTGTCTAGAAGCTAAAGAATCAAGAAGGTGGATATGAAAAGCTGGTCATGAAAAGCTGGTTTTGGTGTGCTGAAAATAAAATTTTAGGATCAGTCAAGACAATGCTAGTCCAGGCTCATTTATGTGAGTGACAGACAGGATGAGAGAACTGCCTGTTGAAGGATTTCAACCGCTAAGCTCGACATTCAAGCCAAATAAAAGAGAGAGAAAAAGAGAAGGGAGAAAAGAGGAAAGCAGAGGAGGAAGGGAACAAGGAAGGCAAAGAGGAGGAGGAAGAGGGGAGGAGGAGACGAATGGCCAGGCCTTTTCTTTTCAACATACTACTTGGTAAAAGTGAAGAAACAAGGCCTTAGATTGTGAGGACAAAGACAAAGGGGAGGAAAGGGGGTAAAAAGTAAAACAGAGGAAAGGCCTGTTAAAGTCTCACTAGTGACTAAGATTTATTTGTATCAAGTTCATTTCAGCAGTGTGATCATTACCTACACATCCGTTATCTGTATTTTATATATAAAAACACAGGGAACCATTGGTTCTCCCAGTGGTTCTTTAAGAGTGCATCAGAACCACCTGCAGTGCTTGTTAAAACCTAGATTGTTGGCCTCACCCCTAGTGTTTCTCAGGCAGTTTCTCATCCCTTTCTCAGGAATGGGGCCTAAGAATGTGCATTTATTACAAGTTCTCAGGTGTGGCCGACAGTTGCTGGCCAAGGGACTGATGACACTTTGAGAACCACTGACTTAGAAAGCAGAGTATAAAGGAAGAAATCCTGGTGACCTGTGACTCCAATGTCTATAGAAGGATGGATGAGATAGAGAAGGCAGAGTAAGAGCCAGCTACTTATAGGGCACCTACCACTTGTGTTAGGTACTGGAGATGGGAGACAGAAGGAAACACAGGCAAATCGTTACTCTCACACAACTGACACTATAGTGATGTTTATGCATTTATATGTCAGTTATTGGTGGTGCTTTCTTGTTTGAATTCTACATGCTAATTATTCTTATATGTAACCATGGAAATCTAGCATTCATGAAAAGTATTTGTATATTCAAGATATACAACTTTACATAGATTATATTCTGTATAAGAAAAATAAAACTTATGTTACAATAAATTTTATTAAATGAGAGTGTGAGGATTACACAGGCAAAAACTGGAGCAGATTAATCAAAAAATCCTGGCAGACCTATGCTTTATAGGTTAAGATAAAAGTTTTGCAGATTGCTTAATCCTCAAATATTCTTTGCCACAAAGAAGAATTTTTCTAAGAGAGGCCTGAAGTAAAAACACTTCCAAGAGAGTTGCCAAAATTAGCAAATAAAAATAAAACTTCAGTTAAATTTGAATTTCAGATAATAAACAATGAATTTTAATACAATAAAGTTTCATGCACTATTTGGAACAGGTTTATACTAAAAAGCTTTTCATTCTTTATCTGAAATTCAAATTTAACTAAGTGTTCTATATTTTATCTGGCAACGCTAACCAAAGCAGACTTTGACCAAACATTCATTCAATGAAAATATAATATGTTATCAGTCTTCTAGAGAAGATACAAGCATAGAACATATTCAGTCCCACACATAATAAAGAATAAAGGATGGTCAGACTTCAAAGGTTTTAAGAATGCAGTGGAGAAGGAGACCAATATGACTGTAATTGTCAAGGAACGGGAGCTTCATCATCCAGCAAATATGACTTCAGCTAGTCCTGCAGACATCTTAGAATTTGATTAGCCAAATGCTAGTACCAAAGGTATGCAGAAGTGAACAGTATGCATATAAAGTATAGAGTCTGGACAAATGACAGCAGACAAATGGGAAATAAAGGAGATCAGCTGTGACAGACTGAGCCAATATCTGCACACCAGCACACCCTCACAACCTGTATAGCACAAGGCATCTTGGGGCACAATTACTGACCTTTGTCAAATTTCAGTATGTATTATCCATGACCATAAACTGCATCCCCCATTTTTTTAAGACCACATGGAGAGACCTAAAAGCATAGCACACCACAGGGCACCTAGATATTCTGAGCCACTAAGACAAAGAAATAGCATCTGATGCTTGGGGTGTTTTTAATTAGAAAACAAATAGATCTTTAGTCCTAGAGCCATGAGAAAGACACCTGGGAATTTTTATCTGTGGAGAAAGAAAAAGGCAGCAGCTGGAAGAAGTCAACTCTTTATCTGATTCTAGTTTGAAATGAAGGTTCTGTATATCCTGTATCCCCAAAGCAGTAGCATAGAGCCTCATGTTGGAGTCAGTAGACCAAAGTCTAGTCTCTTTAGTATACGCTCAGTAAGACAATAAGTAAGCTTCAGTTTCCTAGGTGTAAAGTAACAGTTTGGGATTATACGATCTCTCATGGCCCATCCATTTAAAATTCAGTGATTAATTGAATAAATCATTCACTCATTAAACACTGAGAGCTGCCATATGCAAGGCAATTTTCTAGGAGCTGTGATGGATACAGAGAGAATAATTTATTCATGGTCATTTATTTGTCACTAGGTGAAACCTCATCCTTACATACAGGGACCCACTTTGGCACTCCATAGAGGGCTAGTCTCTGGCCAAGTGAACTCAGACTGCCAAGATTTGTTATAGCCAGTCTCCTGCCTCTCTTCTATATTTATTTTACTCTCTTTTCTAAGTCCCCTTAAAAAAACTCCACTTGTCTGCAATTCAGTAGGGCATCCTGGTCTCAGCCTTCCAGGGTGACAATTAATTCATCTGATAAACTCAAATATGTCAAAGCCCTAAACTAAAAAGGAGGAAGCTACATCTGAGTTACCTGCAATGTAACAGTGAACATCAGCTATTTTTTCTCTACATATGAGTGACTTCAACTAGGAACTGACTGAGATTTAACAAATAAAAGAGATAAACAAACATTTACCAAGGCTTATTGGTTCTGGGACAGAGCTATCATTTAACATCTTATTTGATCTGTGCAACCATTTTCCGACAATAGTTTATTAAGTCCTCATAGATTAACCCAAGGAAAGAAATAAGCAGTAAACTTGCCCCAGGTCAAAAGTACCAGTGCCAGGAGTAATCTACATTTGTCTTCATACAAAACCAATGTTCTTCCTGGTAAAGCAGCTGATCTACAGGCATGGTTCCAGGCTGCTGGTACGACTCAATCACTTGTATGACATATCCATCAATAAGTTAAAGTAACAAAAGGTTATATATATATGTGTGTGTGTGTGTGTGTGTGTGTGTACACACACACATATATATGAATTCTTATATATATAAAATATATGATGTATGGATTCAATTTCTTGAATTCTTATATATAAAAATATATATATAAGATTCTTATATATATAAAAAATATATGATTCTTATATATATAAAATATATAAGAATCTTATATATATAAAATATATATAAGATTCTTACATATAAAAATATATATAAGATTCTTATATATATAAAATATATATAAGATTCTTATATATATAAAATATATATGATTCTTATATATATAAAATATATAATGTATGGACTCAATTCAATGTCAGTTTCAGTGACTTCATTCCAAAATGCTTTCTTATTCACACAACGTCATATATCATTAGAATTATAGTAGAAAAGAAGGTTGCAAAGTACTGAAGGGCTACAAGGTGGATGTGGGGATTCTTTTGTCAGGTGGGCCTATTTCAGTCCTGAAATTGCATCTTGAGTGCAGATATCTACCTTTTACACACGCACTGCTGGCCTCATATTTTTAGAAGAAGATGTATGCATGCATGTGTTTGTGTGTGTGTGTGTGTGTGTGTGTGTGAGAGAGAGAGAGAGACAGAGAGAGAGAAAGAGGAGAAAGAGGAAGAAAGAAAAAGAAGAGAAACAAAGAAAAAAAGAAAGAAAGAAAAAGAAAGAGAAAGAAAAAGAAAGAAAAGAAAGAAAAGAAAGAAAAGAAAGAAAGAAAGAAAGAGAAAGAAAGAAAGACATAAGGTAGAACAGAAAGAGGAAAGGAAGGAAAAAGGAAGAGACACATCACAAATCAGAGCAAACCAGAAACAGCTCTCCAATAATCATAAAGAGTTAATCTGGACAATCATGACTTTAAAGCAATTAAGCTTTTAACAACTTGTACAACAGAAGTAGGAGCTTTTCTAAGCTGTATTATTTTATATGTAGCTGTTTCCTTGATATTTTTATGGCTCAGAGTCAATGAAATAATCATATTGTACTTTCATAATACAATGATGCCCTGATGATAATCATGTGTTCAAGCATGTATGCCTCTACCCTAATGAGCTCCTGATCACTTTGCTTTTTGTGGTCTTTGGCATTTTAACAAATTCATCCTATTACACCTTTGGCTGGCAGGAGGAGCTTGGAGGAAAAGCTTGTTTGGGAATAGGACACATATTGAACCAATAGGTTTACCAAGTTAAATATTCAGAATGAATAACATGATCGAGCCATGAAAGACAATTAGAAAAATAAAGTGATGAAAGAAGCTGGCGTAATATCTGATGTGAACCAAAGCAGAGATGTGGAATGAGATGAAGGATTGGGTTCTGGGGATGCAGAGACAGGGAGACTACAGGGCAAAGTCTACAGCTGAAGAGCCAGACCATGCTTATCTTGTTTTTTTTGTGGCTTCTTCGCAAGCAGGCATATGTCTTGATTGTTTCTGACACTATTTACTATTCACAAGTTCTTTGATCCTCTCCTGCTATCTTATCAGTGATTGGTACCTTCCAATCAGTGTCTATACAGAAACTCTTCTTGGTCATTGACTCATCCACTGCAGCTATGGATTTGAAAAGCAGAAAGATAGTTGATAGAATTAGAAATTTAAAAGGAATGAAAAGGCTCTGCATGCATGCCTATTGATAACAAAGTACTGGACTTTGCGTCTGTGACCTCTCTGGCATCTATTGTCACTACTCAGATACCTTCTTGGTTGATGTCTGTGTTTATGTTTTAGACGGGGAGATGGCTAAATCTGCATAGATAATTGCATTAGTTTTCTAGGTCTTCCATAACAAAGTACCACAAACTGGATGGCTTACACAACAGAAACTTATTGTCTCACAGTTATAGAGGCTAGAAATCTGAGATCAAGATGTTGGCAAGGCAGTTCCTTCTCAGGTCTGTGAAGGGAAAATCTGCTCCATGGTGTTTTCCTAGTTTCTGGTGGTTTGCTGGAAATTTTTGACATTCCTCAAATTGAAGATGCATTACCTTAATAGCTACCTTTATTTTCATACGTGTGTTTCTGTATCCAAATTGTCTTCTTTTATAAAGATGTGGTTCTACTGGATTAGGCTCCATCCCAATGACCTCATCTTAACTTGGTCATCTGTAAAGTCTCTGTTTCTAAACAAGATCACAGTCACAAGTACTGGGGATTAGGACTTCAATATCTTTTAGAGAGACACATTTCAATTCATATAGCAACATTACTGTGTTACTATATGTGTGTATGTCTGTGTGTATATTCTGAAAAGTACGTACCCAATAAAGTACTGTTATACCAAACAGTCAAAGAATTCTTAAAACTCCACAAGAAGACTGGGCGCGGTGGCTCACGCCTGTAATCCCAGCACTTTGGGAGGCCATGGTGGGCGGATTACCTGAGGTCAGGAGTTCGAGACCAGCCTGACCCACACGGAGAAACCCCATCTCTACTAAAAAAATACAAAATTAGCCGGGCTTGGTGGCGGAGGCCTATAATCCCAGACACTTGGGAAGGCTGATACAGGAGAATCACTTGAACCTGGGAGGTGGAAGTTGCAGTGAGCCAAGATCGCGCCACTGCACTCTAGCCTGGGCAACCAGAGCAAAACCCCATCAAAAAAAAAAAAAAAAAAAAAAAAAAACCCTCAACAAGAAAAAAACACCCGATTAAAAAACGGGCCAAAGACCTCAATAGACACCTCACCAAGAATGATATATGGATGGCAAATAAGCATATGAATAGATGTTCCACATCATGTATCATCAGGGAACATAAATTAAAACAGCAATGGGATCCCACAACACTCTTACTAGAATGACTAAAATCTGGAACACTGACACCACCAAATGCTGGTGAGAATGTAGAGCAACAGGAATTCTCATTCATTGGTGCAAACACAAAATGATACAGCCACCTTGAAGACAGTTTGACAGTTTCTGACAAAACTAAACATACTCTTACCATCTGCTAAGAAGCACATGGAGGGGGCAGGGTGTATATGAAATAGCTTTGTACCTTCTTCCTCAAGTCTCCAGAGTTGGTGACATTCCCAGTGATAAAGGGCAGATCTACCAAATCTGAGAAGACTGTAAGACTAAGGGTTGATGTTCTACTCTGCTCAAGATTGGGAAATGCCAGGGGCTCTCCAGGGTGCAACAGGGAGGAAAAAAGTGGGTATTCGTGACCTCAGATATCAGAACAAGGATCTGCTGCTATTACACAAACCAAGCAGGGTTCCCTCTGCCATTCTCATGTCTTCACCGAGCAGCAAGAAAGGAGAGGGAACAACCAAGTAGAAGTTAGGGAAGGTAAAATGATTGGTTTAGAGTGACAGGAAGTAGGAGATCAAGATGGGAGTAACGGAGAATAAAAGAGCAAATTTTTGATGAGTTGTGGATGTTAACAGGTTCCAGACTTCTACTTACAGTTCAACTGAATAACTGTCATTGATGTGAAGAATTTTCTTTCATAGTCATTTATTCAACAAATATTTATTGAGCATCTACCGTGTGACAAGAAGTTTGGTGACTTGGAATGAAATGAGGTATAAGGTATAGTTTTCTTTTAAGGCAACAATGCTGAGTGGTTGCTAGGGTTTGGAAGTTAAAGAGATCTGAGATAAAACGTCATTTTCACAGTCTGCACTTCAGTTTCCCTATATGTAAAATGGAGACAAGAATAGTATAATACTTATCTCACAGGGTTATTGTTAAAATTAAGTTAGCTATTATATGAAAAGTACTTAGCATAGTGCCTGGCAAACATTAAGTGCCCAATGGGTGCAATTATCATTATTATGATTACGTCCATAGCACAGAGGATAGAAAAAGAATCAATTCCAATGGTAAAAAGTATAAGAATGGATTCACCAAAGACATAACATTCAACTTGGTCTTTGAAGTCAGAGTCAGGGAAAGAGTGAAAACAATGTAAATTTAATAGCAAATAGTATTTCTTTTTTTTTTAAATTTAATTTTATTTTATTATTTTTTTTTCTTTTATTATTATACTTTAAGTTTTAGGGTACATGTGCACATTGTGCAGGTTACTTACATATGTATACATGTGCCATGCTGGTGCGCTGCACCCACTAACTCGTCATCTAGCATTCGGTATATCTCCCAATGCTATCCCTCCCAAATAGTATTTCATCTTTTCTTCTGTTAACACTGAAGTTGTCCTGAATTAAAATGCTTTGGCATTTTAATGACAACCATATAGCAAACATTAAAAAACAATCTGTAGTTATTGCTAAGATTCACAAATTATAATAGACATTATTTCAAAAGATAAAGCAGAAGCAAAGAGTAAGAGAATGTAACCAAAGAAATAAAAAGAGGAATTCAAATAAATATATGTACCATAAATTCAAGAATTAACATTTTGCAGGACAATATCTCTTCCCAAGTTCTCTACAGTTTTACTTACCAGACCGAATTTGAGCTTTATGATAAAGTTAGTGATGACCAAAGCTGGCAAGACAGGGGTACATGATCGACTTATCAACCACTAAAGTTCATGCACAGGAAGCTGATTTTAAGCCTCTTCTTCAAAGCTGAAGGCTAACTTGGAGCCAGCTGACACACGCAAGCTTGATGTCAGAAAACTGTCCATATGAAGCACAGTTCAAAATGCTGACTTCAATAAAAAAAAGAAAAAATCCTTAAAAAGTACTGCCACAGGCGACAAAAAATAAAAATCAAAGGGAGAAAACATGAAGAGAACTCAAACTTCAGGAAGACCCTTAAAAACCTTTCGGAAAAACAAGACACTACAAATCTCTTTGACAGAAAAGTTACAGGTTTAAAACAGAGAAAACCGATGAAAAGTAGAAAATACTCCTCAAAGAGTAGTTGTTTTAGTAAGACTTTTGAAAACATATACCTAAAATTGCATATATTATTAACATAGATTGATAAGTTTTGGCACTGATGGGACCAGAAAAATCAAAGAAGATTGTCACAATCCTTGTGAAGATTTTGTAAATATCTGCAGAAAACCAAAATCTTCAGGGAGAATGGTCAGCACTATGGTGTGTCTTTCTAAAGGCTAAATGTGTTAACTCTGGCTCTGCCTCTCAGGAGTATAAGATGGAACCTGGGATCATGGCCCAGTCAGTAAGCAGCCAACACTATGCCCATGGTCCTTAGTGGGTCTAATGATGAATAAAATATGAATGCTGTCCTTAAGTTTCCTTCAGTGTGGTTTTTTAGTCACTAAATCTGTTGACAAAGCAAACCCTTCTTGCCCCAGCTTACATTTGCACCTCATTTATTCATCCAATAAGCATAATTGAGCTCCTGGTATCAGGACCTGAGAATACTAAAATAAATAAAAGGAAAATGTCACTCTCGAAGAGCACAGTTAATGGAAGAGACTGGGCATCTGTTAATAGCACAATTGCGGTCATCTCCAGTTCTGCATGGTTAATTAGTAGGGAACCAGAGATAAACAATAAAAAGATGTGTTTGACTACCCTGACAGGACTAAATCATATTTCCAGTGACAAATGCAGAGAAGCTGAGAGATTTTTCCCAGGTGGAAAATGGATACTGTACCTTCTTGATGGTACAGAATAACTGTTTTGTTTTGGTGTGATTGCCTGTAGTCAAATAGTATACCCCATAAGTCTTTTCTCACCATGGGAATAAACACAGACGGTTTATGAAATAGGATTCAGGACACTGGGAGACAATTTTATCCAGGGGCTATGAAGGGAAAAGTAGTGGATGGCAAGAGTAGTGAACCTAAGAAAAAGATCTGTGGTATCTGGAAAGAAAACAGGTTGGGAGAAAAAATAAGGGGCAAAGAAGGTCTGAGAAGCACAAGTCCTGTACCCAGTGGGACTCAGGAAGCAACAGTCCCTTTCTGACCAGATAGCTCCATGACTGCTTGCTCCATTTCTGGACATCTCATATGATGGGTCATTTCTGTAGGATGTCTATTCCTAAGTGTATTTTGTGAAAGACTAGTCCCATAAAATCCTAATCCACAAACATAAAAAATGGATTCCCTGGTCAAACAGACTGGGAACTTGTGTTTTATCAGTCATGGCCTTGCAGAATTATAATCCACTCAGTTGGTTCAGGAGTTCTTAAACACTTGCGTGTGTGTGAGTGTGCGTGTGCATGCGTGTGTCTGTGCGTGTGTGTGTGTGTGCGCTTGCTTGTGCATCAGTGATGAAGCTTTTGGGAGTTTGGTGAAGCCTATGGACCCCACTGCAGAAAATATATAAAATAAAATGCATAAAGATTGCAAAAGGATACAAATTAAATTGAAACTCAGTTAACAAAATATTTTAAAGACAAATTTCTAGTATAGGAATAAATGTGCTTTCTTTATCAATCCATTTAAATAATGTGATCTAACATTGGGCCTCATTACTAACACAGTTTCAAAATAGTGATAACGATTAAACAGTATTTCAAGATGTCTACAAATCTGTAATATGACATGAAAACATCTGCGATACCTGTTGATGACAAAATCAGAGATACTGCCACTGTCTTTTGTTTACATTCATAACTGAAGGAAGTGCTAAATTTCTTTTAGAAGTTAGCGAAAATAAAGGAGTAAATTTTTTTTAACTACACAAGTTCACAATTTATTTTTTTTCCTATCCAAGTTCACTAGCCCTTTTCCATTTACAGATGTCATTGGGGTCCTTGGACCCCAGGATAAAACTCCTAGGAACAGACTTTGATGAAGGAACTGTTTAAAGAAGTGCCCGCAGGGTTAATGAAATAATCAAGGGTTGGAGAAACACCGAGGGAGTTGCAATAACAGGGAAGCCTTTAACATCCCTGATGCTGAAGTGGGCGAAGAAGAAATATTGTTTCTTACAGCCCAGGGGGAGCTGGAGCCATGGGGAGGGCCTGCTCTGCAAGAGCTATATTCATAGAGGAGCCCAGCTACTTTAGGTGAATTGGCACCAAAGCAGCAAAAATGCAGGGAAGGAAAATCTATTTTCCTCCTGTTCTTTTATCTTCTACAGGTTATCTTCTATTGGCCAAACCCAATAAAAAGTCAGGGGGCACAGAGCTTGGATGTGTTCCACAGGGGTTAGATTCCAGGGGACCTACAGAAGTGCACAGAGGGTGGAAAGCAGATCTCAGGATTAGTGTGGGAAGGAACAGCAGAAAAATTAGCCCATTAAGTAGCTATGGCTTTTTAGGGCAGGTTTTCCCAGACATTTTAATATATTAACATTGTGGTTATTGAATGCAAGTATTAATGATTAATTTAATAAGGAGGGTTTATCAAATCTATCATCTCAAAATCAATTTTTCAAGGAACAACAAAGAGGATTAATCTTCTGTAAAACAAAAGTTGCAAATGCTTCTTTCGAATTTTCTAGAGATGTGTATTTTACCTGCATCAAGTGATTTAGCTGTCTAGCCAGGATAGCACGCTAGTTTGCAAATACCTGTGAGAGACCAGAAAGACCTAATTTCTGGAGCAGCTATAATTATTAGGCAGCAGTGAGAGTTGAGAATAAACACGTAGAAGGAAAATGTCTATACGACCTTGGTAATTTACTGTTTTTTAATAAGACAATTTGAGAAAGAGTCCATTTCATTATAGCAGTTTGGTGAGCCCATTCCCCCTCATGCTTAGCTCAGGAACTCCAAACTCCTCAGACAAGCAGTTCAGAAACAACAAATGATTAGCTGGGCTCCTGTGCAGATAAGCATGTTCTACAGCCTTTCCACTGTAGAAAGGCTTGTGGTAGCCACTCTAACCACAAATTCTTTCAAAATATATCTTTTAAATATTACAAATAAACCATTGTATATCTGTTACTACAATCACCTAGCTCACCACAACAGCACCTTGGCACAGATTAATGAAGAACTAAAAGTCACTTTGGCAAGAGATAGAGAACAGCAATAAAGAGGAAGTTTCGGTTTATCGCTTGCAGAAAGGGCTCCAATTCTCCACTTCTTCCTGTGTCCATACCATTTGCAATGTGGCTTTGCAGCTCCTCTCTGTAAGGTGCAGAGTGTATTTCTCCACTTCCTCTGGCTAGAATGGCCCTGCAACTTGTTTTGGCCAACAGAATATAGTGGAGGTGACAGTGTGCTCATCCTGAGCCTAGGTATCAAGAGGCCTTGCCTGCAACTGTTCACTCTCTTAGAACACTGCCCAGCTGCCATGAACAAACCTGTGTGAACCTGCTGCAGGATGAGACACTACGTGGATTAGAGCCAAACCACACCATTTATCCCACCCAGGGCCCTAGACATGTGAGAGCTCAACTAAGATCGCTAAAGCTGCTCTACAACTGACCAACTGACCTATAGCTGACCATGAATTCATAAAGAAGTCTAGCCAAGACCAGAAAAAGTAGTCAGCTGACCGGAGCTTATATTGCTGATTCACATAATTATGAGCTAAATACATGGATGATATTTTCAAACACCGCTTTTGAGGGTGGTTTGTTATGTAGCAATAGCTAATTGATAAAGTACAGAATATAATTCTATCTAGCCCCAGTTTAGCAAATAATACAGTAAGGAAGGTGGGTAGCATAAAAACACCATGTTTCTTATGTTTGAAAAATGAAGGGATTTTGACAGGAAGTAGAGAATGAACATGGCATAAAAAACTCCACTCTGAATACTTCACATTTGTGTTTGGGAGTGCTAATGAAGTAAACAGAGACCCAGGTAGAACATACCAGGAGGACAGTAATCACAGTCTTTAAGAGAAAAAGGCAATAAGAAACCCATTCTTAAGGATCCTGTATTTCCTAAAATCTTGTATTTAGCCATGTTAGAGAAATAGTACTTATGACCTGGTAGCTGTAACCGCCTAAAAGAATTTTATTGAATGTGCTTCTGTGAATGGCATCTCAGGATCCATGGTCCATCTCTCGCAGTTATGGAGAAGAGTGGTGAGCATGTTGAGACAGTGAAAGTCCACTCCCAACTCCATCCAGCTTCTTTACAAGTGCATGGCAGCCATCCAAACAATAATGAATCTTGACAACGAAAAAGGTATTCTTCTATAAGATGGTCATTGAAAAATTACTCTACCAGGGTCAAAAAGATTTACTTCTTCAAGTAGCAAGTTTAAAGCTATATAGGAGGACCATAAATGGATTAAATGTTGCAATGCCAATGCCAACAGTCAGAAAAATATAAAGAACAGCTTTGGAAATAAGATATAGAAGTCATTGGAGTAGAAAACCTCAATTAGTTAGCAATCGACAGAAGAAACATGGGTTTGGCATCATATGGATGACTTGGATTTAACTTTGATTCTGCCACTTAACAAGCTACATGACCTTGTCTATGTTACTTAACCTCCCTGAGCCTATTACCTGTTCTCCAAGATGGAGAGAAGAATATTTGCCTCCTAGAGTTACTGTGACCGTTAGATGAGATAACATGTATCAGACAATTGACACAGTGTCTGGCACAGAGCAAGGATTAATAAATTTACATTTCCAGTTCCCTATGTTGAAGGCAAAGCATAATCTCCATGAATACTTTGCTTTGGCTATCATAGCATTTGAATTGAAAGGGTTTTATCAAGAGCTCAATCACACCCTTTGAAGGCAGTGAAAAGCATGACTGAGTTGTAGATAATAGGCAAAATGGAGAAATAATGCATCTTTGTTTGATGCTGTTAGTCACAGTCCAGGTACCTTCCAATTTCCAACAGATTGTGTTCCAAAACTTAATGTGTGAGTCACTTTCTGGAAACAATTTTATAGATGGTGGTTAGATTCTCAAGCCACCTCGGAAGAGTACATTCAACCCATAATAGGGTTGACTGAAGCATTTTAACTCTGGGTTCCAGAAGCAGAGCCTCATGTGGTAGAAGAGACAGACAAATGAAGACCAGGAGAAGAGGTGTTGTGGAAAAAAGACAAAAACAGAACTGGATGAGTGCAACAATCCAACAGCTATGGTGCATTCTTTAGGGTCCAGGCATTGAACTATGTGCATAATTGTTTTATTATACAATTCTTACAGCATCTCTGAAACAGGCATTTCCTTCATTTTCCCAATGAAAACAAACAATAACAATAACAACCTAGAAGCTCTAAAAGGTTAATTAATTGGTCCAAAGTCACATAACAAGCAATACCAAAAGTAGAAGAGGATTTTGAATTAAATAAGTCAGTGACCCAATCAAGAAGTGCTCAGAAAACAAAATTTCCACTAATATAGACTTCAAAGTGATACCTTCCTTATAGCGGAGAGGAGCCCTTCAGGTTATTTAGCTAAGGGATACTTTATAAAAGTGTGTGTGTGTGTGTGTGTGTGTGTGTGTGTATGTGTGTACATGCAAGCAGGAAGCAGGGGTGTGTGTATATGCATGTATTTGTGTGTATGTGTATATACAAACATATACACATATGCACAACATATTTAAATATATATATTTTTAATATATTTAACTTTAATTAAGTGAAATCCAGAAAAATGGCATAACATTTTTCAAATAGTATAGGAAGGTGTAAAATGAAAGCTAAACATCTCACACTGCCTATAATTTTGTCTGTATTTTTTAGTAAAATACATATGACTATTACATATACTCCCAGAGGATTAAACACACACACACACACACACACACACACCCGTGCACGCGTGGTTTGTATTTCACTTAATACATCTTAGAACTCTTTCTACATCAGCACCAACAGCTAACCCATTCTTTTCACAGATGCAGAGTATTTTGTTCAATACATTAAAACTTAATTTCCCTACAGTTTCCTGTTGAAAGGAACTGTTTTGTTTTCCAGTTGTTTGCTATTACAAGGTATACCTGGTTCAAATATCTTAGAAAACTTTTGCAAGTGTGTTACTGGGGTAAATCCTGAGCTGTGAGGTTGTTGGGTTAATGGTACTACAAATTTAAAATATTGATTAATCATGCCAATTTCCTTCAGAAACATTGTGCCAATTTATAGCTCCATTCATAATGTCTGACATGGCTTCTGTCTTAGTCTATTTGGGCTGCTATAACAAAATACCATACACGGGATGACTTATAAACAACAGGAATGATTTCTCACATCTTCAGAGGCTGAGAAGTCCAAATCAAGGTCCAGGCAGATTCAGGTCTGGTGAGGGCCTGCTGCCTCTTAGACTGTAGAGGGTGCCTTATTGCTGTGTTTTTATATGGAAGAGGTATCTTCTGGGTCTCATGACCTAATCACTTCCCAAAGTTCCCACTTTCTAATACCATTATCTGCGGGTCAGGATTTCAAGAAATGAATTTAGGGGGACACAAATATTCAGATCATTGCAGCTTCTTTCTTCACATCCTAACCAATGAGAAGTATTAGCAAATTTCTAATTTTTTTTGCCAAACTCATAGATTAAAAATTGCATCTTATTCTGATTTTCATCTCTTTAATTATATTTGATGTTTAATATTTTTTATATATCTACTGGTCATTTGAACTTATGTGAATTGTTTGTATTTTTCAAGTATTTATCTTTTTTGTCCATTTTTCCATTGATGTATTAGGTTTTTTCTTATTGATTTCTACAAGCTCTTTGAAAATTAAGGAACTGACTCTTTGTTTTTCTTGTGTATTGCATATTATTTTCTTAAGAAACATTTTTCAGAAAGCAGCAATTTCTTTGACTTCAATTTCACCTTTTAAAGCAAATTTCTGATTACAATTTGGCTTCCTCTTAAATTGGCTTGGAAAAGAATACGTTCTGGTTATGCTATTACGCATATTCTGGGATGTGTAACATGTATAATGTTATATTTTCTTTTGTGAAGGGATACATTGGCAAACGGCTTTAAATATACTACCAAGTATTATCTATGCTTGTGCGTATGTTTGTTTTTGAATCTTTAATTTGAGTTAACATAGATTACACATTTTGCTGCTTCAAAACCACAGTCTGTCAAACAAATAATTAGTAAATAAATACTTTAATAATGTGAAGAACTTGAAGTGTTACTTAAAGCTACATGCTCATGAAAAATGTTTTTATAATTTTATGCAGATTTAACATGAAAATCTTCTCAAATAACAAGGTATATCATCCTAGTAGTATTTTTAAAAGAAAAAAAGAACCATTCAATAGTATCAGTTGCCTCTTCAAAGTTGTAAGTTACATATCAGGACTAATTTAGACCGAGTATCATCCCATAAGAACTGCCTGTCATTTTACAAATTTAGCCTAAATACTTGTGAGGAAAATGCCAGTTGTCTGATTCTATAATTTTAAAAATTAACACTTATAAATATTATATGTCTTTGACCACAGCTTTGTAATGATCCTTGGGCACTGCTCCTCGACCTCTCTGTCACAGTACTTCACATGCTTCTCAGGTGAAAACCACAAACATTCTTCAAGCATTTGGCAACACGTGAGTACTTAGTCCCCATGTAATCTATAATATTATCAAGTGTTCTATAGGTGAGCAAGATTTGTTTAGAATAAAGAATAACATCCAAAAGTAGAAGCCGTAGCTAATTATTTCCCATCAGTTTTGAAATTTTGTGAAACTGATTTATTATATACATATATATGCATCTCCATCTCTCCATAAATATTACCATGTATGAATATGTGTCTCATATATATCAGATGTAGCTATGAATGAATTCCTGTATTAACAGAATTAATACATCTATGAATTTAAATGTTCTTGTAAATATATATGAGCTAAATTCATATATAAAACAGTATCTGAACAAAAATATATTAATAGCATATTTGTGTTACTCATTTAAAACACATACATTATTTGAAAAATGCCCAACAGTTTTAACAGATCCCTGTGTAGCAAAATGTGTTTGTGGTAACTGTGCACAACCCCCTTTAATATATCTGTGGACAAAGAAAAGCATCCTTGATGTTCAAGGGCAACTATAACCTGGTTCCAATAATGAGAGTTTAGAGAATGCTCTTTTTTCCGTTAAAGTCTTCAGAGAACAAAGATTCTCTAGCCACAGATCTTTAATAGCTTCTGTTTAGATTCAGGTAGATTGCACGATATAAAGTATAAACAGCAGATGTTTGTTTGAATTTAAATGCAATTGAATTGTCCATCAAAAAGAATACCATTCCAATTTATAATTAGCCTCAAAATAAGTGAAAATCTATTTCTGTCTAGAATGAAGCTTAGGTCTGTTTATAAAACAGTCATCAGATCATGTGCTTCCACTGCTTATAGACAGATCATGCTCATTCTTAATAGGCTTTTAAATCCATGTAACTGTCAGCAAAGAAAGAACAAACTAAATGTGCAGATGATACTATATTAGCCAAACTCACTCTTCTCCAACAGTAAGAAGTTCTGATGTGGTCTTTGTGCCCATCTGCCATTTTCTAGAATAAACTCAGACTCTATCCTAAGAAAACTGGTAAGTACAGGTATACATCTTCTGATTTATACCTTAACAACAATTTTTAAGTTTACTTAATAACAAGGTGAATTAGAAGTGATCACAATTTCCCTCAGGATAAAACATTTTTTTGTAGATGGTTATTTATTTGTATCAGGGCAGAAAGATTAGAGAGTCCAAAGAGAATTTCTAACGTGGCATAACAATTTTCTTCTGCCCATAAGTAAAGTAAAGGAAGCAGACAAGAACAGATGCCAAATTCCCTCATTATGTGTATTCTAAACACAAGTGTCTTCAGAATCTACAAACAAAAACCTGAACACATTCACGGAACTCAGTTAAATAATCATTCTGCATGCTGTTAGCATTATTATATTACTTCCTGACCTTCAGAGATGTCTTTGTGTGACCTTTTCCTCCTTTTCCATTAAATGTTTAAATCTCTCTTTGCTTGTGAAGCCTTCCAGACTGTGCTTTTCCACTTTGTCCTAATCCCCGCTAATACCCCTTCCACTGCATCACCTTTCCCTTCTCTCTGTCAACAAGACGAATCCTTGACCCTGTATCACCTTGAAAACACGTTTAAGTCGTACTTTTTACACTTAAACAGTCTAATTACTAAATCACTGCCATCTAATTTTTTAAACAAGATTCAGGCAGTGAGAGAGATATGGTTAGTCTCCATGACCAGGCATCAGTATAATGTATTGCTTGACATCTTATTGCTCATGGTGCTTTTAACAGTTTTCTCCATGCTGACACACATGGATGACATTCTGATCAATGACCCAATCTCATAAATGAGCCCAGGTCTGCGAGCCACCACCAGCATGCCAGACGCAACTCCACATCACCTTTCTCATTCAAGTGAGCATACCAAAACGTAAATGAAGAATGGACCATTATTATCTCAGTGGTCAACACTTTTAATTTCTTAAAATAAAAAGAGGGAATAATTTGCAAATGTTGACACTTTATCAATAGCAACAAATTACTCGCCACACACCTCAGAAATGATCACAGCACCTCAATGTGTTGAGTCTCTGTGGTTAAGACCTTCTGCTACAGGCTGTCATTTTCCCATTTACTTCCTCCAAACCTTGTCATTCACCAAACAATGTCAGGCACACCACAAAATGTCTTTTACTGATTTTGTAGTAAAATAAAATAAGTAAGGCTAGTAAAATCCAATGGGATATATAAGAGTTTTCAAATCAAAAACCTGGGGATAGCTAAGCATGTAAGACCATCAGATTTGGGTTGATTTAGCCTAGTCATAGTGGAGGAGAGGGAACCAAAACGCATTACAAATACTTGGAGTTGCAGAATCATCCACCCACTCCTCAGAATCACTGGCTTCAGATAAAACTGTAAAATGCCAATTAAAACCTCCAAGGCAGTTGTGGCACACTCTAGAACTGTGCTGTCCAATGTGGTAGCGCTGGTCATCTGTGGTTATTTCAATTTAGGTTATGATTAATTAAAATGAATAAAATGTAAAAATTCACCTCTGTAGCCACACTAAACCTCATTTGTAACCTATTGTTTAAGAGCAATGCTGTCCAACAGAACTTCATGCAGTGATGGAAGTATTCTGTATTTGTGCGGTCCAAAATACACAGCCACTAGCCACATGGCTATTGAGCACTAGAAATGTAACTGAGGAACTGAAATTTAAATGTAATGTAATTCTGTTTAAGTTGAATTTAAATTTAAATAGCCATACATGGCTAATGGCTACATAGGTAAGAACATTGCCAACACTTCAGAAAGTTCTCTTGGATAGCGCTTCTCCAGAACTAACGGATCCCTTATGCGGGTTCCAAAAAGGAGGGAAAGGAAGAATATATGAGACAGGAATAGTGCTAGAGTAGAAAAATACGATTTCCTGACTATGTGTTATCTGCCAGGCACTCTGTTACCTGCTTTACATGTGTAACGTCACTTAACCTTCACAGCCTCAGGAACTGCTATTCATCTAACAGCAGAGGCAGGAAAAGATTTGAATCCACATCTTCCTGACACCTCATGCCACACTCTTTCCACGCCTCTATATCATGATAGTCATACAGTCACCTTCCTCTCATCGGAAAAGAGATAACAAGGAGGTGTCATGTCATTAAGACATGCAAAAAGAAAGGAAATGCTACTTTATGTTTTGGACAGCAAACAGAAAATGTGTTGCTTTGAGAAACAGTATAGACTTAAAAGGAAATAGAATTACAGAAAGTGGATAATTGATAGTTTTATTATTAAGAGAAGCTGGAAATGCTTGAATTGCCATAACTAAAATTGTAGTAATAGTGATCATCCTAACAATAGCAATCATTTATTGAATTCTTCCTGTGCTCAATACGTCATGCTCGTAATCACCCACTCGCCAAATTTCAGGTGAGAACGTCACCGTCAGAGATAAAATAGCAGTTGGGAAAAGCAGAAAGGTCTGACTCATTAACCTCTTTCTTACTGTCTGAAGTGAAATTTCTCAAAGGTTTCTCACAGGTATACACAACAAAGTGATGAGGGAATAGATACCACCCAATAGCAGTCAGTGAAGAGATGCACTGCCATTGTCATAAGTCATCATTTCAATTTTAATTTGCCTATTTCTTAATTATCCTTGCATATGTCCTAAATTTTTCCTAAGCTTTGTAGCTGGTGACCACAATTATTCTCAAGGCTATCACTGAAATTTGCTGGGGATTGGGTGAATTACTTAATTTTAATGTACCTTTTACATTTTTGTGGGTGACCTGTCAGTTTATTGTTAATATCAGAAAGAATCTCAGTCCATCCTGGCCTCCTTAACATTATCTCCTTCTTAGCAGTTTTCATTATCATTCATAAGGGCAGAATTGTTACAATAGGAGGACATTTAAGGGAGTAATAAAGACTTGACTGTCTGCAGTATTTATGTCACGGTGGTTGGAAATAACTTCAGGAGAGCTAATTATTAAATAATCAATAATGATACTCCTTTAATTAAAGGTAACGTATGTTACCATCTAACCCAATCCTTGGCACATAAAACCCACTTAATAATTATCTGTTTCTTTTCTTTCCTTTCCTAGTCTAACCTTCTTGACAGTAAGATTACAATATTAAGTTGTGATTATAAGTAAATTTGGCCAAATGTTTTCCTCTTTGATAAAAGGTCATGACAGAATTTTAAATTTTTGATTCCAAATCTTATATAAATATGGCCTTGGAGAATAACTGACACTTCTGACTTTCAGATAGTGTCTAATTATTATTTATGCCACAGGATACTCAGGCTACAGACATTTCAAAAAACTGTCAGTTTAGGATCATGCATCTAAAGGATATATTTGTACTTTAATAAAAGGAAATACATTATTGGAAATATACTGCTTTGTATTAGCAATGGACTAAAACAAGACCAGGAAAATATATCCTCATTTTGTGTATAAAGTAGCTTTATAAACTGTCCCCATTGATTAATTTATGATAGATCTTATAGCAGAACATCATGTAGCCATTAAAGAGAATGAAGTAAATCCATAATTATTAGTATGGAAAGAGATGCAAGCTATACAGTTATGTGAAAATGGCCAGGTATACAAGTGTACGCATGCTATATAATTTTTTTCAGAAAACTGTAAATTTGAACGACTTTCAAACTGAAAGATAAAAAATAGAGAGAGAGTATAGATAGATGATGGCAATCATTATTATATTATTACTGGCATCATTAGGCATCACACACACAAAACTGTTAGTAGCAGTTACCTCTACAGAGGGTACAGTAGCAAGATATTTATAATTTATTTTGTACTTATGTACAATTTAAAATTTCTAATTATATACATGTGTTACTTTAAAAAAATTATCAGCCAATATATGAGCATTGACATTATATCCACTACTGTTTTCCTACATCTCTGGAAACAAAAAAAAACACTGTATTAAAAGCAAAAACCATAGTATGTGTTATGTTTAAACGACTTTTAGTATTACCGATGAAAGGTTTAACTGGACCATCATTTTCGCAGCCAGATTCACACTGCCAATGGCTGGATTTTTTTTTTTTTTTTTTTTTTTTGAGACGGAGTCTCCCTCTGTCGCCCAGGCTGGACTGCAGTGGTGCTATCTCGGCTCACTGCAACATCCACCTCCCAGGTTCAAGAGATTCTGCTGTCTCAGCCTTCCCAGTAGCTGGGACTATAGGCATGTGCCACCACGCGCCACGGATTTTTGTATTTTTAGTAGAGACGGGGTTTCACTATGTTGGCCAGGATGGTCTTGATCTCGTGATCCGCCCACCTCAGCCTCCCAAAGTGCTGGGATTACAGGCATGAGCCACTGCGCCCGGCCCGGCTTGGATTTCTAAATAGATGTCTTAAAAAAAAAATAGAGCAATTCTGGTTTGGGCACGTAACTTGATCAAAGAAATATCACATGGCCAAGTATACCTATCCTAAAAAATATCACAGCTTGTATCTTCTAAGAAAGGGAGGTCATATAACAACCTCTATTTATTTATGATGACTTCCAGAAACCCCACCTTCTTTTGTGTGTTCCCCTGGCCTCAAAATAGAAACAGAAATGTGCAGAAAAAGAAATCTTGGCTTGGATGAATTATTATTTGAACCCATTCAGGGTTCCACTAAAGTCGACATACAGTAAAAGCTAGTGAAAAGTCCCTTTATTTTAAGAAAATGGTATGGGATTTAATCAGTTAAACATATTTTTAAAAACTGAAGTTTGAAACTTAAAGGGTAGGTCATTGGGTAAAAGGCCTAACATCTTTCCAGAAATAGGACATCTATTGGAAGTAAAGACTTCTTATATCATTTTCTTTATCCCACTCCCTTTTTAAGAAGAGAATGTAGTAGTTTTCTTTTATTTAGGACAAAAACCTAACATTCACACTGGTACAAGAACTGCTGGTCATTCCACTTTAAGGGCTTGATAGGCCCTTGGCAATTGCTCCTTTGGCCCAATGAATCAAAAGCATTCATAAGAATTTCAATATTTTCCTTTTTATACATAAAGACTAAGTTAGGATTGGCAACATTTGAGAAACTTCCTTAGAAACAAGGAAGTTAAGCCTTGTTTGGCATACGAGCATTGCTGAGGATCAACACAGCAGACCTGGAGAGGCGACGGGGACCAGGGAATGATTTCAGCTTAAGATTTCTTCCTCACATCTGACATTTGTATACATTCTTAAATGAAATATTCAGAAAATTTACATTACTCTTGAGATCTCTGAACTGAAACAGTGGAATATGTTACAGCGTAGCAGTGAATAAATTAATATAAAGTTTTTCAATCTGCCATTTTTGATAAATGATTCTTTGGGCATTACTTTTCACTGAACTTCAGGTAGAAAACTGGATTATTGGATGGTTGATACTTGTTTAGAAAGTCAAAAATGGTCAAAACTCCTCTAGCATTTGCAAAACTGTACTCTTTGAAATGTTGATCCCATGGAATATTTCTTGAAAGTTAGGGTTCCATGACCAAAATATTTTGGAAGCATTTTATACTATATTCTCTTATTGGTAATTCAGTGTACATTCACGTGTTGCAGATTCTAAGTAGATAAAAAAAGAACCAGTTTAAATTTAACATGGCATGTCTCAATCTTTTATTATCATGGAAATATTTCCCCATGTACTAATATTTTATTGAATATTTTATTCCCCATGTATTATTTTATTGAACTATACTATATATAGTTGATACTTTTGAAACATGAGATTATCCTACCTATTAGAAATAATGGAATGGCCTTGGGTCTAGCTATTGCAGAAAACAAAGAATATCTCAAAGAGTAAAAAGGAGAGATCTACAAGCTATGCATGTGGTCCAGCTGACATCCTGAAACTGGACTCCTTCTTATTAGTGAAAATTCTTCCTTTATTGTTACTCACATTTGGACAAACAGCAGAGTGAAAGAAACCACAGGCAGTATGAGGGACTCTAGTTATCCCAAGAGGTCAACCCAATCTTATTTATCAGTGAAAATACTAAGCCCAAAGATGTTATAGGACATGCCCAAGACCAATCTGGTAGTCAGAAACCGTCCTGGAATGAGAATACCAACTTCTGCCCAATGATAAGAAGAAATATTAATATTTTTGATTGACTCAAATATAATTGAACATTATTACTTTGGGGCTCACTTAAGACCATGATGAGAAATGGACAATTAATGGGATTTAAAAACTGTTTAATGTTCTTCTATGCTTTATAATTTTCATTGTTCCTGAGATCTTTATATTGAAGAAATGGAAAGCAATAGAATGTATAGCAGTATAGTGTAATGATGAGGGTAGTGGCTAGTTACTACCATCTGCTGAACACAGAAAACACAAAACAGCCTACAAGCCTCTTCTGAAACACGATTCAAAAATCACCTAGTATTTAGAAGGTCTCTTGTATCAGCAGGTTTTTAATGCTTTATTTAATATAGAGGACTAAATAGAGAAGATATATCTCACCTGTATTTTCCTAAGACTCTAAGCATAAACTTCCTTATTATAGTGATAATAAAGATAGGTAATACTTATTCGGTATTTTCTGTATCTCTAGCACCATTCTAAATGGTTTTAATACGTTAACTAATTTAATCAGTATAATAATCCCATGAGGTGGGTCATATTATTTTTCTCATTTAAAAAAAATGTGGAAACTAAAGACCAGTTGGTTTTAAAACAAGCCCCAAATCTCACAGCTCTAAGTGGCAGAGACAGGATTTAAACCTGGGTAATCTGACTCCACAGCTGAAAGTCTTTAACCGTTACAGTAGTGTGTGTGTGTGTGTGTGTGTGTGTGTGTGTGTGTGTGTGTGTGTGTGTGTGTGTGCGCGCGCGCCAGTGGCTACTGTACCTGTTTCCACAGTCACTCCCTCCTGTCCATTATTGGTACCTCTGATGTTGATTTCCCAACCTGGTGAAGTACCAGAATTCCCTAGAAGGCATCTGTAAAATGGACATCTTAGTCCTCTCCCCAGGGTACTCTGATCTCGTACTAGATGAAGTAGTTTCAGAAAGCACAGTGGTTATTCTGGAGGTACTGCTCCAAGGACCCATGTTTGGGAGCCACAATTTAGAGCCCTTTTCTCTTAGAGGACTGCCTTTTTCATGAAAAATATGGCCTAGGTGCAAGGAGCCAGAAGAGGAGGAAAGACAAATAGGGTAGCCAGGCAGATTTGCTAAATTGGAACCTTACCAGCAAATCTTCACATCCTCTTCTCAAACCATGAAATTCTTGAGCACAAGGACAAAGCACTACTTAGACTTGGACCTCCCATGATGGCTAGACTTGTGCCTGATTCATAAATAGGTTCTCAGTTAATATTTACTGTCTAGGTTTCTAGGTCAGTATTATTGGAAAAGGGTAATAAAATAATGGTTTTCCAAAGAGACTCAGAAGAGTTTTCTGACTGACAATTGCCTACTGCCCTCATGATTTTTTAAAACCCAGAAATTCTCTCACCGCATTGTAAATGGGAGATATAGCAGGAGGGCTTCTTTACCATAGTGGCACAGAGGAGGAAATAAGAAGGTCAAGCACAAATGGAGCAAAGGAGGAAGCCATGTATAAATGATGGGAAAACTGCAAGTCAATGGAGAGATTAAATATAATCAATGTTCATTTCATCATATTAATTAAATCAAGTGACTGTATTCTTTTTAAAATTCTTTCAAGGCTGGCTCCCTAGGACCCTCAAGTGAATTGAGCCATTCCTTCTCTCTTCCACTGCTGCCTAATTGCCCACCACAGGCTAATGGGCAAACAGTCCTCAGCAACCATTTATCTTTTTTGAAGTTTTCTCCTGGAGCCTCCTTCATGAGTAGTGGTAGGTTTTCCCTTGAAGTTATTTTTTCTCTCTCTTATTTGTTTTTTAAGGCATTTTTGGAGAGGCTTCTTTGCTGTTTGTTTCTGAAGCAAACCAGGAACACTAATTTGCTTTT
This sequence comes from Homo sapiens, assembly GCF_000001405.40. Classification (NCBI taxonomy): domain Eukaryota; kingdom Metazoa; phylum Chordata; class Mammalia; order Primates; family Hominidae; genus Homo; species Homo sapiens. Next base: position 47,206,881 of record NC_000015.10, on the reverse strand, counting down.
GTTGGTTTTTGGAAGCTACCCCAGTGGGAGCAGCTTGCTGTGACCAGGATTTCGGCCTGTGGATGGTGGGGAGAGGGCTGCAGGAATGCTGTTGTGACAGATAGGAATGCCGTTGGCTAAGTGAACACATTCATACTGTAGAGCTGAGGAGCAGAATTCCTGATTTTGAGAAGATGCAGCCAATCAGAACATGCACACATGACCACCCGAGAACCATGCATTTATTATGTCTGCGTAATTGTGCACAACATAGTAACTGCTGGCTAGGATGGAAGCTACTGTTTTCCTTAGACATGGAAATGTAGTGCAAATGCGACGCTGCAGGTAGAGAAAAATCTTCACGGGCTCTGAGGCTGGAAGGAAGCTGATAGTTCATTTCAGGGTGATGGGAAAAGCATTCTGCCTAAGGGGTGAATAAAAAAGTTTTGAACTTACTCAGAACCTGTAAATGCTAATCCTGGCTCTGCCTTCAACTGGTATTGTAACCCTGTCCAAACCACTTCATTTCTCTGTCTCCCAGGGTTCTCTCATCTGTAAAATCAACACGACCAACCTGTTGGCCATGAGTTCTTTTTCATTATATTGTGCTGCCAACAGATTCCATATGCATGCCAAAAAAGACACATATACATGTTGGCCTTTGACTTTTTACCTTATATTGATTTTCAGTAAGTAAAAGGAACTATATATGAACATTAATACATATTGGATATTTATTTGTTAAAACAACCTTCAAGGCATGTGGCTTGAGGTTAATAATATCATACCCACTTAACCCAGTCATCCATGTATTCCAAAATTTTAGTGTAAGGATGTTGAAATGAAGGAAACTAATGAAGAGCCTTTAAAGATACTGAATTATCAGAAGAAAAGGTACAGTTGTGTCTACATTATCTATTGATGACATTAAAATGGGATAATTTTAGAAGTGTAACTGAAAGGCAAAATAAATAAATGTTGTTCAAATGCAAAAGTCACTTATCCAACTACTATTTTTATTTATGCATATGACCTATGCATGCATGCTATATTTATATTGTTGCAGTATATTTGCTGATAAACTATAACATAAAATAATTACTTTGCTGGACTTGTATCTCTAACTTTTTGCTATTAATATTGATTAAAATAAAATATTTTTAATTTTTAGCTTATTATGGTCTATTCGAATGTTTTCATAAAAGAATATATAATGCCATGCATATAAATATATCTGTGGCTTTCTAAAGGGCTTCTCAATTTATAATGCCATCAGCAAATAATGTACACAGCATTTTTTACCAGAACCTCCCTATATTTGATAGTAATCATTTTTATAATATAATATTTTATGCATTTCAGAACTTGGCAGAGTGACATTGATGTGTCTGGCAAATATGCTTTTGACCCTGCTCACTAAACCACTGATCTTAACCTGAAGGTTTACTTATTTAACTGACTCTCACTCACTCATTGATTAATTCCAAATTTGTCACCATGCACAACTATGTAATGACAATATGTTAGACCCTCGCTATACGAAGTACACCTTCAAGGGTTCACTTTCTCAAAGAAAGAAATATATAGAAGGACACATGTGGAAACTGTTAATCACATCAAATTTTCAAAATTCATAAGAGCAAAAAGGAGAAGACAATAAATAGTTCATTATTTTTCCTTAGTAGCATACTTTCAACAAAATATACTAGGTATCTACAATGATTGGAACTGGTTTTGTAATCCAGGCCACAAATTAGCAAACAACTTTTAAATTGCAACTCAGATTCTTTTCAGAGGCAGAAAGTTTTGCAAAGGAATTGGGAAGAACTATAATCAGGTAAATATTAATTTTGATGTTCTTATGTCCTCTTATATAGCTTTCTCTTCAACCACATGCCTACTACAGTGTCCAAAGCATAGTAGGTGCTAAATAAATCTGACATTTTTACAGCTTCTTTCCCTTCTCCCCCCAAGGTTTTCTACTAACTTTTTTGGGTTCAAATCCCTTTACCTGAAAAATTCTACATAGGCCCATACTTTAACAAGTTTAACCTTTCTCCAATTATAATCCTCCCTAAAAACAACCATAAACATCATTGATTGAGCACTTAAAATATGCTGTACATGATAGATGATTTACATATATTATTTCATTTAATTCATATATGATCTGCTTGATCTCCGTCTATTATAGAAGTTCTATAATTTATCAGAGATGTTATATAACCAAGGTCACAGAGCTGACAGGTGAGAGTTGAGATTTCTATCTAGCTAATCTCTAAACTCCCCTTTGATTCTATATTGCATTATCCTAGTGTCCTAACTCCAGAGAAAGGTCCAAAACCTATAAATAAGTAGTCAAATCTGTCAATTCAATCCAGACCTCAACTGACCAGGTGATTAAACATGGTCGTTATTAAACAGTCACCCTTTCCACAGTGATTAACTTAATGAAATATTATGAAGATATAACCTCAATTTTACTGTAAACAGTAACCTCTGGCCACAGATTTTACAGTGTCTCATTAATGATCTTCCACACAAACTGAATAGTCCATAGTGAGAGAATTTACCTTTTTATTTATTTTTTGAGACAGAAGACATTTATGTACCTCACAGTGGAAAAGTACCAAGTCTCTGTTGATACTGTATTTGGAAGACAAGAGCACCACAGGAGGTTAAATTTTTCATTGAATTTGGCTTCAATGCTTTTGAATAGCTTAGGATGGTCATTGAACTGTAGCCAGAGTGATAGTTCCTCACAAATCACCTTGAATGGCCACCTATAAGAATAGAAACTGAATTGTTGTAATAATTCGACTCTTCCTTCTCTACAGTTGCTCTGAGTTCCAGCAGTCCAGTGTCCACCACTCTCTTCTCAAGTCAAAGGAGGTTTGTAATTAATAGCTTATGGTTACTGCTAGATATTTTATTGTCAAATTATTTTGTATTATCTATGCCATGGATATTTTCTGTTTAAAATAATTAACTTCTATGTAAACATACTGGTACACAGCACTGATTTATAATATTTTCAGTCTCTTAAATTAAATAAACAAATAGGAATGTGTGGATTTTCATGTCCACAAAACAATTAGATTCATTCAATAACTCTTAACATGCCCAAAGTATTTTCCTTTTGCAGGGGCAGAAAGAAGGTGATGATCCTTTTCCTCCCTATCATAAAGGGTCAAGGTTGACACTCTTATTACAAAAACAGGTTACCTAGAGAAAAGCATAACAAATGTTTTACATACACACATGAGCATGGGAGTCCTATAAAGTATGAGCTCAAAGATGGGCCAGATGGTTGAAGCTTAAATGACCTCTTCATAGGGAAGAGGAAAATGGGGGAATGGATTGGCCTGTAAGGGTGGAAAGGCACAGGAACAAAGGTTAAAGGTTGTCTTGTTCTTAGACATATAAAGTCTCCTAGACAATCTCTCAGAGCTGCCCTCAGAAGAACAGATGAAAAATCTGCGTGGGTGTGGTGATGGACTTCCAGTCTCTTCTCTTTTCCAGTGATTGATCTTTCCTAGCTATTTGATGAGATTCCTAGGGAGAGGATCTTAAGACAATTGCCTTTCTTTTGGAAAGAAGCTTTCTTAGTCAGATAAGAAATTCCAGAAAGAGTCCCTCCATGCAATTGGGGGTGGGGGAATAGAACAAGGTTAGAGGGAACTTGATTCTGAGGCAGCTTCTAAGACCTCTCAACATGTCAAAGTGCCAGTTTGGGGGTATTGCCTTCTGAGTCCCAAAACTTTTAATAGTGAAAGGTGGTATCAACTGAGTCAGTTCAAACAGGCAGGTCCAGAAAAGGAAGCTGAACAAACAACAGTTCAGACTCCTTTTGAAAATAACTTTTTAAAAAACAATTAAGGATCTAATTATATAAATATTTTGCCTTCTTTGTTTTCACTAAAAGGAAAGAAAGAGATGTTGTTGGAGAGAGATATCTCTCAGACATATTTTATACACCATGGTGGATAGAGTCTACATCCCAGAAATTCCTTCATTACAGAATTTCCTACACTTTGTCCACATTTTTTCGCTCTTAGAAGTGTAATTGTTACCAGCTAAAAATCTGTAAGGGTCTGAAGCAACCTCAATTCTTGCCTTCTCAGAAGAAACAAATTCAATTGAGGGGCGTAAGGCAGAAAGAGAAACTGCGGCAAGTTTTAGAGCAGGAGTGAGTTTACTAAAAAGCTTTAGAACAGGAATGAAAGGAAGTAAAGTATACTTGGAAGAGGGCCACGAAGGTGACTTGAGAGATCAAGTGCATGGTTTGACCGTTTGACTTGGGGTTTTATATGTTGACATACTTCCAGGGTCTTGCATCTCTTCTCCCCTGATTCTTTCCTTGGGAGGAGGCGTGGTGTCCATATGTGCAGTGGCCTGCTAGTGCTTGGGAGGTGAGCATGTACAGTGTGTCTACTGGAGTTGTACACATGCTCACTTGAGGCATTCTTCCCTTACCAATCGAATGTCCCTGGAAGGCCATACACCAGTTAAACTCTGCCATTTTGCCTCTTAATGTGTCTGCTTGAGGCCACCCGCCCAACTCCTGAGATCTTATCAGGAAGCTGTTGATCACCCGTTTCAGTTGTATCTATTTATTGGGAGACCGCCTTTCTCAGGGACTGGCTGTGACCAATTATTATTTTAGAGACGCAGTGTAACAACTTCCCGACAATCACCTGATGGTCGCCTAACATTCCTGATGGGGTCAGGGAGGCCCTCTCCTGACCTGCTCATTCCTGATTAGCTACCTACTGTAACATAATGATATCGGAAGTTCTCCCATCCTCTGAATCTGTTACAGACCACAGGCTTGTGGCTCCCCATGTAATGAACATTAACATGAGGCCAAGCAATTTCCCAAACAAAGCTTTTATTTTGGGGCTTGTGCTCAAGCATAAGGAAGGCAGCATAAGCTCAAGGATCCTCCAGCTGACCCCCCAAAAAAGCCAGCAGAGGTTTTTTATTAGGCAAAGTGTGGGAACTGACATCAGGAATAAGGCATGCCGTCTGGGCTGGGCAAAGTATGTGAGGAGTAGGGTATAGAAATTATCTTGAATAAGAGACCAACTGGTGGTCTGACCAACAGCAACAGGCTGTAAATCAATTGTCCAGCATTCCTTCCTGAGGTGGGACACTCCACAATCTTGGTTTAATATTTGGATCTCTTAAGGCCAGTTTCTGGAATTAAGTAAAAGGTATGGTTAAACATTACGGCTTCAGTGAGGTAGTGGTATAGGTTTTGTGATCTGTGGGACTGCATAAAAGAATCCTCTAGTGGGGGTGAAGCCAAGCCCTGTCCCTACTCTGTCTCAAAACCACCTACTCTAGGAAGTAATGTTGCCAAACTTCTACTGATATTGAATAATGTCTGTATTATTAAAACTATCCTTCTGATATGACTCTGAATAATTTAAAAGAAAAGACAGAAATCAGGGTCATAGGAAAAATTATTAATGTGTCTTTTATATTTACCACATTTCTATTTCTTTCCTTGTCTTGAAAGCATTATCGCTCTATTTCTTAGATAAATTAGGCCTATGAATTTTGTAAATGGGCTCAGTACAACAGACCCATTAAGACATATGGTAGAGATGTCTGTAATGTATGCCATTCATCCGTAATGGTTTTTATTTTGAAATTCCCTTTGTAGAGTGTAGTGTTGGTTCATTTTACTTCATAAAACACTTGTGTAAGTATTGTTCTCTACAAACAAAGAAGCATAATGTAGAAATAAATTATTTGGAAGTAAATCTAAAAGACTGAATATTCCAAAATATAAAACACACACAAGCTTTCTACTAAATCGATGAATAAGACAAGGCAAAAGACAGTTTCCCTTAGCTCTAAAAAGACAGAGACCACCTTGAATACAGCTTACATACTGGCTCTTCATGCCCACCCTGGCTTCTCCCTCTCTCTTAAAGCACACTCAAAGAAACCACGCAGCTCTGGTGAAACAAGAAATCATTCAGTCATCATATTGTTTTGGTAACTTTTTCTAAATCAATGAAGAATGATTTTGTCAAGCATAGAAACCAGCAAATGCTGGGGCAGCATTCTAGGTTAACTTTTGGAAATATCTTTCTTTTTCTACCTATAAATGTGTAAAATGTATTCATATGATGTTTGTAGGGCAATTTTTTGAAAACTGCCCTGCAGTTGTAACTCAACCTCAAAATGTCAGCCTTAGTAAAATAGTGGAATTGTATGTGTACTTTTATGCTAATACCAGATAGAAACTTTTAATGACTTTACTACATAAATTTAAAGCTGGTTAGAATAGCGCATAATTAATATTTCTTTATTTTAGTAATTCACTAGAATAAAACAGTAATAATTAACATTGACTAAAATCCTAAGAATTATAATTAAAAGTGGCACTGTGAATTTATTCCAGGCTTATTTTATGCTTTTGAGTACATATTTTGTTCCCAACAGATATGTGAATTTTATAAAATATAATTTTCTGACCCCAGAGAAGGGTTGCCAACTCTCCCTCAAACAGGTACCACTTAAATTTGTTTATCTGATTAGTTGTACCTTGTTTCCTAGTCCTTTATAGTCTTGTAACACTTTTCACAAATATAGTTGGTCTTCTTCCCAACAAGCTAATAAGATCAGCACATCAGATACTCACAGATTGAGGAAGCAAGGGGAGCTAAATCAAAACTGGAGTCTTGTGATTTCCACAGCCCTTTCGCCCTTTCCCTTATTTCAGGGCAACTTAAGTACACAGATAATCTTCAGTGTTCCTTTGTTGAGTAATCTTGCTTTTGGTTTGAGCAGAACGTAGTGATATGGAGTATATAGACAAAGACACATAGATATACATCATAAAAGTGTGTTCTCTGAGGATGACCTCAGTTCTACCGCAACTGGCTGAAATCTAGGCATGCTACTTGGCCTCTCAAAGATTCTGTTTTTTTAAATCTGTCAAACAGTATTAATAATAGTAACTTTCATAATGAGAACTAAATGAAATAACGTATGTAACTAGCTAACCTAGCTCACTGCAAAATGCACAGTATGAATTTGGTAAATGCCATTTATTTGTATTATTAGACATCTCAGTTCACACACACACACATATACACAAAATACTCTAGAATAAATCCTACACTTTGGTACTGAGAAGGCAGGAGAGAGGAGAGATATATTTTAGTTTAGCAAGTTTTCTTGCAAAGGAAGGTTTGAGGAGTGTTTTATCATGGAAAAGTTGAGCACAGGTCAAGATGGAATAAATAAATTTCTAGCTCTTCTGTAGTTAGGTTTTCACAATGGGACTACATCATTTTTTTGGAAGGAATTGCAGAAATATCACACACATACACAAGGACCCATGTACATATCCACTTAGATATTTAAATATTTGTTCTAAAACATATTCCAAGTAAAACAGGAATGTTTTTATTTTCTGCTTTTGTAGGGGAGACACACACTCTTCCTAGAGTACAGAGCTCTAAGTGGCTTGCTTATACCTTTGCCTTACTCAACTACAAAACCTACTCCACCCAGCAAGACTACTCAGCAAAACACTTTGCTGGAAATGTATTGTGAATTCACAGGAATTGCAGTTCTCCAGGTGGTGTAATTCATGGCTGGTAATGAGAGCAGCTGAAACCATCTGTTTTCATAACTTTCTTCTGCACCTTAATATAAACCTCTTCATTAGCCAATAGGTCTATTTAACTATCCTAACACATTTGCTTCCTGAAATATTTTGTGGAAAGACTAGAAATAATGAGATAAAAACAGATAAACAAACAAACAAGTGGACTTACATACAGAAACTTTTAATGATCTTAAAGCCCAATTACTTACTGCTGATGCTGAGGCACAAAGGCAAAACCAATAGGGGAAAAGTGTAAAGTAGTTGTCAATGTTTTTCTCTTCCACATCTTTTTCCTGTTTAGTCCTCAGAATGATGCTTTTTAAGGGAAGTTCCTTCCCAGGAAAGGACTCCAAACTGTACCCATTGAAATCTCTTCCCTTAGGTGTTTCAGAGAAGCACAAAAACATATTGACGTATACGTGTCCTCCCTCCTGTCACTGTATAATTTTGTGATCCTTTGCTACAAACAGTTTGTCAAAAATATTGGTGTCAAGGAAGCAGAATGAAAATTTTGGGCTTTGGGTTTAGAAAAAGTTAAATTTGAATCCTGGTTCTCTTGCTTACTAATTAACCGTTATCCTCCCCAAAGAAAAGAGAAAAAAAAATCTCATCCAATTGCAAGTGTGAATCCAGGTCCCTGCTTGGACCACCCTTGGTGTGAAAGATTCACTTGGGAGTTACACAACACAGGAGCCCTTCTAAGCAGAGGAGGAGGCCAAGCTGTTATTGTTTTCACCTAATCCACTTCCTTAGAGCTCTGTCTTTAGGAATCAACATGATCCTAGACACAATGGGATCCATATCTTATTTTTTTAATTGACAGATAAAATTGTATATATTTATATTGCACAATATCAAATCCTGAAAAATACATACTTTGAATGGTATAATCAAGCCAATCAACATATGCATTACCTCACAGAGTTGTCATATTTTGTAGTGAGAACACAAAATCCGCCCACAGCAATTTTCAAGAATTCAGTATATTAACTATCGTCACCATTTGTACAATGGATTTCTTGAACCTATTCCTCCTGTCTAACTGAAATTTTATATCCTTTGACCAAGATCTTCCCACCCTCTGCACCAACCCCTGGTAACCACCATCCTACTCTCCACATCTATGAGATCAATTTTTTACATTCCACGTGTGAGTGAGATCATGAGGTATATACACAATGGAGTACCATTCAGCCACAAAAAAATAAGGAAAATCTGTAATTTGCAACAACTCAGATGAAGTTGGAGGGCATTATGTTACATGTGTCAGGTAATACCAACTCTGTCCTTTTCTAGGACAGTAAGCCTTTTGACTCCCCAAGGAAATGATTTAAATATATCCAAAAATTATTATTAGTTTACAAATATGACACAGAAAGAAATTTGTATTTTGAAAAATTAGTAAAAAAAATAAGAAATATAAACAATAATACTTAGAGTACTCCATAGTGTGTATATATTAAACAGTGCAATAATTAATGACGGCATGGGAATACAGATCTCCATATCAAGAGGTCATTTCAAGACATTTCTGATAAATTATCCAAAACAGCCAAAGAAACTGGTAGGCTGAGAAAAGCCCTTCAGTGAGTCAAGAATCATCAAACAAGACTTAATGCTAGGATTTTTTTTTCCCACTAATTTTGTTGTGGTAGTTAAATTAGAGGCTATGAATGAACTATTGTGGATTTATTTCAATTAATTCCCCCTCTCCACTCCTTTCTTTCAATCTTTAGCTTAGGTCTTCATTACAAAAAAAAAAAAAGACACTTGCAAGTTCAATCTTTGAGATAAATTTAACAAAGCAAGGCAAGATAGAAGAGCAGTCTATGCACATCTGTAACCTAATTTAAAAACAGAATTTGAGGGGCCATCCTAATTGTTCTTCTGATTTTCTACTCTATTCCAATGATTTAAAGACCTTAAACTCACTGCCTGTGAAAACTTAAAAGTGTTGGCACACAGAGAACCAGTTAAGTTTGGCTCTCTAAACATCTGGAAGATAACCTCGTATACAGGGTACAGCATCAAATCATCACAGGCTAGGAGGAGAGACTCTTCTATAATGGAGAGTAAAATCTCACAGGTTAGGGAAGAACAACTGTTCTTGAAAGTACCAAAGTGATATTAATGAATCCACAGAAGAAGCTAAAAAACCACCACCACAGGTACTTAAATCCAAACTACAGAAAGGGGGAGGGTTAGATTCCCCATTTGGCCACATAGATGAGCAAAGGTTTTTTGAATTTATATGTGATTTTTTTTCTTAACAGTGCTAAGATCTCCTAGTATATCCTGTTCAAGAAACCATTAAGAATCTGGTAGTTTTCCCAGTTACTCAAAATTCTAATGAACAGAAGCAGCCACACAAACCCAACCTGACAAGCTTAAGATCTTTTGTTGGTTGTCTTCTATAATTGATATTATGTGTATATTGAGAATAAATGGATGCTGTAGCCTCGTGCCAGTAGCTCTTTCTAACATGTTTCGCATTCTCTTGAATCGTGTGCAACTTTAGAAATTTCCAATCATCTTACTTTTAAATACCTCAGCTTACAATATGAAAGGGCTTAGCGCTGATTTAAATTAAGACATTTTACATAGCTCTGCCTGCATGCTTTCAAAATACTCAGTCAATTAACATAAGCTACCTTCCAAAGGATTTGCTTTAAGTCAGGTGGAAAGGAATATTATTTCAGAACCAAAGAAGGAAAAAAGAATATGGAACATACAGCAAACCAAATTTCTGAAAAAACGTTAAAACTGCTCAATTTCCCCATATTTTAGGGGGGCTGTCTTTTTTCCTCTTTAAAGAGTTCTACCAAAGATCTCTTTTGGCACACAAATGTCCTCCAGGAGGTCTCCCAAGGGATATAATATCCAAAATGTTGCAGCCCCTTCTATCAGACAGTGGCTCAGAAAGCCTCTCTGCAGCCTCCAAAATACTGCAGGCTCAATTACCCTCCGGGTGCAGTGAACGGGCAGAGCCATTAATCATTCCCAGGGCACTAAACGCCTTGAGAACAGTTCTGAGTCTGGCAGCATTAGGGATGTCCAAGAACTGAGCTTGTCTCCAACAGCTGGGCCATGCTGCCACCTGGAGGACAGCAGAACACATAGCTCCTCAGATGCCAGTTACTTCCCTCCAGTCCTAGTGGACCTACAACGTGTGGGCTATGCTGGATGAATATCACCTGCTTCTTGGGTGGTTAACCCTGTTCTCACGTCTCCAAAAAAAAAAAAATCTGAAACTTTCCCCTTCATTGATAACTTGCTGTGGAGCACCTGAGGCCAGTGGTGGTGGGTGAAGGCAGGTGGCCTGGGGGGCCTTGCTTTCTCTGCTGTCCTTCATCCACACGCTCACCCACGTTGAATCCCCATCTGTAGGTGAGCCTTTCCTCTTACTCACCCATCCAGTTAATGGGGGTCTCACATTCTGTTCTTTCAACAAGACATCGTGTCCACCCTCAAAGTGCTCAGACTCTGGATGAAGAGGTAGACAAGAGAATAGAAGGCTGTGCTCATTCATGATAAATGTTCAAACACGGCGAGCACAAGATGCAGTGGAACCCCGAGAAGAGATACCTAAATTGGTCAGGGTCAGGGGTTAAAGGACATTAGGAAAGTCTCCCGTGAGAGTGATCCTTTAGAGGCATCATGAAAAGAACAAGAGTGTGGTTTTGACATCTGGTAAGACCATGGTAAAATACACAATTATAACCACAAATCATGCAAACTTTCTGATTTTCATTTTCTTCCCCTGGAAAATTTTTGTATTAATACCTATCTTATAATGTTATCAGGGGAGATAGAAAATTATATATGTCAAAGAGCTGTGATAGTATATTAGCTCAACACCAGATAATCATTTTTGTTCTAATTATCCCAGCTCTGGCAGAGAAAGTTAGACTTATCTGGGCAGAGATAAAGGGCAGGGAACGGATGATGCAGCCCAAGTAAGACAGGTGAGAAAGCAATGTGCTCTGGGGTCTTCACACAGCACATTGTCACTGGAAACACTTCTGTTTCACCCTTCTTTTCATGTTTCTCTGTGTCCATCTTTCCTCTTTTTATTCTGCTCTTTTTTTCTCCACTGTCCCCACTTAACACTCAAGGGAAAGTAAAAATGCCATTTGTTTCTAGAATATTAAACAAGTTTTTAAGTTTCAGGTAATTAATGATAAGAATATTTGTATGGAGGAGAAATAGGCATCTGGAAATGATTCTTTTTTTCATCAAATTTCCTTTACGTAACTTGGTGGAAAACTTAGTAGGCAGGTAATGCTATTCTGGTAAGTGCTGACACCGGTTGATCCCTATAGAATGCACTAGTTAAGTTTGAGTGAGCTGTAGTGACACCTCCTGGTAAGACAAAGAGAACATCATTCAACACAAAACTTTCCAGGCCTTTATACTTTTATGATAAAAAGCAGTACATGAAAACATCTTCCATATGAAGTATCTTCCTAGGTGGAACAAAAAGTTTGTCTGTAAAGATAGATACACTCACATATGTACATACTCCAGTTGACTGACTACCATTTTAAAAACTGGCTGAGTCAAAGAAAGAAAACAGTTTTGTTTTTATGTCATGACATCAGGTAACTGTAATTTCCTAGACAAATATTTCATTCACATATTTTGGTACTATGTGTGCAAGGCCCTACTGAACATTCTCTAAAGCTAAGAAGAAGTTACTTTATGTAGTATTTTTGACCTGGTTCTTTGTGAAATGCTGATCTGATACTTCCTCTTGAATGCCTGGACTACCAACACCTTAATACTTCCACCTCAACCCTGCCCACTCCCTAGCCCCCACACGCAATTTCCCATAGGTCTGTCCTGGCCTGAAGTATCTTCAAGTCTAGAGTCCCCCAGTCCACTTACCTCCCCACTCTCCCTCTCAAACTCTCTAACTCTTTCAAAATGCACCGGTGTTTTGACAAGCATTTTTAAGACATTAGGTACCAGAAGTAAATGATAAGGAGTGTTAATAACTTAACCTTCTGTATCTCCTTAGTGACACATATATGACATATATATTTGACCTTGTAAATATTAAGTTAGCTTCTCTCAGAAATACAATTCCATGATCTTAATAGTAAGAATCTCAGCCAGCCAACCAAACCTATCATCCATCCACCCATCCACCCATCCACCCATCCATCCATCCACCCATCCACCCATCCACCCATCCATCCATCCACCTACCCACTCACCCAATATTTATTTAGTTGTCTACCATATGCTGTACTCTCTGTTAAGTATTAAGGGAACAAATGTAATCACAACAGACATTATCCTTGTTTCACAGAATTTAAAATCTAGTCATGAAATAGAGGGGAAAAGAGTTAACCAAACAAAAGAAAAGCTCAAATTGAGATAAGGTCTATTAAAGAGACAATAAGGAATAAAGAGTGAATAAAAAGAGTAAGAGATATTCTGCAGATTAATAGAAGTCACAGACAGGCTTTTCAAGGAGAAGGCAGAGCTAGAGACATGAAGGGCAGGAAGAAGCTATGAAGAGTCAATAAAAGTGTCCCAGATGAAGGGAACAGCATGCACAAAGGCCCTGTGACAGAACAAGAGTTTTTTTGTTTTGTTTTTGTTTTTGTTTTTCATAGAAATACCAAGGAAGCAGAGAGTGGTGAGAATTGAAGTTGATGTATGTGACTACAAGGATTCCATTCAAAGTGTAATGAGAAGCCTTTGGATGGTTTTAAGCAGAGAAGAGTATAATCCAATTTCGGCCTTGACAAACAGCTAAAACATAAGGTTCAGTATTCCTTATTCTTGAGATTACAAGTGTTTCAGATTTTAGATCTTTTTGTGGTGATTTGGGAATATTTGCAGTAGACTTACAAGTTCAGCATCCCTAATCTGAAAATCTGAAATCCAAAATGCTCCAATTAGCATTTCCTGTGAGTGTCATGTCTGTGCTCAAAAAGTTGCAGATCTTGGAGCATTTCGTATTTTGTATTTTCATATTAGGGATACTCATTTGATCCTCATAACAACCTTATAAGATATGTATTAATATTGTCAATTTTATTGATGAGAAAATGGAAGAGAAGTAACCTGCCCCAAGTCTCACAGCTATTAAGGGAAAGCTCTGGGACTTGTACTCAGGCAGCCCATCCATGGGGTCCATGCTTCAAACACCATGCAATATGGCCTCTCAGATCTTTGTTTCTGCAAGGGCAAGCGTGAGAGGAAACTGCTGGGAGATAAGGCAATGATCCAGGCCCAAAATGATGGTTTCTCAGACCAGAAGGATAGCAGTGGAGATAGCAAGAATTAAGTTAATTTGTCATGTCTTTTAGCAGTTAATTCTATGAAATTTGGTGGATTGGATATACTAGGTAAGAGAAATGCCTGCTGGAAACAGGACAACGTTTTTCTCTATTGTGATTTTTCTATTGTCTCTATTCAGTAGACATTTTCTGTGTGGCCAGAATCTTCCCATCAAGTTGTCTCTTCCAAGATGAGTATATCTTCAATAGATTTGCTACACAGAACAATTTCCATTTCAATATCTGATAGGGCAGCCTTTTAACATGTTCATTTTTCTGGTCATTTCTATGTACAATCATAACATTGTAAGATATACTCTGTACAGTATTGTTTTATTTTTCTTTTTACACTATATCATTCATTTTTACCTTATCAATAGTTATTCTTTGAAAAAAATGCTTTTTAATGATGATAAACATGCTTTTTTCCCATCTTTGGGCAGATGTATTGTTTCTAATTTTACAGTATTCAAAGAAACTTCCTTTATATAAATTTTTGACTGAAACCCAGATTATTTCCTAAGGTTAAATAAATAAAAATAGAAGTTCTAGGTCTAAGGGAATAGTCTTTTTCATTGGCAAATTGCATTTACCCATTTCTACATTGCATTCTACTAAGATACAACTGTTGAAATTCCACCAGGGCTCTGTGAGAAAACTTGAAAGGAGGTAGATTATGTGGGAGCAGGTGCTGGTAGATGGATAGATGTGGCAGTGAGTGTCAATGGAAGTTCCTTTCTGATGTTCTCCATTTTATCAGTGAATAGGAAGCATGGCCTTCATCTGAGAGTGAGGGTGTAGACAGAGGCACTGAGTGTTTAAGGAGAGAGGAGAAAGTATCATATAGACTCAGGAAGCACAGTAAGATCACCTGATAACCTTAAGAACATACTTAAGATTAATGAGTACGAAATGACACCATGGTTGTGTATTTCCCTTAGATATGTTCAGCTTCATGGATGTAGGCAAAGTATAAGAACGTTGGATTCAGGATTACACTTCTAAATCTTCATCTCTGGTCCAGAGTGCTATGATAACCTTGGTCTAATGTATACTTCCTGCTCGACTTTCTTGATTCTCCATCTGTGCCTCACTTTTCTGCCTTCTCTCCAGCAACTCTATAACAGAGACTACTATCTACTGCTTCGTCACCTGAAAAATTTATACCTGACTTTTAGCTTCAATTCTCCCATTAAGCTTTTCTATACCATCTCCTAAATTGAGACATACACCCTTCATTATAGCTCCCCCAACATCCTGTAATATGTATGATTTCATCTACACATTTATTTGATACATTTAATTTTTCATTGTATTCTAAATACCTTCAGAGCAGGGACCTTTTCATTTCTTTTTAATAGTCATTTCTTATTTCAATACCTGGGACACGGTAAGTCCTCATTCAATGTTTATTAATGAAATTAAGTGAGGTTTCCTAATCAAAAGATAAATTTCCTTATAAACCTTTATCAGCAAGAAGTCAAGTTGCCTTGATCATACCCACGCCATGGCCTCATTACTAGTGAAGGCACCTTTCCATAAAAGGTAACAGGCCTAAGAACAAATTATTCAAAAGTGTTAAAAATAACGCTAGTATTCACTTCCATGTGTTGCTTGTATCCAATATTTAGTTTATCTCCTCAGCTTTAGGATGATAGTAATACTTATAATAAATACTGTATTTGTATATATTTTTTAGATTGTCTAAATATTTTCATGATTTCAATATAAACTATAAAACACACCACAAACACAAGCTCTTACAAAAAGAATATCAAGTATATATATATATATATATGTTTTGAGACAGGGTATCACTCTGTTGCTCAGGCTAGAGTGCAGTGGCACAATCACGGCTCTCTGCAGCCTCAAGCTCCCAGGCCTAGAGAGTTCCTCCCACTTCAGCCTCTCCACTTGTGGGGAGTACAGGCGTGTATGACTGCACCCGGCTATTATTACTATTATCATTTATAGAGACAGGGTCTCCGAATGTTGCCACAGCTGGTTTGGAACTCCTGGGCTCAAACAGTCCTCTCATCTCAGCCTCCCAAAGTTCTGCGATTACAGGTATGAGCCACCTCACCCAATCAAGGATGTCAAGTTTAAACCCAGCTATGGAGATTCCTTCAAAAAGAGAGTTTCTTTTTAACAATCTTTAAGAAAAGATAGACATTTAACCAACTTGGCAGGCTAAGTTGTACATTCCAGGATGGATATAGTATGAAGAAAATATTGAAAAGGTTAATACATTAAAAAGTTATTTAATAAGTTAGATCTTTGTAAGCAGGAATTTACACTAATGTATCTTTGCCTCATGAGGTCATGTATAAAACACATAATAAATGAAACTGTTCAGAATAAATGGACTTACTTCTTCATTTTTTATTTGGTCATTCTACCTTTAGGGAGACACGGACATGGAATAAAGAAAGGCCAAACTTGGAGCTAATAACATAGTATGGGAATTGCAGATACATTGTAATTCTCTCACTGCATTCTTCATACACAAATTGTAATGGAAAGTAAAGATAAAAGAAGCCTCAATTGCCATTAGAGAATAATACAGGATTTCCACTTAGATCCTTAGAAGCAGCTGTTCTTAAAAATTAATACACTTGGTAAATTTTCAAGTTTCCTCCTCACTTTTCCTGTGTGAACATTTCTCTTACGTGCTTTGGATGGAAATGGATGTTACCAAATCTTGGAGTTCAAACTCAACAGCCTCAAGAGTTATTCATACCTGAACAAGCTAGTGAGGGATATTAACTGGTCTCCAAATCTCTTAGGGGTCATTTGAAGACAAATTCTCTGCCCAAATGTTATTAATTAGATATTTAGCACCTTAGCTAGCTTATTTCTGAGAGCCTTTGGAGATCAAAAGGGGTGTGAAAAAGTGAAGAGAATCAAAGCTCAAACACCAATTTGAATTGAGCTGCACAATGCGAATTTACTCCAGCACTTTGTTGCAGTGTAATCTATAAATAATCCTCTGAGGTTCACTTGCCAATTAGAAATCATCACATGGCATACACCATAGATGTCAGTAGTTAATTTGCATGTCAGTGATACATTAATTTGATGAAAATTTTAAAGCTTTATGCACTATTTATATCATAATTGGAAGCACATTTAGTGTACTAATACACTGATTTTTATTGTATCCAATGTGCTTTTTAAAAGGCCAAGTTTAAATGATCATTATTTATCATTGTCTGTTTGATAGTTCGTTTCAGTTCAAGACAACACATCTGCATTTTAGACTTGAAGCTATTTTAACATTAACTGTAATCAAGATGTCTGGAAAAAAAAGTCATGTCTATGTGGGTGATAGAAAAGATGAAAATCAGGTTTACATCTAGAGGTAGCTGGTTAGATTTGGAAGTTTAATTCAGAGTTTTTGGCCTTAGCCTAACCATGCCTCCTTGGGTCGATAATTTAGCGATAATTTAGTTTTGTGGTTTTTGGGGTTTTTTTTCTCTCAACTTTTTGCTTCATTTTATTTGTTTCTCCCTGAGTTTTTCTACAGTCAAAAAGTACAGTTTTGTGGGTGGTCCCTTCTAAGAGCTGAAAATGGTTGTTGATTCAAGTACAAAGAGAAACAACCTGTGGGTGCTTAAACGTTAACTACTGTATTTAAGTGTGGTACTTAGAACAAATACTGTATTTACATAGAAATTTCAAAAGCTGCCAGCCTGGTGGGATTAGCTTGCCATGGGAATTGTCACACCTGTCAATCAGGTCTGCCAGGGTAGCAAGGGGAAAGCCAATGATAGAGAGACAGAGGAATCAAGAAAGAGAAGAGAGGAAAAGAGAAAGAGAAAGGGAAAGAGAAGTGTATGGGAGTTTCCACTACCATGGAATCACAATAACTTTTTCTACATTTATTTCCACCCTGATATCCTCAGACTACTTAAGTCTTAGTGTGCCCAGAAAATTA
This sequence comes from Homo sapiens, assembly GCF_000001405.40. Lineage (NCBI taxonomy): Eukaryota > Metazoa > Chordata > Mammalia > Primates > Hominidae > Homo > Homo sapiens. Next base: position 47,189,039 of record NC_000015.10, on the reverse strand, counting down.
AAAGATTTAGTTACTTGGCTTTTCTGATTGGTGCTATAATAGTGTTTTTCTAGAAACTGAATGTCATTAAAGTCAGGGTTGGGCTTTCATTTTGGTGCAACAGATGTATGCACATGTTGACTTACTTTGAGCTAATTCCTTAGGAGTTTATGGCTTCTCCACCCAGCCAGAATACAAGTATCTTTAGATCAGAAATCTTGCCTCCTTTGTCTCATGTCACCTCAGCATTTGCAATATTAGACCTTAATAACTACTTGCAGGCTTGATTGTACTTCTAAACACTTATTCATAACAACTTTGATGATCTGCCTTCTTCCACAATTGAAAAAGAAAAACAAAATAAGACATTATGACAGAGAAATTGTATACATAAGTAGAATAAAGTAAGGTCATTTGGAAAGATAACACATATATTCATTCCAAGGAGTCTTATATGATAATAAATTAAATCTCCCATGGGCTCTGAGCTTTCTTGTGCCTAAAGCAAAAAGAAAATGTAATCAGTTAAGAAATCTACATTACCCCTGAGATTAAAAATACTAATTTATCAGAAAAAAAGCTAGGTATCAAGAGTACACACAATCATTAATTTGCATTGTCTTATATCTCCTCATTTCACAAATGTTTCATTTTTATTACCCATTAATGTTAGTCTTCACGTTACAGGAAATATAAATGAATATTGGTTATTAAAATAAAAATCTAATTCAAAGCATTTTCTTCACAATAGCTTGTGAAAGAGAAGACTAAATTTAGTATTTAAATGGGCTTATTTGAATCACTTAATCAATGTGTTTCTAGTTGCATTTAGTTATGAAAACTGAATCAAACATCATCTTTCTTAGTAAACATTTAATAAGAGCTAAACTCATAGAAGAAACTAAGCTTTTAAAATAAAATGTTCCCAAAATAAACATTGACGATATCCATTTTTACATAAATAGAACAGCATCCCCCAAAAATAAAAAAGTGAGTGGAATTAAAGCCACCATTCAAATGTAGCAAAGCAAAGACACCATGAAACTCTCTTATTTTGCCTTATGCTTTATGAAGTTAGTGCCTGATTTACCCAAATGTATATTATGTACTACACAGCTCGGACTTTTAAAGGTCAAAGACAAATTCCTCAGTGAATTTTATTAAATGAAACTTGCCCTTCTTTTCCTGTCTTAAGTCCTGACTCCAGGTTTAATAAAAGTTGTTCTTCTCTCTTCACCCCTCCCCCCACTAATTCCCACGTTTTCAACAGTAAGTTCTCTAACCAGACAATGCTGAAGATATTTGCACATAAATTTATGACATAGGAGAAAAATAACAAAAGAGTCAGACCCAACATAGTATTAATTTAAAAGGCAATTAATTTTGAAGAAGAAAAAGGGTATCAACATAAACTCAGCAAGGGCATGAATGATAGTATATAGTACAAATAAATCTCTATTTGGGGGTCCTGAGAAATTTCAGCAAGTAGTTGTTGAGTAATGAATGTTTGTAATTCATTAGCCACTATTTTAAAATGCAAAGCACACCATGACATCAATGATGTTCTTTTTAATCTCAACAAACAGGCTATTACAATTAAAGCACTTGCAAAAAGACAGTACGTTTAAATATAAGTTTTGATGAGATTTCAATGTTTTAATAATAATTGAATAACACTTCATAATTCCATAGAAAGACATAAAAATCTTGAGATTGGTTCAAAAATATATGTGTTTGTAAACACCAACCTTTTATGAATATTTAGAAGCAGCTAGCATTTCTATTTTGAAAATTCTTTTTTTCTCAGATCTCTTAATAAGGTTTTAGTGTATCTTTAAGAAGATAATCGTTATTTACTTAAAAATATTTATTTTCCAAATACAGAAAATAATAACATTTACAAGTGCTTCATTTTCTATGCCCCCTTTCCATCTTCCTTCAGTTCCTAGACAACAAAACAATGGTTCATTCTTCATGTGGAAGAGTAAACTCAATAAACGCGAATGGCCAGGAGGCCTACAGCAGTGAAATTATGGCTTCACAAGGACTTTTTTTTTTCTTTATGAACAAGTTTAGAAAGACCTTTTTCAACATATTTTAAAGTCATGCATACTTCAATGATATAATTATCTTGGCAACACTAAATACTGCTGACTGACAAATGAGACCAAAATAATTAAGTTCTGTTCTTTGCACAATCAAGATTTAGTGCAGTAATCAATCTGGGTAAGAATTTGGAGTCTGGAGACTTCAGAAGATGAACAAGCTACTAGCTAAAATTGGTCATGTGGGAAGATGGTTAAATGAGTATACAGTTTATACATAGCTGTGAATACTCTTCATGTCTTAATCTTCATTAGAACCTGGTTGATTCATTGTTCATGTGGTCCTGTACTAAGTTGGACATGGTATACAAGTAGACAAAAGAACAATTGAAAAGATAATCCAATGCATTCAGTGGGCACGAACGGCATTGAAAATGTAAAATAATAGAGTTGAAAATATAATAGTTTTTAAGCAAAAAAAAAAAAGAGGTACGAATGCTGCTATGAAAGCATTAAGGTTATAAACATTATGATAAAAGAGAGAGAGAGAACACAATAAATACACTTTTCCACATACATATTTGTCGAACCGTGAGTATGGTCTGGATGCCTACCCAGTTTCCATTTTTATTTTCTTCTACCTAACTCTCTCTTCTCTCCTTGGAATAAATCATACAGCTTTCCATACCCTCAACAACACTCCCACTACATGGTTTTTCCCTGTGGAATCAGACTGCCGTCATAGAGAGGTGTTCATGTTAAGTACTTCTCCTGAGGGCTGGAACTCCAGGCTTCATCAGATTGATACACTTAGCAGGTCCATCAGGGATGTCAAAGTGAAATATAACCAGGTCAGTTGGGTGCATTAGTAACTACTGGGATTTACAACCAGCTACAAATACTATATATGTGTATATATATATGCACACACATATATATACATGCACACATACATACATATATACACATATATATACACAAATATTGTATATTTGTAGACAATATTGTAAACTTGTACATATATATTTATATATACACACATATATAAGAAATCATAATAATTTAATAATTTCTCTTGTCAAGAGCTTATTCTGAATACTACCCACGGACCTCAGAAAAAGAAAGAGCATTTTTTTCCCAGCAAAATGCATCCTCCTTTGTAGTGGGCTAAGGAATAGGCACCATGAACAGGTGATACCATTGTAATTTAAAGAATGGAAGAAAGTCAAATAAGAGTATCTACCATCCAACGAAAGGAACTGTATGCAGAAGTCTTTTGGGATCTCCAACTGAGGATAACCGGCTCCCTCTGATTCTGGGTACACATGTCTGCCTCCATGAATGTTAGCATGCGGCCAGGGTGGGGGAGCAATGGACGTCTACACCAGTGCTTGGCCATTTGTAGAGTGGAAATTGCACTTTGCTTTCAAAAATGGATTCTCCTCCCAGCACCATGCAACTCGACTAGCTGAAGGCACAAATGGAATAAATGCACATTCTAAAAAAAGGAGGGAGGGGGCGAAAAAATAAACCCCACCCAGGAATCTTTAAGGGAAACAGGTGCTAGCAAGAGAAAGCGGCCAGCTGTCAATAACACTTAAAACTCCATCTTCGTTACTCTGAAAACAATTTCAATGGGGGAAATACCGTGCCCTGTTCCTGAGGGTTTAATTTACTAGGCTGTCTCTGTGAATTAGAGTCAGATCTAAGTTTCGCACTCAGGAGCGGTTTTCTCTGTCGACTACGTTTGCTCTTCCGAGCTCCAAGTCGGTTTCTAAAATGGGCAAGCCTTTTCCCTCCCGGCAGCCTTGACCCCCACTCCTCCAAGTCGTCACTTTTATTTACAGCCCGGTGAGCGGTGTCTGTGTCGCTCAGCCTGGCCCCAAGAACAGTCACCGCGAACAATGAGCCAGACAAGGGACCCACCCAGAGAACGCCTGCTCGCCGGCCGCGCGCAAGCCCGCTAGCGCGGGACGCTCCGGGCTTCGGGGCTCTGGGTGCCCCCACCCCTTCCCCTCTAAACCCCAAGGAAAGCAAGAAGGTAGGTCGTTCCCTACACCCAGGTACTCGTGCTCACCCAACCAGCCCTGCCTCCCAGCACCCACCAATTAGATGCCGTATCTAAAAAGAAAATAAAAAAAGCGGGGCAGCGTGGCGGTTCAGCCGGCTGCCGACCCGGATCCAACTCGCCCAGCTTGCGGGTTTGGCGCTCACTTGCGCCCGAGTCCGCGGCATTTTGAAATCCCGGAGGATTTGGGGTGGGGGCAAGAGGTGGGGCCACGAGCCATAAAGTGGCTTCCGCTCCCTCCCCCCGGCCTGGCACAGCTCCGGGATCGGGCAAGACACAAAAGACGGGTCTTATCAGTGCCAACAACTCTGCCGCCGCCTCGGGCCATGCTGCGCACGGGAACCGGGCGGCGGGCCTCGCGGTCGGGTCTCTGCGCCGGCCGCGGCGCGCCGGGAGGCTGGAGCATCCTGGACGCCGCCAGAGCTCCCCGGTGCGCTTTTCGCGCAGAACCTCCGTCAGCAGCTCCTCGCTTCGCAGATAAAGAAGTAAAGGCGACGGAGGAGAAATGGAGAGAAAAGGGAAGACTTACTTGGGGGCCGAAGGCTCAGCCTGACTCCCGCTTCGGACTCGGCAGGTGTCTAGCACCGCGGGCCCAGGCGGAAGGCGCTGGCGCAGCGCAGAGCAGGGACTCCACTTATCGAGGACTGGAAACTCCCCTTGCCGCCCGGCCTCCGCGCTGCGCTCCTTGCTGTCACCGCTCCGAGCGACGCAGGCACGCTCCCCGCTGCCTCCTAGTCCTGGTGGGTCTCTCTGCTCTCTTCTCCGGGTTCGTCCGCTCCCTCACAGACCACACCCTGTCACCTCAGCAGCCCTCCACTCCTTCCTCTTTGACACTTCCACCGGTTACTCCGCCGTCTGCGTCCTCCCACCCCCACTCAGCCCACGTGCTCCTGCCGCTCCCTCGGCTCTAACTTCCCCTGCCGGGAGCCCCCACCTCCGCTCTGAAAACCCTTTGGTCTCTGAGCAGGGGAAAGGTCCTGGGGTCTTCGCCCACATCTCCCCAGGCCCTTCGGTGCAAAGGACCTTGCTTTGATTTTGTCGTTGCGATGGTTTAGATATATTGTGTACTACATATTAAGATGTATTTCTTTAAATGAGCTACATATCACTTTTAATACTGTAGAAATGTATTCCCAGGTGTTAATCATCTAACCGCTGTTCATTGGCCTTTGGAGTTAGACTGTCAGCCCAGCTTTTCTCCATATGCAAAAAGGCCCACAAAGTTCCAGAACACCCTCTTTACCCCAATCCAAGCCACACGTGCCCTTTTCTAATGAGCCCGCTTCCTCGCTGTTATTGTTGTGGAAATATTTTTATATTTACTTTTCCCTGTTTCTGCAGACAATGAGAAGTTCCTTTCTAAGGGCTTCCCTCAGCATTCTGTTCTTAGTTTCATGATAATACCTATCACTCATGTGACATTTTCCTGTTTGGATTACTTCCTCTACTACTGGTCTTTAAGTTTCTCTAGGCAGAACTATTGGTCTGTAAGTTTGTTCAGGCAGAAATAATTCATACTCATATTCATAACTTTGTCAACAGCTCCTAGTGTGGTCCTCGGCATACAGTACGTATTCAAACAATGTTCAAGGAGTGAATGTCCCTTAAATATGAGGCAAGCTTTGGTGGTTTTATGTGGTATTTAAAGGAAGGAAGACTTCAATTTGTATGCTTGGCTTGTATCCCATATAATTAGTCCTGTGGAAAACAAAGCATTTTGGAGTTAGCTGGATGATTGCTCATACGTTCCTTTAATTCTTGAAACAAGTCTTCCTTGTAAGTATTACCCACTTTTTCTAAGATGATACTCAGGTTGGTAACTTGGTGGTCACTAAATGTGAAGACCCCTAAGCCTTAGAGATCCCATGGTTCTTCACACCAGCCCAAGCTGCATCAGGCTGGCGTTAATGCAATACTTGACTGCCCAGCTACCCAGCCACATGCAAAACCTGCCTACCAGTACCACAGAGAGCTTACCCAACCATCTTTCCTCCAAAAATAGCATTTATTTTTCCCTCCCTCTTTCTCTTCTCTTGCTTGACTCACTTAAGTCAGAGTTCTAAAAAACAATAAACAAACACCTCTCAATGCTCAGACCTCTTGTTAAACTTATTGTCTTAACTCCTAAACTTAAAATTACTTTCATGAACATATCTTGCCTTAGCTATCCCTGTGTCTCACACAGGGCTCCATATCTCTTTGGTTTCTCCATTCAAATAAATAGTAATTAACATTTGTTAAGTCTAGAGAGACCAAAGATCAGGTAGCAGCCAGCCATTGGTCCAAGCATTAACACATAATAGCTCATTTAATCCTCAACAACCTTGTGAGATAGAGCCTATTTTATAGTCGGGGAACATAGGCATAGAGGTATATCACATAGCCAGTAATTAGTGGAGCAGAAATTAGATCCCTGGCAATCTGCTTCAGAGGCTGCTTTCTCGACCACCATGCTTTAAATGGCCTGCCATAATCCCTGGCACCTAATACATGTTAATGAGCATTTTAAAAATAATGAATGTTTACCCATCCACACTTAGCATCATAGCAGGAAGAAGAGACGGTAATGAAATGGGTAGAACTTCAGGTTTTTGAGGACATATAATTGACCTCAATACCACAAGAACTGCTTTCTGTGGTGGGACTATGGACCCTACCTGTGGCCTGTATTTGAAACATGAGAGGGACATGGTCCATGCTCATGACATCAGGTGTGCGTGACAGATCGCTGAGCCTTCACGTTTGGGTTCTAGGACCTCCTTCACAATCAGTGAAAGGCATCTCCAGCTAAACCGATTCCTGGCCAAGCCCACCAACAAGCCAATTTGTGTTCTTCAGGGACCCAGCAGTGAGCAATGTCAGTTCCTGTGGCAGGTTAAATAATGGCCCCCACAGATACCCATGTTCTAATCCCCTAGAAACTCTGTTACTTTATATGGAAGAAAATGGATTTTGCAGATGTGATGAAATTAAGAATCCTGAGAAGGGGAGATTATCCTGGATTATCAGCGTGGGCCTTAAGTGCAATCATAGGTCCTTTTAAGTAGGAGACAGAAGGAAATTTGAGACACAGAAGAGGAAAAGGGAATGTGACCACAGAGACAAAGATTGGAATGATGCAGTCACAAGCCAATGAATGGCAGCAGCCACCAGAAGCTGGAAGAGGCAAGGAAGGAATTCTCTCCAAGAGCTTCTCAAGGAAGCACAATCCTGCTTTCATATTGATTTCTGTCCAGTGAAAGTGATTTTGGACTTCTGGCCTCCAGAACTGTACAGAAATAAGTGTATATTGTTTTAAATCACCAAGTTTGTGGTAATTTGTTACAACAGCCAAAGGAAATGAAAATACAGTTCCCAAATCTGCAAGATGACTTTCAATACCTGGGGATGAAACAAAAAGATATTTCAAGCAATTGATCAATTTTCTCTTCTGTGGCCAATGAAGCCAATCATTTGTGGGGAGTGAAGGAGGAGGAGAGAGGAACATTTAGCTCTCAGCATATTATATAAAAGCCTTCCGATCTAGACTTTGCCATTATCTCCAAATAATAAATACATACAATAACTGGGATATACTTATATGATTTAAAGTAGACTTGAAAATTTAAATTTGTTGCTCACTACCCAACCATATTGCCTAAAGTACATGATAGTTTACAATTTTTTTAATTTACTAATATTTTATTTAGGATTTTAGCATCCTTGTATAATAGTGCCAGAACTACCCTACTGCTAGTAAGTAAGAAGGAGGCATTACTAATCAACAGACATAAAGTTTCAGTCAAGTGAGATGGGCAAGCACAAGAGATCTGCTGTACAGCATTGTACCTATAGGCAACAATAATGTATTATACACTTAAAAATTTAAGAGGGTAAGATCTCCTTTAAGTGTTCTTACCACAATAAAATAAAATATAAAAAATCAATATCTGGTTTAATTTTAAATATGTATGCTATAATTATCTAGTGAACATATTCATTATTCATTATAGTTAAAAGTGTTAATTTGTAAAATGAAAAAATACATAAATTCTTCTAGAATGTAATTCAGGCTCTCTTGACCTCTGAGATGCTCTAGTACGTTAAATTAAGAACCTTGATGAAGGTATTATATTTCTTTTTAACTGGGACCACCAGATAAAATATCCAGTTAATACAAATTACATCCAGTTAAATACAAATTACAGATAAACAGTTTCAGAATGAGTCCATGTGCCATGCAATATTCAGACAATAAATTGCCTCTATTTTGCAACCTGTTGTTAGCCATGCAATCGATGGGATTTCGGAACATAGCTATACTAAGGAGTTATTCATTATTTATCTGAAATTCAAGTTTAAGTAGGTACTTTGTATTTTTATTTGATATACTGACAACCCTATTTTTGATTTTTCAAATGCTCATGCATTTCCCATTTTATCCCTTCTCCCCAAGCCTTCAGTGGGACTAATGTATGTTCACTTAAAGCAGGGCTGAAACGAGATTTAACCCCTCACTACTGGCCTAGGGCTGGTGGTGCCTTGCTTACATAGCAGAAAAGAGGGTATGATGTGACTTCTCTAAGATGTATTCACAGAGTCTAAGTCTATTCTGCCCGTGAGGGATTTCCCATTAGGTTATACCAAATGTTCAGCATGCCACTATTTAACATACAAACAGTAGATCAGATTAGGATGGAAACGTATTTTTCCTTTTGAACTACTTTAACCCTATTCACAGTTTTTTGGATTTAGTACAATAGTTCTGGCCAGCATTAAGTAAATAGTTCTGCCCCTTTGTACCCTTTCCCCCATAACTGCTGGCAGCAAGATATATAGTAAGTGTACAAAAGGGCAAAGGCAGAGATGATAATAATTTATGTGGTCTGTATTGGAAATACGAGAGGGACAAAGTCAAGGAAATCACGAAGTTATTTGAGACTTAGTTTCCTCCTCTGTAGAAATAGACCATAAACCTTGTAAAATGTTCAGCATAGGGTACTCAATCACTATATGGCAACAATTTTGGGGGCCTTACCTGCTATGATTCCATGCAGTGCTTTGTCCCCCAGGCATGCCTACTATGAGGATTTACACATAAGTGCTCAAAACATCTTAGTTAAATGAATGAATGAATGAATGGATATGAGGTAATTTATAAGAAAGTGCTGTAAAATTGACAAAGTATAGTAGAATTTTAAGAGGTTAGTACTAATAGTAATAATTAATAAGTAATAATGGGCGACACCACTGAGTCTTTGATTCTGGCTCAGCTTTGGAGAGCTGCTCTGCAAGAAATGTTTGAGTCTTTGTCTTTTTTATCCAAAAATTCAATTGAGAGAGACACTGTCTACAGAACAACAACATCTATTGATCAGTGGAAAATGTTTCATTCATCCAGTTTTGCTCAGTAAAAATTCCCATTCATCCTTCAAATACTTTTTACTATATCGCTTTCATGATACCTATGTCAATTAAATTAGTCTTGGCCACATTTAATAGAGACCCCCACTCTTCTCAGCACAAGTGGCTCTTCTTTGTCTCCTGTATCAGCAGTGCAGAGTTCAGCTGGCCACAGCTAATGTGGTGTCACCACAGTCATTAATGCAAGGTGATACAAGCTTCAACACCCTGCACTGGTTTTAGCCCCTGATGGCTGTTAAGACTCCAGGAATCATGACTTTAGGAACTGGAAATAGAAAGTAACGGATAAAAAGTGAGCTTCTCCAGCTGAATCAGTCTCCTTTAAAGAGCTTGTCCTATTCAATGAATTTCACCTACTCTATGTGCAAGGAGAGGATAGGAATTGTCTTTTAGCAGGATACATTGCTGAATAAATACAACTGGGGTCTATTACTAAGGCGAACAATTAGAAAGGATATTAGCCAAATAGCCAGCGGTGTTTGCCATTGACCTCTTCACTTTTCCTTTCATCTTCATCTTGTAAGTCATGGTTTGTTATCCATTGGCAACTCCTTGAAGGTTCTGTAACCTGCATAATTTTCTCCTCTTTTCCTTTGCGTATGTTTAGCTATTTCACAAATCCACTACCTACTCTCTGTTGTCATTCCATCTTTCTCATGTTTGGCTTACTTAATAATCTTGTAGCTCTCTACATATTTTATTTTTATTCAATTCTAAACTGCTTATACTATCTACCGTTTTCTCTAAATCTATCCAAATCTTGCTCTTTGACCCTACAGTGATTGACTTTATACATTTTCCCACATTTAATCCAGAGGCTTTCAGGGTCTTTGATCCTTTGTGATCTAAGAAAGATTAGCTTGTGATATGTCTGCTATTTGCTTCAAAATAATCCAGTGTTGGAGACAGAGAAAAGTCAGTGGTGTACAAATGAAACAATATTAATCCTGTGTTGAAATTTTTGAAACTGAGTGATGGCTAGGTGGGGCTTCATTATATCATTAATTCTGATCTTGTGTGTTCTTTACATTTTAAATAATAAAAAGTAAAGAAAGACATGATTGGCTTGAATCTTTGTTTTGCAATCTGCTGAAGTATAAAGTCCTCCCTAAAATTTGTTCAAAAAACTCCAAGAGGATTACTTTGTCTTTGTCACTTCTACTTCGGGGATCTTTCACATTAATGCCACTCTTCCAGACATTTTTCCATACATGACTCTCAGCTATTCAGCAAATTACTTACATACACACACACATACACAATACTTTCACACAAAGTAATTTAAATAAAGTAGTCTTTATTAAGACCTATTGACCATATTTAGTGCTCACATCACATGTTACCTAGCAATATAGAAGACTTCTTCATTCTTTTAGCTATGTGTGGCCTTTTGATTTAATTCTCTCCATGAGATGTAAGCAGAAGTTTGGTACAGTCTTTTTCTCCCTCTGCACCTTCCCTTTATTACTGCTGATTAGAATACAGACCCGAATTCCAGAGCTTGACCAGCCATCACAGACCATGGAGCAATACCATTTGATGGTAGAGCATCAACATAGAAGGGACCTGGGTCCCAGAAAATCACAGGAAGACCTTAGCAGCCCCGGACTGTCAGTCTTTGATTTTCCTTATAAACACAAGGAAAATAAACATCTATATCATTTAAGCTACCGACATTATTATGTTGTTGTTTTTTTCTATTACATGCAGCCAGACTTAATCCGACTTGATATACTTACTAAGGATTTTTCTTTTTTCTAAACAAATGCAATTCTGAAACCAGGAGAAATTCTACTGCCAGATATTAATAATTTATTTTTGTCATTAACTCATTTCACCTCATTCCTGTATCCATTCTCAGATCCAGTCATAGACCTCTTTTCTCCTTGATTTGCTATCATCCAAATGAGTATAATAAAAATCTGTTGCGGAAGTGAAATCTGAGTGGCTTAAATATTTCATTAAAATGATATGTTGACTGTTGCAGTTATCAATTGTAGCTAAAAATCACTCCAAAACTTAGTAGCTGCAAACAACAATGATTTATTTTTTGTCACAATTCCATGGGTTTGCTAGGAGCAGCTCAGTAGGTCTTTTGTTCCCCATAGTGTAGCTGAGATCACTCTGGTAACTACATCCAGCTGGGAGATCTATTGTGGCTGGAATGTCCAAGATGTCCAAGATGGTCTCATTGTGTAGACCTCCCTCTATCTGGCCTCTCATTATCCTGTTGTCCAGCCTGAGCTTCTGTGCAACATAGTGGCTCGCTTCCAAAAGAAACAAGCTGTAACGTGCAAACACTTATTAAGTATCTCAATGCATTATTCTGGCTAACTTTCATTTAGCGAAAGAAAGTAGCATGGCTAAGCCCAGTGTTAATATAGGATATAAATTCACAAGACTGTGACTATCAATAAGTGTGGCTCACTTGGGCACATCATTGTCTTAATCGCTGACTTGCTAAGTCAAAAATACAGCACATGATTTGTGATGGCTGAATGTTTGTTTCTCCCTGCCACCCCAAAGTCACAATGTTGAAGCTCTAACTCCCAGAGTGACGGTATTTAGAGGTGGAGCCATTGGAAGATAATTAGGTTTAGATGAGGTTATCAGAGGGTAGTGCCCTCATGATGGGTTTAGTGCTATTATAAGAGGAAAAGACAAGAGAGTTCTTTTTTCTCTCTCTCTTTCCATTTGCATCCACTGAGAAAAGGCCATGTGAGCACACAGCAATATGGTGGCTGTCTGCAAGCCAGGAAGAGTGCCCTCTCCCAAAGCCTAATCTGCCAGTACCTTGATCTTGGACTTCCCAGCCTCCAGAACCATGAGAAATAAATATCTGTTGTTTAAGCCACCTGGTCTATGGTATTCTATTATAGCAGCCTGAGCAGATTAAGGCACTATCTGAACTGCATTTTTGCTCCATCTCCTCCTCATGTTCCCCAGCAGTCAATGCATAAAGAAGCAATTTTATTTAGCTGGGGAGTATTCTTTCAAATAAAGAATGTCATTTAAAGATGGAATCTCATTTTTTTCACATTTTTGTCATATACACTTTTCTATTTCAGGTTTCATTTTTGTTACTAGCTAGCATATTCCCATAGTTGAGTTAAAAGCAGATAGTGGTCTAAAAAGAGGAAAAATATTCATCAGTTTTATTACAGATAAAACAAATAGAGTTTCTCTGAGGTAAACCTGCCCACTTCCTGTTACTCACAGAAATAGAAAATGGCTGATATAGAATAATAATATTCGTTGTAATATTTATTGATGTAGACACTGGGGTGCATGCTTTACTAGGATTATCTAATTTAATCCTCATACAAATGAAAAGGTGTTTTTAATATCCTAATGTTACAGATAGGGAAATTGAGGCACAAGAAGTTTTAGCAATTTATCCAGAGTCATGGATTTAGTAAGTGGTATGTTGAATCAGTATTTGAATTAGTATTTGAAACTAGTTCTAACTAGCTAGTTAGAATCAGTATTTGAAACGAGTTAGTAAGCCTTCACAGTGGGAGAATGAGATTATGGCTGGGGCTGCATAGTTTGGAACCTGATTATTCTCTATTTTACATATTTAAGCTTTGCCTCTTCAATTATTTCCAATTAGAAAAAAATCAAAGCAACGTTTTCTGCAGCTTTCTTACATGTAACCATGAGTGTGATTTGAAATTTTTAAAACACTCTACATGTTCAGTCTGTAAGAACTGCCTTACCTTTGTTGTATCCTCCACAGCACAAGGAAGCATCCTTGTGGCATACAGTGGTTGCACATGTTGTGACTGGATGCTTTGTCCACTGAAGCTAGGCTGGAACAGGACTGTCACTGGAGGGTGGTGGGAAGGAGGCTGTGTCCACCTCATGTCAGTTAAATCTTCAGGTATGACTCTGCCTCCCTGAGAGTTGAAATCCATTCTTCTTGCAATGAATGCAGGAGATGTATAAAGATACTCTGGTTGCTAGTTGAGTTTTTGTGGAATCATCACCTCATTTCAGCACCACTAGAGAAGCCTGAAGGGTACACATGAGGCACCTTTAGCATTTATAATAACATCTATTTCAGTTTATATCACCATGCTAAGGATGCAATAGACTCAAATCAATTGTTTTATGTAGTTAATGGAGTCCAAAATGCATTGTAATGTAATTTATTTTGCAGAAATATCACAAAATAGTTCACAGGTAATTATGTTTGATGTGGAAAAACACAAACTCTGAATGTGAAAATGTGTTCTGTAGGTTGCATTTAGAAAAGTGGTGGGCAGGGCTCAGATGGTTTGTAAAGACTAGGGAAATCAAAATTTTATAAATAGGGATCTATTGTTTTATTAAATGAGCCCTGGGGAACATTTTTAAAGGGTTCAAAAGTGAGAGGGGATTCCTGTAGGTAATTAGATTCCTGCTGTCTTTGGCCTAAAACCTAACTAAATATACTTAATTAAATCACATATATGGGCCGGGCGCGGTGGCTCACACCTGTAATCCCAGCACTTTGGGAGGCCGAGGCGGGCGGATCACGAGGTCAGGAGATCGAGACCATGCCGGCTAAAACGGTGAAACCCCGTCTCTACTAAAAATACAAAAAATTAGCCGGGCGTAGTGGCGGGCGCCTGTAGTCCCAGCTACTTGGGAGGCTGAGGCAGGAGAATGGCGTGAACCCGGGAGGCGGAGCTTACAGTGAGCCGAGATCCCGCCACTGCACTCCAGCCTGGGCGACAGAGCGAGACTCCGTCTCAAAAAAAAAAAAAAAAAAAAAAAAAAAATCACATATATGAATTACATTAACATTTAATATTTATTTAACTGTTGTATAAAATTTTGGTTGCCTGTGCAAAGCGACATGCACTAAATTATAGCCCTTCCCCTTCTCTGTCGTGTCCTGTTGGTATTCTTTCTTGTGCTCCCTGCCCAAGCCACAGTGGCATCCTTGCTGTCCCTCAAATACATGAGGCCCACTCGTAATTTAAGAGTTTTTTTCTGGCCGGGCGTGGTGGCTCACGCCTGTAATCCCAGCAATTTGGGAGGCTGAGGCCAGTGGATCACAAGGTCAGGAGATTGAGACCATCCTGGCCAACATGGTGAAACCCCATCTCTACTAAAATACAAAAAAATTAGCTGGGCATGGTGGCGCACACCTGTAGTCCCAGCTACTTGGGAGGCTGAGGCAGGGGAATCGTTTGAACCCAGGAGGCGGAGGTTGCAGTGAGCCAAGATTGCGCCACTGCACTCCAGCCTGGTGACAGAGCAAGACTCCGTCTAAAAAAAGAGTTTTTTCCTTGCTGATCCCAGTTCCTGGAACATCCTTCCCCAGCTATATGCATGGCTAACTCTCTTACCTCTCTCAAATATTTGCTCTAATGTCACCTTCTCTATAAGGCACTATTTAAAATTGCACCCCATCATCATTCTCAGGGTTCCCTATATTTCGCATCTGCTTTTCCATTTGTATAACAAAATCACCTTCTAATATGCAACATAAATTACTGTCACCTTAATTGTTATCTCCATCTCTGCCCTCTTCAACTAGAAACTTATAAGGGCCTGAAATCTTTTTTTCTGTTTTGTTAACTGATGTATCTCAAAAGCCTATTACATTGCCTAGTACTTAGAAGACACTCAATACATATTTGTTGAATAAATTAATACAGCTGTCAATTGTGCAACATCTTAAATAATTCTTCAATGACTACATTGATGTTCAGCTTTTGCATTGTTATGTAGTTACAAGAGAGCGTCATGTCTAATGAGAAGTGAATAGTGAGTTGTATTAAAAAAAATAGAGGAAGAGTCTGCACCGAAAGAAAATATTATTCTGAGCTAATATACGTAGGAAACGTATGCTTAATGCCACAGGTCTAGTTTGAGATCTCCGAATAGTCCTAAAACTTGTCAGAGTTGGGCAAGGAATTGGGCTAGGAATGAGCAGTATGACAGAATAAATTTTTATTTTCTTCCCTTTAAATTTAACTCCTATTTCAAAATCCCAACTTATTATTATTCAGAGGAATTTTTTAAAATATGGATCTACTAAGAATTGTAGGTTTTAAAGTTTTAGTTGGCAATAATTTTCCTCATTCTGAGACACAATTTTTTTCCAACAGACCTCTCATATTAAAAAACTTCAGGTGATTACTGCAAACCAAAATGCTGCCATGAGAATGAGAATGATTTCTGGAGCTATTTCCAGCTTTAAAATAAATAGCTATTGAGATTGATTGACAATGTCTGCAGTGCGCACAGGAGGTGGGAATATGACACTGATGCTTGTATTTACCACCCTGGGGCTAAATAAGCTCTAAGGTCCCTTTAAGTTGTCTCATTCTTTGTAAAATACAAAGTATTAAAGTATTAGCAGAAATTCTAGGTCAGGGAAATTTGAAGTGAATATATTAAGAATCTTAACTGGTTGGAAGTTAAGCATTGTAAATTAAGCATCACTGAAGACAAAATTTATATCAGAACTTCCATGTTAATATATGGGCTTACTTGCTGTGGCTATATCTCCTCCTGCCTCATTAAAATACATCCGAAAAGTGATCAAAAGTCAGGAGGGATGTGGGTGCATGCATGTGTGCATTCCTTATCTACTTGTTTATTATCTGTTTCTCCAACTTGGCTGTATGTTCCATGATGACAGGAACAATGTCTGATTTTTTTCATGGCTGCCTAACATGTAATAAGAAATCATAAAATATATTTTGAATGTGTGAGTTGAAATAAAGCTGGTGCCTTTGCAGCATGATCCTAAAGAGAATATATAACGTTTTGTTGGGAAATTATTGCAAGAAAATTATAATTTTGATTATTTGTTCCTTCTAAGAATACTAATAAAGTGACAGTGATAACAAATATTTTATTTACAGACCAAATACCTATTTTCATAATAATTTGTTACATTTTCCAGTTTTTTTTTTTACTGAAATGTGTCATCCATACATTGTACTTTGCCCTATCTGAACTATGTACAGCAGAATTTTTGTTTCAGATTAAATAACTTCATTTTAATTAAATGCACATTTCTAAGCAATTACCTTAAAAAATAAGATATATGTTTAAATATTTGACAAATTTAAGGACAACTTACAGTAAAACAAAAAATAAAATTTCTAGTTGACAAGGATAGAATAAAAACAAAGCAAATAAAACAAAGCCTACAAGGCAAAATACAGAAATCCAAAGTAGCTGGGAAACAAAAAAATAAAATGTTAACAAAAATATAGAATTAAGGTTAAATATATTGACTGTGACATTTATGTGTGAGTTAAAATTCCTATTAGCAAAAAAGAAAGAAAGAAAGATGTGTAAACAGAGGTCACAATAATATCAAAAAGGAACTCAAGGGGGGAAAACATTAAATGGCTGAGTGGGCAATTCTGTTGATAAAATCTATAATGGAAAGATAACAGTAATACATTTTCACACACACAAAACATAGCAACACAATGTTAGAAATAATTTGACACAAAAACAACAAGGAAGGGGAAAGGGTGAATAGGTAGAATAAAGAGGGTTCTTAGGGCAGTTAAAATATTCTGTATAATACTATAATGATGGATACGTTTGTCTACACCTATAGAATGTACAATGTCAAGAGTGAAACCTAAGATAAACTATGGATTTTAGAGGATTACGATGTGTCAGTGTTCATCAACTATATGAATATACCCTCTGGGGAGGGATGTTAATAATGGGAAAGGCATGCATTTGTGGGGGAACGGGACATAGAGGATATCACTGGACTTTCCTCTCAATTCTGCTGTGAACTTAAAACTGTCCTTTTTAAAAGAAGTCAGAGATATTTAAAGAAGGCAACCCAAGCAGGAAAAAGGAGTGAATTGTGTGCAAACTGAAAAAAAAAAATAGAGTGAATAGATAGAGATTTGTAAGAATTTTTTTCATGGACACCTCTGGGAAACATAATTATTTTAAAAAATCAATTTATAAAAATAAAGTAAATATAAAAACCTGTATGGAAGATATATTTTTTTTATTATACTTTTAAGTTTTAGGGTACATGTGTACATTGTGCAGGTTAGTTACATATGTATACATGTGCCATGCTGGTGTGCTGCACCCATTAAATCGTCATTTAGCATTAGGTATATCTCCCGATGCTATCCCTCCCCCCTCCCACCACCGCACAACAGTCCCCAGAGTGTGATATCCCCCTTCCTATGTCCATGTGATCTCATTGTTCAGTTCCCACCTATGAGTGAGAATATTCGGTGTTTGGTTTTTTGTTCTTGCGATAGTTTACTGAGAATGATGATTTCCAGTTTCATCCATGTCCCTACAAAGGACATGAACTCATCATTTTTTATGGCTGCAGAGTATTCCATGGTGTATATGTGCCACATTTTCTTAATCCAGTCTATCATTGTTGGACATTTGGGTTGGTTCCAAGTCTTTGCTATTGTGAATAATGCCACAATAAACATACGGGTGAATGTGTCTTTATAGCAGCATGATTTATAGTCCTTTGGGTATATACCCAGTAATGGGATGGCTGGGTCAAATGGTATTTCCAGTTCTAGATCCCTGAGGAATCGCCACACTGACTTCCACAATGGTTGAACTAGTTTACAGTCCCACCAACAGTGTAAAAGTGTTCCTATTTCTCCACATCCTCTCCAGCACCTGTTGTTTCCTGACATTTTAATGATTGCCATTCTAACTGGTGTGAGATGGTATCTCATTGTGGTTTTGATTTGCATTTCTCTGATGGCCAGTGATGATGAGCATTTTTTCATGTGTTTTTTGGCTGCATAAATGTCTTCTTTTGAGAAGTGTCTGTTCATGTCCTTCGCCCACTTTTTGATGGGGTTGTTTGTTTTTTTCTTGTAAATTTGTTTGAGTTCATTGTAGGTTGTGGATATTAGCCCTTTGTCAGATGAGTAGGTTGCGAAAATTTTCTCCCATTTTGTAGGTTGCCTGTTCACTCTGATGGTAGTTTCTTTTGCTGTGCAGAAGCTCTTTAGTTTAATTAGATCCCATTTGTCAATTTTGTCTTTTGTTGCCATTGCTTTTGGTGTTTTAGACATGAAGTCCTTGCCCATGCCTATGTCCTGAATGGTAATGCCTAGGTTTTCTTCTAGGGTTTTTATGGTTTTAGGTCTAACATTTAAGTCTTTAATCCATCTTGAATTGATTTTTGTATAAGGTGTAAGGAAGGGATCCAGTTTCAGCTTTCTACATATGGCTAGCCAGTTTTCCCAGCACCATTTATTAAATAGGGAATCCTTTCCCCATTGCTTGTTTTTCTCAGGTTTGTCAAAGATCAGATAGTTGTAGATATGCGGCGTTATTTCTGAGGGCTCTGTTCTGTTCCATTGATCTCTATCTCTGTTTCGGTACCAGTACCATGCTGTTTTGGTTACTGTAGCCTTGTAGTATAGTTTGAAGTCAGGTAGTGTGATGCCTCCAGCTTTATTCTTTTGGCTTAGGATTGACTTGGCAATGCGGGCTCTTTTTTGGTTCCATATGAACTTTAAAGTAGTTTTTTCCAATTCTGTGAAGAAAGGCATTGGTAGCTTGATGGGGATGGCATTGAATCTGTAAATTACCTTGGGCAGTATGGCCATTTTCACGATAGTGATTCTTCCTACCCATGAGCATGGAATGTTCTTCCATTTGTTTGTATCCTCTTTTATTTCCTTGAGCAGTGGTTTGTAGTTCTCCTTGAAGAGGTCCTTCACATCCCTTGTAAGTTGGATTCCTAGGTATTTTATTCTCTTTGAAGCAATTGTGAATGGGAGTTCACTCATGATTTGGCTCTCTGTTTGTCTGTTGTTGGTGTATAAGAATGCTTGTGACTTTTGTACATTGATTTTGTATCCTGAGACTTTGCTGAAGTTGCTTATCAGCTTAAGGAGATTTTGGGCTGAGACAATGGGGTTTTCTAGATATACAATCATGTCGTCTGCAAACAGGGACAATTTGACGTCCTCTTTTCCTAATTGAATACCCTTTATTTCCTTCTCCTGCCTAATTGCCCTGGCCAGAACTTCCAACACTATGTTGAATAGGAGTGGTGAGAGAGGGCATCCCTGTCTTGTGCCAGTTTTCAAAGGGAATGCTTTCAGTTTTTGCCCATTCAGTATGATATTGGCTGTGGGTTTGTCATAGATAGCTCTTATTATTTTGAAATACGTCCCATCAATACCTAATTTATTGAGAGTTTTTAGCATGAAGGGTTGTTGAATTTTGTCAAAGGCTTTTTCTGCATCTATTGAGATAATCATGGGGTTTTTGTCTTTGGCTCTGTTTATATGCTGGATTACATTTATTGATTTGTGTATATTGAACCAGCCTTGCATCCCAGGGATGAAGCCCACTTGATCATGGTGGATAAGCTTTTTGATGTGCTGCTGGATTCAGTTTGCCTGTATTTTACTGAGGATTTTTGCATCAATGTTCATCAAGGATATTGGTCTAAAATTCTCTTTTTTTGTTGTGTCTCTGCCTGGCTTTGGTATCAGAATGATGCTGGCCTCATAAAATTAGTTAGGGAGGATTCCCTCTTTTTCTATTGATTGGAATAGTTTCAGAAGGAATGGTACCAGTTCCTCCTTGTACCTCTGGTAGAATTCGGCTGTAAATCCATCTGGTCCTGGACTCTTTTTGATTGGTAAGCTATTGATTATTGCCACAATTTCAGAGCCTGTTATTGGTCTATTCAGAGATTCAACTTCTTCCTGGTTTAGTCTTGGGAGAGTGTATGTTTCCAGGAATTTATCCATTTCTTCTAGATTTTCTAGTTTATTAGCGTAGAGGTGTTTGTAGTATTCCCTGATGGTAGTTTGTATTTCTGTGGGATCGGTGGTGATATCCCCTTTATCATTTTTTATTGCGTCTATTTGATTCTTCTCTCTTTTTTTCTTTATTAGTCTTGCTAGCGGTCTATCAATTTTGTTGATCCTTTCAAAAAACCAGCTCCTGGATTCATTAAATTTTTGAAGGGTTTTTTGTGTCTCTATTTCCTTCAGTTCTGCTCTGATTTTAGTTATTTCTTGCCTTCTGCTAGCTTTTGAATGTGTTTGCTCTTACTTTTCTAGTTCTTTTAATTATGATGTTAGGGTGTCAATTTTGGATCTTTCCTGCTTTCTCTTGTGGACATTTAGTGCTACAAATTTCCCTCTACACACTGCTTTCAATGCATCCCAGAGATTCTGGTATGTTGTGTCTTTGTTCTCGTTGGTTTCAAAGAACATCTTTATTTCTGCCTTCATTTCATTATGTACCCAGTTGTCATTCAGGAGCAGGTTGTTCAGTTTCCATGTAGTTGAGCGGTTTTGAGTGAGATTCTTAATCCTGAGTTCTAGTTTGATTGCACTGTGGTCTGAGAGATAGTCTGTTATAATTTCTGTTCCTTTACATTTGCTGAGGAGAGCTTTACTTCCAAATATGTGGTCAATTTTGGAATAGGTGTGGTGTGGTGCTGAAAAAAATGTATATTCTGTTGATTTGGGGTGGAGAGTTCTGTAGATGTCTATTAGGTCTTCTTGGTGCAGAGCTGAGTTCAATTCCTGGGTATCCTTGTTGACTTTCTGTCTTGTTGATCTGTCTAATGTTGACAGTGAGGTGTTAAAGTCTCCCATTATTAATGTGTGGGAGTCTAAGTCTCTTTGTAGGTCACTCAGGACTTGCTTTATGAATCTTGGTGCTCCTGTATTGGGTGCATATATATTTAGGATAGTTAGCTCTTCTTGTTGAATTGATCCCTTTACCATTATGTAATGGCCTTCTTTGTCTCTTTTGATCTTTGTTGGTTTAAAGTCTGTTTTATCAGAGAGTAGGATTGCAACCCCTGCCTTTTTTTGTTTTCCATTTGCTTGGTAGATCTTCCTCCATCCTTTTATTTTGAGCCTATGTGTGTCTCTGCACGTGAGATGGGTTTCCTGAATACAGCACACTGATGGGTCTTGACTCTTTATCCAATTTGCCAGTCTGTGTCTTTTAATTGGAGCATTTAGTCCATTTACATTTAAAGTTAATATTGTTATGTGTGAATTCGATCCTGTCATTATGATGTTAGCTGGTTATTTTGCTCGTTAGTTGATGCAGTTTCTTCCTAGTCTTGATGGTCTTTACATTTTGGCATGGTTTTGCAGCGGCTGGTACCGGTTGTTCCTTTCCATGTTTAGTGCTTCCTTCAGGAGCTCTTGTAAGGCAGGCCTGGTGGTGACAAAATCTCTCAGCATTTGCTTGTCTGTAAAGTATTTTATTTCTCCTTCACTTATGAAGCTTAGTTTGGCTGGATATGAAATTCTGGGTTGAAAATTCTTTTCTTTAAGAGTGTTGAATATTGGCCCCCACTCTCTTCTGGCTTGTAGGGTTTCTGCCGAGAGATCCGCTGTTAGTCTGATGGGCTTCCCTTTGAGGGTAACCAGACCTTTCTCTCTGGCTGCCCTTAACATTTTTTCCTTCATTTCAACTGTGGTGAATCTGACAATTATGTGTCTTGGAGTTGCTCTTCTCGAGGAGTATCTTTGTGGCGTTCTCTGTATTTCCTGAATCTGAACGTTGGCCTGCCTTGCTAGATTGGGGAATTTCTCCTGGATAATATCCTGCAGAGTGTTTTCCAACTTGGTTCCATTCTCCCCATCACTTTCAGGTACACCAATCAGACGTAGATTTGGTCTTTTCACATAGTCCCATATTTCTTGGAGGCTTTGCTAATTTCTTTTTATTCTTTTTTCTCTAGACTTCCCTTCTCGCTTCATTTCATTCATTTCATCTTCCATCGCTGATACCCTTTCTTCCAGTTGATCGCATCGGCTCCTGAGGCTTCTGCATTCTTCACGTAGTTCTCGAGCCTTGGTTTTCAGCTCCATCAGCTCCTTTAAGCACTTCTCTGTATTGGTTATTCTAGTTATACATTCTTCTAAATTTTTTTCAAAGTTTTCAACTTCTTTGCCTTTGGTTTGAATGTCCTCCCGTAGCTCAGAGTAATTTGATCGTCTGAAGCCTTCTTCTCTCAGCTCGTCAAAGTCATTCTCCACCAGCTTTGTTCCGTTGCTGGTGAGGAACTGCATTCCTTTGGAGGAGGAGAGGCGCTCTGCTTTTTGGAGTTTCCAGTTTTTCTATTCTGTTTTTTCCCCATCTTTGTGGTTTTTATCTACTTTTGGTCTTTGATGATGGTGATGTACAGATGGGTTTTTGGTGTGGATGTCCTTTCTGTTTGTTAGTTTTCCTTCTAACAGAGAGGACCCTCAGCTGCAGGTCTGTTGGAGTACCCTGCCGTGTGAGGTGTCAGTGTGCCCCTGCTGGGGGGTGCCTCCCAGTTAGGCTGCTCGGGGGTCAGGGGTCAGGGACCCACTAGAGGAGGGAGTCTGCCTGTTCTCAGATCTCCAGCTGCGTGCTGGGAGAACAACTGCTCTCTTCAAAGCTGTCAGACAGGGACATTTAAGTCTGCAGAGGTTACTGCTGTCTTTTTGTTTGTCTGTGTCCTGCCCCCAGAGGTGGAGCCTACAGAGGCAGGCAGGCCTCCTTGATCTGTGGTGGGCTCCACCCAGTTGGAGCTTCCCGGCTGCTTTGTTTACCCAATCAAGCCTGGGCAATGGCGGGCGCCCCTCCCCCAACCTCGCTGCCGCCTTGCAGTTTGATCTCAGACTGCTGTGCTAGCAATCAGCGAGACTCCATGGGCGTAGGACCCTCCGAGCCAGGTGCGGGATATAATCTCTGGTGCGCCGTTTTTTAAGCCCGTCGGAAAAGCGCAGTATTTGGGTGGGAGTGACCCGATTTTCCAGGTGCCATCCGTCACCCCTTTCTTTGACTCAGAAAGGGAACTTCCTGACCCCTTGCGCTTCCCAGGTGAGGTAATGCCTCGCCCTGCTTCGGCTCGTGCACGGTGCGTGCACCCACTGACCTGCGCCCACTGTCTGGCACTCCCTAGTGAGATGAACCCGGTACCTCAGATGGAATTGCAGAAATCACCTGTCTTCTTCGTCGCTCAGGCTGGGAGCTGTAGACCAGAGCTGTTCCTATTCGGCCATCTTGGCTCCTCCCCCAGAAGATATTTTACTTTACATAAAAAAAATTCGTGCATAGCTGAATAAAAATATATAAGGTAATCCTAATTTTGTGCAAAAATATAAATCAGAGTAGAACAAATTGAAATGTTTATTATATATGTAGCTATAAAATATCTGGTCAAGAAAGTTTTACAAGTAAGCTTTTTCTGAGTTTGCAAAAAACAGATAATCATAGTGTTATATATGAAATATTTCAGAGCTTAAAAAATACCTGAAAAACAAACCAAACTATTTTGTTAAGCTACCTTCAGAGTGAAACACAAAAAGTCCAAGAGAACACAAATATACAGCAATCCCAGTGATAATAAAGATTCAAAGCTTAAAAATAACATATGAAGAACACATATTTAGTAGCACACTTAACCCAAATTACACAGGACTCCTCCCCAGGAATGCAAGGATGGCTTAAAATTTGGAATGATATAATGGCTTTCAATACAATCATGTTTAGATTACATGGTTGCATGTAATGCAACCCAAACCACATTCTTCCATATTGTAAAGATGTTTCAGCCATTTCAAATTAATTTATACTTTAAAACAATTTCAATAAACCCAAGTGGATTTTTTGGCAACAGAAAAAATAATAATTCTGTAAGTCATTGACAAAAGTGAACAGATAAGTGTAGCTATGAACATTAACAATAAAGTATTTACTCTAATACATATTTTAGGGTCTTATAGAATCACAATAATTAAAGTATTTTCTGTGTATCAGAACTGGAAATTAGATAAATGGAGTAGAACAGATAGCATCAAAATAGATGCTAATACATGTAAATCTTAACATATGTTATGGAGTATCAAAATGCTATGTAAAAGAGACTTAGTGAGATTTTAAAATGTTTAATTGTATAACAAATTAGGAGGACATATAAGTGAATATCAACAAAGGGCTGGATATGTAAGGGCTTTCTAAATGTGAAAGCAACAGATGAAATTACAGAGCAGAAGACCTACTGAATTGTCTAATCATTTAAAGCATTTTAAAACCTATAAATAAAGACAGGGCATATTAAAAGGCAAAGTGGGAAAAAAATTTACACCTAATATGACAAAGGTTAACATCCTTAATTTCTAAGTAAATGTTATAAATTATTAAGAAAAGTCATAAAACCCCACGGGAAAATACCAAAAAACATTTGAAAATATGACTAACCTCACTGAAAACACAAAAATGGAAATATCACACAGCAGCCATGTATCACTGATAAAATTGATAGGGGCTTTAAAAATTATAATGCCCAGTCCTGGTAAGGGATGTGATAAAATATGTATTTTCTTACACTATAGTTACAAAATTAAATTAGTTCAGGGTGTAAAACTTCATACATACATGAAATAGCTATAAAAAGCACAGAAAAAAATAGAAATACAACAAGTACAATAAAACTCATCTTTTGGCTGTGGGAATATATAGATTTTTATTTTTGTCTTTATAATTTTCTGTATTGTTTAAAAAGTTTCACAAAGATAATTCTAAAATTAGAATAAAATAGGTATTAAAATATATTACTTATATATTGGCAAATAGAAAAGGTAGCATAAATAAATTTATCTACCACATGATCTCAAATGTATCACCAAAAAGTTATTGAAAAAAATGATGGAAAGTAGCATTGAAAATTTAAAAAATGATTTCTTTTGAATCATTTAATTAAGTGAAAATTTTTCTCTTTTATACTTTGTATACCCTTTTTTATGAGCACATATTACTTTCATAATCAGAAAAAGTAAGTTTAGGCTTGAAACATCAACAGAAATACAGTTGATTCACTTGTAATGATGTGGTTTATAAATTTGAGGGTGGTTTTTGGCATAATTTGAAATGTGTCTATTTATAGCATTTTTTTTTCTGTTAAGACTAGCAAGAACTTAGTATTATGCAAGCATGAATGGCATTTAAGAGGCTTGATTTAATAGACATCACTTACCTGTATAATAAAATAGTAATCCAATAATTATGTTCTAATTAAATTTAATGTTCAAATAAAGTAATATAATAATTATATGCATATTTTTCTTTATCCAATGAAGAGATTGCATTTTTTGTCAGTCTATTTGGGTAAGTCCATGTAAATTTCCCAATCCAGTTCTGTTGGGTTTGGTATGGAATCAGTCTGCTCTTCAATGGATAGCACTGGGAAATTTTCAGGATTGAACAAAAACCATGAATCACTGCAGTAAGCATTTATATGATTGTGATGCCATAAAACTAAATGGTAACACTGTAATGGGGTGGGTATGTACAGCAGCAGAATGAACATTAAAACTTTATTACCTTTATTTGTGGGGCTTCTCTGCCTCCACTCCACTGGATTCTGCTGATGTCTTATCACTGAATTGTTACCACCAAATATAATTATGATGAAAAACCAAGGGCTCAGATTATGATGATGTGAAAGTACTAACAACACAAAACAATCTAGCTAGATGTTTTACAAAAACACTTGCCTCTTTCAAAAACTCTCTCATGAACCCAATCCAAAACTAAAAATTCCTAACCATAACTCCAAGATTATAAATGCTGCTTCACAACTACTAACATTCATCTATCAGAACTCACCAACTTTAAGACACTGCCAGCACCAATAAGCTTTCTTTCTAAACAATTGTTCAACCTTCTTTTTCCCCAATAAACCTTAATCTTTCATTTGTTTTTAAGTGTTCTGTTAATTGTCACAGACTTCAGTTTATACCTACCAAGTGCCAAGTCTTGTGCTTAAGATACAGAAAGGAACAAGATATAGCCCCTGACTCCAAGGAGCTCACAATGGGATGGAGGACCATGATGAGCCATCAGAAGACTGTGTGTGGCAGGAGCTCTAGCACGGGTGTTTTCACAGAGAATAACTTACCAGCACTTGTCTTGAGTCTACCATTAAATGCTGGCACAATGTCTGGCCCATGGTAAGCTCTCTACCCTAGACCATGAGTTTGTTTTACAAAGATTAGCTCTTCCAGGAAGTCTTCCTTGCTTAATTCAATGTCTACTCTAATTGCTTTTTTTTTTAAAAAAAAAGTACTTTTCATTGCTTTTTCCAAGTAAGTAGATTTTTTACCCCAACTTTTATTTCAGGTTCAGGGAGGACCTGTGCAGGTTTATTACATGGGCAGATTGCACGTTGCTGGGGTTTTGTATAAAAATGATTTCATCTCCCAGGTAATGAGCATAGTACCCTATAGGTAGTTTGTCCATGCTCATCCTCCTTCTAACTTCCCTTATCAAATAATCTCTGCTGTCTATTATTCTCATCTGTATTAGTTCATTCTCATGCTACTAATAAAGACATATCCAAGACTGGGCAATTTATAAAGGAAAGAGGTTTAATTGATTCACAGTTCAGCATGCCTGGGAAGGCCTCAGGAAACTTACAATCATGGCAGAAGGAGAAGTAAACACATCCTTCTTCATATGGTGGCAGCAAGGAGAAGTGCCAAGCAAAAGAGGGGAAAGCCCCTTATAAAACCATCAGCTCTTGTGAGAACTCGCTCGCTATCACAGGAACAGCATAAGGGTAACTGCCCCTATGATTAAATCACCTCCCATCGGGTCCTTCCTATGACATTTGAAGATTATAGGAACTACAATTCAAGATGGCCTGCCGCCATGTAAGACATGCCTCTTCCCCTTTCACCATGATTGTAAGTTTCCTGACACCTCCCCAGCCATGTGGAACTGTGAGTCAATTAAACCTCTTTTCTTTATGAATTATCCAATCTCAGGTATGTCTTTATAGCACCATGAAAATGGACTAATACAGAAGATAAGTAGGTATTAACTTTGGAGAAAATTGTTATCCCTTTTTCATCAATAGATGGTTTTTTTTTTTTACATCTTATCTAATAAATATTTGGCTAATCTGGAGTCATGAAGTTTTTCCCTTTTCTCTTTTTGCTAAAAGTCTAGTGTTTTAGCTGTTCTATTTTGGTTTATGGTTCATTTCCAATTAAATTTTGTGTGCAAAGTGATGTTGGGTTGAGGTTCATTTATTTCAATAAAGATATCCAATTGTTTTAGCATATTTGTTGAAAAGCCTTTTTCCATCATTGAATTGAGTTGATTCTTTTGTCAAAAATTATTTGACCATATTTATGGGTCTACTTATAGAATCCCTACACTCTTGCATTGATCTGTTGGTTTACCTTTATTTCAATATAATGCTATCATGATTATTGTAGTTTTATAGTAAGTCTAGAAATCAGGTAGTGTCCATCTTCCAGCTTTCTTCTATTTCAAAATGGTTTTGACTATTCTAGATCCTTTACAAATTGTACAAATGGAGTCAAAGGAGATCATTTTGAAACTTTAACATTTAATAACTACCCTGTTGGATTTTGAACTTAGATGGGGCCTCTGGCCCTTTTGTTTTGGCCAATTTCTCCCATTTGGAATGGGAGCATTTATCCAATGCCTGTACCCCCATTGTATCTTGGAAGTAACTAACTTGCTTTTGATTTTCCTGTATATATTTTAGAATGATCTCATCAATTTTGATGAAAAATGCTTGCTGGAATTTTGATTAAAATTTCATTGAATATATTGATCGATTTGGGGAGAATGAACATTTTAACAGTTTTGAGTCTTACAATTCATGAAAATGGCTTATCTTTCTGTATATTTATATATTCTTTTAATGTCTTCCAACAATACTGTTTAGTTTTAAATATAGAGGCCTTGTTCTTGCTATATTAAATTTATTCCTAAATATTTAAATTTGTGATGCTATTACAAATGCATTTTTTATTTTTTGAGATGGAGTCTCACACTGTCGCCTGGGGTTGGAGTGCAGTGGTGCAGTCTTGGCTTACTGCAACCTCTGCCTCCCGGGCTCAAGAGATTCTCCTGCCTCAACCACCCTAGTAGCTGGGATTACAGGTGCCCACCACCACACCCAGCTAAGTTTTTGTATTTTTAGTAGAGACAGAGTTTCACCATGTTGGCCAGGCTGGTCTCGAACTCCTGACCTCGTGATTCGCCTGCCTCGACCTCCCAACATGCTGGGATTACAGGTGTGAGAATGTCTTTTTAAAGTTTTAGTTTCCAATTGTTTGTTGCTAATATGTATAAATATAAGAATGCAACTGACTTTAAATATCAACTTTGTATTCTGCAGTCTTGCTGAATTTACTTACTTTGCTAGAAGGATTTTTAAAAATACCACTTAGGATTTTCTATGTAGACATTCATATAATTTATGGATAAAGAACATCTTACTTTGATCTTTTGTCCTTTTTTTCTTGCTTTACTGCACTGGCTAAGAACTGTGGTACAATATCATTAGAAGTTTTAAGAGTAGACATCTTTGTCTCCTTTCCCATTATTAAGGGGCAAACATTCAGTCTTTTGCCATTAAGTATGTTAGCTTTAGATATTGAAAATACACACACACTCAAATATGTGCATTTTAATGTTATGGAAAACATAGAGTTTTGGCCAGTAAGGTAAATGATTTGTGTATTTGAACACTTATTAATATATTGGAATATTAATTTTAAGATAATATCTTTAAACTCAAATACTAAACTTTGACAAACTCAGTCATTAAGCCTAGTGTTGTGAGAGGTGTGGTAGTAAGAGTATCTGGAAAAGGTCATTTCCCACATTTTTTGTGTGTTATTTTTACAGAAAAAAAAAAAACACTGGTTCACTAAAAGTTTAAATAGGAAAGAGTAATAATTGATAAAGACATGGACTTACAATGCTATCATCCCAGGAAATACTACTATTCTAATGTCCTTGGTAAGCTTATCTTCAAAATACTTGTGCCATTTATGAGATTTGGGGGCATCATATGCCCCTTAGGAGATTTTCACTATCCCATTTCCTCCAAACAGGAAGATCAAGATTCTGACATTCCTATCCTCATGTTGCCTGTGCCCCAATCCCCATGTGTTACCTGGAATCTTTGGTGTCAGTTGTCACACACAGTGCCAGTGACCCCATTCCTGCCCCCTGTGGATTCAGGGGCACACATCTCCTTTGTGAGTTTCATGTGTCACCTCTCCACCAGTCCCAGATCTAGCCCCATGAGAGTTATATAAGTGATTCCTTTTTCTTTCTGCCTTTCAATTTGTTTATAAGGAAGGGGAGGTGTGCTGGGTGGAAGTTAACCTCACAGTATTTACCAAAACCACAGTAGAAATACAAATTCATGTCTCATACATAATCGGTTTTAAGTTCTGAATATACAGAACTTTAAAGACAAAGCAGGAGAAAAATTAGTCCTACTGAAGAGTCAGAAGTGTGTCAGGAATAGCTCCATTATGGGAGAATCCTGACACATCCAGGGAGTTGGCAAGCTCAGGCACTAGTTTTGATTTGAGAACAAAGAACGTAAATCTTTGTATAGAGTTAAGAATCCCTTTGTTCACCAAATAATCACATTCTATTTTATCTGTTTTGTAAATTTGGATTTTTGCAGTCTGGGTCTAGTTAAAGTCAAGCATACCCGTGGTAAAAACAAAAGTATACTGCTTTGTCCCACAGCACTTTTAAGCCCGCTGTTTCTTAGGATCAAAATGCAGGGCAGCATAAAAATGTATTCAGTGTATGTAGAAACTGTTAATGTGTGCTGGAGAGATTGGCTTCTTTCCAGGTTCATCTCCTGCAAAGCTACTTTCTCACCCCCACCAGTCCCCAACACACATCCCTAGTTTGCCTTTTGTTGTAATTATACTTTAGCTACAACAAACTTTTTACCTCGCCTTGAATTGCTATCCTCTTTCATAACTGCATACTATTGCGTTAGCTGTTTCTGCTACCTGAAATGTCCTTTCTCTCCTCTTCACTGATTAAATCATAACAAGTTCTTAAGATCCAATGCAAATGTTTTCTGTTCTCTAAAGCCTCCCCTGAATTGCTAGCCATTATTGGAAGTCCCCAAAGCACCCATTTTTTATTATAGCATTTACAAAACAAGAGCTTGCCTCTTTCTATTGTTCACGTATGTCAACTACACTAAGCAGGGCCATGTCTAATTTGTCTTTAGATTCCAAGTGTTGAAGACAGAGATGCCTAGGAATTGCTGGCTGAGTGGCTAAATGAATGAATTAATGAATGAATGGGTTTTTCACTTTTTTTTCTGCTGTCTTGAACTCCTTTTCCTCACTCTAAATATTTTTTACAGCATTTACTATCTTCTAACATATTATAAAATTTCTTGTTTACTTATATTTATTCTCAATATCCTCCTATTAAGTCAGAGTGTCTGCCCTTGGTATGCATTAATATGTATTTAAGGAATTGATAAATTAGTTCTGCTGCATATTTTTCTTTCTAATCTCATGTCCTTGATTTTCATTGTTTAGGAAGTGGGTTGAATTTCTGTATTATCCCATTTCCTGGTTGTTTCCCTGCAGATTTTGTACCTTTGTCTGCAATTCCACACGATCTAAATAGGATTCTTTGGAATAAGGCTTTGCAAGTTTCTGTTCAATGTTCAACTATTAGTTAAACATTATCACCTTTTATCAGCCTTAACAAGTTACCTCAAATATGTTTATCAGATAGGCCCTAGTAGAAAACGTGGGAAGGGACAGCATTCATTCATTCATTCAACAGAAAACTATCTAGCGCTGCCTGTGTGCCTTTGTTTAATATGTTGGACGTGGTCACCACCCTAACAGAATTTACTTCTACTCCTGAGGTCCTCAATCATCTGCTACTTGCAATAAACTTGCAAATGCTAGAATTATTGGTAGCCTAAAAAAATTTTAAATGTTCATAATGCAATCACCGCCACAATGTAAAACTGACTCTCTGTAAAAGTGCTTACGATCATCACAAAAATTCATTAGCACCATGCCTCTGTTTTCTAAAAACTGTTTAATCTCTGGACTAAGCTCTATTTTATCATCAAGAGACAATGTTTTCATGTGATCCAATGAACATTCTATCTTTCCCTGGTCTCAGCTTGACTTCATTGTGCGGTGCTTACTTCTTTTTCCTTGCTCTCTCTACCTTTCACAAACTATGCAACACAATGTTGCATCTCTCTGAAGTCAGTGTGAGAAGAGTTTGTCTATGAGAATAAATTCTACACTTTGATCAAAATTGGGGGTACACAGACGGAAAATTTCTAGTTTTGGATGATGGGCAAGTTTGCTATGAAAATTGAAAAATGAAAGCATCTGCTCAATGGAAGGAAGTGTAGTTGGTTGGCTGAGATATAAGGGTTCTGTACAGCCAGCAGACAGCATGAAGGCCCTGAGAATGGGCAGTCACAAAGGAAGAAGAATGGTGATGCTGGCAAAGAAAGACACTTCTACTTCACAAATTTTTCTAGGCCAGTCCATGTTCACAACCTCCTAGAATCTTCGGAGGTGTTATTGACTCACGATTATGGCAATTTTCACTTAATCTTAGGATCCAATACATTATTAGGCCAGTGTACAGTTGTATGTCCATTGTCACGTTCTGTTACCCTGGATGCATTCCTAGGCAGTCTTCCAGGAAAAGTGCGTTCTTCCCTATCAAGCCTTCTCCAGAAAAGTATGGGCCCTATTTACGGCACCTCCTTCCCTTCTTCCTCCAGATAAGGCTCTGATTCCTCCCAGTAACCACTGCGTTTTAAATCAATGCTACCATTTCCACACAAATTATTCCTGCTTATACACTGCTTCTTCCTAGTGACCCTTGCTTGTTTCTGAGTATAAATCTCATGTTAATGAAGTTCAATTGTTTTCCCTAAATGTTGCATCACCTTTCATTTCTTCTCACAGCATCAACTCTCCAATTCTAGTTGACAGCAGTTTTTTTCTTCCAGGAGTTAATAAACTTGTCAGTTAATAGACAATATAAAATATATATTTATGTAAGTTTGGGGATACATGGACCGAGAAGCATTGTATATGTATACTTAATAAGATATATCCTTGAAATAGAAGGACTCCCAAATCTTTGAAAGTCAAATGATAAAAAAAGAAATAATTGGGATTCAAGCAAAAAACAGCTGATTAGGATTTTTAAGTACCATATGCATTAGAAGACATGCCCCAAAATGTTTAAAGCAGGGATATTCCTAGTAGGCCAGGAAATAGGAGAATGAATAAACAAATCAGGATATGTTCATGAATACTCCTCATCAGAGTCACAGAATGAACACAGCTGTATACATCAACATGGATGAATCTCAGGAATATATTGTTTGGCAAAAAATATAAATATCCATGAGTACACAAGTAGGCTTTAATTTATATGCAAAATGATCATGATTGATTAAGGATATATATGCAGTTAAACTGGAGATTAAAGATAAGAAGACAACTAACTCCAAATAAACAGATTTGTAAGTCACCTGAGAGTGAGGTGGGTGCAGGGAAGATGGGATGGGATAAGTGGGGAGCACCCAGGGGTTTCAAAGTGTTAGTCATGTTCCATTTCTAGAGCTGAATAGGGGATTACATGGCTGCTCATTTTATTATTATTGTTTATGCCTTCAATATATTATAAATATAATTTTGCATATATTTAATAATTAATAAAACAATTAAAAATCAACACACTAATAACATTGTAATGAAAAG
The DNA here is from genome assembly GCF_000001405.40 of Homo sapiens. Classification (NCBI taxonomy): domain Eukaryota; kingdom Metazoa; phylum Chordata; class Mammalia; order Primates; family Hominidae; genus Homo; species Homo sapiens. The sequence goes on along the minus strand of NC_000015.10, from coordinate 47,155,980 downwards.
AAATGGGAAAATATTAAGCTGTAGTCCTACTTCGTATAATGGCTGGACTAAAATTTCATATATGAACAACTTCTCAAGAAATTAATAGACCTTGGCAACTTTCTTGTGGGTATAAAATTTGTAAAAATTACGGATTTTCTGAAAATTGCCGTGACGCTTTCTTGCTTCATGTTCTATTAAGAATAGAATAATAAAATATTAATAACACATTCATAAATGGTTAAACACACTTTATGTAATTTGCTTAGGAATTCTTAGTGCAATGTATACACTCAGCGTATTTTAAGAGTCATGTAATTTACGTATGTGTCCAATTTCCCTATAAGACTCACACAAAGAAGTAGAAACCCAGAAATCAACCAGGACTTGCCGCCCCTCATTTTTCTTCCTTCTGCTTCCTAGGTAACATTTGCATTTATTCTTTCTTCTCCCTCATTGTCATCTTGTTTACCTTGGCTCAAACTCTCATCTTTTCTCTACTGTGTTAGCTTTACAAGGGGTTTTCCTGTCCTGTCTCTTTCTGTGCCAATTCAACCTCCACAGAATTTGCAGCCAGGCCGATCTTTCAAAACACAAATCCCACCTCAATATGTTTAAAAGTTACCTAATTTTCTTTTCTTTTTGTTTTTTTGTTTTTGTTTTTTTTTTTGAGACTGAGTCTCGCTCTGTGTTGCCCAGGCTGGAGTGCAGTGGCGCGATCTCGGCTCACTGCAAGCTCCGCCTCCCGGGTTCAGGCCATTCTCCTGCCTCAGCCTCCCAAGTAGTTGGGACTACGGTCTCCCGCCACCAAGCCCTGCAAATTTTTTGTATTTTTAGTAGAGACGGGGTTTCACCATGTTAGCCAGGATGGTCTTGATCTCCTGACCTCGTGATCCTCCCACCTCGGCCTCCCAAAGTGCTGGGATTACAGGCGTGAGCCACCGCACCCCGCCAAAGTTACCTAATTTTCTAAAGAATAAAAACTAAACTCAGCATGACATAAAAATCTTAAAAATCCAGACACAATCTATTTTTCTAGTCCCATGCACACCTCAGGCTTCAGCTTTACCAAGCTCTTTCTACTTCCTCTGATGCACTTTCTTGCTAGGAGATTTCTGCATATTCTTCCGTCTTGGCAATTAATGGCCATTTGTACTCTCTTAATAAGACTTTATCTACTCCCTAAAACTTGGCTTCACTGTTATTTTCTTTTTGTCCTGATCCATTCTGACCTTATTCTATTCCCTGGTACATTGAAGCACTTTTTGTCCCGTACTTCCTTAAGATGCAGGATGTGTCTCTATGACAGAATTATTCATAATATAGTGAAATCATTACTCTTTTGTTAATCTCTTCTACTAAGCTGTGTGCAACTTGAGAGAAGAGACTCTAGCTAATTTCTTTTTATATTTTTGGATCTAAAACACTATGTAGAAAGTAGTTTTATTGAATAGGTAAGAGAATCAAGACGATGAAACCTATGAAAAGGGCAGATATGGATGCAGAACTTGGGCCTGAGCATTGGAGGAAGGAGACAGGACATGAGTTTCAAGCAAGAAAGTCAGAAAATAAACCAGAGGTCATAATTAAAAGTGTGTTTTATATACTCAGGGTGAAATATTTCTCATCATGTACCATTGGCCTTAATCAAATAAATACTAAAAACATTATTAAGCAATGATGGCGAGTCTGGATAATTCATGGTTAAAAAAAGACAAAAAATAAAAGAAAAAGTTTTTTTGTTTAGATTTTGGGTGTTATTTTTTGGGGGCAGGGGTGGGGATGCTCTCATTCTTTGTCTAGAAAATGGCAAGCAAATATTTTGGGAAGAAGAAAACCAGTGCACATGGGTGCAGAAGCGTTTTTGTGGGCAAACAGGATCTATGTGATGAAATGTTTGATCAAAATGTTTATTTGAAATGTTGGTGCTCTGCTCCACTGAGGAAAGTTTTCTATCCTAAACATTTGCTTTTCGTCATTGTGAAAGCCAGTTCAGTGAATCCAATTAACTAAGCAGTAAAGACTCCCTAAAGCCAGGTATACTCTGCTATTCCTTTCCAGAGAGTTGCTGTATTGTTTAAACTTGCTTGGTCATTCCAGCATTTGTCTGGGCTTCTGGCAAATCAACTGAGCATGTGCACTTTTCTGGAGGATGAAAAATATAGGAAGCAGCTACTGACTGCTGTGGTCTATATAAATTACTTAGAAGTCTGACAATGGGGCCTGCTGTCTGACGGCACCATCAGCTACCATTTAGCATGAGTTCACTCTGTGCCAGGCACTTACATACATTGATAGTCCCATCTAACTGTCACAACAATCATGTAAGGGACATTTTTAATCCTCATTTTACATAGGAGAAAACAGTCTCAAGAAAGTTAAATAACTTGTTTAAGGTCACCTCACACTGAAGCTCAAGGTCAAACCCAACTACAGAGGTGAATTTCTATGAAGTTGATAAAGCTGAAGCTTCTGTGATCCTCAATTGCATAAGCCTGTCATCAAAATTTTATATTCTTTTTCTTAAAGAAGCCCCCAGAAGTTATATACACTTCAGGGTCCACAAACTTGGATCTGCCCCATAAAACTCGTTTATGTCGGAACCAGAATTCAAATTCAAAATTTGCCAAACTCAAAATTCTTGCCTTTCTAAAATTATTCCTCAAAACTGTCAATAGTACCTCACACCTGAAAAGTGTTCTATGCATGGTTTAGTAAATGAATGAATGAACAAATGAATGAATGGATAACAGATTTGAGAAAATCAATTAGAAAAGTTATACTCTTACACACACTTTTAAGAATTTGATTGTCTACGTTGTTATACAAGTCATGAGCACCTGAGCCAGTATTCATATTGTGAGGTTGTTCTGTGTTCTCTCTGGAGATTAGTGCACTTGTTTAACAGTGTAACATCTGTTACCAGGGGCAGAGATTAGAGACAGGACCTTCTCAAATATCCCAGGCCTAGCAGGATTTAAAGCTGGCCCCAGAGTTTGACTTGCTAAAATTATCATCTAAACTTGAGTATCCCAGGATGACTTTATCATAATTGTATTTGTTCCTATTGTGTTATAAGGGGGTTGTCCTGGCTGTTTTTACCTTATTAGACTGTCTAGAGGCCTACTTATGTCCTTCCTCGTTACTCTCAACTAATTGAATTCTTGGGATAAATCTTCATCTAAAATGGACTCTGGGCATATTTCTTTTCCAGTTAATTACTTTCCTGCTCATTGGTATAATTGCATATTTTGCTTGTTCTAGAGAAAGGACACCCAAATCAATAGCAAGGAGACTGGAGAGACAGGGGGACAGGTTGGGCATGAAATGCTTTATCTTATATGTAAACCATAAGCATGCAGCCCATTGCAGAACTGAAACTCCATACAGAAGATCCTGAAGGGGCACACAGCCATTTCTCCTACAATGCATCCTCCCAATATTGCAAAAGGACATTGTAATAAAGCAACATCCTATGAAACATATAGCCACAAATGGTAGAGTTGGAACTTAAACTACAGTCAATTCCATGCCTTTGACTTCTACAAAAAATTGTCAGTTAAAATCTTGTCATTATTTAAAAATATTTATCTATTTTTATTCTTCGATGTTAAATGACAATTATGTATACATAGCACATTTGTAAAACACAGAAAAGCACAAAGAAAAAATAAAAATTTACTGTATTATTACCCACTAATATTTTATATCAGTGTGGTCTTCCAATATTTTCACATACACACATGTACACAGGCACTTTTTTAGAGCAGAGTTGAGATCATATGGTCTATATAGGCTACGACACTTTTTGAGGCATTTTTGTGCACAGTATGTCTAATAGGACTAAAGAAATAAGCAGGACATTAGTCTGGGAGTAGGCTGTAAGCCAACTCACTAATTAACACCACATTTATTCTTGTATTGTAAATTGTAATCCTCTGTTTATTTGAACTCAGATCTCTAATGGTTTAAAACCCAGAGTTATCTATCAATTAAAAAATTATTTTTCACAAGTTATGTCTAAATTCAAGGTCTTTAATTTTCTTATTAACCTAAATTAAAAATATTTTCCCCTATAAAGTTGCTCTTAGTGAGTAGGTTTATACCCAATCTGTAACCAACCATCTTTCTTGTTAGATACACAACTAGAACCATAATAAATGTGGTAATAGCTGTTTTCCAATTAGTACTATTAGTACCCATTCAGAAATCTGTTAATACACTAGAAAAATAAATAATTAGTTACTGAATTTAGACTGGTTCAAAGCCTGTTACCTAAAACACACTATGAATGGATATTTAATCTGACATATCTAGCTATTTTTCAAATGGGCCATAATGTAGAACCTGGAATTTGAGAACCCATTGATGAGATCTGAATGACAGACTCAAGGGTCTACCTTGGGCTTTTGAGTCTTCAAATTCACATTTTTAAAAAGAAATAAATTATGATATATCCTTAATAAAGGATAATGCCAAAGATGATCACTTCACACCTTGACAACCATGTGAATTAGACAAAGGTAGCAGACTTTTTCTTTCAATATTGGTGGGAAATAGTTGCAGGGCAATGTGACCTCTCTATCATTGTTGTTTGCAGCTGTGTTTAGTCTTGTTGCTCTGAGTCCTGTTAGCAGTTCTGGTAACTGCTCCAATCAGAGACCAGTAGATGTTTATAACTAGGGTTAGATAAGTTATAAGCTTACAGAAAAGCATCAACTCTATAGATGAAGTACAGTCAATTCTTTATATCAGCCAGTTACACATCCATGTATTCAAACAACTGAGAATGGAAAATAACACCAGTCCTGGTATGCAGAGCTGGATGGATATGGAGGGCTGGCCATATATGGAAAAGCAGTCTCCTGCTTATCTAACAAGCACATGAAAGCTATACACAATAATTTGACAAACAAGATAAACTACAAATTTCATAACAGAAAGTAACTGTCATGAGAACAAATTTTAGCCTCTCCAGCTGATACAGTTTGAATATATGTCCCTGCCAAATCTCATGTTGAATTTAATCCCCAGTGTTGTAGGTGGAGCCTGGAGCCTGGTGGGAGGTGTCTGGGTCATGCGGGACAATCCCTCATGGCTTGGTGCTGTCCTCCAATAATGAGTGAATTCTCATGAGATCTAGTTGTGTAAAAGTGAGTGGCACCTCCCCTTCACCCCTCCTGCTTCTGCTTTCACCATGTGATGTGTAAGCTCCAGCTTCAATTTCTGCCATGATTGTATGCTTCCAGAAGCCTCCTCAGAAGCCAGTGCTATGCTTCCTTGTACACTCTGCAGAACTCTGAGCCAATTAAACCTCTTTTCTTATAAATTATCCAGTCTCAGGTATTTCTTTGTAGCAATTCAAGAACAACTAACACCCCAGCTAAATAGCTAGACTGTGGATATTTTAATTATTTATATTTTAAGTAATTCATCCTTCTACCTATACTCTAAATCTTGAAAGAAAAGACTTAGATGATTTAAATAAACTGCATATAGGTAATAAGATTGCTGAAACAGTTATAAAACCATAAAATAAGGTAAGTGTATTTTATAGTTAAGGAATATAGACAGTGAATTAACATCAAATTGGACTCTGAGTATACTAACAGTCAAGGAAAAAGTAGAATCACAAAATGTCATATAGTCCTTTTTACATAACAAAATAAAAAATATTTGTTATTGAATATTGACAAAGTTTTCCTAGTACAAATGACTAAAGAATTTAATGTAAGAGGCTTTAATAAAAGAAGCATAAGTGAATTTTTCCAGTAACAACTTTACAGCAAATGCTCAAGATACCCTTGGTTTTAAAAATTAATGAACTACTTTTTAGAGTAGATGTAGATTCACAGAAAAATTGAGTGGAAATGCAGAGAGTTTCCACATACCCACTGACCCCAATCATGCATACTCTTCCCAACCAGCAACCACAGTCAGGATACATTTGTTACAATGATGAATCTACATTGACACATCCTTATCACACAAAGTCCACTGTTTACATTACGGTTCTCGCTTGGTGCACATTTTGCAGGTTTTGAAAAAGATATAATGACATGTATCCACCACTGTAGTATCATACGTAATAGTTTCACTACCCTACAAACACTCTGGGCTCTCCCTCTTCATCTCTCTTTCCCCTGTAACTACAGCAACCACTGATCTTCTTACTATATCCATAGTTTTGTCTTTTTTAGAATGTCACCTATTTGGAATCATATAGTGTTACCTTTTCATATGGACTTCTTTCACTTAGTAATCTGAATTTAGTTTTTTTTCCCACATCTTTTCATGGTTTGATTGCTCATTTTTGTTAACACTGAGTAATATTCCATTGTCTGGAAGTACCCTAATTTATTTATTCATTCACCTACTGAAGGACATCTTGCTTTGGTTGCCTGGAAGTTCTAATAATTAAGAATAAAACTGCTAGATACATCCCTGTGCAGGTTTTTGTGTGGACATTCAACTCCTTGTGTAAATACCAAGGAGCAGGGTCCAGGGATTGCTGAATACTATGGTAAGACTATGCTTAGTTTTGTAAGAAACTGTGAAACTGTTTTTCAGAGTGGTTGGACCATTTTGCATTGTCAGTGGCAATAAATGAGAGTTCTTGCTGCTGCACATCCTCACCAGCATTTGGTATTGTTAGTATTCTGTATTTTGGCCATTCTAATAGGTGTGTAGTGGTATCTCATTGTTTTAATTTCCATTTCTCCGATGACTCATAAAATATCTTTCCACATGTTTATTTGCTATCTGTATATCTTTGGTAAGGTATCTGTTAAGGTCGTTGGCCCATTTTGTTTTCTTATATTTGAGTTTTAAGTGTTCTTGGTAAATTTTGCCTCACAGTCCTTTATCAGATATGTCTTTCGCAAATATTTTTTCCCAGTATCTTGTTTGTTTTCTCATTCTCTTGAGGCTCTGTATAGGTTTTGCTGGATTACAGGCATTTTACAAACACGAAGGTGATTCCAGTGGAAATAGAAGTTTATACCAGTGATGAAAACGTTTGTCAACAGTGACTCCTGTGGTGCTAAAATCGTTGGTGTCTCAAGGTTCAACTTAGCCTCATAGTGTACTAGAAACTCCTAAGGTATTAAGTAGGATATAAAAGGTGAGAGCTGCTCCTGTGACCAGGGTTTCAAAGATGCATTGAGGCATAATTTCAGCTTTGTTCCACTGCAATGTTCCCCTTCACCCATGGCTGCCCTCAAGATTTTCTGTTTATCTTTAGATCTCAGCATTTTCACTATTATATCTCTAAGAGTGTTTTTCTTAATATTTATTATGTTGGGGTTCATTGTACTTCTTGGGTCTATGGATTACCGTCATCTTAATTTTGGAAAAATTCTTGGCCATTATCTCTTCAAATATTTCCTCTTTCCTCATCATTCCCTCCTTCTTTTCTCCTCCTAAGAGTTTTGTTTTTGCAAATATTTTCTCCCAGCCAATGGCTTGTCCTCTCATTATCTTGACATTGTCTTTTGCAGAGCAGAAGTTTTTAATTTTAATGAAATCCAAATTATCAATTATTTATTTAATGGATCATGCCTTTGGTATTGTATCACAAAAGTCATTGACATACCCAATGTCACCTAGACTTTTTTTCTGTGTTGTCTTCTAAAAATTTTATAGTTTTATGTTTTACTTTTAGCTCTATTATTCATTTTGAGTTAATATTGGTGAAAGGCTTAACATCTGTGTCTAGATTCTTTTTATTTTTGCATGTGAATGTTCAGTTGTTTCAGCATCATTTGTTGAAAAGACTATTTTTGTCCCATTTTATTAACTTTGTTCACTTGTCAAAGACTAGTTGACTATATTTCTGTGGGTCTAATTGTGGGCTCCCCATTTTGTGCTACTGTTCTACTTGTCTACTGTTTCACCAACACTGCAATGTCATGATTACTGTAACTTTATAGTAGGTCTTGAAGTTGGGTAGTTTCAGTCCTCTGACTTTGTTTTTCTCCTTCAATATTGAGTTAACTATTCTGGGTCTTTTGACTCTCCACATAAAATTTAGAATTGGTTTGTTGATATAAACACAAGTTACTGGGATTTCAATTGGAATTAAATTGACTCTATTTGAATCTATAAACCAAGTTGGAAAGAACTGATATCTTAACAATATTGGGTCTTCCTTTCTAAGAACATGGAGCATATATTTATTTAGTTATTCTTTGATTAGAGTTCTGTAGCTTTCCTCATGTACCTCTTGCACATATTGTGTTAGACTTATAACTATTTAATTTTTGAAGATGCTAATATAAAGAATAATAGGTTTTTAATTTCAAATTCCATTTATTTATTGCTGGTATATAGGAGAATGACTGACCTTTGTGTATTAACCTTGTATCCTGCCTGTAAACTTGCTGTAATCACTTTTTAGTTCCCAAAGCTTTTTTGTCAATTTTTTTCAGATTTTTTTATGTAGATCATGTCATCAGTGAACAAAATCAGTTTCATTTTTTCCTTCCCAATCTATATGTTTTGTTTCCTTTTTATCTGATTGTATTAGCTAGGACCCTCAGTATGATATTGTAAGAGGGGACATCATTGCTTTGTTCCTGACCTTAGCAGAAAAGCTTTGAGTTTATCACCATTAAGTATGTTATTTGCTGTAGGTTTTCTGCAGATATTCTTTATCAAGTTGACAAAGTTCCTATATTCCTTTTTTTTTAAAAACTGGAAGTTGAATATATATCAAATGCTGTCTTTTTTTGTTTCTATGGATATGACCATGTGATTTTTCTTCACAGTAGCTTGTTGATATGAGGAATTACATTAACTGACTTTCAAATGTTAAACAAGCTTTACATACCTGAGATAAAATCTACTTGGTCATGGTCTATAATTCTTTTTATACATTGTTGGATTCAATTTGGTAATATTGTCATGAGGATTTTTGTACCTATGTTAACCAAAGATATTGATTTTTAGTTTTTGTGTAACATCTTTGGTTTCGGTATTAGGATAATGCTGAACTCATAAGTAAGTTGTTTTCTTTACCTCTGGCTTCTTTTAAGATTAAAAAAATCTTTGATATATTAAAAAATTCTCAATATCACTAATCATGAGGAAAATGCAAGTTAAAACCACATTGAAATAATGAAATATCATCTGACATCTTTGAGAACTGTTGGTACTTGTCTTTCCATGCCTGGCTTATGTTGCTTAGCATAATATTTTCCAATTTTATCTTTATGGTTTCCTTTGTTGTACAGAAGACTTCTGGGTTGCTGTAATCCCATTTGTCTATTTTTCTTTTTGTTGCCTGTACTTTTGGGGTGAAATCTAAAAAATCATTACCCAGAACAATGTCATGTCTTTTTTTGCTGTTTTCTTCTAATAGTTTTAGTGTTTCATGTCTTATATTTCAGTCTTTAATTCAATTGGAATTGATTTTGTATATGGTGTGAGATAAGGGTCCAATTTCATTCTTTTGCATATAGATATCTAGTTTTTCCAAAATCATTTATTGAAGACACTGTCCTTTTCCCATTGTGCGTTCTTGGCACCTTAGTCAGAAATCAATTGATCATACGTGTGTGGATTAATTTCCGAGCTCTCAATTCTTTTCCATTGGTTGAAGTATCTATTTTTATGCCAGTATTGCATTGTGCTGGCATAATTGCTTATTACTTTGTAGAAAAGTTTGAAATTAGGTAATGTGATGTCTCTAGCTTTGTTCTTTTTGCTCCTGATTACCTTGGACATTCTGTGTTTCTTTATTCTATATGAATTTTTTTTTTATTTTTTTCCTTTTAGTTCTTTTTGTTTTGCCCTTTTATTTCTGTTTGCCTAATTTCTCTGGCAGACTTTCAATACTATGTAAAATAGAATTTGCATGCATGGATGTTTTTATGATAAAAGGATGTTTAATTTTGTCAAATGCTTTTTCTGCATCTAATGAGAGAATCAGATGGTTAATGTGATGTTTCACATTTACAATTTGCATATATTGAACCATCCTTGCATCCCAGGGATAAATCTCACTTGAGCATGACAAATTATCATTTTAGTGTGTTGTTGAATTCAGTTTGCTATTATTTTTGAGGATTTTTGCATTTGTCTTCATCAAGGTTATTGCTGTGTAATTTTGTTTTCTTGTGATATTTTTGTCTGCCTTTGGTACCAGGGTAACGGGGGCCTTGTGGAAGGAGTATGGATGTATTCTCTCCACTTTGCTTCTTTCGGAACAGTTTGTGAAGTGTTGGTATTAGTTCTTCTTTAAATGTTTGTTAGAATTCAATGGTGAATGCATTGGGTCCTAAGCTTTTCTTGGATGGAAGACATTTTATTGCTGATTTAATCTCCTTACTTATTATTGGTATATTCAGATTTTCTGTTTCTTTATGATTCAGTCTTGGTAGATTGTATGTATCTAGAAATTTACCCATTTTTTCCAGGTTATCCAATTTATTGGCATATAGTTATTCATAATAGTCTGTTATGCTCTTTTCTATTATAAGAGGAGTTATCATGTCTTCTGTTTCATTTCTGATTTTATTTATTTGAGTCTTCCTTCCTTTTTCAATTTTATCTTTTCAAAAAACAACTCTTAGTTCTCTTTATCATGTATATTATTTTTCTAGTCCTTGTTTCATTCATTTCTGTTCTTGTCTTTATTTTTTTTTATTTCCTCTGCTAACTTTGGGCCTAGTGTGTTCTTTCTTTGTTTCCTTGGGGCTTAACATTAAGTTGTTTTATATCTTTTTTTTTATGTAGGTATGTATTGCTGTAAACTTTCTCTTAAAACAGTTTTGCTGCATTCTATAAGTTTTAAAATATTGTGTTTTCATTTTCATTTGTCTCAATATATGTTGAAATTTTTCTTTTCATTTCTTTATTGTCCCATTGGTTGATTAGGAGCATGTTCCTTAATTTTCATGTATTTATGAGTTTTCCTAAATCTCATGTGTTATTAATATCTAGTTTCATAAAATTGTGGTCAAAAAGCTACTTTATATGATTTCAATCTTCTTCTATTTGCTAAGATTTCTACTGTGGCCTAACATATAATCTATTCTGAAGAATGCGCCATGTGTGCTTAAGAAGAACAGATATCCTGTTACTATTGGAGGGAATGTTCTGCATATGTCTATTAGGTCCATTTGGTCTAAAGTGTTTCCCAAGTCTCAAGAAAATAATAATGTTTCTTTATTAATTTTCTGCCTGGATTATCTCTCTGTTGTTGAAAGTGGGATACTGAAGTCCCCCTACTATTATTGTATTGTAATCTATATTTTGGTGCTCCAATGTTCGGTGTGCATAGATTTATAATTATTGTATCCTCTTGATAAACTGACCCCTTTATTATTATATAATATCCCTCTTCATCTCTACTTATAGATTTTGATGTAATGACAATTTTGTCTGATATAAGCATAGCTACCCCTGCTCTCTTTTGGTTTTCATTTGTGTGAAATATATCCCTTTTCTTTCTATCTATTTTTGTCCTTAAAAGTGAGCTAAGGTTCTTATAGGCAGCATATAGTTGGGTCTTGATTTCTTTATCCATGCAATCACTCTATCATTTTGTTAGATAATTTAATCCATTTGTAGTCAAGGTAATTATTTGATAGGTAAAGTCTGTCTACTGCCATTTTGTTAACCGTCTTCTGTTTTATTTGTAAATACTTTATTTCTTTCTTCCTCTTTTGCTGTCTTCCTTTGTGGTTTGATGGTTTTCTGTCATGGTGTGCTTTGAACTCTTCCTAATTCTGTTTCATGCTTCTAGCATAGATTTTTGCTTTGTGATTATCATGAGGCTTACATTAAAACATCTCATACTTATAATAGTATTTTTCAAGCTGATAACAGCTTAACTTTACATATCACTGTATGATTTTTTCCTCCCATGCACATTTTGATGTCAGAATTGACATAATTTTATTATACGTATCCCTTGACACTTTATTTTAGCAATAGTTGTTGGTAATAGTTTTGTATTTTAACCTTCACACTATAGATAAAATTGCTTTACACAGCACTGTTATAGACCTAGAGTAATCTTAATATAGCTCTGTCTTATGCCATTAAGTTTTGTCTTTCATAAGTTTTGTTATTAGTCTTATTTTCTTCTGCTAAAAGCACTTTCTTTAACAATTTCTATAAGGCAAGCCTGGTGGTAATAAATTCCCTTAGTCTTTGTGTGTCTGGGAAAGGTTTTATTTCTCCCTCATTTATGATTAACAGATTTGCTGTGTAAAATATTCTTGGCTGTTAATTATTTTTCCTTCAGCGCTTTGATATATACTCCAACTGTCTCGTGGCCTGCAGGGTTTCTGTTGAGCAAACCATGGATAGTTGTATTGGGACTTTTGGTATGTGATGTGTTTCTTACCTATTGCTGTTCTCAGAATTTTGTCTTTGCCTTTGATTTTTGATAGTTTGATTATTATATGTCTTGGTAAAATTTCTTACAGTTGAAATTTGTTTGAGGGCCTCTGTACTTTCTGTACTGGGATGTTGACATCTTTCCCCAGATTAGGGAAGTCATTAATTTCTTCAAATATTTTATCTGATCCTTTTTCTCTTTCTTTTCCTTCTAGAATTTCTATTATGTGAAGTTAGGTCTCCTTATGATGTCCCATAATTCCTGTAGGCTTTCTTCATTCTTTCTTATTATTTTTTCTTTGTGCTCCTCTGACTATACTTTCATATGTTGTGTCTTCAAGCTCACTTATTTTTTTCAGATTATTAAGCCTTCCATTAAATATTTCTATTGCATTTTTTTTTTCAGTTTAGCCTTGTGTTCTTCATGCCTAGATTTTTCATTTTTTATTATTAATATGTCTTGGTCAAACTTTTAATTTTCTTTGTGTACTGTTTTCCAAATGTTTATTTTTAAAATCTGTATATTCTTATAGTTAATTGGATTTCTTTACAAGGATGATTCAAATTATTTGCTTGTAATTTCATAGATTTCTGTTTCTTTAGGGCCCAGTCTTGGAGTTTTCTTAGTTTCTCATTGTAATCCTTGTGTCCTTGTTTTGGTGTCTGTGCATTTCTTCAGGGGTTATTGAAGCCTGGGACCTCCTATTCTACTATCCTGCTGAGGTCTGACATTACTCCCTCTCAAATTTTTAACTTTCAGAATTGTCCACTCTGAGCCTCCAAAAATTCGTCAATTAAAGTTCAGGTTTTCTTACTCAGGTATTGTTCCTTAAGAAGATTTCTGCCCCAGTTAAATTGTGATTCTATGTATCCGTTTGCCCATCTCTTTAATTTTGGGAGCTTTTCCTTGTGATTTCACTTCTCTTATAGATCTAACTTCTTTTTTCAGTTTTTTTCCTCAACTTTTTACTTGTTATTATGAGGGAGCAGCAACTTCTAAGGTCCTTATGTGTCAGGCCAGAAACTGGAAGCCCTAAAGTTATCTTGAAATAATTTTTTTCTATTGGCCCACAAGTGCAGTCTTGAGTTAATCTTATTTCTAGCTAATGGCATATGTTTTTTTCACTCTTTCAGCCTTCAAAAATATCAAGACTACCTTATATCTCAGTGGGAATGTTTCTCACTGAGGATGCATGTAGTTTTCTGATGATGTAACTTAGTAGAGGCCTAAAGAGCAACATAAGAAAAATTTCATAGGTAAAATTAGTCTTAGGTTTCTTACTTCAGTGTTCTTTATACTGGAATATCCCTTCCCCTGAGGATCCATTTACACTTTCCACTAGGCACCCTGGCAGGAATAGTTTTAAGAAAATCCATTTCCAAATCTTAAACCCCCAAATGTGTAGTTTCCTAGAATTGATTTGCATGGCAATTTTCCAGTGGTCAACTATGCTAGAGGCTTCCCATTTATTCTCTTTAACTAATTTCCCTCTCATAGTTTTTTTCTCACTTTACAAAAGAAAGCCATAGATTTCACACAAAGGAAATCATACATAATACCTTACCTGTGGGTGAAGGTCCAATCAAAGGGATAATTTAAATGATAGCAATGACTGGGAAATAAGTTATTTGGACAATCATCTGGGTTCTAATTCTTTCTTCTCAATAAAATCGAATGAAGAACTACTCTAGCAATTGGATTATTATAGATAAATTTCAGTGAAAATCAATTTTTGTCTTACAATTTGAAAGGAGTTCAATGAATTGAGTTTCACTGCTGTAACAAAACTCTTAATTCCAATCTATTTACTTATGACAATTTATCTTGATGCATATGTCTATAATTGATCTGAATCCTGTTTCATTTTAAAAATTAATTAGTTTTTAAATTTTTTCAATTGACATGTAATTTTTTTATTTGTGGGATATAGAGTGATATTTTAATACATGTGCACAATGTGTAATGATCAAAACTAGGTTATTAGCATACCCAACACCTCAAACATTTATTTCTTTGTGTTGGGAACATTCAAAAGCCTCTCTTTTAGCTTTTTGAAAACATGCAATAAATTATTTTTAACTATTGTCACCCTACAATGCTATAGAACCCTGGAACTTATTTATTCTACCTAGCTGAAATTTTGTATCCATTAACCAACCTCTATTTTCCTACCCACTTTCCCAGCCTCTAGTAACCAATACACTACTGTTTTATATGAGATCAACTATTTTAGCTTCCATACAGGAGTGAGAACATATGTGAACCCTGTTTTATTTTCAAGGAGGGTACACAAACTGAAATGAAACAAGAGCTTAATTTATTTCATTAAAAAATACATTTTAATTCCATTTTACTTATTGTCCTTAATGATTACTTATCGAAATTTGTAATAAATGGATTTTCCGTTGGTCAACATAAATGCCTATAGAAAATGATTTAAAAATTGATGTTTATTTATATGTGTGTGTATTTGCTGCCATTAAGTAGTATAGTGTAATCTAGAAAATATTTTCATAACATAAAATATATTTTACAAGAATAAGATTATATGTTGAGGGGGAATAAAAAAACATCAAGATCAAAATGGAATGACATTAGATTTGTGAAAAATACCTTGTTCATATTTTCCTTTAATGAATAATGGTGGGTATGAAATCATGGTAACAATCACATTTTATTGAAAATGTTTCAAATAGTGATCTACCAGTATTATTTTAAAGTGTTAATTTAAAAAACAGCTTTTATGTATTCTTTGATACTAAAGTTAAAATGATGGAAAATTTTAGATGTCAACTTCAAATGTACAAGATGATTCATAGTTTTCAAAATTGTTTTACAGTATCTAATGATAAAATGTTAGAAAGCCACTATTTTTATCTACTGTATGTAGGTATCATTTCTCTTACCCAGGCATTTGATAAGAGAAAGATGGCAGGAAGTGTGAGGCCCTTTTATCTCAAAAGAACCAGAATTGCTGAAATTCTGTGATTCTGAATGACAAACTCTATAATGCTTAAAAAGCCCAATCAGACCTAGGATACAAGGCTGTCATAACTTGGTGTAAAATAAGCTAAAGTCTCCAACAAAAAATCATCAGATCCTCCCAAGAAAAACAGAGTTTGATATATATTTTTTTAAATGTCCATATGATTTTTGTTTTGTGTCCATGTTGGGTGAAGTCCTTCTTGTTTCTCTAATACAATCTTCTTATTCTGTCACACACCCACCTCACTCCCAAATTTTATAGTTTATTTGTTTAATGTGCATATTATTTTCCCTTTTCTACATTGTACTTTGGATACACTATTGAAATTCCTGAATTCCAGTGATAAAGAAAATTTTGTGAATGCGTCTTGACTGAAAGAGTGAATAATCTTTCATGCACTCAAATTTGGAAGCAGGCAGCATTTTATTGGTCACTCATGCATTGCCCACATGTTGCTCTATTTCTTTGGAAATCTCTCTCTCATTCCTATCCTTCCGTGAAATCTCTACTCTGCATAGTAGCCTGTTCTACCACACCCAGAAAACTTTTGACCACAAAAGAGCCAGTGTGATGAAGCAGCAGAGAACTGAGTCCAGAGGAAAGAAACAAAATATTTAATGAACTTTGATACTGCTGAGATAAGTGAGTATGAGCAATTTCCTGCACCTCAAAAAAACCTTAGTTTTCTTACATATAAAACAAAAATTAGACTAGATGCCACTAAATTTTATTCAGGTCTTAAAAGTCTATGACTGTGATAACATTTTAGGATGATGGATATGTTCAATTTCATGACTGTGGCCGTGGTTAGGCTACTGTATATATGATAAAAATTCATGGGTGAATTTTATTGTAATAAAGCTGACAAAAAATTATGACTTTCAAAAATAATGGTAACAGTAACATTTATTGAACATTGGATCAGCTGTTAATTTCTTTACATGTACTGTTTCACCAAATTATCTTATGTACACTAGGAGTTTGATACAATTTTTATCCCCATTCTTGTGGGGGATATCACGGAGATGTAAAGATGTAAGTGACTTGCCCAAAGTCACACACTTAGTGAGTGAAAATGCCAGAACTCAAATATAGTTCTCCCAATTCCAAAGTCTGTGTTTGAATAATTTATTTACTATTAGAGAAAGAGTTGGAAACAGAGTATATATACTGAGCTCCTTCCTTCCCAGAGCTGTATGTGAGAAAAATACAGAGGTGGTATTGTTTTATCTCTACCAAGGATTAGTGAGGGTTTCTAGAATTATCCTGATTCCCAAAGCAGGCTTACAGATTCCATTATCTTTCTTTGTGGGCTTAAAACCAATAATACCTCACATGAAAACTCCAAAAGAAGAAAAACAAAGGATGTGTAAAGTGAAAAAAAATCACAACACAGCAATTTATGTTTTTTTTGTTGATGCATATATATTTTAAGATGCACTCAACTGATTGTAAATCATCATTTGCACATGGAATCCTAAGAGAATGCTAAACCTTGCCATCGACCTAACCTGGACTGTTGTCATATTCCTCTGTAAATCAATACTGCAATGTGTGCTTTTGTCAGAATATGTGCTATATCATGTGATTTTTAGAGAAAGAGAATCAGCAAGGTTATTTGTGACCATATTTGAAGTAGCCATAAACAAACATGTCTAAAATAACCTACAGAAGAAGGCTTGGCTAACAAGACAGAGCTAAGAAAAGTGGCTACTGGTTTCTTCCCTTAGAATTTCTTCTAGCAGCTATATTGTTCTCATATTTAAATGCCTTTTTAAAGAAATATGTAATTATAATATATGCATTATGATATATGGCATGAATTAATGCCTAAAATGACTTAAAATCAACATAAATGCTCCCTACATTGGGGGTACTGATTGGTAGTATCCAGGAGGAAACTGAACTATGTCTACAAATTAAAGATTGATGCTGGGAGAATTTGGTCTTTCCTAAGAGAATTATAACTGCATTTGAGGTCTAACAGTCATACTCTCAGTAATTTTGCCTGAGAAATTAGCATTGGATTTCTTTGGGTCATTGATTCTACTAATGTATGAGTAGTAGATGTTATCTGTTTCAGCCTTTGAGATCTAATTATACTTATTCTCTTGAATTAAAAGTAGTTATTTTATGTGCAAAATTTTCTTAAATATGGCTTCATATTGGTGTTTTTAGAAGATTTAAATGGTAATATAAAAATATTTTTAGAATTATTGCAGGTTGTCTTTTCTTGGGTGGGAGGTGAAGAAACTATCAAGAATAAGTTAAGATTAATTTGAAAAATGTGCTTTAAGAAAAAAAAAGCTGCTTCTCATTCAATTCTTCAAAATTTGGTGTCATCTGTGTTAAAACCATCAAGCAAGATTTACAAAGCACACATCTATCCAAGGCTTTCTTTTGAATTGAGCCTTCTTTTTCTGTGCAGAAGTAGAATAAATTATAAATGATGATAACATTTAAATTCTAGGTTTATTTTCAAGTGTAGTTGATTTGACTTAAATGGGAATTCTGTAGCTATTTAGTAATTAGGAATGATAGTTCTCTGCAATTCATAATTAGACCCAAAACAGGTGTTTTCCTTCTTTTTTTTTTTTTTCAATAGAAGTATTTTCAACTTTGGCAGAAGAATAGAAATGCAAATGGCTACAAGCTAATGAAAAATTTACCAAAATGTAAAAGACAGGAAGTTTGTATTTTTGTTACCTTTTTAAAAGTATTTTTAATGAACAAATCAAAGGAATCTTCACTCCTAATTGAAGTATGCATCATTTGAGATTTTAATACCAACTGACTAGCTAGAAATGATAGCTTAAATGGGCATTAAAGTATAATAGTAAGAGAATAAAGATAGTTAAAACAAAATAAATGGATATAATTATGTTACCCATTATTCCACAACACACAAATACACACACACACACACGCAATCTGTGTGTGCAAAATCAAACTATTCCTATTATGAACTTAACTTTAAAATAGAACAAAAGTTACATCTTATTTCACCATCATAATCGAACTAAGGATGGATCATGATTTATTTGGTACCATTAATGACCACATGAGCCTAAGAATTGTGTAATCCTAAGAAGATTTATTAATAAATGACCCATAGCAATTTTCTAATATAAAATGCCGAATTGAAAATGGTTTGGAGAGAGTAAAATTCCCAAAGTAGCATATGTTCAAAATAGTTTCCAGACCACAAAACAGAATTAAGACGAAGGTTATCACAGGCTAAACCTATCAAGAGGATTCTGCCGTCTCATTAGTGTGCACTATCTCATACTAATACCAGCTGGCTCATGAGACTGTACCCAAGAATGACCACAAAAGCAAAACAGTCTGCAGCAAAAACTGTTACAAACTGAAATCTAGGTTTCCTCCTTCTTTCAAAGGAATATGAAGTAAAAGATTTGATTTCCATAAAATAATAAATTAGGAAACAATGACCTAAACTGGAGATATTTTTGGAAGACTGTAGCAATTAGTCAGACGGTAGGTCATTCCTCTTCCTATTTTGCGTCAGGATGCACACAGATAGTCTTAGAAAAGACGTATGACGTCTGTTTAGAAATTTCTCTTTGATGAGCGACTTTACTTGTTTTATGTCTTTATTAATCTAAAAGGAGTTTACTCTGATTTGGGATGCACCCTATTTTAAAGTTTCCTTTAACTTTTCCTCTTTTAGAATAAATGCAGCTCATTTGAAATACTCTGAAAATGCAGTAAAGCAGAAAAAAGAAAGAATGACATAGGATCTTTTCCCTCAAGTGATGAATATTTTGATATGCTAAGTGGCTTGAATGCCTCTGAGAAATATCTTCATATGATTACTCTGTTGGTTAAATACAGACAAGTGTGATTAAGTGTAAATCTACACATATACCATAAATGACCACCGGATTGGTGAAGGGCACAGGGGGTGCCAGCACTTTGTTACCGCAAATTGAGGGGAGCACTTGTGAGCCACCCTGTGTACTGCCAGCATTCTTAATTGAGTGGAAGGCACAGGGACAAGAAGGCATAACTTGGACCATTATTAGACCTTGTTAAAACCCAGCTACATTGCTTTTCTAGGCAGGAATGCTTTCTTGGCACACTCCTTTCCAATTTCATTATATTTTCATTTTCATGTGTTGGGCATTTAGATTCTAGCTCTTTAAGTGAGGATCCTTGAGCTCCTCATAGGATTTTGCCTTCATTTTGGTTAGTAATGCGAAACGCAGAGGATGTCTGAATAAAATGTCAAGTAGGTGGGAGGATGACTCAAGAACTACTCAGATTGGATCACAGTCCTGCCATAAATGCATTAAAATCCTATCATGTTAACCCATTAGGCAGAACTTTTCTTCTTCTTTCAGTTGCCATCTTATAAAATGTCAATTATTTTGTAAGCATAAGAAAAGTAGTTGCCTAACAATTCCACTAACACTGAATATAACCCCGAAGATAAGACTTATTTCAGAACTTCAAAAAGCTGATGACTTTCAGACTGAGACTAGTTGTGTGTGCTTTTGTATTAGACAGAAGTCCTTCTGATAACCTCCTCATTACTAAAAATTGAAGAGCACGGTGCACTAATCTGTTTATATTGGGTCTTTATCCAAGTACACACCTTAGTCAATGTCAGAATATAGAAAGAAAAACCTAATATTGATTTTGAAGCACGGAGATACTAAAAGTTTAAACAACTTTTTAGTGGCATTTTTTTCCACGTTAAGATTTAAGAAAGAAGACACCAGAGATCACTTTGATGATGTACTTGATTGGATTACTTGACTGAGCCCATAGTGTATGAATATGTTGATGAATATTCTTTTATTATAGACAAAAAAGTATTATCCCCAAGACTATTCTGGAAAAGAGAATCTCCATTTTATTTTGGCTTCTAACCAAAGAATCAGCCTACTTTTAAGGAAGTTTTTCTCTTGACATTTCTGTCTTCAATGCATTAAGCTTCTATTCATATATATTTGTGTCTGTTCTTTTAACAGCCATGTCATCTAGCAATCAAGTATCTTATTTGATTTTCTTCAAATGATCTGATCTCAGATACCTTTATCCTCACAGCAGGCAATTTTTATGTAAAATACTGGTATCAACTCTAATGGATCTGATGACAGTTTTAAAACCTTTCTACATTAATGGCCTTTCCATTGTATTTAAGCATCGTGTCTCCTATATGCCATGATAAATGTGACACTCCCATTATAATGTCCTAAGTAACCACTCTGAATGGGGCACTATCCGTTCTTCAAATCTGTAATTGCCTAATGCAATATATCATTATGACTTCCAGGGGAAAAATACCCCTTTAACTTACATGAGTGTTTAGTTGTAAATGTGTGATTATGTGGTTACTTTGCTATGGGAATATATTTAGAAAAGATAGACCTTAGAATAAGATAGAGTTACTAGGGTTTCATATATTGATATCTATACCAAATCTGATAGCGTTACTAGAGTTTTATATATTGATATCTATACCAAGTTTTCAAATTTACTTTCTAGGGGAAAACATGGAGCAGATCATATAATGGCTATTAATATATTATTAAATATCCAGAACCAAATTAAAGTTTAAAAAAACTTACTGTGCCCTGTTAGAAAATGTATATATACAGTGCCTCATGCAGCCTACTTTGGGACATAGTCTCAGTCTATACTGAATCTGTGTTCCTGGGCTTAAGTCCTCAAACTTGGCTAAGAATAAATCTAACTGTGACTTTTCTAAGTGCTAGTGCCTGTTTGTTTTCCACTTTTGGTGACTATTCACATTCCTATTCTCTCAGTCTTTATTTCATGTATTTTGAATCCCTGATATTAGGTGCATAAATGCTCGAACTATAATTTTCTGTTGATGAATTGACCTCTGTATCATTATTAAGTGGCATTTTTACCCCTGCTAGAATTTTTTGCTCTTAAATATACTTTCTCTGATATAATATAGCCTTTCCAAATTTCTATAGGTAAGTGTAACATAGTAGGACTCTTTCCATCCTTTTACGTTAGCCTTAGTGGCCTTTACATATAAGTGAGTTTACATTGTAGCCAGCACATAATTAAGTCTTATCTTTCTACCCAGTCTGCTAATTTATGCCTTTTAATTAGGGTATGCAGACCACTCACATGCAACACAATGATTGGTATGGTCAGGTTAGATTTATCGTCTTGCTATTTCTTTTCCATTTCTCCCATCTCTCCTTTGTTGCCTCCTTTATTTAGAATTACTGAGTACCTTATAGTCCTATTTCATCTTTTTTTGTCTTATTAGTAGTAATAACTCTTCATTTTGTTCTCTTAATGGTTTCTGTAGGCTTCAGAATATAAATTTTTTTTTTTTTTTTTTTGACATTTGACTATTTTCTTGTTTATTGGTATTTCTTTGGGAGATTTTTTTTTTTTTTTTTTTTTTTGAGATGGAGTTTCGTTCTTTTTTTTTTTTTTTTTTTTTTTTTTTTATTGATCATTCTTGGGTGTTTCTCCCAGAGGGGGATTTGGCAGGGTCATAGGACAATAGTGGAGGGAAGGTCAGCAGATAAACAAGTGAACAAAGGTCTCTGGTTTTCCTAGGCAGAGGACCCTGCGGCCTTCCGAAGTGTTTGTGTCCCTGGGTACTTAAGATTAGGGAGTGGTGATGACTCTTAACGAGCATGCTGCCTTCAAGCATCTGTTTAACAAAGCACATCTTGCACCGCCCTTAATCCATTTAACCCTGAGTGGACACAGCACATGTTTCAGAGAGCACAGGGTTGGGGATAAGGTCACAGATCAACAGGATCCCAAGGCAGAAGAATTTTTCTTAGTACAGAACAAAATGAAAAGTCTCCCATGTCTACTTCTATCCACACAGACCCGGCAACCATCCGATTTCTCAATTTTTTCCCCACCCTTCCCGCCTTTCTATTCCACAAAACCGCCATTGTCATCATGGCCCATCCCCAATGAGCCGCTGGGCACACCTCCCAGACGGGGTTGTGGCCGGGCAGAGGGGCTCCTCACTTCCCAGTAGGGGCGGCCGGGCAGAAGCGCCCCTCACCTCCCGGATGGGGCGGCTGGCCGGGCGGGGGGCTGACCCCCCCACCACACTCCCGGACGGGGCGGCTGGCCAGGCAGAGGGGCTCCTCACTTCCCAGTAGGGGCGGCCGGGCAGAGGCGCCCCTCACCTCCTGGATAGGGCGGCTGGCCGGGCGGGGGGCTGACCCCCCCACCACCCTCCCGGACGGGGCGGCTCGCCAGGCAGAGGGGCTCCTCACTTCCCAGTAGGGGCGGCCGGGCAGAGGCGCCCCTCACCTCCCCGACGGGGCGGCCGGCCGGGCGGGGGGCTGACCCCCCCACCTCCCTCCCGGACAGGGCGGCTGGCCGACCCACCCCCCGCGCCTCCCTCCCGGACGGGGCGGCTGGCCGGGCAGAGGGGCTCCTCACTTCCCAGTAGGGGCGGCCGGGCAGAGGCGCCCCTCACCTCCCGGACGGGGCGGCTGGCCAGGCGGGGGGCTGATCCCCCCACCTCCCTCCCGGACGGGGCGGCTGGCCGGGCGGGGGGCTGACCCCACCTCCCTCCCGGACTGGGCGGCTGGCCGGGCGGGGGGCTGACCCCCCACCTCCATCCCGGACGGGCGGCCTGGCCGGGCGGGGGGCTGACCCCTTACCTCCCTCCCGGACTGGGCGGCTGGACGGGCGGGGGGCTGACCCCCCACCTCCCCCCCTGACTGGGCGGCTGGCCGGGCGGGGGGCTGACCCCCCACCTCCCTCCCGGACGGGGTGGCTGGCCGGGCAGAGGGGTCCTCACTTCCCGGTAGGGGCGGCCGGGCAGAGGCGCCCCTCACCTCCCGGACGGGGCGGCCGGCCGGGCGGGGGGCTGACCCCCCCACCTCCCTCCCGGACGGGGCGGCTGGCCGGGCAGGGGGCTGACCCCCCCTCCCCCCTCCCGGACGGGGCGGCTGGCCTGGCAGAGGGGCTCCTCACTTCCCAGTAGGGGCGGCCGGGCAGAGGAGCCCCTCACCTCCCGGACGGGGCGGCTGGCCGGGCGGGGGGCTGACCCCCCCACCTCCCTCCCGGACGGGGCGGCTGCCGGGCGGAGACGCTCCTCACTTCTCAGACGGGGCGGTTGCCAGGCAGAGGGGCTCCTCACTTCTCAGACGGGGCGGTTGCCAGGCAGAGGGTTTCCTCACTTCTCAGACGGGGCGGCCGGGCAGAGGCGCTCCTCACATCCCAGACAGGGTTGCGGCCCAGCAGAGGTGCTCCTCACATCCCAGACAGGGCGGCGGGGCAGAGGCGCTCCCCACATCTCAGACGATGGGCGGCGGGGAAGAGGCGCTCCTCGCTTCCTAGATGGGATGGCGGCGGGGAAGAGGCGCTTCTCACTTCCTAGATGGGATGGCGGCCGGGCAGAGACGCTCCTCACTTTCCAGACTGGGCAGCCAGGCAGAGAGGCTCCTCATATCCCAGACGATGGGGGGCCAGGCAGAGACGCTCCTCACTTCCCAGACAGGGTGGCGGCCGGGCAGAGGCTGCAATCTCGGCACTTTGGGGGGCCAAGGCAGGCGGCTGGGAGGTGGAGGTTGTAGCGAGCCGAGATCACGCCACTGCACTCCAGCCTGGGCACCATTGAGCACTGAGTGAACGAGACTCCGTCTGCAATCCCAGCACCTCGGGAGGCCGAGGCTGGCGGATCACTCGCGGTCAGGAGCTGAGACCAGCCCGGCCAACACAGCAAAACCCCGTCTCCACCAAAAAAAAAACGAAAACCAGTCAGGCGTGGCGGCGCGCACCTGCAATCGCAGGCACTCGGCAGGCTGAGGCAGGAGAATCAGGCAGGGAGGTTGCAGTGAGCCGAGATGGCAGCAGTACCGTCCAGCTTTGGCTCGGCATCAGAGGGAGACCGTGGAAGGAGACCGTGGAGAGAGAGGGAGACGGAGAGGGAGAGGGACAGGGGGAGGGGGAGGGGAGGGGGAGGGAGAGGGAGAGGGCCAGAATATAAATTTTTAATCTACTATAGTCTATCTCAAGTTATATTATACCACTTCACCTATAGTATTAGAAACATCCTATAATCTACTTTCATTTCTTCCTACCCAACATTTATTCTAGCATTGTAACGTATTTTTCCTATACATATGCTATAAACATCTCTACAGTACTTTTACAATTTTCTCATTTCATGGTCAATTATCATTAAAAAATTTAAATATTAAGAAAAATATATTTATGATGTAGTTACATTATTTGGTGCTGTGTGTTGCAAAAACCCATATTTGCATGTGATATCATTTTCTTTCCGCCTCAAATACTTTATTTTCATCCCTTTTTTTGTACTGCAGTTCTGCTGGTATTTAATTCTTTCACCTGTTGTATATTTTAAATAGTCTTTATTTCCTCTTCATTTTTGAAAGATATTTTCATTCAGTGTGTGGGTTGACAATTTTTTCCACTATCTTCTTACCTGCATTGTTTCTGATAAGAAATTTGTTGTCATCCTGATCTTTGTTACTATGTACATTACATGTGTTTTTTTCTTTGGTTGCTTTTAAGATTTAAAAATCTAAAGTCGCTGATTTTAAACAATTTGATTGCCGTGTACATTGATTTTTTTTAATGTCCCTTTTGAGTTTGTTGAGCTTCTTTGCTTTGACTTTTCATCACACGTGGAAAATTTTTGGTTATTTTGTTAAATATTTTATCCTTTACTTCTCTTCCATGGGGAACTTCAGTTATACACATGTTAGGCTGCTTCAGGTTGTTCCAGTGATCTTTGATTTTTCATTCATTATTGGGAAGAGGTGCTTTCTTCTTTTCTCTGTTTCCTTTTGGGTAGATTCTATTGCTTTTTAACATTTTCTCTCACCATATCCAATCAATGTTCTGTGAATCTACAAGTTTTCTGGTTTGGCTTGTGGGAACAGACCTATTTCTTGCTCTGTGTTAGTATGAGCACTGTTTTAATCCTTTTGGGTGGTTATTTCCCCAGTGTCGGCTGGTTTTCTTACACACATGCACTAATCAGTGTTGTGCTAAATACTTGAGGGGACTCTGCCAATTTCTTGAGTTCTCTCTCTGAGCTATTGTCTCCTCTTTTGTACATTTTCTTGTGAACTCCTATAATAGGCCTGTTTTCCCTGGACTCTAAACTCCAGTTCCTCAATTCAGGGAGTCTGCTGAGAACTCCTGGTGTTGATTATGGGAGAGTTTGTGCAAGCAGGATAGTGGAATAGAAAATTCCACTGATTCTCACCACCCACCCCCAGGAAGGACACCAAATTAACAAGTATCTAACAGGAAAGAAAAAAGGCCAGATGCGGTGGCACATGCCTGTAATCCCAGCACTTCGAGAGGCCAAAGCGGGTGGATCACGAGGTCAGTTTGAGACTGGCCTGGCCAACACAGTGAAACCCCGTCTCTACTAAAAATACAAAAATTAGCTGAATGTGGTGGCATGCGCCTATAGTCCCAGCTACTCAAGAGGCTGAGGTGGGAGGATCGCTTGAACCTTCCCTACCCCCAGGCTGGACAGCTGTCGGCTCCAAAAGAGACCCCTTCCTTCCACTTGAGGAGAGCAGAGGGAAAAGTGCGAAGACTCTGTCTTTCATCTAGGATACCAACACAGCCACAGCAGGATAGGGCACCAGTCAGAGTCATGAGGCCCCCATTCCAGGCCCTAGCTCCACGATGACTGTCTAGATACATTCTGGGCCCTAAAGGAACCTGCTGCCTTGAAGGAAAGGAACCAGTCCTGGCTGCATGAATCACCTGCTAACTGAAGAGCCCTTGGGCCTAGAATAACCAGCAGCAATACCCAGGTACTACATCAAGGGTCTTAGTGAGCCTCTGAGACTTGTGACTTCAGGTGGGACTCGGCACATAACCAGTTGTGGTGGCTATAGGGAAAAACTTCTTCTGCTTGAGAAAAGAAGAGGAAAAAGGGACTTTGTCTTGCACATTAGGTACCAGCATGGCCACAGGGATGGAGCACCAGATAGGCTTTTGGGGTCCACGATTCTAGGAGTTGACTCTTGGATGGCATTTGTGGGCCTGCCCTGGGCCAGAGGGGAACCCACTGCCCTGAAGGGTGAGTCCCAGGCCAGGTAGCATTCATAACAAACTGACTTAAGAGACCTTGGGCTTTAAGGGAACATTGTTGATGGCTTGGGATGGTGATGGTTATGGGGTGAGGCTCCTATGCCTTTGGAAAGGGGAGAGAAGAGTGGGAAGGACTGTGTCTTGTGGTTTGAGTGCCAGCTCAGCTGCAACACAGTAGAACACGGGGTAAACTTCTAAGGTTTTTCACTTCAGTTTCTGACTCCTGTACAGCATTTCTGGACCTCACTGCTCTGAAGAGAAGAACACAGGCCTGGCTGGCTTTGCCATCTGCTGATTGTAAAGCCCCAAGGCCTTGAGCAAACATAGGCAGTAACGAGGGAGTGGTTACAGCGGGCTTTGAATGAGACTCAGTGCTGTGCTGACTTTAGATCTGACCCAGTGAAGTCATAGTGGTAGAGTCCACAAGGGTACTTGTGTCACTTCACTTCCAGCTTTAGGTGGCTCAGAACAGAGACAGACACTCTGTGTGTTTGGGAGAAAGTAAAGGAAGAGAACAAGTATCTCTGCCTGGTAATCCAGAGAGTTTCCTGGATCTTGTTCAGTACAACAAAGGTGGTACCTCTATGAGTCTGCAAGAACCACAGCACTACTGAGCTTCAGTTGCGCCCTAAGGCAGATACAGTTTAGATCACAACACCCAAGTCCTTTCACAAATCTGAAAAGTTCTTCCCAAGAAAGACAGCTACAAATAAGCCCAGTGAAGACTACAATAAATACCTAACTCTTCAATGCCCATATATGAAAGAATGCCTACTAGCATTAAACCATCCAAGAAAACATTATCTCTCCAAATTAACTAAAACAGGCATCAGGGACCAGTTCTGGAGAAGCAGAGATATGTGACCTTTCAGGCAGAATTCAAAGTAGCTGTGTTGAGGAAACTCAAAGAAATTCAAGTTAACACAGAGAAGGAATTCAGAATTCTATCAGATAAACTTAACAAAGAGATTGAAATAATTAAAAAAAAATTCTGGAGCTGAAAAATGCAATTGGCATACTGAAGAATGCATCAGAGTCTTTTAATAGCAGAACTGATCAAGCAGAAAAAAGAATTAGTGAGCTTGAAGACAGGCTATTTCAAAATATACGGTCAAAGGAGACAAAAGAAAAAAGAATAAAAAACAATGAAGCACACCTACAGGTTCTAGAGAATAGCCTCAAAAAGGCAAATCTAAGAGCTATTGGCCTTAAAGAGGAGGTGGAGAAAGAGATAGGAGAAGAAAGTTTATTTAAAGGGATATAACAGAGAACTTCCCAAGACTAGAGAAAGATATCAGTATCCAAGTACAAGAAGGTTATAGAACACCAAGCAGACTTAACCCAAAGAAGACTACCTCAAGGCATTTAATAACCCAACTCCCAAAATTCAAGGATAAAGAAAGGATTCTAAAAGCAACTAAGAAAAGAAACAAATAACATACAATGGAGCTCCAATTTATCTGGCAGCAAATTTTTTAGTGTAATCCTTACAGGCCACAGGAGAGTGGCATGAAGTATTTAAGTTACTGAAGATAAATCGTTTTACCCTAGAATAGCATATCTGGTGAAAATACCCTTCAAACATGTAGGAGAAATAAAGACTTTCCCAGGCAAACAAAGGCTGAGGGATTTCATATACCAGACCTATTCTACAAGTAAATGCAAAAGGTACTACTTCAATCAGAAATAAAAGGATTTTATGAGCAAAAATAATCACCTGAAGGTACAAAACACACTGATAATAGTAAGTACACAGCAAAACACAAAATATTATAACACTGTAACTGCGGTGTGTAAACTGCTGTTATCCTAAGTGGAAAGATTAAATGATGAACCAATCAACAATAATAACTACAACAACTTTTCAAGACATAGTTAGTACAATAAGATATAATAGAAATAACAAGTTTAAAACGTTACAAAATGAGGAACAAAGTTAAGATGTAGAGTTTTTATTTATTTTTGTTTGTTTATTCTAATAGTGTTAACTTGTTATCAGGTTAAAATAATGTGTTATAGTATTTACAAGCCTCAAGGTAACCTAAAACTAAAAACTGTACAATGAATACAGAAAAAAATAAAAATCAAGAACCTAATGCTTATCACTAGAGAAAGTCACCTTCACTAGACGAAGATAGGAAGGAAATAAGGAGGAAGAGGAGACCACAAAACAACCAGGAAACAAGTCCATACTTATCAATAATAACATTAAATGTAAATAGACTAAATTCTGCAATTGAAAGACATAAAATGGCTGGAGAGATGAAAAACAAGATACAATAATCTGTTGCCTACAAGAAACACACTTCATCTATAAAGACACACATAGACTGAAACTAAAGGAATGGAAACAAGATATTCCATGCCAATGGAAACCAAAAGAGAGTAGGAGTCACTATACTTATATCAGAAAAAATACATTTCAAGAAAAAAACTGTAAGAAGAGACAAAGAAGGTCACTATATAATGATAAAGGGGTCAATTCAGCAAGAGGATATAAGAATTGTACAAATATATGCACCCAACACTGGAGCACTGAGATATATATATATATAGGAAATATTATCAGAGTTAAAGTGAGAGATAGGCCCCAATACTTATAATAGCTGGAGACTTCAACACCCCACTTTCAGCATTGAACAGATCTTCCAAACAGAAAATCAACAAAGAAACATCAGACTTCATCTACTCTATAGATCAAATGGATTGAATATATATTTACAGAACATTTCATCCAAGAGCTACAGAATATACATTCTTTTCCTCAGCCCATGGATTATTCTCAAGGATAGATCAGAGGTTAGGTCATAAAATAAGTCTTAAAACATTCAAAAAATTGAAATGAAATTAAGAAACTTCTCTGACCACAATGAAATAAAACTAGAAATTAATAACAAGCAGAATTTTGGAAAATATACAAATACATAAAAGTTAATATTCTCCTGAATGATCACTGGGTCAAAAAATTTAAGAAGAAAATGGAAAAATTTCTTAAAACCAAGGATAATAAAAACACAACATACCAAAATTCATGAGATACAGCAAAAGCAGTAATAAGAAGAAAGTTTATAAGTGCCTACATCAAAAAAAGAGGAAAAATTCCAAATGAAAACCTAACAATGAATCTTAAATAACTAGAAAAGCAAGAGCAAACCCAAAATTAATAGAAGAAAAGAAACAATAAAATTCAAGCAGAAATAAATGAAATTGAAATTAAAAAATACAAAAGATGAATGAAACCAAAAGTTGCGTTTTTGACAAGTTAAAAAAAATTGACAAACCTTTAGCCAGAATAAGAAAAAAAAGAGAAAATCCAAATAAACAAAATCAGAAATGAAAAAGGAAACATCCTGGGACTCAATGGCTTCACTGCTGAATTGTATCACACATTTAAAGAACTAATACCAATCATATCCGAACTATTCTGAAAAATAGAGGAGGAGGAAATACCTCTGAACTCATTCTTCAAGGCCAGTATTACCCTGATATCAAAGCAAAGACACATCAAAAAGAGAAAATTATGAGTCAGTATCTTTGATCAATATTAATCCAAAACTCCTCAATGAAATACTAGGAAATTGAATGCAACAATACATTAGGAAGCTTATTCATCATGAACGAGTGGGATTTCTCCCTGGGATGCAAGGATAGTTCAAAATGTGATATTGATTCAATCAACGTGATACATCGTATCTACAGAATGAAGGATGAAAACCCTATGATAATTTCAACTGATGCTGAAAAAAATTGGATAAAATTCAACATCCCTTCATGATAAAAAAAAAAACCTCAAAAGCTGAGGATAGGAGGAATATACCTCAAGATGATAAAAGCCACATATGACAGACCCACAGCTAGTATTACACTGAATCAGGAAAAGCTTAAAGCCTTTTCTCTAAGATCTGGAACCCAACAAGGATGCCAACTGTAATCACTATTATTGAAAGACCTAGCTAGAGCAATCAGACAAGAGAAAAATAAAAAAGACATCCAAATTGGAAAGGAAGATGTTAAGTTATCCTTGTTTGCAGATGATAAGATTGTATATTTGGAAAAACCTAAAGACTCCAAAAGAAAACTACTAGAACTGATAAACAGACTCAGGAAAGTTGCAGGATACAAAGTCAACAAACAAAATCAATAACATTTCTATATGCCAACAGGTAACAATCTGAAAAATTAATAAAAAGTAACCTCACTTAAAATAGCCACACATAAAATTAAATATCTAGGAATTAATCAAAGAAGTTAAAGATCTCTATGATGAAAAAAGTAAGACACTGATGAAAGAAACAGAAGAGGACACACACAAAAAAAGGAAAAATATTACATGTCCATGAATTGGAAGAATAAAGTGGAAAAATATTTTATGTTCATGGATTGGAAGAATCAATATTGTTAAAATATCCATACTACCCAAAGCAACCTACAGATTCAATGCAATCTCTATCAAAATACCAATGTCATTTTTCAGAGAAATACAAAAAACAATCCTAGAATTTATATGGAACCATGAAAGACCCAGAATAGACAAAGCTATCCTAAGTAAAAAGAACTGGTGTGATCACATTGCCTGACTTCAAATTATACTGTAGAGCTATAGTACCCCAAAACAGCATAGTACTGGCATAAAAACAGACACATAGACTAACAAAACAGAATAGAGAACTGAGAAGCAAATCCACGTACCTACAGTGAACTCATTTTTGACAAAGGTGCCAAGCACATACACTGAGGAAAAGACAGTCTCTTCAATAAATGGTGTTGAGAAAACTGGATATCCATATGCAGAAGAATGAAACTAGACCCCTATCTCTCACCATATACAAAAGCCAAATCAAAATAGATTACAGACTTAAATCTAAGACCTCAAACTATGAAAACTCAAACTACTATAAGAAAACATTGGGGAAATCAGGACATTGGTCTGAGCAAACATGTCTTGAGCAATATCCGATAAGCACAGGCAACCAAAGCAAACATGGACAAGTGGGATCACATAAAGCTAAAAAGCTTACGCATAGCAAAGGAAACAAGCAACAAAGTGAAAAGACAACATGGGATATTCCATATTTTATTATAAAAAAATGCTTTTTATAAATAATGTTGCCTAACTGTAGGCTAACATTAATTGTTATAAGCACATTTAAGGTATGTTAGGCTAAGCTATGATGTTGGGTATGTTAGGTGTGTTAAACGCATTTTCTACTTACAGGATTTTCAACTTAAAATGGGTTTACTGGGATGTATCACCATTATAAGTCATGGATCATTTGTATTACAATGAATACATATGAAAGTGTAACATTCACTGGTAGAGGTAAATACATAGTCAAATGCTGAATACTCCAATATTGTAATGACAGTATGTAAATCATACATATCTCTAACATGAGGCTTTTTGTTAAGCTCATTGTAAGCACAAAACAAACACACAAAAAAACCCGACAGCAGATATACAAATTATTAAGAGAAAGGAATTAAAGCTAACAACTACAAAAAATTATCAAATCACAGATAAAGATGATAAGAGAGGAAGAAAGGAACAAAGGAGATGCAAAACAATCAGAAATAAACAAAAAAGGCTGTGGTGAGTTGTTACCTATCAAAAATAACCTTGAATATAAATGAATGAAATTCTCCAAGCAAAAGACAAAGTGACTAAATGGATTAAAAAACAATGTTTAACTACATGCTGCCTACAAGAGATCTAGTTAAGCTTTAAGGACACACATATGTCAAAAGGAAAAGAAGCAGGAAGATATTCCATATAAATAATAATCAAAAGAGATCAGAGGTGGCAATACTTATATATCTGATAAAACAGACTTCAAGTCAAAAGTTGTTGCAAGAGACAAAGAAGATAATTATTTATTGATAAATGGATCAATTTATCAAGAGGATATAACAGTGGTAAATACATATGCACTCAACATTGAAGCACCTAAATATATAAAGTAAATATTAATAGACGTGAAGGAAGAAATAGGTACCAATACAATAATAGCAGGAGAATACAATACACGTTCAAAAACAGATAGATCAACCAGACAGAAAATCAACATGGAAATATTAGATTTGAACCGCACTTTAACCTAAATGGAACTAACAGGCATGTATAAAACTCTTCATTGTACAGCAGCAGAATATACATTCTTCTCTAGTGCACATGGAACATTCTCCAGGACAGACCATATGTTAGGCTACAAAACAAGTCTTAACAAATTTAAGATTGAAATCATACCTAGTATTGTTTCCAACCACAATGATATGAAACTAGAAATTGATAATAGGAGAAATCTTGAAAAATGTATAAGTATATGGAAATTAAACAACATGCTTCTGAACTACCGATGGGTCAAATAAGATTTCATAAGAAAAAATTTAAAATATCTTGAGCCAATGATGGAAACACAATATATCAAAACCTATGGAATGCAGTCAAAGTAGTTCTAAAAGAAAAATTTTGTAAAAATAAATGCCTCATTAAAAAAAGTCTAACGCTAAATAAATAGCCTAACATTATGTCCCAAAAAGCTAGAATAAGAAAAATAAGATGAGACCAAATTTAGCAGATTAAAGAATAGAAATAATCAGAGAATAGAAAAAAAACACAGAAAAAATGAATAAAACTAGGAAATTTTTTTGACAAAATAAACAAATTGACATATGTATAGCTAGACTGAGAGAAAAAGACAGATGACTCGAAAAAATACAATAAGAAGTGAAAAGTGGACACACTACAACAGATGCCTCTGAAATTTAAAAAAACCATAAGGGACAATTATGAACATTAATATGCCAACAAATTGGATAACCTGGAGAAAATGAATAAATTTTTAGAAAAATTTAGCCTACCAAGATTGAATCAAGAAGAAATAGAAATATTGAACAGATTGATAAGAAATAAAAGAAATTACAAGTAATTAAAAATGTTCCAACAAATAAAATATCAGGACCAGATGGCTTAGATGAATTAGGCTGAATTCTACCAAACATTCAAATAATTATTACCAATACTTCTTGAATGCTTTCAATATATAGAGGTAAAGAATACATGTCCAAACACATTTTATGGGGCCAGCATCACTTTGATACTAAAGCTGGACAAAGAAATCACAAGGAAAGAAACCAAATAAACATTAATGCAAATTTTCTCAATAAAATATTAGCAAACCAAATTCAACAACACTTCAAAATATTATATGCTATGGGCAAGTGTATATATCCCTGGCATGCAAGTCTTGACTAAAATACACATATCAGCCATGTGATATCTCATAATGGCATACTGGAAGATGAAAACGTCGTCTCAATTGATGCAGAAAAAGTATGTAACAAGGTGCAGCATTTTTTCTTGATAGAGATCTCTTAACAAGTTAGGTATAGAATGAAATTTCCTCAACATAAGAAGGGCCATTTATAAATAACCCACAGCTAATATGATGATCAATGGAGAAAAACTAAAGACCTTCCTGCTAAGATCCAGTACAAGGCAAGGACATGCACTGTCACCACTTCTGTTCAACATAATATTGGAAGTATTATTATTATTACTATTATTTTACTTTTTTTGAGACTGAGTCTTGCTTTATCTCCCAGGCTGGAGTGCAGTGGTGCCATCTCGGCTCACCGCAACCTCTACCTCCTGGGTTCAAGCGATTCTCATACCTCAGCCTCCCGAGTAGCTGGGATTACAGGCACCCACTGCCATGCCCAGCTAATTTTTGTATTTTTAGTAGAAACAGGGTTTCGCTATGTTGGCCAAGCTGGTCTCAAACTCCTGACCTCAAGTGATCTGCCTGCCTCAGCCTCCCAAAGTGCCAGGATTACAGGCGTGAGCCACTGCACCCAGGAGCTTGGTCACTGTTGGTTTATAACAGAGCTATTGATTTGTGTATATTAATTTTGTATCCTGAAACTTTGCTGAATTCGTTTATCAGTTCTAGGAGCTTTTTGGATGAGTCTGTAGGGTATTCTATGAATACAACTATGTCATCAGCAAACAGTTACTGTATGACTTCCTCTTTACTGATTTGGATGGTCCTTTATTTATTTTTCTTGCCTAATTGCTTTGTTAGAACTTCCAGTACTATGTTGAACAGAAGTGATGAAATGGGCATCTTTGTCTTGTTCCGGTTCTTAGGGGAAATGCTTTCAACTTTTTCCCATTCAGTATGATGTTGGCTGTGGGTTTGTCATAGACGGTTTTTATTACCTTAAGGTATGTCCCTTCTATGCCAATTTTGTTGAGGGTTTTAATCAAAGGGATGCTGTATTTTGTCAAATGCTTTATCTGCATCTATTAAGATGATTATGTGATTTTTGTTATTAATTCTGTTTATATGGTGTATCATGTTTATTGACTTGCATATGTTAAACCACCCCTGAATCCTGGGTATGAAACCCACGATTATCTTTTTGATATGCCGTTGGATTCAATTCACTAGTATTTTGTTGAGGATTTTTGCATCCATGTTCACCAGGGATATTTGTTTGTAGTTTTCTTTTTGTGTTTATCCTTTCCTGGTTTTGGTATTAGGGTGATGCTGGCTTTAGAGAATGGTTTAGGGAGGATTCCTTCTTTCTCTATCTTTTGGAATAGTGTCAATAATATTGGTATCAATTTTTCTTTGAATGTCTGATAGAATTCAGCTGTGAATCAGTTTGGTCCTGGACTTCTTTTTGTTGCTAACTTTTTCATTATCCTTTCAATCTTGGTGCTTGTTATTGGTCTGATTACAGTTTCTATTTCTTCCTGGTTTAATCTAGGAGGATTTTATCCTTTCAATCTTGGTGCTTGTTATTGGACTGATTACAGTTTCTATTTCTTCCTGGTTTACTCTAGGAGGATTGTATATTTTCAGGAATTTATTCATCTCCTCTAGATTTTCTACTTTATGTGCTAAATTTATTGAGACTCCCTTATATGTGATGAGTTGTTTCTTTCCGTGTTCAAAAGTCTCTGCTGTTTGTTTTAGACAGTTTGGTTATTATGTGTCTTGGAACGGGTCACTTTGATTTAGCATATTTGGATTTTGTTGAGCTTTCTGGATATTTATATTCATGTCTTTCACCAAATTTGGGAAATTGTCAGCCATTATTTCTACAAATGTTCTCTTAGTTCCTTTCTCTTTCTCTTCTCTTTTTTACATAACTACAATGCCTATGTTAGTCCACTTGATGGTTTCCTATGGGTCCCTTAGGGTTTGTTCATTTTTCTTTACGTTTTTTTCTATTCATCAGTCTCAATAATTTCTATTGTTTTACCTTCAATTTCCTTGATTTTTACACTATGTGCTCATATCTGCCTTCGGAATCCTCTGAATTTTTCATTTTAGTTGTTGTACTTTTCAGCTCCGGAATTTCTTTTTGGTTTCTTTTTAGGTTTTCTATCTCTTTACTTCTATTTCCATTTTGATCATACATCATGCTACTGGTTTTCTCCATGACTTCCTTTAATTCTTTGAGCATCTTTAAGCCAGTACTTTTAATGACTTTGTTTAATATATCTGTCATTAGATTTTTTTCAGGGACAGTTTTAGGTGTTTTTCTTTAAATGAACAATAATTTTTTATTTCTTTGTGTGCCTTATGATTATTTTTCCTTGAAAACTATACATTTAATACACTTAAACTATACTATACATCTAATAATGTGTTTTCTCTGAATATCAGATTCTCCCCCTTACCTGGAGTTTGCTGTTTTCTTTTTCTTTTTTAAAAATTTGCTTTACGTTTTTTCTGTGCCGAGGACCCATCTGAGGTGTTAAAACCTTCTCAGGTCTTTTCTTAGCCTGTACCTTCCCTTGGCACAAGTGGTAACTTTATAATTCCTCCTGTACATGAAGCTGATTTTGAATGTCCTAGTCTTAAATGTCTGGCTTACAAAAGGAGAAAAAGAGAAAAATGATGGGGGAGTAAAAAGGTGCCAGCCCTTTAAATCCCCTGAAATCAAGTCAGCCTTATGGAGCAGGGCTTACAACAAAGAAGGAAGGTGTTTTATAGTTACTGGGTATAGTAACTATACCCAGTATAGTTTTATAGTTTTATAATTACTGGTTATATACCCAAAGGACTATAAAACACCTTCCTTCTTTGTTGTAAGCCCTGCTCTATAAGGCTGACTTGATTTCAGGGGATTTAAAGGGCTGGCACCTTTTTGCTCCCCCATCATTTTTCTCTTTTTTCTCCTTTTGTAAGCCAGACATTTAAGACTAGGACATTCAATATAAAGACACATGCACACGTATGTTTATTGCGGCACTATTCACAATAGCAAAGACTTGGAACCAACCCAAATGTCCAACAATGATAGACTGGATTAAGAAAATGTGGCACATATACACCATGGAATACTATGCAGCCATAAAAAATGATGAGTTCATGTCCTTTGTAGGGACATGGATGAAATTGGAAATCATCATTCTCAGTAAACTATTGCAAGGACAAAAAACCAAACACCGCATGTTCTCATTCATAGATGGGAATTGAACAATGAGAACACATGGACACAGGAAGGGGAACATCACACTCTGGGGACTGTTGTGGGGTGGGGGGAGGGGGGAGGGATAGCGTTAGGAGATATACCTAATGCTAAATGATGAGTTAATGGGTGCAGCACACCAGCATGGCACATGTATACATATGTAACTAACCTGCACTTGTGCACATGTACCCTAAAACTTAAAGTATAATTTAAAAAAAAATGCCAATAAAAAAAAAGAAGGAAGGTGTTACAACAATGGCTGCTGCCTTTTTGCTCTGCACCTCTGTGACCAGAAGTAGCAATCAGCAATCAGAGCACAGATACCTGATATTTGGAGAATAGGGTACTTTTCGCCGACCCTAGCTCCTGCAAGCTGTAGGCCAGGTGTTCCAAGAACATTTGCACAGATGCTTACCATAGGAGTGAAGAGTGGAGGATGGGTAGCTGCTACTATACTAAAAACTGAAATCGACTGATATTAACTACAATGTATTATTTAAGCCTTCCCCGGAAGTTACAAGCCTTCAATAGATTCCAGAGTTCCAAAATAGCTACATCAGAAATATTCTACCAGTGTAACTGTTTTCCAGGTAGGGAGACAGATTTCTGGTACTTCCTAGCGCAATCTTCCCAGAATCCTCTACAATCCATTTTAATATGTACAGAACATACGTCTGTGATAATCACTCTGAGATCAGGTTCATCACAGGAATGGCGTAGATAGGTCTGATCAGAGGGAAAAAAGAAGACTTTTGGAAGAAGAAAATGATACAATTTTTTCTTTTGGCTTATTCCATGCTGATAAATCAGGGAAATGGCTGGGCGCGGTGGCTCACGCCTATAATCCCAGCACTTTGGGAGGCCGAGGCAGGCGGATCACGAGTTTAGGAGATTGAGACCATCCTGGCTAACACAGTGAAACTTCGTCTCTACTAAAAAAAAATATATATATACAAAAAAATTAGCCGGGCATGGTGGCGGGCACCTGTAGTCCCAGCTAATCGGGAGGCTGAGGCAGGAGAATGGCGTGAACCTGGGAGGCGGAGCATGCAGTGAGCTGAGATAGCGCCACTGCACTCCAACCTGGGCGATAGAGCGAGACACTGTCTCAAATAAATAAATAAATAAATAAATAAATAAATAAATAAATAAATAAAATATTGATATATACTACAGAGGCATAGTAACCAAAACAGCATGGTATTGTCATACAAACAGACACATAGAACAGTGGAACAGAATAGAAAACCTAGAAAGAAATCCATACACCTACAGTGAACTCATTTTTGCCAAAGGTGCCAGGAACATACACTGGGGAAATGACAGTCTCTTCAATAAACGGTTCTGGAAAAACAGAATATCCATATGCAGAAGAATGAAACTAGACCTCTGTCTCTCATGATACACAAAAAATCTAATCAAAATGGATTGCAGACTTAAATGTAGGACTCCAAACTATGAAACTACTATAAGAAAACTTTAAGGAAACTCTCTAAGACATTGGTCTGGGCAAAAATTTCCTGAGTAATAGCCCCACAAACACAGGCAACCAAAGCAAAAAAGACAAGGACAAATGGGATCAGATCAAGTTAAAAAGCTTCTGCCCAGCAAAGGAAACAATCAACAAAGTGAAGAGGCAACAAACAGAATGAGAAACAGTGTTTGCAAACTACCCATCTGATAAGGGATTAATAACTCAAATATATAAGGAGCTCAAACAACTCTATAGGAAAAAAAAATTCTGATAACCCAACTAAAAAAATAAGCAAAATATTTGAATAGATATTTCTCAAAAGAAGACGTACAAATGGCAAATAGGCGTATGAAAAGGTGCTTAACATCACTGATCATCAGAGAAATGCAAATCAAAACTACAGTGAGATATCATCTCACCCCAGTTAAAATGGCTTACATTCAAAAGACACAGCAACAAATGCTGGTGAGGATGTGGAGAAAAGGGAACCCTCATACACTGTTGGTGGGAATGTAAATTAGTAGAACCACTATGGAGAACAGTTTGGAAGTTCCTCAAAAAACTAAAAATTGAGCTACCATATGATCCAGCAAACCCACTGCTGGGTATATACTCGAAAGAAAAGAAATCAGTATATTAAAGCAATCTGTACACTATCATGTTTGTTGCAGTACTGTTTACAACCACTAAGATTTGGAAGAAATGTAAGTGTCCATCAACAAATAAATGGAGAAAGAAAATGTACTTTACATGCAATGGAGTATTATTCAGCCATAAGAAAGCATCAGTTCCTATCAGTTGCAACAACATGGATAAAGCTAGAGGTGATTACGTTAAGTGAAATAAGCCAGGCACAGAAAGACAAACATCATATATTCTCACTATTTGTGAAATCTAAAAATCAAAATAATTGAACTCTTGGACATAGGGGGCAGAAGGATGGTTACCAGAGTCTATGAAGGGTAGTGGGAGTGTGAGAGGGGAGGTGGGATGGTTAATGGGTACAAAAAAAATAGTTGGAAAGAATGAATAAGAACTAGTATTTGATAACATTACAGATAACTATAGTCAACAACAATTTAATTGTATATTCTAAAATAACTAAAAGAATATAATTGGTTTGTTTATAACACAAAGGATAAATGTTTGAGGGGATAGGTACTCCATTTTCCATGATGCAATTATTATGCATGGCATGCCTGTATCAAAACAACGCATTCACTCCATAAATACATATGGCTATTATGTACCCACAGAAATTTAAAATACAAAAATAAAAAAGAAAAAAAGAAATAATTTTTAAAATTGCAGTAAAAATGCTAATTATTAATGCTATTATTAAAAGCCATAATTTCATGGTTTGATTAAATTAGATAATTTCTTTATAAAAATTTTAGTGTCTTAAATTCTATATAAAGCTTTCTTGTTTCATGCATGCATAGTATTTAGTAATAATTATTTTGGTAATTATTCTCAAACACTTACAAAATTACCATGAAATTGCTTTTTTGTTTAAAATACATATAAAAAGCATTTTTATCATTTTAAATACATTAAAATCTTAAAAAATAAATGAAAAACATTATGTCATTATAATGGTTATCTTTTCAGCCTTTCCTTTAAAATTTGTTAGCCTCCAGATAACAGAAGTTTCTGTTGCAAAAAGAAAATAATAATTCCATTTATATGTGTGTATATGTACATGTGCACACACATACATATATAATCATCAATATTCCAAAGTTTCATCATCTTCTCATGACCCTTGACAACTCAGCCAATTCCTCTAGCAGCTTGAAAACAAGAAATGCAGCATCTCTGGTGTAAGCCATCAAAATTAGAATTCAACTCTAGGAGCAGTCCATGTGAGAACCCACAACTAAGGACATATGTCAGCGAGACAGTAGACAGGAATGATTATTCCATCTAAATTACCCCCAGGAGACTAGAGGTAGCAGCAGAAGGATCCACCTAATTTTAATGCAGAAATGAAGGGAGAGAACTTAGTATAACCTCCTGAAGCTGAACAGAAATCTCCAATATGCTTCAGGAATGTCCCAGACCAGCTCTATCTAAAACTAAAGCACTATTCACTTTATTAGCAAACTTCAAAGTGTGATCCAAGGATTATCTGGTTTGAAACGAAATTTTAGATTCTGGGACTCAATCCCTTAAATCTCTTAACTCAGAATCTCTGAAGTTGTCTTTCAGGAATTTGTATTTCTAACAGGGTATCCAGTGGATTATTTTAAAAAATAATATTTCATGGAAACATAATTACATGTAGAAGATAATGTGTGATGGATACCCAGACCAAGATATAAAGCATTTCCATCATTCTAGAAAGTTCCTCTGCCCCTTTCTAGTCAACTCCCCTCGATATACCAACTATGCTAAGTGAATTTTTAACTTTTCTCAGCATACATTGGTTATTTCTGTTCCTGAGCCTCATAAAAATGGAACCTATAGTAAGCAAACTTTTGTTTCCGGTTTCTGCCCCTCAGCATATTATTTTTGAGGCCAGGTAATTTTTAGGCATGGTGGACTTTGAAAACCAAATCTTTCTAAAGCAGAAATTGTCATAAGAAAGTCTAATATTGGAATTCTTCTGAGGTGATGGAGTTGTCTCAAGTTATCTCATTTTAAGGGTGTTTTGCCTTTGAGGCAGGTCCGTTACATGGTTGCCAGATAGGCTGTTAAGTTGAACTCTTCTGCACCAAGGATTTCACTCTTGGAGTTGAAACCAGCTTAAGAAATCAACTACTGAGTTTTCATTGTCATATTTTCACCGTTTCTAAAGTTACGTTTGTCTTCAATTTGAAATTCCGTGAGAGGAATTTTTAAAACACCACAATGACAACCAGTCAAAATTTCAGTTAATATCTGGCTTTAAATAAAATAATCACAAGTGGCTGAATATCTCAGCATTCACCATTTCCTTCCACAGTCCTTTCGGCTTGATTGCTACAGGCTTTCACTTAAGAATTCTAAGTAGTTTCTCAGAATAAAGATAATAACACAGCAAGAAATCAAAGTTGTAATTATCAGAGAAACATGAAAATT
This sequence comes from Homo sapiens, assembly GCF_000001405.40. Lineage (NCBI taxonomy): Eukaryota > Metazoa > Chordata > Mammalia > Primates > Hominidae > Homo > Homo sapiens. The sequence goes on along the minus strand of NC_000015.10, from coordinate 47,114,562 downwards.
ATGATGCAAAACTCACAGTAGACCACCTAGGCTTCAGCCCTGCCAGAGAGATGTTGGCCACTGTGGTACGTTGTTGAGTGTTTTGCTGAGTTCAGTGCTTCAAGCAATTTGACTTTCGTTTTTCTTTTGACTGAGTCTTCCACAATCAAATAGCTATTGTAGGATCAAAGATCTGCTGGAGATGTAAATTAACTTTTCTTTCCCTTATGTTTCCCTCTACAGACTCCAGTCATATAAGCCAGCTTTTCATTAAATTGTCTTCTCTTGGTCTCTGATGTCAGAAGAAGTGATAAAAGTTAGAAGTGAGCTGTCATGCTTTCCCACTGCCATTATACCAAAAGGCCTGCTTGGAGCTGGCAGGGGATGCATGTGAGATAAAATGAGAGGAGGAACAATCTAGACAGTGAGGAACGTCTGCATGGCTGATGGGCAGCATGGGGATGTTCAGTACAGGAAATAGTGAAAGAAAGCTTCTAAAGACATTTTTAGCTAAAGCTGATCCCAGAGGGGAATATTCTGGGGAAACTGGGAACCTCAAATAGTTCCTTTATCAGTTGCATTATTACCAAAATGGGATATTGTCTAGTTTTCTTTTAAAGCTTACCATCAATTTGGGTTTTGCACTGTTTGGTTTAATTTTTTCTTGCATTAACAATTGTTGCTCAGGAAAAAAAATTATTAACTATATTTCAACTTATATGTTTGTAAACTATTCTTTCTTCAAGTAAATATTTACTCATATCAGATCTTTAACTCTTATCATGTAGAAAACATTAACTTCTCACCAAGAGGTGAGTCCACTTGTAACTGTGGGACTTATAAATGGTCAAGAAGAGGTTCACAGTTTATTGTCAAGATTCTTTGGGAAGCTATAGCTTCTACTTTCATTTATTGTAGATGTAAAGAAAAGAAAGCTACTATAATTCTGGGTCATTCAAGTAGCCTAGTAGCTCTATTACTTTCTGCTTCAAAGAAGAATATATCTTTGAAAATGTTACTAATTCTGAACTAAGGTCTTTTTCATTTCTTTGACCTTTGATGCTTCCCCATTGATTAAGCACAAGTTTTATTTCATAGTGATGGAGATAAAATGCATATTTCCACTCTATGCTCCATTCTGTACATCTCTATTGGAGAAGTAAAAATTTTATAACTTTGAAGTGACGTGCTTAGAGATTAGGGACAAAAAAAGAGAAATATTTGATTATCAGGAATCATAAAATTGGCAAACTCTACAAAGTCATCTGGAAAAACAGGACATTTGGATTGAGAATCAAAAAATACTGGTCAGAATTGAAACTCTGCTACTTAATAATTGCAAATCACATAATCTGAATCCTATTTTCTTGATCTATGAATTGAGGATACTATTATCTGGTCTTTCTGGAGGTTTTCTCTGGGGTTGAGGGTGAAAATCAAATGAGGTAATCAATGTGAATGTACCTTGTGTTCTAAAAAGTACTATGAACGTGTGAGTGGTTGCTGTTGCTTTTGCTGCTGCTTGTGCTCCTAGTGATGACAAGCCTCATGGCATCCTGGAAGACAGACACACTGGAATACAAACCCAAGTTACTGTTCTGCTAAATGTGTGTCACTATTTAGTGTGTGTCACATTTTTATATCAAGTTTCCTTATCTGTAAAATGAGGTTTAATATTACTGTTTAAAATGAATACACAAAAATAAAACTATGTAAATAATATATATATAGTTGTTAGTAAATTCCAAACACATAATAGATGATCAATAAATATTAATTTTCTTTGTAACTCCCTCCTCCCCATGCACATGTGCACACGTACACACACACACACACACACACACACTTACACACACACACACACACACACACTCTGAAGCACACATTTGGGACCAGGGCAAGAGTTGGAATTAGGGCAAGAATTGGCAATTTAGAGCCTGTGAAATAAATCTGGCCCACGCTCTGTTTTTGTAAATAAAGTTTTATTTGAACACAGCCACACTTATTTGCTTACATATTACCTATAGTTGCTTTTGCACTATAATGATAGAATTGACTAGTTGCAACAGAGACTGTATGGCCCATGAAACCTAAATACTTACCCATACGGCCCTTTACAAAAAGTTTGCTGATCCCTGGTCTAAAGAAAGGATCTAATATTACAAAAATAAGAAATGAATAGTCTTGTTAATTGGTGTTTAATTATATGAACAACAGATACAACCTTGGAGGTGTAGATGGAATCTCAAACATTTTGATGTCAGGACCTCTTTACAATGAAAACACTTTAATATATGTTGGTTATATCTGTCTATATTTATCATATTCAAAATTAAAAACAAATTCTTAAAAATACTAATTCATAAAATTAACTTATTACCTATTAAAATAAATGACACTTTCATTAAAAATATATTTTCCAAAGCAAAATTTAGTTAAAAGATTAGTGCTTTATATTTTTGCAAATGCCTTTAATGTTTGGCTTAAATAAAGACAATGGGAATCTCATATCTGTGTCTGCATTCAATCTGTTCTGATAATACACATATATAGCCTTTGCAAAATTCTGCTCTACACTTGCGCAGTCCTAGCTTTATTATAAAAATAGTTTTGAGTTTGTGGACACTCAGTTGTCCCATATTACAGTTTGAAAACCACTTCTATAAGGTGTTGTGTAAATGTACAAAATCCAAACCAGGGTAAGAACCTCAAAATATAAAACTTAACTTAAAATATTAAGACCCTGATAAATTTCACTCTCTGCTTCATAGCAAATAATTTGTTTTGAATGCAGTTGTATTTTGTTATGTAGAAGACTGTGCACTAAAACATAGTCCTTAAACCAAAATCTCATGTATAAAACCACATATTTTCTATTGATTTGTATTTTTTAAACGTAAAAATGGATTCACATTTCTATGTGTAAAATGCCAGGCTCAAAATACTTTTACTGCTATGATTCCGAGTCTTATTTACTGAGGAGGCAAACCATACTAACCCAGAATCAGGGTATTGTGACCATCCATTTTAAATATAATTGCCTCTACTATTTCTAAGTCCCTGTTCTGCAACCCTGTGGCTCTTTTAAATTTGAGAAACAGTTTTGATGGGCCCCGTATTGAGTATTATTATTTCCCAGAGGTACTATTAATAGTTTATGGCCAGACTATCCATCCCTGAGTTTCCATTAAAAGAAAGAAGGTCTATGGCACTGCAACTTTTTCCCACCAGATTTTTTTGACCATCTGCCCTTGCTCCTCAGGAGCTCCCCGTGCCTCCCTGTGTATGTCTATCCCTGCAAATGCCAAGGATATGGAATAAGTGAGCCTACTGCCCCTGTGGCACTGCAGGGGGACTCCTTGGCAAAGTGTTTATATCTATCTGATGTCTCCTCACTTCTTCAATCTGTTCACTAGAATTAGGTCAGGCACAAGCTATCACAAAAAAAGAAACATAGAGTGTTTGATGTAAATAAAGTGATCTTTTAAAATTACACCACAAACGTATTCACTGTAGATAATGTAGAAATACATATGCACAAAATCCAAACCAAATATACACCCTAAATATCACCACTAGAAACAACTATTTTGGAATACTTATAGTACTCTCATTATTATTTTAATTAGTCACTTGTGATCTCATTTACTTAAAACTTAAAAACTGAATACTAAATGATTTTTTAAGATACCCAACTAGTAGAAAAACCTAATCTACTATTTTCACAAAACTTCAACATAATAAACACTTATTGCAAAAGCTGGAAGCATTCCCTTTGAAAACTGGCACAAGAAAGGATGCCCTCTCTCACCACTCCTATTCAACATAGGATTGGAAGTTCTGGCCAGGGCAATCAGGCAAGGGAAAGAAATAAAAGGTATCCAATAGGAAGAGAGGAAGTCAAATTGTCTCTGTTTGCAGATGACATGACCGTATATGTAGAAAACCCCATTGTCTCAGCCCTAAAACTCTTTAAGCTGCAACTTCAGCAAAGTATCAGGATGCAAAATCAATGTGAAAAAATCACAAGTATTCATATACACCAATAATAGACAAGCAGAGAGCCAAATAATGAGTCAATTCCCATTCACAACTGCTACAAAGAATAAACTACCAAGGAATAGAACTTACAAGGGATGCGAAGGACCTCTTCAAGGAGAACTACAGACCACTGCTCAAGAAAATAAGAGAGGACACAAACAAATGGAAAAAAAAATCCATACTCATGGATAGGAAGAATCAATATAATGAAAATGGCCATACTGCTCAACGTAATTTACAGATTCAATGCTATTCCTATCAAGCTACCATTGACTTTCTTCACAGAATTAGAAAGAAAAAACACTTTAAATTCCATATGGAACCAAAAAAGAGCCCATATAGCCAAGACAATCCTAAGCAAAAAAAACAAAGTTGGAGGCATCACCCTACCTGACTTCAAACAATACTACAAGGCTACAGTAACCAAAACAGCATGGTTTTGGTAACTAACAAATATATAGACCAATGGAACAGAACAGAGACCTCAAAAATAATACCACACATCTACAACCATCTGGTCTTCAACAAACCTGACAAAAACAAGCAATGAGGAAAGGATTCCCTAATTCATAAATGGTGCTGGGAAAACTGGCTAGCCATATGCAGAAAACAGAAACTGGGCCCCTTCCTTACACCTTATACAAAAATTAACTCGAGACAGATTAAAGACTTAAAACCACAAAAACCCTAGAAGAAAGCCTAGCCAATACCATTCAGGACGTAGACATGAGCAGACTTCGTGACTAAAACACCAAAAGCAATTGCAACAAAAGCCAAAATTGACAAATGGAATCTAATTAAACTAAAAAGCTTCTGCACAGCAAAAGAAACTATCCTCAGTGTGAACTGGCAACCTAAAGAATGGGAGAACATTTTTGCAATCTACCCATTGGACAAAGGTCTAATATCCAGAATCTACAAGGAACTTAAACAAGAAAAAAACAACCCCATCAAAAAGTGGGCAAAGGATATAAGCAGACACTTCTCAAAAGAAGATATTTAGGGCTGGGCATGGTGACTCACGCCTGTAATCCCAGCATTTTGGGAGGCCAGGGTGGGTGGATCGCCTGAGGTCAGGAGTTCAAGACAAGCCTGGCTAACATGGTGAAATCCCGTTTCAACTAAAAATACAAAAAATTAGCTGGGCATGGTGATGCATGCCTGTAATCCCAGCTACTTGGGAGGCTGAGGCAGGAGAATCGCTTGAACCCAGGAAGCGGAGGTTGCAGTGAGCCGAGATCGTGCCGTTACTACTACAGCTTGGGCAACAAGAGTGAAAATCCGACTCAAAAAAAAAAAAAAAAAAACGGCATTTATGCGGCCAATGAACATATGAAAAAACACTCATCATCACTGGTCATTAGAGAAATACAAATCAAAACCACAGTGAGATACCATCTCACGCCAGTTAGAATGATGATGATTAAAATGTCAGGAAACAACAGATGCTGGAGAGGCTGTGGAGAAATAGGAATGCTTTTACACTGTTGGTGGGAGCGTAAATTAGTTCAACCATTGTGGAAGACAGTGTGGCAATTCCTCAAGGATCTAGAGCCGGAAATACCATTTGACTCAGCCATCTCATTACGATAGATTATAAATCATTCTACTATAAAAACACATGCATACATATGTTTATTGCAGCACTATTTACAATAGCAAAGACTTGGAACCAATCCAAATGCCCATCAATGATAGACTGGATAAAGAAAATGTGGCACATATACACCATGCAATACTATGCAGCCATAAAAAGAATGAGTTCATGTCCTTTGCAGGGACATGGATGAAGCTGGAAGCCACCATTTTCAGCAAACTAACACAGGAACAGAAAACCAAACACTACATTTTCTCATTCATAAATGGGAGTTGAACAATGAGAACACATGGACACAGGGAGGAGAACATCACACACCGGGGCCTGTCAGGGGATGTGGAGCAAGGGGAGGGAGAGCATTAGAATAAATACCTAATGTATGCGGGCTTAAAACCTAGCTGATGGGTTGATAGGTGCAGCAAACCACCATGGCACATGTGTACCTGTGTAACAAACCTGCATGTTCTGCACATGTTCTGTCCCAGAACTTAAAGAAAAAAAAAAGAGAGAGAAAATCTCTTGAAACTTCATGGAATCTCTAACTTTATTAATATAGTCAGCATAAAACGAGGTAATCATAAAGAACTAAAACAATATAATATAGTCAGCATACAACAAGGTAATCATAAAGAAATAAAATCATGAGAAATAAAATTTCATGAAAGCATATGTTTATAGAAATAGCATGTTTCAGGAAAAACAGTCTTATTTTTAAAAAATTGTCTCATAATATTTTATGGCATACAATATCTTCTTTTCTGCCAGCCATGTATATCTTTACAAAATACACATAGTAATGAACTAATAGCCAATCCTCATCAGGATCAATGAAAATCAATTGTTAAAGTAATAGAAATTAATATATATTTATTAGGGAAATTCCATGAATTATCTTTTGGACCAAAAAACTATCTAGTCTGTAAATGGATCAGGTTTAGTGTGTTTACAGGGTAGATACTGAGGCCAGAAACATTCAAGAGAGAGATTCGGACTTCAAAAAGAGGAACTTGAGAGAGTTAGCTGCAGAGCAAAAGCACTAATTCAGGGCTGGTGGAATAGGATAGCATACAAAAGACATGGGGATGTTGAAGAGAATATTTCTTTCCATGCATGGATGTATTGATACAAGCAAGCTTCCGTCAGAAAATGATTTCCTTCTAAAGGTTCATATGGCATAAACATTAACACTTTTCCTTTATTGTCTCACAGATCAGCTTTTCCTCCAAAGATTCTCCTTCTGGAAAAGTAAAGTCCAGAAAGAGAAATATTTAATTGTTACAGTCAAAAAATTATACTTATTCACTAATGCTGCAGCCAGGGTAGAAGAGAGAGAAGTTCCAACTTTAGCCATACTTTTACCAACTTTTCTTTCTATTTTTAAAGACAAGCATACAGGAATGAAAGTGAGTGTTGTTATACTGGAGGAATTCTCTTAAATTTATGAAAGAACAAATTACTCATAATTATGAGATTTTATAATCAGTAATACATTTCTTATTATAGTTTTTATCAGTGTGCCTCAACTGTGAAGGTTGAGACTTTCTGCTCAACATGATACCATATTACAGTCATGCACCACGTAACAATGTTTGCTCAACGACAGACTTGTATATACAATGGTAGACCCATAAGACTATCTTACTGTATTTTACTGTACCTTTTCTATGTTGATGTTTGTTTAGAAACACAAATATCTATCATTGTGTTATAATTGCCTACAGTATTCACTAAAGTAACATGCTATAAAGTTTTGTAGCCTAGGAGCAATAGGCTATACCATATTGCCTAGTTGTGTAGTAGTGGGCTACAATTTAGGTTTGTATAAGTACACTCTATGATGTGTGCAGGAAAATGAAATTGCCTAACAATGCATTTTTCAGAAAGTATCTCTGTTATTAAGCAATGCATGATTTTATTCCCCCTCCCTTCTTACTCACCTGACTTCTCATTTTTTCATACCTCGCTTAACTCATCATTTGTCAATTCTTGCCAGTTCTTACTCCTCTGCAATGTATTTAACATTCATCCTTTCATTATCATTTCCATTGTCACATCTCATATTTCTATTCTCTGTCATCTGGAAAATTGCAAAGTTTCCATGATATGGCACATCGGGGCCTGAGAATATTTATATGTACATTTTCCATTTCTATTGCAGTCTGTCATGAAATTCAGTGACCACAGTAGTTCCTTGTTCAACAGCCATCAATGGCTTTAAAGCACTTATCTATCTAAAAGTGTTCAAGTAGCCTGATCAAATATCGACATAGCTTACAGTGATTTCACTCTTATTCTACATAAAGGTTATGATTTAATCTGGACATACCTTGTTCTTTCCTGATTCTTATCAGACCATTTCTTCTGTCCTCTAGAATATAGATTTCATGTGGCCAGAAAATTTTTCTATTTTGTTCTGCTATACTCACAGTCCCTAATGATGTGTAGGCCAAATATTAATAGTGAGAATTTTTTAATGAATCAATTCATAAGTACATGAATATTTCACATAGTTTTGTCCACAATTTTACCTCTGGAAATACCCCACTTTTTATTTTTGAATGCCGTTGACCACAGTGAGTGGTTTGGTCTCATCATAAGGGAAGATGGATCAGAATGAGTAACAATTCTTTGGTAAGTTTTAGGAAAGTGGAAAGATGTCCCGTTATTGTTTATTCAACAAATGCTTACTGATTAACTCCTGTGTTCAAGGAACTGGCTCCATTGTTTCTATCTTCAAAGGCCTCAAAATCTAGAACTTGAGATAGAAACAGAAACTACTTAGGATATATTGTTTATTTCAACATTTTGAGATTTAATCATAAAATAAAATGGAAAAACATAGAAGTCAGTTATTTTATTTACTTGGATACATTGGAGAATCTCTGAAAAGGTCACTCAGAAGCCAGATTTGAAGAATGAGTTGAAATTTACTGGAGACATAAATAGAGGAAGGGAACAGTTAGAAGATAGCCCATGAGTAGATTTAAGAATTTTCAGACCAGTCGTGGTGGCTCATGTCTGTAATTTCAGTACTTTGGGAGGCCAAGGTGGGAAGATCACTTGAGGCCAGGAGGTCAAGACCAGCATGGTCAACAGAGTGAGACTTCATCTCTACAAAAATAAAAAGCAAAAAATTAGCTGGGTGTGGCGGCACACCCTTGCAGTCGGAGCTATTCTAGAGGCTGAGGTGGGAGGATTGTTTGAATCCAGGAGTTCAAGGCTGCAGGGAACCATGATTACACCACGGCACTCCCCCAGGCTAGGTGATAGAGCACAACCCTGTCTCTAAAAAAATATGACTTTGCAACATTATGATAAAGTCTTGAAAGTGCTCTTAGTTGCCCATCCGTTTGCACAATGGAATAGCATGTGCTGTGATAACAGAAGTGTAGGGTGTCATGAGAGCCAATTGGAAGATCATTGTACCTGGATTGTAGGAAGAAATAAGGGAAGGCAGCAAGGAAGATCAGGGAATGTAGAAGCTGACACGTTGTAGGTGACTCAAACGTAAGTGGGTGAAGAAAGAATAGGTAAATGTCTACTTAAAAAAAAGCAAACAGCATCAAATTTAAGAAGTTATAAAAATTTATTTAAAAAAACAAGATATATGAGGGTAACAATAACAATGAAATCATAAATCAGAAAAAATATAATTGCAAAATCCTGACTGGCTTGTTTAAAAAAGAAACAATAATAAAATAGATAAGTTTCAATAAAATTTAATCAAGATAAACTACACATTTAAAAATTAGGAATAAAGCATATAACAACAGATGTGAAGATATTTAAGTTCTAAGTTAATACTATGATATATTAATATTTTAAGTCTTAAAGTAGATAATTTAACTTTAATAGATGAATATAGCAGTAACAAAGTAGTATATACTAAAAAACAGTAACTTTCCTCCAAAAAAACCTTTACAAGCAATGGACTTATAGATTTCCTTCAATAATCAAGAAATGTGAAATGTCAACAAAATGTTCAATGACATAGAAAAATGTGGGGGAAACCAAATTTTTAACAAAACTTTTGTAAATCTGATATATAATCTGATAATGGCAACAGTGAAGAAAATTACAGAACTTCTTTCAGATAAACATATGGAAAATCTTAGAAAACCTTACCAATATATTAATAGAAAGTAATATAAAAATCAGAATAAATATCATAAAATTATTGAACAAAATTCAAGATTGATTTCTGATTAAAAAGAAAAATACAGTTATAGGGAAAAGTGGAATTACTAATATCTAACTAATATATTAAGGATGCCAATCTAAAAATTGCTAATAGCAACATATTTACAAAATAATAACTATTAACATGAGAAGGAATGTAAGATTTAATAATTAGCATTATGTTACAATTCTGGGAATTCTGATCAATGCAGTAAAATATCAAGCAGAAATAACTAGAGAGTTGTGATAACTTATATTATTTGCAAATATTACAACTATAAGGAACCTTAAAATGATCATTTTTTATAATTTATTATAGTAAATTTTTAAAGTCTACCTTAGGAAAATAACACTAAGAAAAAATGTTAACAAAAATATTTTTGGAGTTATTTATGTTAACAAAATTTGGAAAAGCCTAAATATTTAGCTAGAAGGAAACGGTACATTGATATAGACTGGCATTAAACTTAGTTTCTTGATTTGATTAAACTTAGTTTCTATGAGACATTGGTATCATTCAGTCTGTATGTATAGACACTGACTGAAACACAAAGTGGGTTATAAGTGGCACCCATGAAGAAAATATCAGAGAATCAAATGGAAGGAAAAGAGCAGAACCTGAATAATGATTACCTTTGGACAGTGGGATCTTAGTTCCTTTTACTCTTCCTACTAATTTAAAATTTGCAAATTCATTACCTTGAGAATATGAGAATACATTATATTTATAATTAGAAAACATAAAATGAGTGCTAAATAAACAAATATATCAAATTCTGTTTAGAATTCACTTCCCCAAGAAACTTGCCTTGATTAATCCCACTGGCATTGATCATTACTTTATATGGCACCCCCATACTTACGTATTCAGTTTCTACCATATTAATTTGCATGTTTTAAAAAGTCAATTTATAAGCATAATTATGGCATTTCTACATTTATATAGTGTAGTCTCCAAACTGAATTATAAGCTTCAGGATATGAGGAACCACAGTGTATTTCCAACTATATTTATACAATAAATCATGTGGTAATTTTCACAGAGTGAATGTTGTTAACTTACCGAACACCTGATGAAACATGGGAAAGATGGCAATGTCTGACAAGAGGAACAGACATGAAATAAAATCCAACATTCTGTATAATTCTTATTGTCTCTTAACCCTACTTGTTGAATTACGAAAACTACATATACAAAAATTTGAGCATTATACTCTTTTAGCTGTACATTATCATTTCAAAACAAACTTATACATGGCTCCCATTATCACAATAATCTTCCCATTGTAAAAACTTTTAAGCTCTAACTTTCTGCCATTACTACATTACCTTTATATTGGTTAGTTTATGCCATATTTCTGAGTTTCTGTCAATAGTCATCTGAAGTATTTTTGTGTAAAAATTAGATAGTAACAGGAAAATAGATAACTGCTTCTAATAGGTAGAAGTCATTACTATAGCTTTGCCTATTAACACATACGCACTATTTCTTCATGTCCCAGATGTTCAGGCATATGGGAATGAAAAAAATTAATGAGTTGGAACCTCTTGATTCAGTTATTCTGGTGACAAACAATCTGTATAGCTCATTGATGATTGTTTTACCCTTGACAAAGTGGCTGCAATTGTTACTTGCAGATGTAGCTACACTTAATTCTTTTCTCCACTCCCCACTGCATTGTATTTGTTATTCTTGATATGAGAAATGTGTTAAGAAACATGCCACTAACTGCATGTGCTCCCTATGCAATTAGCTACAGAAAGAGGTGATAACTCATATTATTTACAAATATTACAAGTATAAGGAACCTAAAAATGATCATTTTCTATAATTTATTATAATAAATTGTTAAATTTATCTTAACAATTATCGATTAGCTACAGAATACGATTAGTGTTTCTTACTTTAGCCAGATGTAAACATGTGATGCAGTAATTTAGTGAAGAATATTACTGACTTCAGAGGATAGGGCTTTGGTCAAGAATTTTGAGAAACTCTTGAAAAAGGAAAAGAAAACCCCTCATGACAGTAATACAATTCCAAAAGCAAAAGGAGAAAAAATGTAAATGTATTAAATCAAAAAATATTTTAAGGTAAGGCAAAAGTAGGTATAGAATGGTGAGTCACATACAAATTGTGAAAGTGAGTAATGGCCCAGAAATCAAAGGAGAGGGAAAAATATGGTAGGTGAATATGGTTGCAATGCTAATTAAAAAATGTTATTAGCAGCTAGCTCAATTCAAGCCTTGAATAAATAGAAATACAGTGTTTATAACAGTACGCTTAATCTACTGGTGACAATATTAAGATAATTGTTGAAGTATACTTAAAAGAAGTTAGCGAAAGAGAATGAAAGACTATTGAACTTTTCTGGTTTGTTTTGTAAAAATTTGCCTATGTCCATGTCCAACATACAGGCACACAAATAAAATATTGGAAATAGAGAACAAATCTTGGCCATTCAAATGGGAGTCAGCTATTAATTCTTTGGCCATAGGCTGTATTCCTACAAGCAAACTTTGGCTAAAGTATGTGATTCAATACAGATACTCATTTTTTTCAAGTGTTTACAACCTGTTTGAGTCCATTTGGACTGCTGTAACAAATTACCTTAGACTGGGTAATTTATAAACAGAATTTATTGTTCTCAGTTCTGAAGGTTGGGAAGTCCAAGATCAAGGTGCCAGCAGAGTTGTTATCTGGTGAGGTTTGTTTCTCAGACTTACTGCTGCATCTTCACGTGGCATAAGGGCAAAAGTGGCAAAGTAGCTCCTGAAGGGTTCTTTTATAAGGGGACTAATCCATTCATGAGGGCTTCCCACCCCCCATAACCTACTCACATCCCAAAGACCTCCCCTATTTATTTATTTATTTATTTATTTATTTATTTATTTATTTATTTATTTATTTGAGATGGAGTCTTGCTCTGTTGCCCAGGCTGGAGTGCAGTGGCACAATCTCAGCTCACTACAACCTTTGCTTCCCAGGCTCAAGCAATTCTCCTGCCTCAGTCTCCTGAATAGCTGGGATTACAGGTGTGTGCCACCACGCCTGGCTAATTTTTGTATTTTTAGTAGAGATGGGGTTTCACCATGTTGGCCAGGCTGGTCTTGAACTCCTGACCTTGTGATCTGTCCACTTCGGCCTCCCAAAGTGCTGGGATTACAGGTGTGAGCCACTGTGTCCAGACTGGCCTCACATCTTAACACCAACATATTGGGAATTAGATTTCAATATATGAATTTTGGAGAGATATAAACTTTCAGCCCATAGCACAAACCAAGGATGAATGTTTGAGGCACCTGTCAAAATACACATTTGAAAAGAGCAGAACGTCTGGAACGCCAAATGAATTACATTAGTAGAGGCAAATTCTAACAATGAAATGAAAAGAACTGCAAACAGAATCACAGAGAGAACCATTTAATTTTAACATTGAGGAAAAACTTTGAATGTGGGTTCCATTCGATTGTACAATAACTCAATGTATACAGCATCAACACTTTTAAAATATTGAGATAAAATATTTTTGGATTTTATCAAATTTGGATGTAATGCTAGAAGAAGAATTCATACTTTGAAGCGACTGTGATAAATTAAAGGATTTGTTTCCTTCTGTTTGCATTTGCTACATGCTGTTTCCAGTATGAATATTTTCACAAGATTTACATGTCTAATACATGAGTTGGCTCCTGACCTTGAAGCAATTGCTAGCAATAGATACACTGGTAAAAAAAATTATCTTCTGTTGTCCTGCATGACCATGGACATGGACATCTTAGTATTTATGCATAGTGAAAACTTTTGGTTCAGCTTAATAAATATTTATTGACAATGTGCTAATCATGAGGAGAACTGTGGATAAAGGTGGATGATAAAGATAGATTTAAGTTGGGAAACTACAACCACTACATCTACAAGGGCTGAAAGTATATACAAGTCAGAAGCACACAGAAATCACTGAACCACAAAGTAAATGGCCATAAGTGCTGTGATATACCCAAACCATGTCCTACTTATATAGTCCTTTAAACGGATAAATAATACATTAATTCTGACTGGGAAGGGAGAAAGTTTCTAGGAATAGTTCTTTAAAAAGTTGCATCAGTTTTGATTCATACAAAGAAAGAGACTGTTACAGAAGAGCTAGCTAACGGAAGACCTAGCATAATTTTTTTATTGCACAATATCAGGGAACCCAACAGTTTTGTCAGCAGAAGCTACTTTTAACTTCTTTGGATACTTGAGATCATCTGGGAAGATTGTGGTAAGTAAGGCTGCTGATGAAGACTTTGATTAAGAAAGGATTTATCAGGAGCTGGGCACAGTCGCTCATGCTTGTAATCCCAGCCATTTAGGAGGATGAGGCAGGAAGATTGCTTAAGGCCAGGAATTAGAGATGAAACTGGGCAATATAGCCAGACCACCCTCTACCAAAAATAAAAAACAATTAGATGGGCATTGTGGCACATGTGTGTGGCCCCAGCTATTGGGGAGACTGAGGTAAAAAGATCACTTGGGCCCAGGAATTTGAGGCTACAATAAGCTATGGTTGTGACGGCAGCGGCTGCTGCCATCATGTCAGCTGCAGTGGGGAGGTGTGGCCGGGGTTGTATGCTCCCTGGAGTTGGCAGGACGGGGACAAGTGGGAGCCCTGCCCCTTCCGAGTTGGAATGGGAGCTCCCTGGGTGCCGCTGCAGCTGCCCAAACTGCAGCTGTAGCTGTAGACCTGGACCTCCCACTCCATGGAGCAGACCGGAGTTTATCCAATTCCCCTACACTGCCCCTGCCCCAGCCCACCACCCAGCCACCCAAACCAATGCTGCAGACTCAGGCATCCCTGCACTCTTGGGGAGGCTGGGAACGTCCCCCCTTGCCCCTTGCAGGCTTGGAGGTGCCTCCTCCTGCTGCCTGGTCTCTCCCAGCTCCTGGCTCTGTGCTCTGACCTCAGAGTGGGGTTGGGACCCAGCAGGGTGCTGTCACAGTCCAGCCAGGTATGCACACATTGGGACCAGTGATGACATGCCAGCCCCCTGCCACCTCAGCCCCCTCTGAACTTTGAACACTGAGGAGCAGGAGCATGGGAGGGGAAGCTGAGGGGATCTGAGGGTGGCTGGGCACTGGCCTGCAAGTGCCCCTTGATGCCAGAAGCCTGGGTGCCATGGATGGCTGTGGGAGGCAGACAGGTTCCTGGGTGGAAGGGGGTGGGTCCCCAGTGAAGCCCCACCTGCAGGCTAGGCTGCCAGTCCTGCAGACTGGAGGGGAAACTCATGGTGCTTTTTCCTGGGCCCGCCCATGGCTGCCCATGGACCAATGGGCATACACTTCCTCCCCTCTGACATCCATAAAAGCCCAGGACTCAGCCAGAACAGGGCAGAAGACAGAGGAGGGAAGACTAGATGCAGAAAGGAGCTATCCTTTCTGCTAATAGCTGGAGACAATGAGAGGGCCAGCTACTTTCTCTGCTGAATGCTTCAGAGACCTGCAGAGATGGCTGGGAACTACCAGGTACAGACAGGAGCAACCCTCTCCAGGGCTTCCCTTTCTGCTGAGAGCTGAACACTCGACAGAACAACCTACAGAGAGGAGCTACCCACTATGGGTCTCCTCGGAGCTGTTCTGACACTTAATAAAGCTCCTCTCCTTTCACCCTTCACTTGTCTACCTACACCATTCTTCCTGGATGCAGGACAAGAACTGGGGCAAAGATGCCACCAACCACAGAGGTTTCCAACCAGAAAATCGACACCCCGAAGATTCTGTAACAATTGCACCACTGCACTCCAGTCTAGGTGACAGAGTGAGACCCTGACTCTTAAAAAAAGAAAAAGAGGGAATTATCCACAAGTTATTAGATAAAGACTGCTAATAGCTTATAATTGTGATAACTTCCCATTTGAAATGAAAGGGATGGAAGTTAACACCAGGTCAGTTTTCCCAAAGTTATAACCCTGCTTTTGACCTCTTTCAGCTTCAGTCAGACATTAGCAATGCTCAGTTACCTTCAATATTAAGCCAGTCCTGACATGAAACTGGCAGCATTTGAGAACACTGACTCAGACTTGAAGGTAGATCTGGAATTAGGATTGCTGCTTTAAGCCCAGTATCAAGGTATGCAATCAATCATGAATTTCTCATAAACCAAATTTAGTGGATTTTTTTTCTATAATTCTGATGATAACTTTGCCTTGATTATATATTAAAACAATTCATTTGCTGTATCTTCATTAGTGTCCCAAATGTTTTGGGTTGACATACTGATGTTAGCTAGTGGTTTTGGTCTCAAGTTTCAGTAGCTGCTCCAATGTAAAATGATCACACATAAATCTTAGGTTTTTACTCATATGATACCTTGTCTGATACTATCTTCATCTATCAAATAAAGGGTTTAGTATTTTCTTAGTCAATGTGGGCTGCTATAACAGAAAACCTAGATTGAGTGGCTAAAACAACAAACATTTGGTTTTCACAGATCTGTAGGCTGTAAATCTGAAATCAGGGAGTCAACATGGTTGGGTTCTTGGTGAAGTCTGTCTTCCTGGTTTACAGATGGCTGTCTTATTTTATCCTCACATGTAGGAGAGAAAAATCTCTCTTGTATCTCTTCTTAGAAGGGCACTACTTTCCTTTGATGGGGGCTTCATCTTCATGACCTAATTACCTCCCCAAAGATTACCTCCTAATACCAACACATTGAGAGTTAGGATTTCAACATACGAATTTGAGGGATTTGCGGTTCATAATAACTGTCAATGTCAGCTCAGTTCAAGCTTGAATTTGTTTTGCTTTGGGTGACAAATCTCTAACTAATTTGAATTCATCTTTCCCCAGTCTGGCTCAATGTTGTCTTCTTTCTCCTTCACCACCAACAGTTATCAAGATGTCAGTTTTACTTGAGGCTAAGTCTGTTTTAGTTATCACAATAGAGAACCCTGTAAGCTATATCTTAGTTGTCCCTTTCATAATATTTTTCATTATGGAAAAAATGCATTCTAAACATAGTCCTATTCTAAGGAACTTGGCTGCATCTTTGCAACAAAAATGATGTGGAAATTTGCCAAATACAGCTGTAGAGAAAGGTAAAATCATTGCTCTGAATTATTCATAAAGTCACAGAAATTAGGGACAAACACTAAATAAGGATGCATTATTCAGTGACCTGAAACAGATATTTTCTTTAGTTTCTCATGTAATTTGAAATGTACTGCAATTTACATCCTCACTGTTATAAACATATGATGTTTCTCTTTTAGTGAAAAGCACCCAAACGAACTTGTTAAACAAATGAGTTTTTTTTTCTCTTCCCAGCTCTAAAAGCAATTTTTATACCGATACATCTACAAATATGTTTTAATAGACCTAACCTCTCTATGATGTCATTTCCCCCCTGAATACCAGAATATATATTTAGTCCTGTAGAATTATTTAGCTCTCAGGTGCTGAGTTACTATTTCCCAGGAGTTGCATTGCACAAAGTAATGTGGACAAATTTCTCATTTTAAATTTCACCTCACATGGTCCTTTGGTTTTGTAACATTGTACCTGTTTTGATTGTTTTTTTCCTTTCTATGGAAATTATTTGCCAAGTAAGGAGAAAAAGTGTTGATATTTTTCCTTATTCAAAAATTATGGTAGATGAAAAAAATCTGATTAAATAACTCTATTACAGTCTTTATGGAAATTATTTGCCAAGTAAGGAGAAAAAGTGTTGATGTTTTTCCTTATTCAAAAATTATGGTAGATGAAAAACATCTGATTAAATAACTCTATTATAGTCTTTCTCAACTTTTTACCAAGATAAACATGAAGGCACTGAAAAGGTGAAATTTTCAGCTATTGAAAAATTTGGAATGTAGGACATCATGCCGAGATTTGAGGAAACGTATCAATAATTTAGCAAGGGATGGTAGTAGATACACAAGAAACAATTAGAAACAAAAAAGCCTTGGATTCTTTTCATGATAAAGAAAATACGTTCTGAAAGTAAGTACAAAGACGCTTTGTATTTCCTTTATAACCTGTTCCCTAACAGAATACCAGGGCCTATGCCAATGGAAAAACTCTGTCTGTAGATGTGTTTTTCTCTTCTGGTGCTGATATGGTCATAGGATGGGGATGCTCTCTCTTTGCTATTTCTCTAACCAATCTTATTACTATATCAATTAATATCAAAACATTTCAACTCTAGTTACTGACAAGAGGGTAAACTAGGGTGCACTCTTGACTCATAACAAGGATTCAGATCTAGAGTTCTGATAGAGTGAAGAGATTATGTTTGCAACTGAGAAACAAATGTAAAAACTGTAAGGAATCCCTGGAGAGTCTGAAAGTCCCTGAGCCCTGATACAGAGAGCAAATGGCAGTTTAAGGCTGACCACCTCTCATTCCCTCCACTATTTCTCGCATAATATTACAGTACACTCTTCACTGCTCTGTTTCAAGCTTTGCCCTTCCACCTTTCTATTCCACAGAGCAGGTAGAACGTTCCTCTTAAAATACAAGGTGGATTATTTTACTCATCTGCTTAAAAACTTTTCAATGGCTTCTCATCTCATTCTGAATGAAATTGAAAGTGCTTTCCAGGCTTACAAGTCCCTGTACGATCCTGAGCCTTGACTATATCTCTGACAAAATCTCCAACCTCCCATTGGTCACTCCTGCTCTGTCACACTAGTGTCCTTGCTGTTGTTTTGAAATATAGCAAGCATGATTTCATTTCAGTGTCTTTATCCTTGTTACGTTCTCTGCCTGCCTTGTTCTGTGTCTTGGGCATTCCATATGACTCATCTCCTCATTCCCCTTAGTCCTTTTTCCATGTGGCATTTTAATATAGAAATCTTCACTATCTAAAATTATACTCACATATCCATAACTTCTTTTATTGCTCTACATATCCTTACAGCATTTATCATTATCATTTATCAGCTTATTTGTCTTTCCTTACTAAAATGTAAACTAAATACAGACAGAAATTTTTGTAATTAAAAAACACATAACAAAAAATCTACCATCTTAATAAAATTTTAAGTTTGCAGAACATTTTGTTAATGATATACATACTGTTGTACAGCAGAAATCTAGAATGTTTTTATCTTGCTTGACTGAAACTCCATACCTGGTGAACAGCAACTCCAGGGTTCCTGTTTTCTCCAGGCCCTGACAACTACCATTTTATCTTCTGTTTCCATGTGTTTGGCTACTTTCAATACCTCATATAAATGGAATCACGAGATATTTGTCTTTGTGTCTGGCTTATTTCACTTAGCACAATATCCTTAAGATTGATATATGTTGAAATATGACAGAATTTCCCTTTTGAAGGCTGAATAATATTCCATTGTGTATATACATATATACCATATTTTCTTTATCTGTTCATTTGATGATGGACATTTAGATTGTTTCTACTTTTTGGCTATTGTGAATAATTCTGCAATGAACATGGGAATGCAAATATCACTTCAAGGTCTTGTTTTCAATTATTTTGGAAAAATGCCCACAAGTGGGATTGCTGCATCCTATGGTAGGTCTATTTTTTAATGTTTTGAGGACCCTCCATACTGTTTTCCATAATGGCTCTATCATTTTACATTCCTACTGACAGTACATAGGGTTCCAATTCAATTTCCCACAACTTCATCAGTACTTGCTATTTTCTTTTTTTAAAAATGGTCATACAGTTATGAGGTGATAAATCCTATTGTGATTTTAATTAGCATTTCCCTGATAATTAATGATGTTGAGTATCTTTTCATATCCCTGTTGGTCATTTGCATGTCTTCCTGAAAAATATCTATTTAAGAACTTGGCCATTTTAAAATTGGGTTATTTGTTTATTTGCTTTTGAATTATAGGTGTTTCTTATATATTTTGGATATTAAGCTCTTAGCACATGTATGGTTTTCAAATATTTTCTCCAATTCTGTAGGCTGCCTGTTCACTCTGTTGTTTCCTTTTTTGCACAGAAGCATTTTATCTTGATGTAATCACTCTAACCTATTTTTGCTTTGGTTGCCTGTGCTTTTGGTGTCAAATCCAAGGAATTATTGCCACAACCAATGTGATAAAGCCTTTCTTTATGTTTTCTTGTAGGAGTTTTACAGCTTTAGGTCTTACATTTAAGTCTTCAATCCATTTGGAGTTAACACTTGTGAACAGTGTAAGATAAGGGTTCACTTTCATTCTTTTGCATATGGAAATCCAGTTTTCCCAACAATATTTGTTGAAGAAATTATCCTTTCTCCATTGTATAGTTTTGGCACCCTCATCAAAGATCATTTGACTGTTTGCATGTGGGTTTATTTCTGGGCTTTCTTTTTTTTTTTTTTTTTTGAGATGCAGTCTTGTTCTTCACCCAGGTGGGAGTGCAGTGGTGTGATCTTGGCTCACTGCAACCTCTTCCTTCTGGGTTCAAGTGATTCTCCTACCTCAGCCCCCCGAGTAGCTGGGATTACAGCTGTCCACAACCACGCCCAGCTAATTTTTGTATTTTTTCACAGAGACGGGGTTTCACCATATTAGCCAGGCTGGTCTTGAACTCCTGACCTTAGGTGATCCACCCACCTTGGCCTCCCAATGGACTTTCTATTCTGTTCCACAAATCTATTCTGTTCCATTCATCTATATGACCAATTTTATGTTCATATGACACTATTGGGATTGCTGTAGCTTTGTAGTACATTGCAGTCAGAAAATGTGAGGCCTCTAACTTTGTTTTTCTTTCTTAGGATTGTTTTGGATATTCAGGGTCCGTTGTGTTTCCATATGGATTTTAGAATTGTCCTTTCTATTTCTCTAAAATTATCATTGGAATTTTTATGGGATTACATCAAATCTGTAAATTGCTTTGGCTAGTATTAGAATTCAAAAATATTCTTTCAATTCATTAAAATGAGATGTGTTTCCATTTACTTATGTCTTCCTTAATTTCTTTCAGCAATGTTTTGCAGTATTCAGTGTACAAGTCTCCCATGCTCCCTGCCCCCCACCGGCTAAGTATATTCCTAATTATTTTATTCATTTTGATGCCATTACAAGCAAATGGATTGCTTTCTTAATTTCCTTTTCAGAATGTTCGCTGTTTGTGTTTTTTTGAATCTTTGCTTTGAACCCTGCAACTTTGTTGAATTCATTTTATTAGTTCTAAGAACTTTTTGTTGAATCTTTAGGGTCTTTTTATATATAAGATGATGTTTTCTGTGAATAGAAAAAATTTTACTTCTTCCTTTCCAATTTGGATGCCTTTTATATCTTTTTCTTGCTTAATTATTTTAGCTAGGACTTTATGTACTTCATAAAGGCATCCTTACCTTGTTCCTGATCCTGATCTTAGAAAAAGAGATTTCAGTTTTTCTTCATTAATGTGATGTGAGCTGTGGGTTTTTACATGTGGCCTTTATTCTGTAGGAATAATTTCCTTCTATTCCTATTTTTTCAAGTGTTTTTCTAAGGAAAGAATGTTGAATTTCATCAAATGCTCTTTCTCCATCTACGGAGATGAACATATGATTTTAATTGTTTTGTTAATGTGGCATATTATATTGATTTTCACATGTTGAACCCTTCTTGCATTCCAGGAATAAATCCATCATAATTATGGTGGATGATACTTTAAAGTGCTGTTGAATTCAATTTGCTGATATTTGTTGAGGATTTTGCATCTACATTCATTAGGAATATTTAATTTTTTTTCTTGTAGTGCCATTGTCTGGTTTTGCTATTAGGGTTATGCTAGCTTCACAAAAAGAGTTTAGAATTGTTCTTTCTTCTTTAATTTTTTATGAATGTTTGAGAAATATTGGCATTAATTCTTCCTTAAATGTTGGCAGAATTCTCCAGTAAAGTCATCTGCACCTGATATTTTCTTTGCTGAAAGATTTTTGATTACTCATTTAAACACCTTACGAGCTATAGATTTGTTCATATTTTGTATTTCTTCTTGATTCAGTGTTGTAAGTTGTATATTTCCAGTAATTTGATGTTTTTCTAGGTTATCCAATTACTACCATAATCATTCGCAGCAGTCTCTTATACTCTTTTTTATTTCTGTGGCATCAATTGCAATGTCTACTTTTTCATTTTTAATTTTATTTGGTTGAGTCTTTTCTCTTTTTAATTGCCATATTCCATTGTATAGTAATACCACAGTTTTTTTTTATCTATTCACTTGCATTGGTTCCACTTTCTGGTTATAATGAAAATATGTGTGTGAAAATATCCTTTATTTGCATTAATCTTTATTATTTCCTTCCTTTTGCTGGGTTTGGGCTTAGTTCTACTTTTTTCAGTTCCTTGAGTTGTAAAGTTAGGTTGTTTATTTGAGATCTTTCTTCTTTTTTAAGGTAGGCATTTATTGCTATAAATTTCCCTCTTTAGTACTGCCTTTGCTGCATTTCTAAGTTTTGCTATGTTGTGTGTGGGTTTTTTTTTTTTTGTCAGCTTGTTTTGTAACATTCTTTTTGATTTTGTCTTTGATTCATTGGTTGTTCAATAGTATGTTGTTTAATTTCCATATGTTTGTAAATGTTTCAGTTTTACTTCTACTATTGAATTTTTGCTTCATCCTATTTTTGGTCAAAACAGATTCTTGATTTCCATTGTCTTAAATTTGTTAAGACTTGTTTTATGACCTAACATGTGATCTATCCTGGAGAATGTGTCAGGGTATGTCACTTTGCCAGTTAATTTATATACCTCCATTTTTGAAGGGTTGATATTTGGAAACTTATTTTGTTCCTTTTATTGGGCCATGTTTCCCTGTTTCCTTGTGTGCCTTTTAATTTTGTGTTGTGATTCTAGGATTTGAAAAAAATAACCACTTCTCCCTGTCTTTACAGACTGGTTTTGCACTGGGAAATTCTTTCACCTGTCAGCCCAGTTAGAGATTCTGAGGTGTGTCAAATCTATTCTGTGAATGTATTGTCTCTGGAATTGTGTGTAAATTCTTAGAAAAATTTGCAGGTCTTTCTTCAGGAGCTTGTAATCTCTTGCCCTCTTTGTTATCTATCTGTAGTACTGTAGGTTCTCTGGAGTTGCTGTAACCCCCTAGCTCTCTTTTGTTCTCAGCAGTTCTCAGACATCAAGAGTATCAGGTCAGACAGAAAACAGTCCCTCAGGCTGACTGGGAAAAGTTGGAATTCTGAATGCACACTCCAGCTTTTTCCTTCTCCAAGGAGAAGCCAGGAGTTGAGGGTTTTCTCCCACTCATTGCATATTGATCCAGGGAAGGAGAGTATGATAAGTCAATGTATGCTAACCCAAACTGCCTCAACTCATTTGTTCTTAATATCCCCAACCTGGAAAGCTTTCCTGTTAGCACTTAAATTCAGGCAAGACAGAAAACAATCACTTGGCAACTCCTCTGAAGTCTGAACACTGAATGTGTGTTTCAGTATTCTCTTTCACTCCTTTGGGGGAATCAGGAACTGTAGAGTATTCTCCCAATCTCGTTATACTGAGTCACAGGAGGAATGATGGTGATTGAGTGACAGTCCAAACTGTGGCTTTATCAGCAGCCATGCAATCTGGCATCCTTTCCTGTTAGCACTTAGATTCAGGGTAGATAGGTGCTAGTTCCTTGGGCAGCCCTGCTGTCCCAAAAAGTCAAAATGTTCGACATATCGTCTAGACATTTCTTTCTCTCCCTAGAGATAAGCTGGGAGTTTGGAGCTTTCTCTCTATTGTGTTGTACTGTTGAGGGAGGATGAGTGAGTGCCACAAATTTACCTGCCGGTTTAGATGTGCCTGGCTTGAAGCCTACCAGGGAATCCAGAGTCTTTAAATTCGTTTCTGTACTTTTCACAAAGGGGATTTATCTGTGTATTATTGTCGAGCTGGTGTCTCCTTGGAGAGGACGGTGGAGGGGCTTTGAGGCTTTCTATTTCATCATCTTGCTGGTGTCCTGACAGGAATTTTAAGCTGGGCTCCTTTCCCCACATTGTTGGAGAATGGATCCTGGCTGATTATAGGTACTCATGAAATACTGGGTAAATTATTATTTATTATTTACTTACAAATATTTAAAATTTGTATTATGGGAAATAAGTTTTTAATCACTATTAAAGTTTGTTGAAGCACTAATTCATTACTGTGAAAAGTAGGGAAGGGAATAAAAATCAAGCATTTGTCTATTTATCTTGCTTTTCCCATCCAAACTGTGTTTTGGTGTAATCAATACATATTTAGGAGGAAATGTTCTTTTAAAAATTATTCCAGCTAATAAATGAAGAAAAAAATGAAAGAATGTAGTACTCTGTTATAACACCTAGTAATATAATGGTTGAAGCAAGATTTATAATGAATGCTAAAACTATTAGGTGAAAAGTTGATGCAGACCTTTACTGTGGAGGAATGTAGCTGACATTAATTTCTTATCTAAATTACATTTTTGAAACTTTATGACTCTTTGAATTTAAAAGGGATTTTGGTGTCATTATTTTTTCTTTTATACTCTCTTTTTTTCACATAAAAATCAACTATTAACTGATTGGTTTTGTGGTCTTTTGGAAAGAGACTATATAAATTCTGCTTTTTGTATGAAGATCTCTTTTACACTGTCAGAGGAAATTTTATCTCAGATAAGCTCTGATTTCATCTTTCAATTTTATTTTGAATTTCTTTCTTTGTCTTTTGTTTTATCAGCACCTTGTTTAATTTAAAATAGATTCGATGTCAACAGTCAAGGAGTTAACTCAGGAAACTAATTTATACAGAAATACAAATATTTTTGCATATATTTTATCCTTTGTTTTAGATCTTTAATATGTAATTTCTAAAAATGAAATATGGACAGTTTGCTTGATTTCTGAGCATAGTCAATGAATAATTTTACCAAAATAAGCAAACATTTTTCAAGCTTTTTTTTTTCCTCGAGACTGAGTCTTGCTCTATCACCCAGGCCAGGCCGGAGTGGGGTGGCATGATCTTGGCACACTGCAACCTCTGCCTTCCAAGTTCAAGCAATTCTCCTGCCTCAGCCTCCTGATTAGCTGAGATTACAGTTGCCCACCACCACACCCAGCTAATTTTTTGTATTTTTATTAGAGACGGGGTTTCACCATGTTGGCCAGGCTGGTCTCGAACTCCTGACCACAAGTGATCCGTGCCCTTGGCCTCCCAAAGTGCTGGAATTACAGGCGTAGGCCACCACACCTGGCCTGGACCATTTTGATATAATGAATTACTGGGGAAACCTTTTAATATAATGTTATACAGTCCATTTAAAAAGAATCCAGTAGAATTATTATATTCTTTATATGACTACATTTCACACTGAAGTCACTTACTTAGCACTCTTTATTTATAATGTATTGAAAAATACATATTAGTTGCTGATTTTATATTCCAAACAGAAATTATAGGACACCAGATTATATAAACACAATAATTCAATATTAATTTTCACACTTTAAAACAATAATCTTGGCTGGGCACGGTGGCTCGCGCCTGTAATCCCAGCACTTTGGGAGGCCGAGGCAGGCGGATCACGAGGTCAGAAGATTGAGACCATCCTGGCTAGCACAGTGAAACCCCGTTTCTAATAAAAATACAAAAAAAAAAATTAGCCGGACATGGTGGCGGACACCTGTAGTCCCGCTACTCGGGAGGCTGAGGCAGGAGAATGGCATGAACCCGGGAGGTGGCTTGCAGTGAGCCGAGATGGTGCCACTGCACTCTAGCCTGGGCAACAGAGCAAGACTCCATCTCAAAAAAAAAAAAAACTTTTCAATTATTAAAATTTTTCTAAAACTACCCATCGGAGAAGTTAAAACATCTCCATTTACATTTCTATGATGTTATACAAAAATATTTTCTTTCTTTCCCCAGAATAATACGGGCAAAATCTCTTCCTCTGACTATACATGGTATTGTTATTTTGTTTAAGAGTTTCTATCTCTTCCTACTCTGAATGATTATTCTCTTTTTGAGCTTTCTTGCAGTAACCATTTAAAATAGTCTCTAGACAACTTTCTAGACTCTAGGACCCATATTAATCTTCTTGCCATTGCAGTTTCTGTCTTCTCCAAGAGTCTAGCTTCTATGAGAACATAATAGTCACA
This sequence comes from Homo sapiens, assembly GCF_000001405.40. Classification (NCBI taxonomy): domain Eukaryota; kingdom Metazoa; phylum Chordata; class Mammalia; order Primates; family Hominidae; genus Homo; species Homo sapiens. The sequence continues at coordinate 47,088,707 of NC_000015.10, read as the reverse complement.
TCTTCTTTAAAGAAGAGTCTCCAGTGTAAAGACTAAAAGTTTAAGTTAATTGTAAATGAAAGATTCCAGTTAGAGGAGAAAATATTTCATTTTAAGATGAATGTTTCAGAACACAATTACCATATTGAAGATGACTCTCACTATAGCCACATTAATTACATCTATTTCAATTTAAGGGGACACAGTAACAAATCTTACCTCTCTGAAAAGAAATCAAACCTGAAACATGGTGAAGTGTGAGCCCTGACCAAGAGATTTTCTTGGAAGACATAGATTGACTTATAACAAATGTTATCTGAAGTAGTAAAATCTTACACTTTATTTTTATAGAAAACAAGCAATAAAAATCTTTCTAAATTAATGCATAGGTACTTTTGTAAAAATAACATAAAAATATCTGATTAACTTAGATACACAAGTTCTTTAAGTTCCAAAATAAAGAATGAGAGAAGTTTATAGTTTGTCTGACTTTTATTCTTTTCAATCCATAATTCCATAGATAGAATGATTTATAATGTAACTTTAATCATTACATCCTTTGATGAAAAATATACAGATATTCTTTTCTTCTCATTATATTTACTTAAATTATTTTTCATCACTTTAATATTTCTTTATTCACTGGTACCACAATAGTTCACTAAGTTTGGTATTTCTTGGTTTTGTAAAAAATTTCCCAATTCAGCTCCTGAGCACAATGAGTAACTCTTCTCTCCTCTTCCTTTGTATTCTTCTTTGGTCCAACCCCATGGCTTTCCTTTTGTACTCTCTAGGACAAGAATGTTCTTTCTTCTTCCTGCTATTTAACCATTATTCATTTTTCATGGCTGTATTAGTCTGTTTTCACACTACCATAAAAGACTTTCCTGAGACTGGGTAATTTATAAAGGAAAAAGGTTTAATTGACTCACAGTTCTGCATGCTGGAGAGGCCTCAGGAAACTTACAATGATGGTGGGAGGGGAAGCAGACATGTCTTATATGGCGACGGCAAGGGAGAAAGTAAGCACATGAAGGAGGAAGAACTTACTCATTATTATGAGAACAGCATGGGGGAAGCTGCTCCCATGATCCAATCACCTCCCACCAGGTTCCTTCCTTTACATGTGGGGATTACAATTCGAGATGAGATTTGGGTGGGCACGCAGAGCCAAACCATATCAATGGCCAAAATAATATATATTTTTCTTTTCTTATCTATTCCTGACTATGTCCTTTCTGAATTTCTTCAGTACTTTCAACCTGTCCCACAAAAGGCAGAGCTTATTCATATTTCTTATCCTGTTATTTAAAAATTAATTTTGTTTTAGTTTGAGAATAACAGTCAATAGGCAGGGGATGAGCAGGCCATCAACAGCATCCTTTATTTTGGCAGAAATTATTCTGAATCAAACTTACCTTGTATCATGGGTATAATTACATGATCTCAAAAAGAATTAAAAATCTCTATCACTTGAACCACAGTTTCCCTTAGCATATTTAATATACTTCATTTTTGTCAGCTAACAAATGTTAGCTAATATTTTTACCATCAAGAAGAATATTCTTTGACAAAAGTATCTCTGTTTCATTAGTACATATAGACAGAGTTGGACCCTATGGCTTCCCAGCTTGCTCAGGAAACGGGAAGCTAGGGTACCCAGATAGGAAATCTTCTGTTTTGATACTTATATCCTGACTGTACACAGTGTCAAATCTGGGTCTTGACCTAGTAGGCACCCATTAACACAACATGAAGGAAGGAAAAAGTCATTTATGAAACTATGATGGCTGCAGTAGTAATTTGGTAGTCCTCTTTTTAAAATTTTCCTTTTAATTGAAATGAAAGTTTATAAGTGATCATACTGTAAATGATATAACATTTTATAATGTTTTATTACAAAAACTCAAACACTCCAGGAGTGAATTAAATGTAAATTAAAATCTCCCTCTCTCTACAATCCCACTTGCCTCACCATTTCTTCTATTCCTTAGAAATCCACCAACAAAAATTTAATTAGAACTCAAATACTTTCACTCATAAAAGGCATATGTGTACCTTTTTAAAAAATTGGATTATGCTAATTATGATTTGTAGTTACCTGATATTTCATACAAAAATACATTGGACATGTTGCCATCATTTAAAATGATGGTAAAATGTTAATTTTTACCATTATTTTTATAAAACATATCTATTGAAAATTTAAGACATTACCATCTTTGCATTTTTTTATAAACTTGTATAATGAACAGCTTTACAAATATTAGCACACTTGTTCAATTATTTAATAGAGATCTAATCTGAGGAGTTGAGAACTTTCGACTCTTTCTCAGGACCATTCCTCTGGAGTAATTTTGGAAATGTAGGTTATTTTTGGTTGTATCAATGATGGGGACATGACAAGCATTTACCAACTAGAGGGTAGAGATCACATGCAGCAAGCATTGGGTTAAACAGTGCATTGAGACAAACAGTCCTATATAAGGAAGAATTGTTTAGTATGAAGGCCCAATAGTACCTCTTGGAGAAACATGGCAACATGAAGTATTTCACTGTGTACTTTAAGAAAGGTTGCACTATTTGTGCATTTTACAATAAATATCTATTGATCTTATAATCTGCAAAACAATGTACTATTATTTAAAGATTTTTTTTTTTTTTGAGACAGAGTCTTGCTCTGTCACCCAGGCTGGAGTGCAGTGGCACAATCTTGGCTCACTACAACCTCTGCCTCCCGGGTTTGAGTGATTTCTTGTGCCTCAGTTTCCCAAGTAGCTGAGACTACAGGCACGTACCACCATGCCTGGCTAATTATTGTGTTTTTGTATTTTTAGTAGAGAAGGGGTTTCCCCATATCGGCCAGGCTGGCCTTGAACCCCTGGCCTCAAGTGATCCGCCCACCTCAGCCTCCCAAAGTGCTGGGGTTACAGGTGTGAGCCACCATGCCTGGCCTATTATTTAAAGGATTTAATCTTCTCCCATCCCAACAGCAATGGAATTTTTCAATAAATCCAAAAAATTGTTTCTTTGAAAAGACAAATAAATTAGATGACAAAAAAGTGAGAGCATATTAAAATACAACAAGAAAAATGGAAAACTGGATAATTGAAAAGTTTCTAAAGAATGCAGTATGTACCTTTTGGTCATTATATTTGAAAATATATATGAAGAGGTTAATTTTTTACGGAAAATTAAACTATAAAAATAAATCTAGGGAAATCAGAACATTTGAAGATACCAACAATAGAAAAAAATGAAACAGGTATAAAGTTATAGGACCTTTAAAAGCTCAAGGCCCAGCTGTGTCTCAAGCAGGTCCTCTTAAACTTAATGGAAAAGTTAATTCCTGTGTTGTTCAAACTATTCTTTTGGTTAATGGGAGCAAAGGAAGCATATCTCTCCCTCCGTTTATTTCTTAAAACAACTGAAAACCAAAAGAAAAATCAATGTACAAAGAAAAAAACTCCACTAATTTTGTTAAAAGTAAACACCATTAAAAATTCTAAACCAAACTTTGAAGACTAGTTGTTAGTGACATAACAATTTAACCTCTCTTCAAAATGCGGTGAGAGTAGATGCAGACACCTGAGCAAATATGGCAAGTGAAACACATACAGAGACTTATTTTCCCACCTGAAACTATAACATGATGGCAAATGGCTTATTGAAGTGATATAAAAGGAAAACAGCAACATTTTTGAAAATAGGAAGTCCATGAATGGCTGGTAACTGACTTAGCTTACCAAAAAGTACAAAATTGTAAGCAGCGGGGAAATCTGATTCTGCAAAATGTTCATAAATTGGTTGCATGGGATACCTCTGAAAGTAGAAGTAAAGGTAGGGCTAAAACCCAGGAAGACTGGTTGGAAGACTGTTCCCAATGCCCACTCCATCAAGCCTCGTGAATGCCTCTAGGTTCTGCTGGTGGAAAAGTAGAAATTTGCCGTCTAGAGAGGTACCAGGGAATCTTAGTACTGGCAATATCATCTTCATTGGTCATACATAAATTAGGGGGCCAAAATGAACAGTAACTACTGAAAGCTAAATCTCCCCAATTTTCACCTCTATCTAGATTCAAAACATAACAGTCTATTAGTCTTATATCCTCAGAGAAGACTGGAAGACTCTAGTTGGAAGATCATGATCAGCCCAAAGGAATAGACGAATGGATATGCCATGAGGGGCTTTTCTGGGAAAACTTCTTGACCTGATTGCCCTGTCTGGAAGCCACAGTTGAGAATTATTACCTAAGAACCTGAAGCTTACCGTAAACGTTTATTGTATTGCTCTTGAACACAAACAGGTAACCAACAATCACAAGATTCTAGGTACATCCAATAACAAACACAGAAACAAAAAATAAACCAAACAACTGGAAGTAAACAGAGTCTATACAGTGTGGGAAAAATGTAATTATTAATTTCCTCAGAGAGGGAAGATAAGGTAATACAACAAGAACAAGGTGTGATAAAAAAATGGATATTCAAAAAATAGAATTCTTAAAAATTAAGAAATTTATTGCAGAAATGTATAACTTAGTGGGAGATTTGGAAGGTAAAGCTGACGGCATCCCCTGGAAAAGTTAGTGTAAACGAGTTGGGAATGAGGAAGGGGCAGTTTAATGAATTAAATAATTGGTCCTATAGGGCCAGCAACAAAATACAGGCATTTGGGAAAAGAAAAAATTACAATGAAGTATGACATATATAAATAATTTTTGAAATGGGTAAGAGTTAAAGTGTATGAATTTTAGATTGAATGTGTCCAACAGAATTCAAGCCAGTGGTGAAAATAGACCTAGATCAACACACACACACACACACACACACACACACACACACACACACAAAAATCAGCACACCCTGGAAAAAAAGAAAAAAAGGAAGAAACTTCAAATTTCCAGAGAAGAGAAATAAAAATGGTCACTAGAAGACAAGCAAAGCCTTATAAATTGCAAAAAAAATTATTTCTAATGCAGAATAGTATGCCCAACCAAACTATAAATCAGATAGGAGGAAACAATAATAAGCATTTACAGCATGGCAAGATTCTAAAACTCTACATCCAATACATCCTATCTCAGGAATTTACTGGAGAAGAGTTTCACTAAAATGAGGAAGTAAATGAGGAAAGAGTAGGTATAAAGTACAGGGAATCTCCTGGTTGTTAGATGTACGGTATGTGTACACAGCAACCTGTGTAAATTAGAGGTATCTAGAAAAAAAATTCAAAAAGATAAATCTGATAAAATGTTTAATGCTTCTGAATGCATTATGAGACTCATTAGAAAACTGGGGTAGAGTTTGCAGTTGGTACTTTGATATGTACATAGAAAACCAAACAAAACAAAAATTTTAAAAAATTGTCAGTTTAAGGGAAAAAAATGTTGTGTAGAAATGAAATTCAATCATTTAAGCTCCATGTTTCAGGTATGAGTAACATTTACCTAATTATAACAGTACTAGTGTTACTGGAAAAAGGGGTCCCAATCCAGACTTCAAGAGAGGGTTCTTTGGCCTCACACAGGAAAGAATTCAAGGTGAGTCACAGAGTACAATGAGAAGAAGAGATAGTTTATTGAAAGCTACTGCCTTTTGGAGTAGGGCGTCCTCAGAAAGCAAGCGAAGGAACGCACCCTCTTTGTTTTAAGTTTTTCTGTTATAGGAGTTTTGTCTATGTAAAGACAAAATTGAATTGTCTATGTAAAGACTAAATTGGAAACAAAATAACAAGAAGAAGGAATTTATGCATAATCTTCAAATCATGAGGAGTAAAATTCATACAGGACCTATCGCTTAAAGAGTTTCATAGTGGTTACCAGTGGGCATCAATGTGATTCTTGGATGTAAAAAGAACTATTTACAAGGTTTCATATTTTGAATTAATGTGCAGCATCTTATGTTAAATATTTAACCAATTTTTAAAATTTTTGAGTTCAAATTAGAAATCTTATTGTTCTATTTATAAATCTAGTACAATAAAAATTATTTTTAAGGGGGACTTTGATTAATGTTTGCTTCCATTTACAACTTAGTTAATTAAACTCCCTTAAAGATTTTAAACTACATTTATAAATTTAATAGGTTCAATTATCTTTGTGAACATTTTAATTATAGGACTAACAAATAAAACCTTCCAGAGTACTTAAACAACCCTTATAGAGCTAATAAATTAAACTCACAAAATCCTGACTCTTAAATTATCTTAAATGTTAAACCACTACTGGCAACGCGGTAAAACCGCTTATAATTTCAACTCAAAAAAAACAATATCTAAATTATTCTGTTACACATTTAAAATTGGAATGTAAAATGCTAATCTATATTTAAATACTAATACAATTATGAATAAATATCACATCTCTAAAGTATAAATATTATAGTTTTCATATATTTCATCATCTCTAAATTTTTTTCAATGTTTCCCTGGGATAAAAAAATCATAAAAACAATTACATTCTCTTAAGCAAATGGGGTTATCACCTCAGTGAGTTGTGGCTACTTTTTCAGGTTGTTTACCTATCAGAGATTTTGACTGGAAAATGAGATCTGGAGCTTCAGATACTCAGGGTAATTGTTTGTTTTTCCCTCATTAATATGAGAACAAATTCTAAAGTTGTAAAAGTTATGTTAATAGAGATTCCAAGCCCATGAACTCTAAGCGAGATGGCCATGCAATCCATGTTTTCTAGATCCATGTTGCCTATTTCTTTAGCCTGATTTTAATATCTAACCTCCCTACTCTGATTGTTTAGGTACTAGATTAAATTCAAAAATCTATTTACTGTATGACTCTTGACAGAGTTCTTTTTATATTCTTCATACCTGGTGAAGTCATAATTTTTCTGGATATTTAAATGACATACACGTGTATTATTTAATCTCATGTGTATATCTGATTCTGTGGTCACATTTCCCAAGGCCAGATAAATGACTGTAGCCAGACAGATGTAGGGCTAGGTGTAAAAAGAGATGTTCCCACAGATTATATAGTTGCTGTGTAGAGAAAACTCTCTGTGTTTTTCCTCTAGTCTCACACCACAAAGATCAATCAGCAACACAGAAGACTTCTGTGACCAAATGTGCAGGTTTTTTCCTCCATACATACACCAAGGAGCAGACACCAGCTGAGTGGCCTCTAATTCAGTTCGGACACTACACTGTCTACCTGGAGGTAGTGTCACATCTCACAGGTCAGTCCCCAAGACTGCCCACCCTCAACCTACCAGCCACAAGTCCAGGCCTCTGAACTTCTGACCTACTGGCTTCAAGTTGGGTTCTCATGACCCCCTCTTTGGGTTTGATTAATTTGTTGGAGTGGCTCACAGAACTCAGGGAAACACTGAGTGTATTATAAAGGATATTGCAAAGGATATAGACGAAGAGACACTTAGAGCAATGCATGGAGGAAGGGAGCAGAGCTTCCATGCCATCCCTGGGAGGGCCACCATCCAGGAACATCCATGTGTTCAGCTATCCAGAAGCTCACTGAACACTGTCCTCCTGGATTTTCATGGAAGTTTCATGATATCAGCATTCCTCCCTCCAGGGTATAGGGTGGGACTCTCTCCTGAGATGGTCTTAAGACCCACAACCAGAAAGGCAGGAACATAAAAATGAAAAAAGGCCATGGGAAGGTGAGAGGCCTGATCCTAAGGCCTAACACACCCAATATTATAACAAAAGACTGTACAAGGGCTAGGGGAGTTATAAGCCAGGAACTGTGGATGAAAACCAATATATATCATAACACCACAGTTGCTAAGAAAATATTCTTGGAAAACAGATCTAAATTGATACTGCCTATTGACATAATTTACTTTACTGATCTTTTCCTTCACCATTTTAATAAATAGCTCAGACAATAATGAGTCCCATTCAAAGATAATAAAAGAAAAGATACCAGCACTGTGCCTGTGTAACATATATTTGATGTTAGAGAAAAGCAACAAAGACAATATAACATTAAAAGACAGAAAAAAATTACATGCCACATTGACTATCATTGAGTCACAAAGTGAATACAAATTTTTAATGCAGTTTCATTAAATCAAACTCCCCTACCCTCACCAATACAACTCCTCTGATGTAAGTGACCTAAAAAGACATAAATAGGTTTTAAAGCAGATATAAGATAAATGAAATATATGTAGTGTGAGTTTAGTAAAAGATAAAAGAGAAAATAAATATATTTTATCTGAGAAATATATACCACACTAGAAACAGCAAAAATGAAGAACAGATATTTTCAAAACTTACTCAAATAAATGGTGTATAAGAAAAAAATTGAGCAAAACAAAATGAAAAAGAATAAATAACAAGGGTAGAACAATATTTATAGTTGTTTGAAGACAGACAAAGCTGACCTAACATACGTTACCATGTATATTTTATCCAGTTTTCCAATTTTGTTTTTATTGCTGGAAGGTTAGTTTGGTCAGAGTTACTTCACCGTATCAGCAAGTATAATTTTCTAAACTGACACCCCTTACTTTTTATATCTTATTTTTTATCCTATTATTATTACATATTTTATAATATTATATATTCCATACTGAATTATACAGTAAATAAAATAAAATATGAACAAAACAATTTCATAGAAATGGTGAGGTTTTTTTTTTAATTGAAGCAGAAGTTCATGACTTGAAAATAGAATGATGCAGTAAAGAAATAAACTCAAGAACTCACTTTATGGAAAAAGTGAAAACAATTCACAACATTAAAATAATTAATCAGAACCTCAATCCAGATAAAGAAGGAATAGAGAACAAATATTAAAATTGGAAGGCAACAAAATATAATCACAGATATTGATCAAGTAATTAGATAAGATCATTTTCTTAATTTTACACAAATATATTGGAAACCCTGGATTATATGACTTTTTCCATATGAAGATATAAGTGACCAAAATGACTACAAGAGTTATAAAATCTCAGTATCTTATTAATGCAGAAAAAGATGTTGAAGATATAAAATTCTGAACATTCTCCTCTCAATAAACAGACAAATCAGCAGGCATGAACATTTTCAAGAAGAAATGTACCAAGACATGAAAGTACTGATAACTCAATGCTATTTAAAGTTTTCCACTTCTAATTCTAGCTATGACAAGTTAATTTGTATCAGGCCATCCCACCTGGCAAGAACAATTATGAAAGCTGGATAAAATTAATTAAAAATAAGTAGCTATTTAAGGGCTTCCGATAGCAATCAAAGCATCCAGAACTTGAGTGTCTAAGCTCCCAGAAAGAAGAGAAACACATTGAAGTGATTTCAACATTCTCCACAACCTTTCATTTGGATGCATTTGCTGAGCAGATAGCTAAGAAGAAAATGGTAGCTCAGAGATGTTAGAAATCTGGTAGGCCTGCATAGACAACAATTGGAATTCATGACTATCATGGTGGCCAGGGCTTGATAAAGGGCCGGTAGAAACAATGCAATTTCGTTTTGTTTTTCCTTCACAGCATTTTCTGATTCTTTAGTTGCAGAAGGTGAGCAACTAAGAAGCTTAGCATAAAATGGAGCTACCCGACTAAAAGGAAGTTAAGCAGACCTCTCAGCAAAAGGATAGACAAAATTGGAGTTCAACAAGGAACAGAGGACCTAGAAATCTCCCTAGGCATTGAGACCCCTAAAAAGCTAATCCCTAGCTGAAAAGGCAAACTAGAAATGCACCAGCTGCCACAAAAACTGAAATCTAGCCTCAAGGCATTTCAGCCTGATTGGACCAAGAGGATCTACCTCTAAGCCAGAAGAAAACTACAATTTCTTTGGAGGGAGATCCCATCTAAAGACTTTTTCTCTTAGGTCAATGTCTGGCTTTTGATCATAAATAACCAGGTATATCAGTCAGCAGGGCTAAATGATGCATGCAGTGCACACACATGCGCGGGCACACACACACAAAAAGAGCGAGAGTGACAGTGAGAGGGAGAGGAGAAATCTATAGCTTTAAATGTTTCCATGTACAGAAAATAAAAATACTTCCAAATATATTTATGAATATTGTATTTATACTAAACTTGACCAAAGCTGAACACATGTGTTCTCTTCCCATCACTTTCCCTTCATCTCCCTCATATACATTACACACAATAAAATACAGGCCTATTCCACTAATAAATATTAATGCAAATATTCTAAAACCGTACTTTACAATTAAAAGTTGCAATCACATTAAAATCATACTTCATAATCAAGTAGTGTTCACGTTAGTAAGCAAGAATGGATGACCATTAGGAAATAGTTTACTATAATTTATCATGTTAATAGAAAAACAATAATCTCCAGAAACTTCAACATGTATTACCAATTAAATAATATTAATAGAATAGTATTATAATGAGATAGATGTAATTTAACCCAAAATTCAGAATTTATGTGATGATGTTTGGGTACAGGGCCTTTGGGAAGTAACAAGGTTTAGATGATGTCATGAGGGCAGGGTTCTCATGATGGAATTAGTTCCCTTATAACATAGACACCAGAGAGCTTGCTCTCTTTCCCTGCAACGTGAGGACAGAGTGAGAGAACTTGACTGTCTGCAAGAGAACGCTCACCAGATAGCAAACCTTCACAGATCCTGATCTTGGACTTTCCAGCCTCCAGATGTGTAAGAAAATACATTTGTGTTTAAACCACTCAGTCTGTGGTATTTTGTGATGGCAGTTCGAGCTGACTAAGACAAATAATGACATCATTCATGATTGTTCCCGTCTACCAGTCACCAAAACAAGTTCTAACAAGATTAAAGAATAAATTCCCCCAAAAGGTAAACTTCAAGCCTAAAAATAAGAATAAATTGTAAATAAAGATTAAAAATATAACTGGAGGCAATCAAAAAATATATATCTTAAGGAGATTGTTAAAGCTATATGAAAAATGTATGCTAAAAATCTCATTGGAGCACTATTCATAAATCTAAATAATTATAAATAATAACTGGGCTATGGTTATGTTGATTAAGGTAAATCCATATATGTTAACATAATGTGGTAATTTGTAAATGTTTATAAAGCATTCTTAGTATATTAGCAAAACAATTTGAAGTGTCAAATTAAAAATTCTGAATACAAAATTACATGTTAAGTTATAATTCCAAGTATGTTTGAAAAATTACATATTAAAATAATGGAAGTAAATGCAACAAACTATTTGTAGTAGAATTTTATTTTACAGCAACTCAAAATAATGAAACAAATCCTTTGGCTTACAACTTTCAACTAGGCATTGTGATTCTCTTACTATTCCATTCAGTAGGATATAGGTAGCATGGTTGTATTCTCAGTTTGTCAGTGTTCTCCTGGCATCATTATTAATAGTGTCCCTATCACTTTCACAAGTTTCCTAGTTTGCAGAATAAATTATATGGTTATCTGAGATATGGGAAACCTAATTTTCTTCCTTCTTCCTCAGTAATAATCTATACAATTCTGGACAACTCACCTATCCATAAAACAATTTGATCTCTACCTTAAAATAGATATATCTCTGCTAGTTAACTTCATAGAAATATTGTAAGGATTAATGAGGAGATGCTTGGAAAATACTTAGAGCTCATCAGAGAAAAGTGCTATGATATTGCCACTAATAAATTTATTTACTAGCTTGCTGAGTAGAAAGTCAAGGGAAATCAAGATTTTCTGGGTATCAGCAACAAAACCAAATCAATCATGCATGTTCTGGCAGCCCATTTTATATAAGTTCCGCAGAGTACAGTACCTAGTGAACATAGAACTTCTCCAAATATATATATATATATGAACATAGAACTTCTCCATATATATATAATATACATATAATATACATATATATATAGTTAGAGACACATAGGCTAAATTTTGACTCTATATAGGCTATTCAGTTAGCAGTTATGAGTAAATGTATTGAACTTCTCATTCATGGTGAAAATATTGTGTTCCATCAAGCACTAACCATATGGAATGTTTGGAAGTTGAACAAAGACTGTTCATTAAGCTTGAAAGGGACAGATCTGAGCCAGCCAGCACTTTGTAAACTGCCAGTCAGGCCTCAAAATCAAGCCTATTATTTTAGTAGGCCAATTAAGTTCTTTAGAAACTCATTGGAAAGGTGGCATCTTCACACATTTTCAGCACCTTATAAATTAGGTACTTTTGCCTGGAACTAAAATATCCTTCTTGAACTTAAAAATCAAAATCGATAAATCAATCTACTTCTCAGGCGACAAAGAAGCAGATGAAAGGCAACAACAGGGCAGATTAAACTTCTAGCAATGAATCCCAAATATACAGGAGCCTTAGTTTGATTAAGATGACAAAAAAACACCTGGCAGAAGGGCACTCAAGTCTGGCTCACGGTCTTTTTGTTCTTCCTAAAACCTACATCCCTTGCATCAACTACAGTATTACACTTGACACTTTGAAGTTGAAGCATAATATCTTATTTTTTCTGACATTGCAAGTATATAACAGATCACAAAGTTGATTCTCTTTTCGCTTGTCAAGTTCTTACCCTGTCTATCTAAAATTCATATCTTGACCTTTCATGTCTGTCTTCAAGAACAAATCATCTCTCTTCCCACTCTCTGTCAATCTGATCTCTTTCTCTTCGCTTTGTTCTGGAGGAGTGAAAGGTGTATCTGTATTATTTTCTTATTTGTCAGAATTAAACAGCTGTTCTTGGAGAGTGGTGAGCAGTTCTTTATGCAAAGGAGAACTAGTTACTTAGTTTTGTACCATTTACAAAAAAGTAAGAAAATGCTGAAAACCAGTATCTTAAAATATTCATTTCATTCAATTTTATTTTAATTGGGGCACAGATATAAGGGAATATTTTTAGTTGACTAAGGAATAAAAATATTTGGTTATAAATCCTCAAGAATATTTATATCTTAAAATTGTTTTTATATTTCTGTTTCTATGACATTCAAATGGGCAAATTTTTTTCTAGAATTTAGACAGATTTACAAATAATTGCATAAATATGTCTAGAAGTTGAAAAATTAAAAGAAAAATACAACAATGAGAATGTGAATTGAACTTGAACAATACCCTAATTGTGAAAACCAAACTTTCATAATATTATTTTAATGTTTTCTGATTTGCATTTTGGGAATTCTTGCCTTCACTGTGTTTTTTTCCTTAGATTTTCTCTACATACTGTTCACAAAATTCAGTTAAAAGCTATTTTAGAGATTGTCTAGGGAAAGGGCTTCATGCTCAGTCATTGACTGTTACTTACATTGGTACAATTAGGGATATTAAATTTGAGTTCATTAGATTTATGCTTCTCCCCACACAGGCTGACTATTGTAGCTGTTGCTGCTTGGAATACATATTGGCTTAATCAGTACTATTTGGAATTTTGTGAAAATGCAAACTAATTATGAACTTTCCCTGATAAAGACAATTTTGGCTCCTGATTATTTGCTTTTCCCTACATTTATATAACAGCAATCTCATGAAATCGAGCATTAGACCAGCATGTTATTGATTTGCACATTAGGCATGTGATTACCTCTGAATTGCTTTCCTTTCTGATATCCTCAGATGCAAAATCTTGAAAGAGAGCATGCAGTCAGACATTTATTTGATTCTGTTTGATAATTGTTTTTCCTCTCTGTTTCTGTTAGCATTATTTGTGGAAGACCATAGCAGTGGGAGTTCTTGTCACAGAAATCCTGTGACCTCTGCGTTTGGTAGCTATAGACTGCAATGAGTTTTTCTCTTCATAGGGGAAGTTGAGAAGAGATTGCTGCTACCCACTATCCAAGCTCTGGTTTTCTTTACAAAGCTTCTGCATAAATGACAACTACATAGCTTCAGTGAGGGCCCTAACTCTTGCTTGGAAGGGTGGCAGCAGAGTTGATGGTCATGGATTTAAGCTGCAGTCTCTCATCACTAATTTATTTATAGTAAACATTCTGGGAGTGACTTTTAGTGCTAGATTCTGTGTTAGACTCTGGTGTTGAAATATGTGTCAGCTATGGCCTCAGCTCTCAAGGCATTAGTTGTGTTTGTGTGTATTGTGTGTTTTCAGGGAGGTGTTAGGTGTTGGTTGAAAGAATGAGGAAGGAGAGCAAGATTTGAGGAGAAAACAAACATGTACATGTACATGGTTTCACTGAATAATCTGCACTTCTGAAATGTCAATACATCCATCTGATTCAGTCATAATTGAATTAGAATCATCCTGAGTGGCGGTGGAAAACATTGAATATTTCGTTTCACACTGAAGCCAGAACTCTTGGGTACCATAACGAAGCAATATTGTTTGCTGGCTGTCACTTAAACTCACAAAGCACCTCTGTTTTATCATCTATAATAAATACAGATACAATATTCTGTTATATATATATATGTATATATCTTGAAAAATTATTGTGATGATGAAAAACAAAATGTAATACACACTGAATAATGCATAGTAGATGGTAAGCACTAAATAAATGGCTATGTAAGCAGTGATTCCTCTGTTATCTTCATTATTACAATTTCTGCATAGGCTTTATTTCAGTGATTTTTATAGTAATGACTTTGCTTATTTTATAAAAATACTTCATGCCAAAGAGTACAAAGAAAACAAAATAAATCACCCCAAATTTTCAGAAACACCAATGTTAACAGTTGGTGGAATTCATTTGGGTGATTTTTTTTTTGTTTCTTCTTTGCACTTTTTGGTACTATTCAAGTTTAAAAGGAATAGGCATATACAATTATTATAATAGCTGTAAAATAGTTATATGTGTTTTAAATTTCATACTCCAAAAAGTTTGGATATAGATAGGAGATACATAACTATATGTATATTGAGAGAGAGAGCTAGCAGAATGGATAAAAAATAATTTTCTAATAAAAGAATACTATATCTGTTTTTTAACTGGAAGTATTAAATTTATTTATGTGACTTCATTATTTCCTAAAAGGTCACATTTAAAAATTGTTTTAAAATATTAGAAGATTGAGTCATTATAATTTCTTTCTTAAATTTTAATATATGTATATCTATGAATAATGTATGCATAAACATATATATGTAAGGTCAAGTCCTAAGAAAATTTATACACCTTAAGGAATTATCGCAAAACAAATACCTCCACAACTACTACTCAGAATAATATACTTTTTTTTTTTTTTGCAAAATAGATTACTACTCCTTCATTTGTCTTCAAAGATACCCACTATTTGGAGTTTACTTTTCTTAATGTTTTGATATTTATATACCCACTCTGTGGTAGGCCAATAATGCCTTCTAAAGGCATGTCCGTGTCTTAATCCATGGAGCCTGACCTCCTTTGAAGTAGGGCATTGCTGATGTATTTAAGAAATTTGAGGCTGGGCGCAGTGGCTCACGTCTGTAATCGCAGCACTTTGAGAGACCGAGACAAGTGGATTCACCTGAGGTCAGGAGTTCGAGACCAGCCTGGCCAACATGATGAAAACCCCGTCTCTACCAAAAATACAAAAGTTAGCCGGGCATGGTGGTGGCGCCTGTAATCCCAGCTACTCGAGAGGCTGAGGCAGGGAGAATCACTTGAACACAGGAGGTGGAGGTTGCGGTGAGCCAAGATCGCACCATTGCACTCCAGCCTGGGTGACAGAGCAAGACTCTGTCTCAAAAAAAAAAAAAAAAAAAAAAAGAAGAAGAAAGAAAGAAATTTGAGAGGAGATCATCCTGCGTTATCTGAGTGAGCCCTAAATGCCGTCACAAGTGTCGTTGTAAAAAGGAGACAGAGGGAGCAGAAGGCAATGGGACGACGGAAATAGAGAAGTTTGAAGATGCTGTGATGCAGGCTTTGAAAATGGAGGAAGGCCCACAGGATGGAAGAGGCCATGAACGGATTATCTTTTGGAGTCTCCAGTGAGAATACAGCCCTTCTGCCACCTTGACTTTAGGTCAGTGAAACGAATGTTGTAGTTCTGGTCTCTTTAACTGAGAGAGAATAAATTTCTCTTGTTTTAAATCGCTAAGTCTGTGGTAAGTTGTTACAACAGCCCCAGGAAACAAATACACACTCTTTTATTTTCTTTTATTGCTTAACATTATGCATGTGAGATTGACACATGTTGTTACATGTAGTTCTAATTTGTTCATTTTCATTGCTGAATAGTATTCATAGGCAATTTTTAAAATTCATCCTTTTTTTAAAAACAAATAATGCTGCTATGAACATCCTTGCTTGTATCTTGTGGTATAAGTATGTAAGTGGGTAGCTGCATCCATTTACTTTTTCTCCAGCAGTCTATGAGAATTTCCCTTGTTCTGTATCTTCATTTGTAATTGTTATTGTTAGTCTTTTAATGTTAGACAAACTAGTATGTGTAGAATGGCATGTCATTACAGTTTTAATTTAAATTTCTCTAACAAATAATGAGCTGTTTTCATCAGGACTGAGACTAGCGTGAAGCAAGAGAGGCATCTAGGGTACACAGTTTAAGGATGTATTTATTCCCTTTCCTTTCTGTCCTTGATTGTGATGAATTATTTCTACTTTATCAAACAAAAAGTGTAATAGGTATACAATTGATTTTTGCTTTTTGTGCATTTGTTATAAATCCAGTCACTTTACTAAACTGGCTTTTATTTCTAATTTTTTGTAGATAATTTTTGATATTTGTACATAGCCATGCCATCTGCAAAATAGCATTTACTTTCCTTTGCAATATTTACAAATTTAACTTCTTTTAATTGCCTTATCACACTAGCTGGGGCCACTAGAAATCTTTTATACTTCTTTTGATGTCTATAGAAACTGTAGTGATGTCCTCCCCTTTGTTAATTTCTCACACTGGTCACTTCTGGTCTCTCTTTCTGTCTCACTGTTTACCTTTCTGTCACTCTCTTCCCCTCTTTCTCCATGTGTATGTATGTGTGTGTGTGTCTGTATAAAAGAATTTAAATATACAGATAGTCCTTGACTTAATGATGGTTTGATTTACAATTTTTCAACTTTACAATGCTGCAAAACAATCACAATTCCAAAATAATGTACCATATTGAATACATTACATGAGAGATTCAACACTTTCTTATAAAAATAGGCTTTCTGTTAGATAATTTTGCCCAACTGAAGGCTAATGTTAGTGCTCTGAACATGTTTAAGGTAGACTGGGCTAAGGTATGATGTTTGGCAGGTTAAGCGTATTAAATACATGTTCTACTTATGATATCTTCAATTTATATTGGGCTTACCAGGATGTAACACTATCATAAGTTGAGGAACATCTGTACTATAATTAGGCAATTATAAAGAGATTCATTATTTTTTTCCAGGAAAAACTTTTTTTGTTGTTGATTTTTCTCTTATATGTCTGCTGTATTAGTCAGTTTTCAAATTACTATAAAGATAGTAACTGAGACTGGGTAATTTATAAATATAAATAATTTACTTGATTCACAGTTCTGCATGGCTGGGGAGGCCCCAGGAAACATGCAATCATGACAGAAGGTAAAGGAGAAGCAAGGCACATCTTACATGGCAGCAGGAGAGAGAGCAGGAAAAACTGCCACTGTTTTGTTTTGTTTTGTTTTGTTTTGTTTTGTTTTGTTTTGTTTTGTTTTTTTGAGACAGAGTCTTGCTGTGTAGCCCAGACTGGGTGCAGTGGTGTGATCTCGGCTCACTGCAACCCCCACCTCCCAGGTTCAAGTGATTCCCCTGTCACAGCCTCCCGAGTAGCTGAGATTACAGGTGTGTGCCACTATACCCAGCTAATTTTTTGCATTTTTAGTAGAGATGGGGTTTTGCCATGTTGGCCAACTGGTTTTGAACTCCTGATCTGAAGTGATCCACCCACCTCAGCCTCCCTAAGTGCTGGGATTACAGGTGTGAGCCACTGCACTGGACAAAACTGCCACTTTTAAAACCATCAGATCTCATGACAACTCCCTCACTATCACGGGAATAGCATGGAGAAAACCACCCCCATGATCCAATTACCTCCCACCAAGTCCCTCCTTCAACAGGTGGAGATTACAATTAGAGATGAGATTTGGACAGGGACACAGTGCCAAACCATATCATCCTCCTTTTTTCCTTCAGTAATTTCTTCATCATATCTCATCATATATTTATTTACATGTATGTTTAAATTGAGTACTAGGCATTATATATGAAAAACTGAAAGTAATTTGAGGCCTTGGAAATGTTAACATTCTCTAGAGAGGAATTACATTTGCTCTCTGCAGTAAGCTAAGGGCACTAGCAGGTTACTTAGTGCACCCATAAGTGTACAGATAATTAGACACTAGTTTTATGTCCCTAAGTGGGCTGGTCTTTATCGAGTGTAGTCCTTGCCCCCAACTCAAAGCCTGGAGGGTACTGTACTCCAATTCTCCCCACCACAATCCCTTGCACACTCACACAGTTACATGCATTTGGCTGCCAAAAGTATTCCTTAGTTTTGCAATCTATTTTTTAACTTCCTAGAATCAGTAAAAATCTTGAGTTGAAAAGTGATGCTCAATGCCAAGCTCAGCTATTGTATCTGGGCTTTGCAATTTTCCATGGCTTTGTTAACATTTAGTGTCTTGAAGAAAATTTTGTTGTTGTGTTCCATGGGAGAGTTGATATCCATTACAAATCTGCAGTTACTGGTAGAAGTTCCTGTGGTTTCTATTTTACTTTCAGATTTTACTTTTAAACTGCTCCAGTCTACATCTTTTTATAAGAGATCATGTTGTCAAGACAGTTTTTTTTTTAATTCTCTTCTGCAACCTCTGGAGTTTTGTAACTTGCGTTATTCTTATTTTACCAAAATTTATGCCTTTTATTCTATAGTCTGCAAGAAGTTTTCTTTAGTTGCTTAATCTTTGTGCTGTACTTATAGGACTTATCTGTCATTTCATAAAATGTCTCTATTTACTTTATCCTTATTTTGGCCCATTCTTTGGCTAGATTTTTGGGGTGATGTTATCTGAGGCCTTTTATGTCTATTTGTTGCTTGAATGATCATTCGGGTTTTACATAATTTTTTTCAGCCATCCTTTTATTTTCTTAAGAATGTCCTGGTAACATGTTTCCCCTATAAATCTATATCCAAATCCTTCCTTATTTTAAGGAATCACTACATGATAGTGAACTTTTAATTCTGTTTTATTCCAATTTGAGTTATCAATGTCAGTGCCAATAATTCTTATTTAAGATATTGCCTGCACTCTTCATGTATTGTCTTGTTTATAGTGACTTGAATCTTTTTGTTTATTAACATACATAGCTACACTCTCCCTAGAGGAATAGGGAACTCACACATGCAAAAGAAAATCCATGGGAACACCCACAACACAATTTATCCATCATCCCGAATTACTGAGTAAAGGCTCTTGGAATAAGAGTTTTCAACACAAATAGAATATGAAAAACTATAATATGCATATAAAATGTGAGAGGACTTGGACATTTAAAAAAGGACTTCTGGTTGAAAACTAGTGTGTAGACTAACTGGCAGAAAAGATATAGGTGGAATTGATGAGCATAAAATTATTAAATAAAAAACAAAAAGTAGGAGTACATGATAAATATTTTCAAAGTATGATATTTGAAAAGGCCAATACAATACACTTTTGACAATTTCCAAAAAAAAGTAGAAAGAAGGAAGAAAATTTTTAAAATAGAAAAAGATAGTACACCTACAGATATGAAGAAATTTTAAAACCTCAAGCTGTAGTCATTAAATATGATTATTATATGAATTTTAAATACATGCACTCTTTGACTCACCCTTTGACTCTTTTTGTTATCATCTCTAGCAGATGCTCAGCAGTCCCATAGGATCAGTAACAGCACAGCACCATTGCCAAGCCACATGGAAGCATGAAGCAAAAGAAAACATCAGTAATATTGATTTTGTCTTAATTTACAATGTTAATATGTTGTTCATCATGGATTTCCCACATTAATTTTGATTTAATAAAATATTACATTATCATTTACCTTGATTACTGAGTTTATTTGACATCCATTTAAGTTTCTCACCTGAGGCAGCAAGATCTTCACGTTCTTCACTCTGAGTCTGGACCTGCACAAGACCTAAACATTTTACATTTATGTCCACTTAGGCAGTCGAGGTCTTGCCTTCTAAGTTTCTCTATAGCTCACTACAAAGACACAGTGTTGATGTATGGAGAGGGCTACATTCTCGTAGTGCTAGTTCCAGGAAGATGCCTATGTGCCCCTGATAGCACTACAGAGTTTAGCAATTTCTGCCTTCACTGCTTATTTTACTTTTTCTCTTCCTCAGTTTGTTTCTCTTCCAGACAGCCAGGTCGTGGGCACTGGAACTAGACAAATAAGGATTGAAAGCCCATTTATGTAACCTTGAATGAGTTATTTTACTTGTCTGAGTCTCAATTTTCTTATATATTAAGTGAGGATAATTTGCAATTTATAAGATTCTTATATAAATAAATATGTACAGAAAGTCCATCATATACCTAGTCCACAGCATGGACTTAATAAATGTCATTTATCTTTTCTACTCTATTTCTGCTTCCCATTCTTCAACTTAATACTACAAAGCTAATCCATTAGCTAGTATATAGTAGAAATTGAAAAAAAAATTGAAATGCATTTCTTTTATTGCTATAATCACAAATATGTTACATAGACCTACCTCAATGCTAGAGTTCATCCACTGAGTTGGTTCAGTTATGTTTAATATTAGTTTAATATTTCAAACATAGCAAAAAAAAGTTTATTAGTTACTTACAATAGGTGGAGGAAAGTAATCAATAGACTTCTTAGAAACACTGATTCCTGATCTAAACCCCAATCTTCAGTGAAATTGTTTTGATAATGTATACAATTTCAGAAATTTATATTTTTGCTTCTAAAATCTCAATGTATTTAGTTAAGAGAAATAAAAATAACTTTAGCTGACTTTATAATATATAAAGTTTATTTTAAACCTTTCCTTTAAATGAAAAAAATAATGTTATTAGAGGTTTTATCCTTTTCTGTATATAACATCAGGCTAATTTTCACTAGACTATAAATATTCTTATGTGGACAGGCAAATCGGTACTGAATATACAATAGATTTTCTTTTCTATGGATTGTGCTTAAATTACATCAGTTTAGAACAAACACATTTAATTAAAGCCAATAAATTCAGGTGTTCTACGATTGTTATACTTGTTTGTTTTCAATGAAAAATAGCCAGACCTGTTCACTGGCGCTTGTTGTAATTATGGATTTTAATGTGAATAAGCTATCATTTGATGTTCCACCAAGAAAATGTTTTTCCATTTTAAAGAGCTTTAAGATTTGTTATTTGAGCTACTGTCTTTTGAATAATGGCCGAGAGAACAGATTTTTTTTTTCAATTACACATGTATTTCTTCATCTATTTAGAGGTTCTGAGATCAGACTAGATTAAAAACACACACACACATTTGTCTCAAGTAATGGTGGAAAGTTACCTCCTTGGTGACTGCAGTATGCAAGGTTGTGTGTGGTTTGGTTTCTAATCTTTCATTTCTTTCCAACATGAAAAAAAATAACCTTCCCAGGCAAGAAAAAAACATTGTACTTGGGGAGTTGCTTTTGATCAAAGAAAGGGGTAATAGTTCTTTCCTGAAAATGGTGACAAGAATGAAAAATGGAAAGAAAGATCTATTTTAACTAGAAGTAATGATTTTGGGGGAGGAATAGGGAGAGTATATGTGAGGAAACAAGGAAGGAAACTGAGAGTAACAGTCACTGATGCCAGTTTGTGAAAGGGATGAGGTTGACCAACATGCCTTGAGGCCATATCAGAAGATTTTAGTTTTCATATAAAATATTTATATTTCCATCATTTTTTTCCTATATTAGTAGGGCAATCAAAAGAAGAATTTTGGCTTTGTACAGAATTTTCCTATGTGTTGATGAAGTAAAAATACCAAGTATATTCACATTCTCAAAGTTTTACTGAGAATAAAGTTTATACCTAGAAATGATTTCAATACAAGCAATGGGATATTCTAGGAAAACAAAACAGAGAGAGATGGTCTAACAGGAATGACGTAGTAGAATCAACATAAAGGCTGATGTGCTTTGGCTCTGTGTTCCCACCCATTCCCACGTGTTGAGGG
The DNA here is from genome assembly GCF_000001405.40 of Homo sapiens. Lineage (NCBI taxonomy): Eukaryota > Metazoa > Chordata > Mammalia > Primates > Hominidae > Homo > Homo sapiens. The sequence goes on along the minus strand of NC_000015.10, from coordinate 47,066,667 downwards.
CAGGAAGTGATGGGATTATGGGGAGGTGGTTTCTCCCATGCTGTTCTCATGATAGTGAGTGAGTCTCATGAAATCTTTTGGTTTTAAAAGAGGCAATTTTTTCCTGTGCTCCTGCTTCTCTCTCTCCTGCCACCTTGTGAAGAAGGTGCCTGCTTCTCCTTTGCCTTCGGCCGTGATTGTCAGCTTCCTGAGGCCTCCCCAGCCGTGCGGAACTGTGAGTCATTAAACCTCTTTCCGTTATAAACTACCCAGTCTCAGGCAGTTCTTGATAGCAGTGCAAAAACGGACTAATACAAATGGAAAAGATATTATCAATTTCATCCTCCCCAGAACTTTCATGTTTTCACTAGATTTATGAGATATATTTTTCAATCTCCTTGAGAATCAACACAAGCCCTTCCAGATCCAGTCTCATTCTAAAATAATGTATTTATTTTATATTCGCAGCATGACAATTTCAAAAAAAAATTAATGGCTTCAGCAACATAAATTATTACCTCACACTTCTGTAGGTCCGAAGTCTGAGTGGGCTCAACCAGCTCCCCTGGTTCAACGTCCAGCAAGGTCCAAAGGAAGGTGACAATCAACAGGGATCTTATTGGGAAGTTCTGGTAGGAGTACATTTCCAGGTTTATTAAGGTTTTGGCAGAATTTAGTTGTTTGCAGTTGTATCACCATTCCCAGTACCTTGTACAGTTGTAGGTCATTGTTTTCTTGCCTGTGTCAACTGGTGGTTGCTGGTGTCAGCTCCTAGTAACCTGTCTACAGACTTCCTATGTGAGCCTCTACATCGCAAAACCAGCAATGACGCCTCCGAACTTTCTCAGGTGGAATCTTTCTAATTTCTCCCTCTGCCAAGCCTCTTTTTCTCCAGCTGAGGAATGTTCTCTGCTCTTAAAGGTTCACATGATTAGATTGGGTTCACCTGGATACTTAAAGCTGCTCGCCCTATTTTAAGGTTTGTAACCTTAATTACAGCTACAAAGTCCATTTTGCTATACTCACAGATTCCAGGAATGAGGATGTGGACATCTTTGGGAGGCTACTGTGCATACCGCAAATACTAATCTCGCAATAATCTGTTTATGGCCTATTTTTTGGTCATTACTTCACTGAAATTCATACTCTGCATTTTGTTAAATATTCACTCTCTGAGCTGAAGCACAATAATACAGAAAAACCTAGATGATTCAAAATGAAAAACATGTTGATAGAGTAAAAAGAATATCAGAAATCGTTGTTTTTTGAGACTAATGTGCAAAAGTTTACTTTTCCATATTTTTTGATAGTATTTTTTCCTTGTTTTTAGTTGTGGTATACTTTAGATACGGTGAAATGCACAGATTTTAAGTTATTATTCAGTGACTTTTGATAAAAATAAATGATTGAGCAACCCACAGCCCACAGAACATCGACATTACCCCAGAAATTTCTCATGCCACATACCATCAATTCCTGTCACCCTCCAGCCATTATTCTTGCTTCTGTCACTACAGATTGATCTTGCCCATTCTGAAACTTTATATGGATGTGATCATACAATACATACTTTTGGTGTCTTTTTTTGTAGTACTTTTGAGTAGTTTTCAATTATTTGACTATATCACAGCTTTTTACAATCCATTCTCCAATTTTAGGGGCCTTTGAGTTCTCTTCAGTTTGGGGTTATCAAGAATAATTATACTTTTATCTTTATTACTGCTAGGCTTGACAATATTTCATAACATGTATTCTTAGAATAATGTACAATTTATTTATTTAAGCAGTCATATTGATTTTTAGGTAAATATTTTTTAAGATTACCTGCCCACAAACATAAACTACCTATTGAGCCCTGCTTGTATTTTGATGGGCATATGCACATATACACTCAGAGTTGAATGTGGCCACTTTAAATGACTTCTGCCATTCTCATAAAATAATTAGCCGATTATCCAGTTTATAAACTTGATGACATTGCTATGTAAGATACTGGAAAACAAATTCCATTATATAATATTTACAGAGATAAGTTTTTGAAATTGATAAGCCACTTTTCCAGGATTTTTTATGCTAAATACAGTTGTTTGGATAAGGACATTCTTGTAGATACATGGCTTCATAACTAATACAAGCAATTATCATAACATACCCACAGTTAATTTTTTTCTTCACTTTTGCCCTACAATGGGTGCTCTTAAATTCCTTTGTAATACCTTTAAAGGCACAGAAGTAAGAAATGGAGAGCTATCTATGACAAACCCACAGCCAATATCATACTGAATGGACAAAAACTGGAAGCATTCCCTTTGAAAACTGGCACAAGACAGAGTTTACATTTTTTATCACTACTCTTCTGCTTGAAGAGCATGCTTTAACATTTCTTGTAGTGCTTTTCTGGTGGTAACGAATTCTTTCACCTATTATTTTAACCTTATTAAAGTGTTAATTTTGCCTTTTGAAGATTATTTTCACTGGATATGTAGTTCTGAAATGACTTATTATTTCTTCTCTATACTTTAAATAATTTTTAGATTTTCATTTAGCTTACATTTGTTCTGATGAGAAGTCAGAAGTATTTTTTACCATTATTCCCTTTTCTATTATGTGCCTTTTCTCCTGCCTACAATTAAGAATTTTTAATTGTATTACTTTGTTGATATTCTACATCTCTCCAGTGTCTTCCATTTTTTCTTCTAAATCCTTGGACATATTTTAATACCAGCTTAATAATGCTTGTTTTTATTCTTAACAACATCCTGGCTATCTTAGGTCTGTTTCTATTGCTTATTTTTCTCCTAATTTTCTCATAGTTTTCCACTATTTGTGCAAGTTTAATAATTGTTTTTACTTTATATTTGACATTTTTCATATTATATTATTTAGATTCCAGACTTCTGTCTTTGGTAGAAGTGTGTTGAATTTTATTTTGAGCAGACACTTAATTTACTGGCACATTAGTTTGATCCAGTTGGTGCTTATTTTTAGGTTTTTAAGGCTGATTTTAGAGTATTTCTTCTGATAGGAGTAGATGAGCCCTACTTTGGAAGCTGACTTTCCTGAGTTCTTATTTAAACGCTGGGAGTTGCTTAGTGAGTCTTTTCACTTCGGCTAGTTGAAACTCTAATGGCTCTCAACATTGTTGAACCAGTGAAATCCTCATTCAGCTCATTGCCTCTCAGAAACTGTTCTCTGTGTGGCCTTCTGAAATCTTACTCTGTACATGCGTAATATGTTGTTCACTCAAAAAATTCAAGAAGACTTCATTTGTAGATTTTTAGATCTCTTTCTCAGGTTGACTCTCTCTTCTCTGGAATCTTCTTCATAAATTCCAGCCACCTCAGCTGCATCCTACAATCTGTTTCTCCATTCAGAAAAAATGCTGCTATCTATTTAGGCTCCTCTTTCCTTCTCTGCAGTTTTGGAAGTAGCCTTATATAAAAGGCCAGCTTTAAATGTGGAGTTCACTTCAAGGATCATGACTCTATGCTGTGTGTTGTAGAATGCTTTAAAACGGGAACATCGTACATTTTGTCTAGTTTTATAGTTGCTTACAGCAGAAGAATCAGTCTGAAATCCATTATTTTATTATGGCCAGAACCAGAAGTCAAGCACTCTGTTTTTTAAAAAAGCACATATTGTGTACCTGCTATCTTCCACATACCATACCAGGTGTGTTCAAATACATACTCAAGTCAGCTTTTACTATTTGTTGTTCCCCATGAAGGGCTTACATTTTATATTTTTTTCGGAGACAGGGCTTAGGCAGATTTTTATTCAATATCTATGCATTTGCTCATGCTGACTATTTCTGGTATATTTTTACATACTTCCTAAATACTGTTTGTCTTGCAAGATTTATGGCACTTCTTTTCTGCATGTTTTTCTAATTCATCTCCAAAATCAACCTTTCCCAACTTCATTTGTTCATAAGGTACTTTTAAATTCACCTCTGTTATAGCATTTTCCCTGTTGAATTATAGCTATCTCTGTATGTGTTATAAAAACCTAGCAACATTTTAGGCTGCAACTGCCACTTTCTCATCTTTGTGACTCAGCTTGTCACAGTTGCAAGTGCACATATTAGGCCATTTCTAAGCGTTTGTTGTGCTGAATACATGCTACCTAATTTAAGTCACATAATAATCTTGTGAGGTATATAGTATAATTATCATTATGTTTAATAAATGAATTGAGTCTCAGATAAGTTAATTATTTATTCTAATTTACTAGTGTCAGTGATAGAACTGAATTCTGAATTCAAGCTCCATGTTTCCAACTCCAAATTTAGTAATCATCACTATACCACATTTATCATGCATTGCCTTCACTCTTGTTAGCCCGACAAATAGGAAAATAATACAATAATCCTTAAATATCAGTACTATCTCATACAATTTCATATAACTCATACAATTTTAATCAAATTGAAAAGGTCTATACAGCTTAATTAGTCTAACTCCCCATTCAATGGCCATATTTTCTCTACAGCATTTCTAACCATAAGACTCTGTTTTGATCCTTCTGTTTGTGTCCCCCATCCCTTAAAGCAATCCATGTATGATAGTAATTATTAATTCCTTATAGTAGTTTACATATGCCATCCTAAAACTTGTATCCACCATTTCTTTCTTCACCCTTAATGGCTGCATAAAATTTGTCTCCTTGGTCATTCATTGGCAAGCCTTCAAATATTTGAAAACAACTCTAATGTTGCCTTAAGTCCTCCTTCTTTCAAGCAAAGCATGTTTAGTTGTTTTCTTTGCCCTTCTTCTTAGATTGGTTTCTACTCCTTACATGAAATATTTTCTGTTTGTGGCCCAGATTTTAAGAAATCTAAAACTATAAAACATACTGTCCTGTATGATCACAGTAATCTGTGAAGCCATTATTATCTTAGGTGTTATTACAAAGCTCTTACTTTCCCTTTCCAAGATGAACAACATAACAACATGAATAAAGAAAATGTTCCTTCTGGTAACTAGAAGAGTTAGAGTAACTATGATTTACAGATGAAAACCTAGGGCCAGAGCCTTCCTGTAGAATATTAGACTTCCTTTTCAAGAGGTGGCCCCCTATATAATATTTTTAAATTATCTGCCCTCTCCCTTCAATTCTGTCACTCTGTTATGCTCTGTTGAAAAGAGACAGTGAAGGAGTTATATTTGGAAATATGTCCCATATTTTTTCTGATCACTGGAATGCAGAGGTGAATATGGATTTTATGAGTCTGTAGATTTAGGGAGTACATATTTTCAGTAATTAATTCTACAATCTTAAAAATAGCTCTCACCGTACATAACAGCTGAATGGTGGGAGTTGGACATAATGGAGAAAATATGGACTAAAGAGATTATGAATAGGTATTATAGAGAATCCATATTTTAATTGGGTGAATTAAGTAAACTCTTGGATGGATTAAAAGGTTAGGCTCTGGTTGGATGTGGTTTTCCCTTAAGTTCCAGAAATATGTCAACTCCCGATTTACAACAAAGGCCCACATTCACAAAAAGAGAAAGGCACCTCCTTCCCTACCTAGTAGAAGAAACTAATATTGCCATCAGACCATCCATATGCCATTATTTTGTTATATTACTCAGGCTATAATAGGCAGTGAACTTTCAATAATATATCACCTGATCTTTTGGTGTTTATATTAGAAACCTGTAATCTTTCTCTGATAAAGAGAATGAGCCCATGAGCCAATATACCTGACAAATGTGTAAAGGCAGGGGCAGTGCCCAGGTGTCCCTGTGAAGTCTATCTCTGCCACTACTTTCTCAGGGCCCCGGAGGGTACATATCTCATGCAAGCACACACTTGCACTCACGTGTGTGCATGTCTACCCTCTGGATTAGCCGAATTCTCCATTCACCTTTAGTTTTGCCTCATATTTTGGGAGTTCAGATTAGAAAACTGATCTAATCCATCCACATTTCTGGCATCCCTAAGCTCATATGGGATCAGTGACCTCATGATCCTTTAGATTTGTTGTTAGTATCTGAGTATTTACTTTCAAGTGTTAACTAACCAAAGTGAAATCTTAAAATCTTCAGCTAAAGATATACTACATGACAGGCATACAATTTTGGAACTGCTTTGTTATGAACCTATACAAGATAAATTGGCAGTGGTCACATATTATAAAGTGGGTGCTTGAACAAACCTTGATGGCGCAGCTTCCATCTCAGGACTTTTTAAGATCCAGTGGTTGCTTAAAGAGAAATTAGTCTGTTTGCTATAATCTGTTGGGGAAATCACCAATGCAATATGCCATTAGAATGCACATATTTCTTACAAGGTACCTGTGGTAAAGCTCTTCCTGTCATCCTAAACTGGAGGACGTATGAAATTAGCTTGCATCATGGAAGTTTAGATGCAGCTGAAAATTCAGAGACAATTGTTTTATCTTAAAAGCTATTTTCACTTTTCCATTGCCACATTTAAAAGTAAAGGTTTATAGAGAAATATTCTCAAGTGATTATGGAACAAGTGCAGGAAAATATAAGAATAAAAATATGTATTTCAAGGCATCCATTCTAATTCCACTTCTAAAAATAGTCAAGTGTGCAAAGCTGCGGTTGCTGGGGGATTGCTTCAATGAAGCTGCATCGTCACCATCAACTACATTTTCAGGATCCACAGTCTTGATAGATATACTTTATTTTTTAATATTATAGCGGAAGAAAGTGTAATAATTTGGTGGGAATTTCCTCCTATGTATGATATAGGAAGGTAGACAAATTAGCATCTGCCTGTGCTATGATGATCACAGGAACAATATTGCAGCTGACAATGCCAAGAAATTACTGTCCTTGAATAACGTCAAGCTTTACATTTTTGATTACCGGAATTTCAGTGGCAAATATTGCAATCAAAATTGAATTTCATAACACTTTGGATTCATTCTACGATAGTAATATTCAGCTTCAAGTGAATAATGATGTTGATACTCAGCTTTTCAGTGTTTGGCCAAATATTTATTTGGTGCATCTCTACTTTATATATATTTGCAGATTTAAAAATATTTTTTTCTGCTGTGTATCATCATAACTGATACACATACACATACATACACACAAAATCTTATGGAAGGCAAATGCAAACATATACACAAAGAATATATTATAGGAAAATGTGAAAAAAGAAAACATTCAAAGCAGAAATCATTACATAAGATGTCAAAACTCAAACTAAACATATATTCACTGTTATATGTAATGAAATAAAATTAATAATTAAAGCAAAAGACTGATATTGGACAAGAAAAAATGTGTTGATAATTCTGTTAGCTCCACCCAAATCCTTTATCTGACTTTCAGTACTCTGTTCTGTGCTCCAGGAGGTGAACTCCTAAGACTTTATCATTCAGGTTCCTCTGCCAGCTAGCTCCTAGTTGAACTGGATTAATGTAAGGCACTGGCAATGGGTCAGATGGCAGAAGGAGAGAGAGAGAAATCCTGATATCTATTCCCTACTTTCTTCCTAATTCTGCATGAATATAGTTTCTATCAGATAACTCTTCTCCACAGCACCAGCTCTTCCTAGGCTTCAATAATACAAATTATACACCTTGCCCCTTCAGGTCTAGGGATGGTAACAGCGTTTCACTGTTCCTGGTGTCTGAGTATTACAGAATCCCTTGCTGGGGTTTTAATTCCTGCTGTAACTGAGGTAAGTAGTCCATTCACCAAAGTGTCTATTGTGGACCATTGAAGCAGATTTCTTTTTCTTTTCTTTCTTTCTTTTTTTAATAATAGTGATGGGGTCGCTATGTTGCCCAGGGTGGTCTTGAACTCCTAGGCTCAAGTGACCTCCCGCCTTGGCCTCCCAAAATGCTGGGATTACAGGTGTGAGCCACCATACCAAGCCTGAAGCAGATTTCTGTTTTATACAAGGGTCCCAATTAATGTAGAAGCTATTACAAAATGGGGTATGTAAGAATATCTCTTTCTTAGGGAATAACAGGTAGCTATACCTTGTACTGCCTACCACACAGAAAGAGCAGAGTGACTGAGAGGCTACTCTGGATTTTGGAAGTAACATTACTAATTTGTGTGTATTCAAACCTATTTACAGGCTAACTCACAAGTCTACCCATTTAGAACAAATAGCTCTTTGCAGCAGGTTCAGTCTGTGCTGTACACTCCTCTGCTGCATGGGCATTTTGACTCAGTAGATCTAAGTATCTGGCTTAGAGTAATGCTGTTTGAAGATTCTCAGTAACCCCAAGAAGACAATCACAGTTCACCTAACTAATGATTTTGGAACAAAACTATGTCCCCTTCTGCCAAATATTTTTATCTATTTAAGAAGTCTGGCTTGTCACCATGTAACTATGTGATTTGAAGTGTTCACCATCAACTGGGTGCTATCCAAGTTATCAAATCTTAAAATTGTGCTTGAAAATTAGCAGGTTATTATATAATGGAATCGATATGGGTGACATTAAGGCTGAACAGGAAGGGGAGTCACAAGTATATTGAATGAGCAGGTGGTTCAGACCTTTATTAGCTATTCCTGCTTAGTTATCAAATTTTCCTCAACTCTCATTCATATTCAACAGGGAAATCCCCTAAAGAGAAGGTGCTCAACAATCAGGTAGATTAGGTGTCTGATCTTTCCTGTGGATGTCTATCAAGCTTTCTCCCAGTGATACTGGTGCTTACTTAGTGGAACCATGCAAAAAGTAGTCATAGTTGTATGGATGGTAAATATGCATGAACTCAACACAATGGACTACCCTTTAGCAACCCTGATCTGTCTACTATCACTGAGTGTCCAACTTGTTAATACCAAGGGCCAATGTGTTCCTCATATGGCACCATTTCATAGGGACACCGACCAGTCACCTGGTGCCAGGGTGATTACATTGAATCCTTTATATTGTGGAGTAAGCAATCATTTGTCCACATAAAACCAAATACGTATTCTGGAAATGGGTTTCTCTTCTCTGCCCTCAATGCTTCTACCAGTGTCACCATATGTCACCTTATAGAATGCTTTATTCATTGCCATAACATCCCATACTACATTGCCTTTGACAAGGAAACTCATTTTACAGCAAAACAAATTGTCACAAAAGATCCATGCACATGTTTCCCCACATGTCCCATCACCAGCAAGCAGCTGGCCTGATAGAATGATGGAGTGGCTTCCTAAACGCTCAGTTTCAGTGCCAGCTGTGACACAATATTGTTTGAAATTGTGGTGTTGGCCTAACAGATTAAACTATTAGCTGATATATAAGCCATATTTCCAAAAGCCAGAATATGTAGGATCAGGAACTAAGAAGTAGAATTATTTTACCTAATATTCTATTTATGGAATTTTGTTTCCCTTCCTGGAAACTTGTATTTGGTAGCTTTGGAGGTTCTCTTTTCCAAGGAAGGAACATTTCTTTCAAGAAATATAGCTGTGTTTCCGTTAAATTTGGACCTGAAATTGCACCCTTGCTATTTTTAGCTCCTAATACCATTGACCTAACTGGCAATACAGAGTTTAATTATACTAAGTGGATTGATTAATTCTGATTAACAAAGGAAAATTAGGCAAGTAGGCCTAGTTGGAATCCAGGAGATCTGCTGTGGAGCCTTTTAGCATTTATATGTCCCATAAAGAGCCACCAAATAAAGACAGGATCACTAGGGATTTTGATCCTATGAAATGAGGATTTGGGTCATCCCATGAGACAGTAATTCCTGTACCACAGAAGTAGTAAAGGGTTGCTTGAAAATGGAATGGATGATAGAAAAAGGATTTTATGATGATACAATTTAGCCTCATGACCAAAAGTGAAACAGTATTAGCTAATTTACATATTTATGTTAACTGAATATTTCTTTCCCCTCACTCTCCTTGCTATCTCATATAAAGAGTATTGATAGTGGGTGACATTAACATTTATAATCCAGTTGGGAATAAGACTGAATTGCTGACACCCTGCCACAATTTAAATTATGCTAGGACTGTGGTCTCCCTGTACTGGAGATCCAATTTTCTTAATCTAAGCAAGAGGCAAGAATGAATGCAAAGTCAGAGTAATGTTCTGGTAAGTTTCTATTGACTTCATGGATTTATTTTCTTCCCTTGTCTAACTTGCTCTGTGCTCATGGATGCACAGCCATGCAGTCAACATCATCCAGATTCCTTCGTAGCCTGAATTTCAGCAGAAGGCACTCAGTGGGAGGCTCCTGTAGGGTTCAAGTTAGGTGGAGAGGAGAATGGGTTATTTCTTCCCCGATTCCCTCTGCTTTGGTTCTGTGCTTCTGCCAGGGGCTGCATCTCTCCATAACTAGAACTCCTGTTATGTGACCTTTCCTTGCAGCTCCAGAACTCACTTAGCTCTGGTAATACTATCTTTTCTCTTGTCCCTTTATGGCTTCCGTGGTTGATGTCTTTGTTCCTCTGCATCTCTCTCTCTCTCTCTCTTATTTTTTTAACCCTAGCTACATCTCTGTAAACAGACTCTTTAGGTTCTTGACAGTGGAAACTCTGAGAGGAATCATAATTCCTTCCAGGATTACATTCAGTAACAAAGCCAGTGATTTATTGCATACAAGCAGCAACTCTAATAAAAATTAACTCAAAAGCTTGAAAGTGAAGCTTTGGGCAAAAGAATTACAGGCAAATGGAAATTTTTTTAAAAAAGCAAAGATCACAATATTTAGAACAAACAGGTTTTATTCATGATTGGTAAAAAAATACGAAGTAGGACAAAGGCACTTTGTATCAATAAAGAGGTCAATATAAATAAGTAACTGTCATAAATATTTATTAAATATGTATGCAAAATTCAGAAAGCACAAAACTTCAGAAGCATTTTTTAAAAGACAATTTATAATGCTATTTTTCAGCTGATGGGAGATCAAGTGAAAAAACATAAGTGAGATTTAGGAGGACATAAGCAATTAATGGAGGATAACTAATATGTCCATATTTATTCAAATACTCATGGAATAATAGCCAAAGTGGACAAAGTATTGGGCCTCAATGAAAACCTTAGCATACTCCAACAAGTAAAAATAGTGTATAATTTAGTCCGTGATGACAATGTAATAAAACTGGAAATTATTTCTGGGAAGTGATATTGCCTGCAATTGTTAATTTCTACATTTAAAAAAATAATTATTCTATTATTTTGTTCAGTAAACATTGTACTTTTTTATAGTTAAAATATGAAAATACCCAAATATATATAAAAAGTTCATGATATATAGTTTTAAAAATACCATACAAATATCAAACTTAGAAGAAGCATAAACAATTGTAGCTGTGCTAATAGCCCTCAATGAATTCAGAATTTTATAACTAGATCTTAAAAGGAGGGTAAGAAGTACATGTATAGTAACTGGACAGTGCACAGCCACAAGTTGGGTGTAGCCCTATAAATTGTCTATTTTAAAGTATACACATATAGTAATTTGCTATTCAGAAATGTTGAATCATTTAAAAATAATTTTATGATTACACAAACAGTATATGTGCATCAGAGAAAGGTTTTCAAATGTGGAGGAGCAAAATGTGTTGAAATAGTCCTATAAACAAGAAACCACCATTGTTAGTACCTTTGCCTCTAGCCTTACATATTATTTTTCATCAAATATACACTTTGTAACCTCTTTTTCAGTCAATAATTTTCACATTTTTCTTTTCATTATATATAATATCCATGCTGTATTTAGATGTCTTTAATTAATTAAACATTTTTCTTTAGGGCTGATTTCTTTAAATCAGTCTCAGTGCAGTCCTGCACATTATATCTAATTGTCCGTCACTTAATTTTTTTAAAATCTAGAATTACCCCCCTTTTTAAATGGTACTGACTTGTTAAAGGAATGAGGCCAATTTACCTACAAAATGGCATACCTTAGGGCTTTGCTTGATTGCTTTCTGTGTCTAAATTTACACCTAATGCCTTAATGGCTGCCAGTTAAACATGCTTGACTAGATAAATCACAGGTGAAATTTTGTACCTCATGTTGTACTACATCAGAAAATTTGTAATGTCAGGTTGACCTACAGTTGAGACATTAAGAGTGATCACTGGTTTGTGTGATATCTGATATCTGATACTGATATCATCCTTCAGTTAGATTGCCCCTTTTGCAAGTATGGGATGCTATGAAGGTCTACTTCCCCATAAGCCTTCACTTAGTGAATTTTAGCAGCAATGTTTCTCTTTCTTAAGCTTCCACTGAAATATAATATAATTGAATTACACAAATCATAATTGTATAGCTCAAGGAATTAGTTCAGAGTGAACACACCCATGAAACTACCAACCTGGGTCAAGAAACACTCAAAGGACATAGGAGGCTCCTCATGCCCCAACCACATTACTTCCCTCTCCCTTTTCCCAAAATGTAACCACTGTCCTGATGTCAAATGGCAAAGAATAATTTACCCCCTATAAATAGACTAATACAGAAAGTGTTTGTATTTGTTCCTCTTGTTCAAAATTATGATCAAGATTCACAGATGTTATTGTGTGTATCTTTATAATATTCATTTTGATAGATGTAAAGTAGTACAATCTGTTCATATACAACTATTCTTTCCTGTCTCGCTGGACATTGCTTTCCTTCTGTGGCTAAATAATCGATTTGTGAACATTGTTATAAGTCTCTATGACTACATATGTGCATACATTTCTGTTGAATGCATTCCCAGAAATGAAATTCTTAGATCATACAGGACTCATGTGTTCAAATGTTGTAGATAATATGAAACCTGTTTCCAAAGTGGTTGTTCGAAATTCATCTGATAGCATTGTAAGAGATTTCCAGTTGCCTCAAAACCAAATCAACACTTTAAATTGTTTCCTATCTTTTAACTTTTCTGGTGAATGTATGGTATTTTTCTCGATGGACTTAATATTTAAGCACAAGTGAGGTTGAACGTCTTTTAAAATGTTTATTAGATATTTGTATAATCTCTTTTGTAAACTGCTTTTTCAAAATACTTTCCCATTTTCCTATTGGGTTGCCTGTCTTTTTAATGTTGGAATTTTTATGTATTCTGCATATAAGCCATTTGTCAATTATATAAACCGCAAATAATCTAGTTTCACTTGCTTTTGCTCTCTTACTGGTGCCTTTTTAGGGAAGAAAACACTTAATTTTAATACAGTTCAAATCATTAATGTTTTTCATAACCTGCTTAGGAAATCCTTGCCTTCCAAGGCCCTGAAGATATTCTTTATTATCTTATAAAATTATTGCTTTTCCATTCCCATTTAGATCTACATGAATGAAATGGTTTTGTGAATGAAGTGAGGTAAAAATCTAGATTTCTTTTTCCATACTGATACAGGATTCTATACTGTTATATTGGACTATCTATGCTTGTGATATTTACCTTTCTTCATTACTATTGTTTATGTTATAGCCTTGATATCTGGGACTGTAAGTACTTTGTTCTTTTTTGAGATGTTAGCTGTTCTTAGCATTTTGCATTGTCATCTAAGTTCTAGAATCTACATGTCAATGGATAAAGAAGCCTCTTGGAACTGTGATTGATACTGTAATCAACAGATGAATTTAGGAAAATGGACATATTTATAAATTTAAGTTTTCAATTTATGAACACATTCTATCTCTTTATTTATTTAAGTTTCATTCAATATTACCTAATAAAGTTATATAGTTCTATGGAGATTTTGCATATATTTGATTAAACTTATCTAAAGTATTTGATGTTTTGGTGCTATTCAAAGGGGTATCTTTTTTATATTTTAATCTTCTATTTATTGTATAAAGAAATACAATTTTAAAAATATTGGCCTTATATCAGAAATCAAACAAAACTGTTATATTAATTCTAATAATTAAGTAGAAAATTATCTTGGACATTTCATAAACAGAAATGCATAGTGTGAAAATGGGAGTGGCATTTTACCTTTCTGGTCTTTAGTCTTTACTCCTTGCCCTCTTGCACTGGCTATGAATGGATTAAAATAAAGTAGGATGGACTAATGAGAATAAGTAATCTAGCCTCATATTTTATCTTGCAGACAAAATGTTTAACATTTCACATTAAGAAGGATTTTGCTGCAGATTTTTTTCTTTTTTTTTGAAGATTATGTTTATCAAATTAAAATGCTACAGTTTGCTGAGGTTTTCAATTCTAAAAAATACTATTATCAGAGATTTTAGACAAACATCTGATTTTTCTTTTTATTCAGAAGTAAATTGCACTAGTAGACTTTTAAATGTTTTTGGCAAATTTGAGCAGAAGGAGGATAACCTTTCAAACACAAAAGTTGCAAGAAAAGTATAAGAAACCACAAAATATTTTTATTGAGATTTTCAGATTCATCAGTTGTTTATGTTTTGCTCCATTTATTTATGATTTTTCCTCCTCTGTCATTCTTCTCTTTTTTTTGAATTATTTAAGACTAATATGTCAAATTTGCCCTTCTACCCTGTTAGGGTTTGGCTGTGTCCCCACTCAAATCTCATCTTGAATTCCCACATGTGTGGGAGGGACCCAGTAGGAGGTAATTGAATCATGGGGGCACGTTTTTCCTATGCTGTTCTCATGATAGCAAATAAGTCTCAAAAGATCTGATGATTTTATACAGGGGAATTTCCCTGCACAAGCTCTCTTCTCTTGTCTGCCACCACTTGAGACGTGGCTTTCACCTTCTACCGTGATTGTGAGGCTTCCCTAGCCATGTGGAACTGTGAGTCTATTAAACCTCTTTTCTTTTGCAAATTGGCCAGTCTTGGGTATATCTTTATCAGCAGCATGAAAACTGACTGATACATACCTCCAAATGAATCAATTTGACTTTCTAAAAAAAGGACATCTCCCTATAACCAAAGTATAATTATCAAAATCAAAAAAGTTTACTCATTGATTTTTTAATGTTAAAACATACTTGCATTTCTGGAATTAAAGGAAGTTTGTTAGTCTACATTAAACTTTTAAAATATGCTACTGAATTTGCTTAAAAATTTGCATAAGATTTTTACATCAGTTTGTATATGAAGCCTGGATTTTGTTTTTATTTCGTGTACTGCCCTGTAAGATTTCCTATCAAGATAATGTGGCCATCATAAAATGTGTTGGAAATGGTTTCCGCAATTATAGAAACTAACTGTTATAGAACTCTAAGTGTTATAAAAGAATTACTATTCCATTATTAAATCTTTAGAAGAATTTGCAGGCAAATCCTGGCATGGACTATTCCAAAATGGAATATGTTAAATATTTAATTTCATTAATATAAATCAGATTACTCACATTTTCTTTTTTTCCAGTGTCTGCTTTAGTAAGTAGTATTTTCTTAGAATTTGTCCATTTTTTCTAAATTTTCAAATTGTTGCCAAAATTTGTTCATATCCTTAGATTTTTAAAAATCACATGTATTGATGTATAATTTACATTCATTAGAATTTACTCTTCTTAGATATCCAGTTTGATGATTATTGATAAATTGCATTCATTAGAATTTACCCTTCTTAGATATACAGTTTGATGATTATTGATTAATGTCTATAATCATATAACTACCACCGCAATCAAGATACAGAATACTCCCATCACCCCCATAGATTCCCTCAATTTCCTTTGTACTAAGTCTCCAACCCCTACTTATATATCCTGCAACCACTGATCTCCCTGTATAGTTTTGCCTTTACCAGTATATCATATAAATGGAATGAAACAGTGTATTGCCTTTCATGTCTTTTGCGAAATTATGTTCTTTCGTGGATTTTAAGTTTCTTCTTTTTAAATTGCTAATATTAACCTACTATCTGTATATAGAAAACTTTGTTTATCACTAGCTGATTGATGTACATTTGAGTTGTTTCCAGGTTTAAGGTATTGTGAATAATGCTGCTATAAATATTTGCATATAGGGATTTACATGAACTTCCCCTGCTCCCTTTTTCGGGGGTAAATTCTTAAGAGAGGAATTTCTAGGTTGTATGTAAGAGAATATTTAAAACGATAAGAAACTGCCAAACTGTTTTCCAAAGTATCATTTTGCATCCCGCTAGCAAACTGAGAGTTTTGTGGTCCACATCCTCACTATCACTTGATACTTTCAGTTGTCTATAATTTTTAAATTTTAGCCAATTTAATTATATGTGTAGGGGCATCTCATTGTGGATTTAGTTTACATTTTTCTAATGAATAATAATGTTGATCATTTCATATGCTTACTGGCCATTTGTGTATCTTCTTTGGTTAAGTGTTTGCTTAAATCTTTTCCTACTTTAAAATTTTAAAAATTTAAAATTATTTTATATTCTGCTAATATTTTAAAACTGAAGCTCACAAAACACTGAAAGGGTTAATTCAGACAAACTGGCAGAAACTGCAGTATCTGATAATCTATATATATTACTTACCAATAATTGGTACAGAGTTGTGATTACTGATTACTAGGACAAAGCACTTCTGAGCCTTTAGAGAACTTATTTTCTTGGACTGGATTTGCCAAAACAAAATTGATCTTTCGCTATATGTTTTTGGTCATATCTCAAAGAATAATATCTTTAGGAAATAATTCAAAATATCCAGAAAAATGCTTATCTCAAAGTCTACTTCTGAACCTTTAAACTTGACCCAACCTCCCACATATGTTTTCCAGGCAATTACTTTGGCTTTCTCTAATTCATTCTCTAGTCAGGATCTTAACTTTTTTTTTTTCCCCCAGCTTTCTTGAACTAATAGTGTCTGTGAAACATATTCTTGGAAAGCAAACAAAGAAACACACAGTTAACCAAAAGTTAACAATTTGATGAACAGTATCATGCCAAATGTTAGAATACCATACTAGTAGTATGCTTCTGTTGTTTGCTTGAGGATCTAATGAAATCATAACATACGACTCTCAGAAAACGGCAAGGTAAAGATGACTTCTTAAAGATGTCCTAGACTTAAGAGTGATCAGGTTCTAGGTAGGAGACTGGGTCCAAGTGCTTTTTAACTTTCACTCCAGTAAGATTTTATCTTTATCAGAAGGAATGATATTTTTTAAATGATAGTTAAAAACAGGTAAGAAATGAGCGATTATTACACAACAGTGCACTGTATAGTATGTGATAAACGTCTCTCTCTCTTTTGACTTAACAGTCTGAATTAAAATACTACTATTTCATCAATCAATATGATATTTAAATCACCAAATTAAAAATGATCACTGTGCGTTAAAATTTTCTCTGATGACACTTCACTATGCAGAACATGGTAATTACTTTATGGAATCAGCTATTCCAAGGTAACTGGGCAGTTACAATATTTTATCAGGTAAATTACCAGTCACCATCAACATTCATCACGGACTCATTTGGGTTTTATTACAGATTGACATTTACTTATTTGCCCAATTTTTAAAATTACAACTGTTGCACGATTGCCCCAGGGTGCAACTGTAGAAAATTAGCACACTAATTACATTAATTATCATAAATAAAAGGTTATCAAAGAGTAGCATGTAATAACATAGCATTTTTTAAAAGCAACTTAGGGCATCCCTATAATAGCTTAAATTTAGATATTACATTGAAATTTTCAAGACTGCTTTACCTCTATAGTTTTAATCTTTAACACCTCGGCCATAGGAATGTTACTATTAATGCCATTTCAGAAATGAAGAAGCCGCAGCCAAAACAGCTGTGTGATTGCCCTAAGATCATATACAGCTGGAACATTTTAAGGTCAAGTCAAAAACCATATTTCCTAAACTTCCAACATTCTATTTTTTGCCTCTATATTTTTCTGCCTTTTAGGGATGAAAAGTAAAATATTTATCTTTTATGCTCCAATGTATCAACACTTTAAGTGAACTGAAGACCAAAAAGTTATTCTGATCTGCTTGCTTTTTCCCACCTCTATTGCTACCGACGTAGTCAAGCAAACATCATCTTTCCTCTCCAGTACCTGTAACAACTCCCTTCCTTCTTGCCCCATAAAAATCCGTATTATACAGAGAAACCCAACTGACTTTTAAAATATGAATGAGATCATGCCCTTTTTTTTGCTTAAAATGATCTGTGGATTCTCAACATATTAGAATAAAATGTAAATCACCAAGTCCTATAAAATTCATGTAATCTGACCCCCTCTCCAATTTCATCTCCTATCACTCTGTATCCCCTCATTATTCTGCTTTTTTTTTTTTTCTGATTGTTGAGCCTATTGCCAAGATTGAGCCTGCCTCTGAGTCTTTGTTCTTCTATTTTGCTCTGTTTGGAATGTTCTACCCCCAGGTTTCTGCAGAACTGGTTTCAAATTCCTACTCCTCAAAGAGACTTTCTTAAATAACTGAACCTAAACTGACCTTTCCTCTTTCTCCTTCTTTCCTACAGCCTATCCTGTAGTCATTCCTTATCACCTTCTGTTTTATTTTTATGCCATTTTTCTTTGCTCTCAGAAATTATCAACTCCCACACCTTAGAAGTCCACAGAAGAGCTTGTGTATCTTGATTACTACCTGTAACAGAAGCTATGCATTCTTCACTCCTATCTCTAAAGGCTGCTCTGGAAATCACCTGCAACTTCAGCTGATGGTTCTCACATATTCCAAAGAGCTTTCTATCTCAACATCTCTCAGCCTGAGGCCATTCTCTGAGTATTCTTCCTAGCAGACAAGAAATGCCAGGAAGTTAATGGCTCAAGGTATTAGGTTGGTGCAAAATTAATTGTGGGTTTTGCTATTAATACAACCTTTAGTCCATAGATAAAGTCAGGAAATTACTATGTACACAGCTCCTTCATTCCTCAGGTGGCCAATTATAAAGGTGTGTTCGACATCTTCAACAGTCTCCAGCATGACTCAACCCTAGTTGCACACAGTAGAAACCAGCTTATTCATGTGCACTTCATTGCCTTTCATTTCTCCATCTATTTTGTTGTTAAATAAAATAAAATCACACCCACTTCCCTGTCCCCAGTGCCTGATTGGACTCATCGTACATACTATTGTCCTCTTCCCTGCTCTTTGTTTTCACCATTTTTCTTCCCCACTGGCTTGTCTTGTCTCCACTAATAATCTTCTTTCTATGACTTTCCTCTCTGAGCCATATGCTTTTATCTCTCACCAATGTCCTGGATCACTGTCTTGAAGGTGGTTATCTCCACATGGCCTTTTTGTCTCCAAGTTTCGATAACTAATACTGCCCTTCATCCCTTCAGGCCTAGAGAAGGTAACAGTTGCAGGGTACATACAAAATTATCCCTTTTGGTTTATCCATACTCTATCCACAGCTTTTAAATTGCTCTTTTATTATATACTACTCAAATTAAACAACTTAAGCGTATTGTGTATTTTCCCTAGTACACTGTTAGGTACCATTTGTACATTCAGGTTTTAGTGTATACTCAAAGAGAGATTTTCCTTTCTTTCTTCCTATGAGATTTTTCACTTATTTCTTGAAATTGGTTTAAAGAATACAGCATATCCAGGTTTTAGGGGAAAAGAGACTTGGCACTAAAAACGATAATACTTTGCTATGCACTGAATTCACAAGAACAATTTTTTAAATCTATTTCTGCTTTTTCAATTCCTAGAGAAACCATTTTCTGTCTGATATATCTTCTTTCTTCAGAAACCTTATTTTTGTTATAGCTCAAAGCAAACCTCTCATGCTTCTCTTTTGGAGGTAAACTTTCTCTTTGGAGTAGCATAAAGACATTGTACTCTTAGTTACTTCTCTTCAGTTTATTTTATTTTATTTTATGAGGAATTAAATGTATAGAATGAAATATACACAATTAAAGTTATACACCCATGTGACACACATCTTAATCCAAACACAAAACGTTTATTTCACCTCATAAACTTCTCTCATGCCCCTTTCCAGTCAACATTGCGGCAACATAAGGCAACTGGTGATTTGGTTTCTATCACCATAGGTTAGGTCTGCCAGTTCTAGAACTTCATATAAATGAAACCGTAGCACATGTCATCTTTGGTTCTAGCTTCTTTCACTCAGTGGAGTTTTTGAAATTTGTCTGTTGCTGTATGTCTTGATAGTTTGTTCTCTTTTGTTTCTGAACAGTGTTGACTAGAAGAGTCAAACTCTTCAAAAATAAATTTGACTTAAGAGCGATCAGGTTCTAGGTAGGAATGGGAGGTGGATAGATCCCTCTGAAAATCTAAGGCTAAATATACTTTTAGTGATGGCTAATGGCAGTTATGGGAGGATTATGGGACTCTGCATGTTTGAATCAGAGAAACACGCTGTTAGCCACCTGCGAGGTATGGCAACATCCCTACCCCCAAAGAAAAATAAGACTCTCATGGGGGATGGGCTGTGTGCAAAAACAGGCTAATTGGTTTTGGGTAGCTATGCAATAAAATGCATGGTAAAGGCATTGCACTGTCTTCTCCTATAACATTTCCCTCTTTGGGGGGATCTAAGATCTGATATAAAAATGAGACCCTTAATTTTAGGGATCTGTTTTTGTCTTCCAGCTGTGCCTGCTTATTAGTCCCTATAAACTGCATGTTTTCCTAGCTTTGTTTCTTGAAGGGCTCCACCCTGAGGCCAGTAAGCCAATTAAGAAACCAGCAAATGAAAAATTCTACAACTACTGGTTCTTCTTCTGTCTGTATAGTTATATATGTGTTGTGTGTGTAATGTTTATATAAAAGATCTCTAATTAATCGGCTTAAAGAAAACTAAGCACTTAAATATTTTGAAAGAAAAATGAAAACTAATGTCTTTTAATTCACATAACTAGTAATCTTTGGGAAATAAAAATGGCTTTAAGAATTATTGATAAAATAAAGATATCTGGTCTAAATTAGTTCAGATATTAGGTTTGCTAAATGGTTTAAGGATTATGGGGACCCTGGGTAAAAAGCATACTCCAAACTCTTGGTATTATCCTCCCAATAATTACAATAACAGTCTCTTTTGTGTGCTATATTCCATCAAAGGTTTTAAATGTTTGCATACAGCCATGGTGTCTCTTCAACTGGAATGACAAGAGCTGAAAGAAATGTACAACCATGAGGACACTGTAACCTATGATTGACATAATGAGACTGGAAAACCAAAATGATGGTAACTGAGAGTGGCACTAAGGCCCAAAGTTTTGGTCATGCTCTCACCTAAGTGAGAAACTGACCAAAAAGGGGGACTTTGTTTTTAAACAAAATTGTGAGATGGCATTGTTTTAGACTGAGCTCATACATTATACCCCAAATGACCAAACCAAATCAAAATGCAGCCATTCGTGCTAAATATGCCATAATCAAACTAATTCTTTAAGAAAACACATAGATCCTAGAACAGACCAGGTTTTGTTTTTCTCCTGTAAACAGGACGTTCCAGCATAAGGGAGTTACCCTTTACTCAGTCCTTGTTCCTACCTTAACAAAACTCACTGTTCTACTCTTTCCCAGTGGGTTTGAAGACCAAATAAGTACATTTGCAATGGTAATAGTTAACATCAATGGCTAAAGTTTTGGTCAATCTCTTAAAATTGAGAAAGTGACCAAAAGGAGGGAATTGTTAAAGTGAACTAAATGTGGCCTGAGCACTCCATACTCCTATATTTGAGTCCTTCTGGATGAACTGCAACCTAATTTATAGGTAGACAAGATTGAAAACCTAACTTGGAAGTAGGCACCTGTAACAGTAGCTGAGTCTTGGCCAATCCCAGTAGCCATACTTCAACCACTCTTACACTGCCAAGTGTTTGAACTGTGTTCAAATAAGGCAAACACTGAGCTGTAACCAATCTACTTGTTTCTATATCTCACTTTCCTTTTTTTGTGCCTCATTTCCCTTTTTTTGTCTATAAATCTTCTTCCACCATGTGGCTGCACTGGAGTGTATCTGAGTCTGCTGTGATTCTGGGGACTGCCGTATTTGTGAATCATTGATTGCTTAATTGAACTCCTTTAACTTGGCTAAAGTTTTTCTTTTAATAAAGGAGATGTGAGACATCAATCAAATACATTTAAGAACTACATTGGTTTGGTCCAGAAGGTGGGACAACTCAAAGGAAGAGGGGGCTTCCAGGTTATAGGGAGACTTAAACATTTTCTGATTGGCAATTGGTTGAAAAGAGTTATTATGAATAGAAAGAAATGTCTGGGTTGCGATAAGAGGTTGTAGAGATTAAAGGTTTATCATGCAGATGAAGCCTCCAGGTAGCAGGCTTCAGAGAAAATAGATCATAAATATTTCTTATCAGACTTAAGGTCTCTGTTAATGTTAATGCTGCCGTGGTATGATAATGAGGCATGTTTGACCCCCACTTTCCATCATGGCTCCAACCAGTCTTTCAGGTTAAATTGTAGAGCACCCTGGCTGAGGAGGGAATCCATTCAGATGGTTGGGGGACCTTAGAATTTTATTTTTGGTTTACAATAGTATTTTATTGTATGAATGAACAACAATTTGTTTATTCTTCTGTTAAAGAAAATTTGATTGTTTTCAGTTATGCTTCTTTTTTTTTTTTTTTTTTGAGATGGAGTTTTGCTCTTGTTGTCCAGGCTGGAGTGCAGTGGCACAATCTCAGCTCACCACCACTTCCACCTCCCGGGTTCAAGCAATTCTCCAGTCTCAGCCTCCTGAGGAGCTGGGATTACAGGCATGCACCACCATGCCCGGCTAATTTTGTATTTTTAGTAGAGATGGGGTTTCTCCATGTTGGTCAGGCTGGTCTTGAACTCCTGACCTCAGGTGATACACCCAGCTTGGCCTCCCAAAGTGCTGGGATTACAGGCATGAGCCACCGCACCTGCCCCCCCATGCTTCTCTTGCTCTCTACATTTTTTGTAATGATGGAAGTCTCTGGCAATTAGTAGATAAATTTGATTTTCTTTCCTATTAGTCCCCTCTCACTATCTGCTTCTAGCCTTGAACTGTGGGTTAATGTCCAATTCAGAATTTGAATTTGAAAGAAGCCAATTATTTTGATTAAAAAGTAATTTAATATGGTTATACTACTTACACAAAATTCTAAATTAACATAATAAATATACTTTATTATAAGTAGGAACCTAAAAGTGTAATCTCTAGCTTTGGAGAAATAAGAAGTTTTAGAGATCCCCAATAACATACATGATGCCACAATTATACCTGCTGTCCTGATGCAAAGCCACTGCATAAGGTTTTACTGGTTGCATCTTCTATGAGGATGCCCATCAATGGGGAAAGTGGAGCACAATCACAATAATGCTGTGCTCTCCAACTCCGGACACTGGACTGGGACTGCTTTCCCCAGTTTGCAGCAGATAATGAACCTCATTTTCTAATTTTGTAAAGAATACTTAGGTGAGGTAAGCTATGAGCTTGAGGAGGGTATATACCTGGAGAGTCTGTCTTTCTCCAAGTCCATAAAGAAAGCTATTTGGGATAGCTGCATGTCATTTCAAAGGGTCTACCCTTACAGACATGAGTGTTTGTAATGAATAGCATATTTTTATAAAGACTCTTAAATACATTTACATATGGTGCTGTGCTCTTTTTTAATTTCTGAAACTTAAATGGAAAGATAGTAAATTCAAAATTTGGGGCAAATTTCTGTTCCAAGGAGGTTGTCACATGAGTTTGCCTTTGATGTTTTCCCTTTTTTTCTGAAAAAGAGCAAAAAAAGTCATTTAATTATGCATATATAAAATAAGTATTCACCCATTATTCCAGGGAAAAGCATGTGCTACATTAAAAAGAATCTTTTTAAGAAGACATAGAAATGGCTAATAGGTATGTGAAAAAAATGCTCAACATCACTAATATCAAGGAAATGCAAATCAAAACCACAAGATATCACCTTACACCTTTTAGGATGGCTATTGCCAAAATGATAAAAGATAACAAGTATCAGTGAGGATGTGGAGAAAAGGGAACTCTTATACACTGTTAGTGGGAACGTAAATTGGTACAGCCATTATGAAAAACAGAATGGGGTTTCCTCAAAAAATTGAAAATAGAATTAGCATATTACCCAGCAATCCCATGTCTGGGTATGTATCAAAAGTAATTAAAATCAGTATGTCAAAGAAATATCTGCACACTCAAGTTTATTGTAGCAATATTCACAATAGCCAAGATATGCAATCAACGTAAGTGTCCATTGATGGATGAATGAATAAAGAAAATGTTGTATATATAGACAATATTATTCAGCCTTAAAAAGAAAGAAGTTGGCTGGGCACGGTGGCTCACACCTGTAATCCCAGCACTTTGGGAAGCTGAGGCAGGCAGATCACAAGGTCAGGAGTTTGAGACAAGCCTGGCCAACATAGTGAAATCCCGTCTCTACTAAAAATACAAAAAATTAGCTGGGCATGGTGGCAGGTGCCTGTAATCCCAGCTACTTGGGAGGCTGAGGCAGGAGAATCGCTTGAACCCAAAAGGCGGAGGTTGCAGTGAGCCAAGATCGTGCTACTGCACTCCAGCCTGGGCAACCATGTGAGACTCTGTCTCAAAAAAAAAAAAAAAAAAAAAAAGAAAAAAGAAAGAAGTTATGTCATTTGCTAACAACACAAGTGAATCTGGAAGAAATGCTGAGTGAAAGAAATCAGGCACAGGATGACAAATGCTGCAGGATCCCACTCATATAAAGAATCTTAAGTAGTTGAACTCATAGAAGCAGAAAATAGAATGAAGGTTGCTGGAGGGGGATGGGGAGGAGGAAATGGGGAGATGTTTGCCAAAGGATTTAAACTTTTAATTATTCAGAATCAGTAAGTTATAGAGTTCTAAAGTACATCATGGTGATTATAGTTAATAATATCATATTGTTTACTATAATTTGCTAAGAGGATAGATCTTAAGTGTTCTCAACAGACATAGACACACACACACACGTAACTATGAGGTGATGATACATTAATTAGCTCAATTGTGGTAATCCTTTGACTGCATATATATATATATGGTTGGTAAATGTGAATGGGTGTCCATATATGCTGATATTCTGTTTTGAGGTCAGCTAATGGTTTATTTTTTTCATGTAAGGATTTAGACTTTACTATCTCCGAAAATCATCCCTTAATCTCGGAGGGAATGCCTGTGTTTAATCTTTTTCAACTAGTTATTTTATTAGGTAGTCAAGTAGTCTCACAGAGATTACAGAAAAAAAGTGTTCAGGCCCAATTTTCATCCCAAGGCAATGGATAAGATAGTAAAAAGGACTGACCTGGACCACTGAGGCTTAACTTGGAGCAGTCCGATGGTGCCTCAGGCATGACTGAATACCCAGGCTTAGGGAAGATGCTTCTATCATGCAATTATGTGCTGTTGGATTACTCCATGGATGCTCATCAATCAAGATTGTCTGAGGATGTGAGGATAAGTGGGTGTTCTGAAAGCTTTGGAAATACCCACCATAAATCATTCTTGGAAGAGAGGACAAAAAACATGGGCTAAAAAGGAAAATCTTACACTCTGGTGATGAGGGTTTTTTCCCCCTCTCTGAATTTGTGGTTATCACCTTGGATTCCAAGTAGAGAATATATCGTTCTACAGAAGTAATTCACCCCCAGCTTCAGAGCAGTTGTCAGGGACCTGGACAAAGACACCCTATTTGATCTATGAATGAGTCTGGATTTAAATCTACATGCTTGTGGGCTGATCACATCTAGCAGCACTTTACTACCTGTGCCGTACTTACATTTCTTCCATTATTCTTGAACTTTTGCAAAAACTGTTTAAATATGGAAAACTGTTCCAGCTATCATTGTTGAAAATTAGGGAAAGTGTTTGTCCCCTCATATGGAACAAAAGTAATCTTAGATTTTTGTCTGTACATAGGTACTTCAGAAACTGTTGAAGTGGTCAGCAGTGGAGCCAGCCAAATGGATGGTTGAGCCACAAGAGACATCATTACAGATGTGTGAAATATATAAGCCTGTTCTGGGGAATCCAAAAAGTATTTGAGGAAGTAAGATGAATGAACAAATCAATAAAACTAAAAAGGAAAGGAAAGGAAAGGAGGAAAGAAAGAAAAAGAAATAAAGAAGAAAGAAAGAAAGAAAGAAAAAGAAAAAGAAAGAAAGAAAAAGAAGGAAAGAAAGAAGGAAAGAGAAAGAAAGAAAGAAATGTACTTACTATAGAGTAGAGAGATGGGAACTTGAATCATTGTCACTTAAGGACTGACAAATAAGACGACCTTGTTTTGTGGTTATAAGATGGAAAATACTTTGTCATATCTAAATATGTTCACTTTATTCTATTCTTTTGTAGGAGATAGCCATCAAGGTTTGGTTTCTCTGTTCTTGGATAGCTTCTTACTGAAAGTGGAAATGTACTAGACAGATTCCTACTCTTTATAGTACCAACCTGGGTAGGGGCTGAGGGATAAGAGTAAAAATATGAGGTTCTTGAAATTCAGATTGCATTCTTTTCTCCTTCCATTTATTTATATGTAAGTGAAATCTGCTTAAAACAAACATCAAGGGCACCTTCCTAGGTGAAAAGAATTATAAGGGTTCTCAAAAATGGGCAATTTGTAGGCAAGCAAGGGGTAATCATCATCATCATTATCATCATCAATTTATAGTAATAACTACCATTTACTTAACACTTACTATTTGGCTTGCATATATATTCTTTAATCCTTTTTACAATCTAAATAAAGCATTATTATTCCTACTTATTGTTATTGATGACCAAGCTGACGCTCAGATAAGTTAAGTGAGTTGGTAAATATAGCTTAGCTAATAAGTGACTGTATCAGGATTGAAACCAAGTTTGGACTGGTTCCAATGCCAGGGAGTATTTCTGCAAACCAGAATGCAGCCCAACAGAGTTTTCTCTGGATTGTATATCTGTGAATTCTTAAGTGCTTTTTTTAAAAAAAACTTTTATTTCATAAGCTAGCAAAGTTCTTTTCTTCCCATAGACCTGCCTATGACTCATTCATTTAAGTGATAAGTCTAATTTGTCATTACCTATGGAGATGTCTCTGGAATCCCACCAAAGTTAGTCCAGGATTTCCAATATGTACCCAATTTTTTTCTTTTCAATGAACAGAAGACTAGAGGCTCCTTGACTGACATGACATCAGTTGCTACATCAGTTCCTAAACTACTGGAATTGTTTGTCTTGTGCATCTATGCTTGCAGCTAATCAGAAGTTGACTAGAGTTAGAATAAATAAAATTCATATTAAATCAAATTATAGCTTTATTTAAATCATTAGTCAAAAATATTTGATTTATGCCTTTCCTTCCTGTACTCCACCAGAAATATTTACTACATGACATAACTTAAACCATAATACATAATTTTCACAACTCAGACAAGAATGTCAATTTAATTTTTAGAACCTACACAGTGCACATTTGCCATGATTTATAGTGTTATTTTACCAGATTAATTCTGCAGTTGCATCAGAAAACTGCACATCTAGATTTGCACATGTAGACAGCTTTACATTTATCATCTTCAAAGCGGTTTCTTCCAGAAAGGAGCATTTTTCACAAGGGTTAATTTGAGCTATTTCTTACATGAGTTGTTTGAATTTTACATAAATGCTTGTCTCTTAAATATGGAGAGAAACTTCACTAAAATATTCTGAAACAGAAAGGTCACTTTTGCTTATACTGCCAGGGTAGGTTTTGCTTGTTTCATAATATCTTTTCATGAAATATCAAATTAATGAAGGCCGGTACAAATGAATACAAATAGCTTACTATTTAACATTCCCATTATTTGCTAAATACTGTGATGATCACATTCCTTCATTATTTTGTTTACTCCTTATGTCAACATTCAGAAGCAGGTTTTGCTATTCCTGTTATGTTTATGGAAAAAAAGGCACAAAGAAGTAAGAGTTAATGTGTCAAAAGCTGCACTGTCAGTGTGATTCAAATCTGTATTATAACTATGATTTTTAAAACCCATGCCATAACCAGGATGTTGAATGCACTTCTGGGTCCTCCTGAGAATTCAGCTCCTTATTGTTTCTGGGCTGTTAACTCAAATGGTTGCACTACCCTTTTATAGCATCTCCGCTCCTTGGTTGGGCCTATACCATTCCTGAAAGTTGCTTTACTCTTTTGAAATTTGGTAAGTTTAAAGACTTTGCTTCAATTGGACAACAAAGAAGAAAAATAGATCAACCTAAGTGAAAAAGTAAAACAGAAAGAATCTGTCCATTTTGTTTCTGGGACAAGTTCATATGCAGGAATATTAAACCACTTATATAGGTATCATCAATGACAACTAGGGCCAGAAAAGAGGCCCAGTCTCTCCTTTACTTCATAATCCTTTCAAAATATGTTTTCTTGACCTTGTGAAAAGAAACACTGAATTGCATGATCTCAAAGATACACTATTTAACAACAGCAAATCTCACTTAAAACACTGTAGAAAAAGATAAAATTCAGAGATCCTCATCTCTAAAAAGAAAGCATAAACAGGCCCGGCGCAGTGGCTCATGCCTGTAATCCCAGCACTTTGGGAGGCCAAGGTGGGCAGATCACCTAATGTCAGGAGTTTGAGACTAACCTGGCCAACATGGTGAACTCCTGTCTCTAATAAAAATACAAAAATTAGCTGGGCGTGATGGCGGGTGCCTGTAATCCCAGCTACTTGGGAGGCTGAGGCAGGAGAATTGCTTGAACCTGGGAGGCAGAGGTTGCAGTGAGCTGAGACCTTGCCACTGCACTCCAGCCTGGGCAACAGAGCAAGACTCTGCATCAAAAAAAAAAAAAAAAAGCATAAACTTTGATTTCCTCAGATTAGGATCCAAAACAAACACAATGTGGCTCATGGTCTAAAAAACTAGGGCAATCATGAAAAGGAAAGAAAATTGAAGTAATTCTTACTTTTATTTATAATTAGAAGTTACCCATACCAGAATTTATAATTATTAATGGAACAAATATTAGATACAATGGATAAATATAGGAAAACCTTCCAAGATAAAATTAACACGATATGATAAATTCAAAGAATTCAACAAATCATTAAATCTACAACTATTTAGTAATTCCACTAAAAAATTTGTAATGTACCCATAAGAGTCCATAGTAATTGAAGCACTGAATGAAAATTCAAGCTGTAATTTAAAGACCTTGAGACAGTTAGGTAATACATGAAAACACATGTGCAATTAGCATTGACTCAGAAAAACAACAACAAAAAAGTTTAGTTGGTATAGTCATGAAACTCTGCACTCATCTAAAAAAAAAACTAGATGTCATCCAAATTAAAGAAGAATTATAAAGATAAATTTAAAGAATGTAACTAAACACACAAGTTTCTAGAAGTCTCAAATCACTACTAATGATACAGCACTCATTAAAGGGTTTTGGCAGTGATCTAACATTTTGAAAAGTGAGGAGCAAAATTTAATTAGACTACAATAAATCTCAGTTATTTTAAAATGTGAAGAACACATTTTTATTTTCTATTATTTTGATGTCTTCTGACACCATGAATAAGTTACATGGGAGATATGGCAACACTCAAATATGTTACATTATTATTTTCTTACTCATTGTTTCACAGGCAGTATATCAGGCACAGCTAACTTGTCACTAGTCACTTTCACCTCCCTCGATTTGTATTCAGCTTCAGAATTCACATTTGCCCCATCTGATGCTGACCTTAACTACTTTCTCTTTCTGTCTGCTTCATTTGGTCAGTTCAGGCATCATAACTAACCAAAAATGTGCTGTATTGATACATCAAATATATAGAAAGATGACAAACTAAATATCTCTAACTAGGCTGATTCTATATAAAAATACAAAAACCCAAATACCCTGTTTAGGTGCAAATTGTAGTATAATTTTGCAAAGATGAGTGAACAGTTTCAAGTTTTATATGCTACTATAAGAATCTGACTTTGTTTCATTTATATGCTACTATGAGAATCTGACTTTATTTCATCCATTCTTTGTGGTTATTGCTCTTTTCATTCAAAATGATAAATACATAAAAATATTAAAACAATATTTTATATATTTATAAACATATATTTATATGACATATTTATATAATATATATATTTAAATTCACATGCCCTCAACTGTCTCTTGAATAAGTTCAATCCAAATATAAACTGCAGAATTTTTTAAAATGTAGAAATACAAGGCTTCTGGATTAGAGAACCATTTTCACAGACATAAATATTATCTCAGTTACATGTCTAAAATATATTTTATAATCATTTTAGCTCAATGACCTGTTATAGTTTCATCTGATTCAATGAATCTTGCAGTGCTGAATTGGGTAAGAAACTTTGGGACTCATATTAGAAACAGAGACTGAAGAGCTAAGTGTGTCTACAGATAAACATTTTTCAAAATAGTAATTGGTCTTGGGTAACAAAGCTTTTTTGTGATAAAAAGCTTGCTAATTGAAACTTTTAATCTGAATGTTGTCTGAATCTTATTAAATGTTACTTTCCTGCCTCAATTCGTATTTTCTTCATCTTCATTTTCATGTTGAATATTGTTATACTGTCTGCCTCATTATGCTAAAGAAAGATGAAGTAAGCCATTAAAATTCTGAACAGCCTATGAGATGTTATGATATAGAATGTCATTCATTTTTATGAGTTAGCTGTCAGTTCAGGCTTCAACAAAGTTATAATTCTTTCCTGGCAGGATGTGATGTCTAGTGCTGTTGCAAAATCCTTATGAAAATTTCAATAATTGTAAATTAAAGGAAAAGTAAATAGGACTTTTATGAAATGGTTGCTTCTGAAAGTCAAGTGGTACAGAACAGGACTCTACAAGATGGACATTATTTGCTTTGTAGTTCTGAATCATCATAACGCCAATGTTATTTTCTTTACCAAAAAAAAATTAAAAAAGTTGTGACTCAAGAGTCATTCAGTCCTTTCAGCTGCAGAACCTGACTTGCCAGTGCTGAGAGAAAGGTGAGATGACAAAGTAGCATTATTGCTAACACCAAGTCTACCCTTAAATTGCTGCATAATGTCATTTGCCTGAAAACCTGAAAGTTGGAATTTGAAAAGGAAATTTTTCCATTTAAATATTTGAAAGAGAAGGGGCAGACAGTGCTTTACACATTATCTCATGACCTTATTAAATGAATATGTTAATGTGGCATTCAGTTTGCAAATTTTCTCACACAATATAGGAAATAGCTACAAGGAAAATTCTCCTAGGATAGATAATGCTGTGTTATTTAAGTATGTGTTACTAAAAAAATGCAAACTGTCATTCAAAACAAATAAATTTATACTCAGAGCTCTCTTGTGTATTCATTGTTTAGCAGGCTGAAAAGTATGCAGCTACAAAGATAGAAAATATTTAAAATTAAGTAGATGACAAATTTCATTATAATGAATATGATTGGGAAAGAGGATATAAAAGACTGTAGCTGGGCACGGTGGCTCACGACTGTAATCCTAGTACTTTGGGAGGCTGAGGTGGGCGGATTTCCTGAGCTCAGAAGTTCGAAACCATCCTGGGCAACACGGTGAAACCTCATCTCTACTAAAATACAAAAATTTAGCCGAGCATAGCAGCGTGCTCCTGTAATCCCAGCTACTTGGGAGGCTGAGGCAGGAGAATTGCTTGAACCCAAGGGCGGAGGTTGCAGTGAGCTGAGATTGTGCCACTGCACTCCAGCCTGGGAGATGGAGCGAGACTCTGTCTCATAAGAAAATAAAATAATAAAATAAAATAAAATAAAATAAAATACTAGTAATTTAATGCCATGTATCTCATTGCATTTACTCTCATCTCTATCATCTTCTTAGATTGCAGTAGCTTGCTGATAGAAATTTGGTGGTTTTTAAGCTCTGTTTAACTTTGTTTAGTGCCAGTATGATACAGTAATCAAGATCAAGTTGACAAATATATAGATCCCCATGGAATACAACTTGCCTATCAGTATAAAGACAGCCTGCCTAAAAATAGCTTTACCCACTGAGCTTTCAGGGCACCTTAGATTCTACCACTACCACTTAATAAAAAACCTTTATTACGAGTTTTTAGCTGTGAGTCTTTAGTTAGTATACACTAGTATTGTAGTAGTAGATATTTGTTGTTTAACCCTCAATTTAGAGGTGGGGTTGGTGAGATTTTTCCACTATATTCCAGAAGAGTCATGTCTTCTAGACCACAGTTGCCATTTTCATGACTTCTACCAACTCAACCTGGTGGTACTTGGTTTTGGTATAAATAATTGAGAAAGTACAAACTATCATTGAATCAGCAAAATATGCCTACTCTATGAAAATTCATTAGTGTTGCAGCTTAGTTGCTTCTGTAAGTGAAATCCATAGATCACATGCATCAGAATCATATGGAATGCCTGTTAAAATGTTGATTTCAGGATGCCACCTCAGAGCTACTGAGGTAGAATCTGTGTGACTTTTTTTTATTAGTAGACTATTTTTTAGAGCTGTTTTAGTTTCACAGCAAAATTGAATGGAAGGTACAAAGATTTCCCATATATACCCTGCCCCTACAGTTGCATCATCTCCTCCATGATCAATATTCCCATTACAGTGGTAGATTTGTTACAACGGATGAAACTACATTGACACATCATTCTCATGCAAAGTCTATATTAGGGTTCACTCTTGGTGTTGTATGGATTTGGCCAAATGTGTAATGACATGTATCCATCATTGTATTATCATACAGAGTGAATTTTGCTGCCCCAAAAGTCTTCTGTGCTCGGCCAGTTCATACCTCTCTCCTGCTATAAAAATCTTAGTGCAGGTTTTTGTGTGGTCATTTTTAACTCCTTTGCATAAACACCAAAGAGTGCAATTGCTAAATCGTATGGTGAAAGTATGTTTAGTTTTATAAGAAACTGCCAGTGTCCTGCTAAAGGACTACATCATTTTGCATTCCCACCACTGATGGATGAGAGTACCTGTTGCTCCACGTCTTTGCATTTGTTGTTGTCAGTGCTCTGAATGTTAGCTATGCTAATAAGGCTGTACTTATATCTCGTTTAAATTTACATTTCCCTAATGACATATGATGTGAAATGCCTTTTCATATACTTATTTGTCCTCTATTATGCTCTTTGGTGAGATGTCTCTTAAGGTCTTTGGCTTATTTTTAAGGCAGGTTGTTTGTTTTCTTATATTTGAGTTGTTAAGCGTTTTTTGCATATTTTTGGTATAAAAACAGACACATAGACAAATAGAATAGTATAGAGAGCCCAGAAATAAATCCATGCATTTATGATCAATTTGTTTTCAATAAAGATGCCAAAAACATAAAATGGGGAAAAGGACAGTCTCTTTAATAAATAGTACTGGAAAACCAGATATCTACATGAAGAAAAATGAAATTAGACCTTAATCTCACACCATCTATAAAAACCAACTCAAAATGGATTAAAGATTTAAGTGTAAGACCTGAAACTAAAAAATACTAGAGGAAAACGTAGGAGGAAAAGCTCCATGATATCGGTCAAGGTAAAGATATTTTTGGACATACAAACAAAAACAGACAAATGAGATTGTGTCAAACTGAAAAGCTCCTGCACAGAAAAAGAAAAAAATCAACAGAGTACAGACAACCTACAACCTACAGAATGTAAGAATATGTTTACAAACCATACATCTGATAAAGAATGAATATGCAAAATATGTAAGGCCTTCAAACAACTCAATAGCAAATAAATAAAGACCCCAGGTAGAAAGTGGGCAAAGGCCTTGAATATATATTTTTAAAAAGAATACATATACATACCAAAAGGTATGTGAAAAATACTCAGTATCACTAATCATGAGGGAAAGGCAAATCATAACTACAATGAGATATCACCTTACATCTGTTAGAATGGCTATTATCAAAAAGACAAAAGATAACAAGTACCAGTGAGAATGTAGAGAAAAGGGAAACTTTGTACCCTGTTGATGGGAAAGTAAGTTGGTACCATCATTATGAAATAGTATGGAAGTTTCTTAAAAAGTTAAAGAATATAATTAACATATTACCTGGCAATTCCACTTTGCCATTCTATCCAAAATAGTTCAAATCAAAATCGTTACAGTGAAGAAATATCTGCAATCCCTGTTCACTGCAACATTATTCAAAATAGAAAGTCATAAAATCGACCTAAGTACCATCAATAAATGAATAGATAAAGCAAATGTGGTGTATATATATGGAATAGAATACTATTTGGCTTTAAAAAGGAAGCAAATCTTGTTATTTATGACAATATGAATTAACATGGAGGGCATTATGTTAAGTGAAATAAACCAGGAACAATAAAACAAATACCACATGATCTCACTTATATATTAAGTATGAAAATATTCAAAATGGTGATTACCAGACCTTTGTTGCATGCATAGTTTGTGAATATTTTCTCCCATTCTGTAATGGGCGTGTTTACTCTGTTGATATTTTCTTTTGCTGTGTAGAGCTCTTTAGTTTGATTAGGTCCCACTTGTCCATGTTTTTTTTGTTGTTGTTGTTGTTGCTGTTGCTTTTGGGGATGTAGCCATGAATTCTTTGCCAAGGCTGATGTCAATAAGGGTATTTCCTAGGTTTTCTTCTAGGATTTTTTCTTCTTTTAGCTCTTACATTTACATCTTTTAATCCATCTTGAGTTAAGTTTTGTATATGGTGAAAAGTAGGGGTCTAGTTTTATTCTTTTGCATATGGCTAGCCAGTTTTCTTAACACTATTTATTGAATAGGGAGTCCTTTCCTGATTGCTTATTTGTGTCAACTTTGTCAAAGATCAGATAGTTGTAGCTGTGTAGCTTTATTTCTGGGTGCTCTATTGCATTCCATTAGTCTCTGTGTCTGCTTTTGTCCCAGTACCATGCTGTTTTGATTACTGAAGCCTTATAGCATAGTTTGAAGTTGAGTAATGTGATGCCTCTGGCTTTGTTCTTTTTGTTTAGAATTGCTTTGTCTATTTGGGCTCTTTTTTATTTTTTTAGTTCTGTGTGCATTTCAGAGTAGTTTTTTCTACTTCTGTCTAAAATGATCTTGGTATTTTGATAGACATAGCATGGAATCTGTAAATTGTTTTTGGAAGTATGACCATTTTAACTATATTAACTTCCCATCCATCAGCATGGAATGTTTTTCTATTTGTTATATATGATTTATTTCAGTAGTGTTTTATAGTTCTCCTTGTACAGATATTTTACCTCCTTGCTTAGATGTATTCTTAGGTATTTCATTTTTGTGTGTGTCTATTGTAAATGGGATTGTGGCTTAATTTGGCTCTCAGCTAGAATATTATTGGTGTATGAAAATGTTACTGATTTTTTGCATTTTTTCTTTAACCTGAAACTTTACTGAAGTCATTTCTCAGTTCCAGCAGCCTTTTGGAGGGGTCTTTAGGGCTTTCTATGCATTGAATCATATCATTAGCAAAGAAAGATAGTTTGACTTCCTCTTTTTCTATTTGAATTTTTTTTCCTTTACCTGATTGCTCTGGCTAGCTCTTCCAGTACTATGTTGAATAGGAGTGGTGAAAGTGGGCATTCTTATCTTGTTCCAGTTCTCATGTTTCCAGCTTTTTCCCATTCAGTTTGATGTTGGCTGTGGTTTTGTCATAGATAACTCATTATTTTGAGGTAAGTTCCTTTGATGCCTAGCCTGTTGAGGGTTTTTATCAAGAGGGATGTTGACTGTTATCAAAGGCTTTTTTCTGTATCTATTGAAATGATCATGTCATTTTTGTTTTTAATTATGTTCATATCATGAATCACATTTATTGATTTGTGTGTTTTGAACCAAACTTGTAACCCAGAAAGAACGCCTACTTGATTGTGGTGAATTAACTTTTTGATGTGCTACTGGATTCAGTTTGCTAGTATTTTCTTGAGGATTTTTACATCTAAGTTCCCCAGAGATATTGACCTGAAGTTTTCTTTGTTCAGCGTGTCTCTGCCAGAATTTGGTATCAGGATGATGATGGCTTCATGCAATGAATTAGGGAGGAGCTCTTCCTTCTTGATTTTTTTGGGAATAGTTTCAATAGGATTGGTACCAGGTTTTTATTGTATGTCTGGTAGAATTTAGCATGAATTCATCTGGTGCGGGGCTTTCTTTGTTTGGTAGTTTAATTTTTACTGATTCAATTTCAGAATTTGTTATTGGTTTGTTCAGGTTTTCACATTCTTCCTGGTTCAATGTTAAGATGTTGTGTTTTCTTGAAATGTATCTATTTCCTTTAGAATTCAAATTTTTATGCATAGAGGTGTTCATAATAGTCTCTGAGGATCTTTTGTATTTCCGTGGCATTGGTTTTAATGTCATCTTTATCATTTCTGATTGTGCTAATCTGGATCTTCTCTTTTTCTCCTTGTTATGTAGCTGATGGCCAACCAATCTTGTTTATTATTTTGGAGAATCAACTCTTGGTTTCATTGACCCCTTGTATGGACTTTTGTTTCTCAATTTTATTCAGTTCTTCTCTGATTATAGTTATTTCTTATCTTCTGATAGCTTGTGGTTTGTTTTTAATTTTTTTCTAGTGTCTCGAGGTGCAGTGTGAAATTGTTAATTTGAGATCTTTCTAACTTTTTGATGAAGGCATTTAGTGCTACAAACTTTCCTTTAACAGTGCTTTAGCCAAATCCCAAAGATTTTGGTAAGCTGTTTCTATAATTTCATTGATTTCAAATAATTTAATTTTTATTTCTGCCTTAATTTCATTGTTCAACAAGAGTTATTTAGGAGCAAGTTTTAAAATTTTCCATGTTTTTGTGTAGTTTTGAGAGAACTTCTGGGTGTTGATTTCCACCTTTATTGTACTGTGGTCTGAGAGTATGCTTGGTATGATTTTATTTTATTTTTGAATTTATTGGGACTTCCTTTATGACTAAGCATGTGGTTAATCTAAGAATATGTTCCATGTGTGGATGAGAAGAATGTATATCCTGTGTTTGTTGGATGGAATATCCTATAGATGTCTATTAGACCCAGTTGGTCAAGTGTAGAGCTTAAGTCCAAAATTTCTTTGTTAGTTTTCTGCCTTGATGATCTTTCTAATGCTGTCAGTGGACTGTTGCAGTCTCCCACTACTATTGCATGACTAAGTCTTTTGGTAGGTCAAGAAGAACTTGCTTTATGAATCTTGGTGCTCCAATTTTGGGTGCGTATATATTTAGGATAGTTGTATTCTTGTTGTATTGAAACCCTTACCTTTATATAATGCCCTTCTTTCTTTGTCCTTCCTGATTGTTGTTGGTTTAAAGTCTGTTTTATCTGATATAAGAATGGTAACTACATGTCTTTTTTATTTTCTATTTATATGGTAAATCTTTCTCTATCTCTTTACTTTGAGCCTGTGGGTGTCATTATATGTTAATTCAGTCTCTTGAAGCCAGCAGTGAGTTGAGTCTTGTCTTTTTATCCAGCTTGCCACTCTACACCTTTTATGTGGACATTTAGGCCATTTACATTCAGTGTTAGTATTGATATGTGATGTTTTAGTCCTGTGTTGTACCATACCATCATCATACCATACCTGTCATCATACCAGCTGGCTGTTTGGTAGACTTGTTTGTGTAATTGCTTTATATTGTCTGCAGGCTATATGCTTGAGTGTGTTTTTGTGGTAGCAGGT
Source organism: Homo sapiens (assembly GCF_000001405.40). Classification (NCBI taxonomy): domain Eukaryota; kingdom Metazoa; phylum Chordata; class Mammalia; order Primates; family Hominidae; genus Homo; species Homo sapiens. The sequence continues at coordinate 47,029,218 of NC_000015.10, read as the reverse complement.
TTATTACTCCATTAAGGAACTCTTGAAAGGCTGGTCTGGTGTTAGTGAATTCCTTTAGTGTTTGCTTCTCTGAAAAGGATTTTATTTCACGTTTGTTTATGAAGCTTAGTTTGTCAGGATATGAATTCTTGGCTGGAATTTCCATTTTGAGGATGCTGAACATAGGCCCCCAATTTCTTCTGGCTTGGAAAGTTTCTCTTGAGGGGTCTGCTGATGCTTTGATGGGATTTTCTTTGTAAGTGACCTGACCTTTTTTCTAGCTGCCTTTAAGATCTTATTTTTTGCATTGCTCTTGGTGAATATGTTGGCTATGTGCTTTGGGGATAGTTGTCTTATATAGTATCACACAGGGGTTCTCTGTATTTCTCAAATTTGCATCTCCACCTCTCTAGTAAGATTGGGGAAATTTTCATGGACTATATCTTCAAATATGTTTTCTGAGTTTCTTACTCTCATTGTCTCTGGAATGCTGATGAGTCATAGATTTAGTGTCTTTACATAATCTCATATTTGTTGGGGGTCTTGTTGATTTTTTAAAATTCTTTTTTCTTTATTTTTCTCTGACTGAGTTGACTTGAAGAACCAGTTTTTGAGCTCTGAGATTTTTTCCTCAGCTTGGGCTATTCTGTTGTTAATGCTTCTGACTATATCAGAAATTCTTATAGTGAATTATTCAATTCTAGAAATTCAGTTTGGTTCTTTTTATTTTATTTTATTTTATTTTATTTTATTTTTTGAGATGGAGTTTTGCTCTTGTCACCCAGGCCAGAGTGCAATACTGCAATCTCAGCTCACTGCAACCTCTGCCTCCCAGGTTCAAGCGATTCTCCTGCCTCAGCCTCCGGAGTAGCTGGGATTACAGGCACCTGCCACACCGGGACTGGCTAATTTTTTTTTTTTTTTTTTAGCAGAGACAGAATTTCACCATGTTGGCCAGGCTGGTCTCGAACTCCTGACCTGAAGTGATCCACCCACCTCAGCCTCCCAAAGTGCTGGGATTACAGGTGTGAGCCACCATACCCAGCCCAGTTTGATTCTTTCTTAAAACGGCTATTTTTGTCTTTTAGCTCTTGGATTATTTTACTGGATACCTTGGATTGTTTTTCAACTTTCTCTTGGCTCTCAATGAGCTTCCATGCCATCCAGATTCTGAATTCTATAGCTATCATTTCAGTCTGGTTAAGAACAGTTGCTGTGGGGCTAGTGTATTCATTTGAAGTAAGGGGACATTGTGGCTTTTTAAATTGCTAAAATTCTTGTTCTGATTCTTTCTCATCTGAGAGGGCTGATGTTTGTTTGACTGTGATGTAAGATGAGTATGATCAGTTGACTTCATTTCTGGGTACTTTAAGGGGGACAGGTCTCATATAGGATCTTCATTTGTGGTTGAATTTTTGCCTTAGATTTCACAGATGCTGTTTACTGGCAAATTTTTGGTGTCGTTGTTTGGGCTGTAATCCAGTAGATGGCACTTAAGAGTGATGGCTGGCAGATGGGCTCTTAGTGGTAGCATTCTTTTGTATTTCAGCAAATTCACAGTAGTGCTCTGTGGAGGAGGACAGTGATGATCCCCTTACCAGGTTTACTCCTGCGCCTTGGAGAAGTCCCTTCTGATCACTGGTGCCATGCCTGTGTTTCCTTTGTTAGGTATTTCAAGCTATGGGGCTCCCTCAGGCAGAAGCTGTGACTGGCAGGCAGGTCACATCGTTCCTGAACTGGCCCTGTGGAGTGAGGCATGCCTCGCTCCCCTGTGGGCCCATGATTACAGGTATCTCACTCCTCTCAGTGTTCTGAGAGTGGAGACTCCTGCCCTGATTGGGCATTGCCCAACCCAGTGAGGCTTGCCTGGCTAGACGAAGTGTGGGTGGAGAGAGTCATCTGGTTCACTGTATAGGTTTTTCTTGGAGAAACACAGAAATTGGTGGGGCCACTGTGCTGGCAGGCCAAGCCAGTGAGTCCGGCCTGGCTAGGAGCAGCAGGGGTGCCTGGAGTCACCTGGTCAGGCATCTAGGGGTTTCTTGGAGGAATGCATCTCTGTGCATGCCGCCAGACTTCAGACAAGAGCAGTGTCACTGGGCTGTAAGCAAGACTCAGGTCTTTCCTGGAAATAAGTGGAGTGATCTTATGGCACCCTGTCACCATGATTGCAGCCTCTATTGGTATTATGGCACCTGGTGCCAGGCTCCTCAGGGATCCAAGTCCTGTGGGGCTCCCCATGGTCTTGAGCAGTGCCTCTGCAAAAACTCTGTGTGGCTCTTTGTATCAGTGTAGACACCCAGGCAAGTCAGGAGGGTTTTCTTTTTCCCAGGATTGCACAGATCCCCATGGGAAGTATGGTTCCCAT